>NC_000009.12:126970552-127595552 GCF_000001405.40 Homo sapiens
GTAGGGAGTGGAGTCAAAATGATCAGAAAAGATAGAGATAGTTGTGGCAAAAGATGATCTAAGAGTGTGTGTGTGTGTGTATGTGTGTGAGTGAGAGAGAGAAATCTCAAGAAATAGTGGCTATGGTGTTGAACACTACATGAAAGCAACCTAAAACAGCTGTGTGAAGTTAGAAAAGGTACTCTGAACCATATTGCCCTGTAAAAGCTCAGGAAAACTAATTTTGCATAAACATAAGCAACAGGAAATTATTGCTGTCAAATCTCATTCAGAGTTATTGTACAAAAAAAGAGACAAGAATCCCTATAGACAATGAAAGCATGCCACAAAAACAGACAAAACCTGTAACTGTTTATTTTTAAATGAGCTAAGAGATGTTAAGATCACACATGAAGAACATAAATCAGAAATACAAAAATCTCAGAAATGAGATGACAGAACTTAGGGAAGACTTAAAAATAAAAGAATTCTTTTGGAAATGAAGATTGAACTAGAAGGAACACAGGAACACATAAACATAACAGAAAATGCCTAAGGGAGGAAACTTTTTCACATGAAAATAAATGAAGAAAGAATAAGACTTTGGGAAAAAGTGACAAATATTCATGATAGCCAAGGAACATCCAACATACAGACAATAGGAATGCCTGAAAGCAGGGAACAAAAAGGCAAGGGAACTTCACAAATAATTAAAACTAAAATTTAGGAAAATGTTCATGATATTTAAAAAAAAAAAAGATTTGAAACCGCATATTGAAAGAACACACCATGAAGCCGAGAATGTCAACCCTAAATGGTCAATACTAAAGACATATTTTTTTTTTTACAAACTACTGGGTTTTAAAGGAAAAAAAATTATTTGGGCATTTAGGCAAAAACAGCAAATGACATATACAGGAAATGATTAGATTACCATCAGTCTTTTTTGACAGAAACATGTTTTTTCCAAAAGGAAATGGAACTACATAATTAAGGAAAGAAAGAAAAAGTGAGCCAAAGAATTTATAATATATCCAGCAAGACTGACTTTAAAGTATAAAGGACACAAACAAACTGTTGTGAACATGCAAAGACCTCAGAATTTTATTCCCCTGAGCCCTTCCTGAGGAATCTATGAGAGAATGAATCTTAGATAATGAACATAATGAGAGAACCATCACTATAAAGACAGAGAGCAGTAAACATGCAATTACTTGTGGAATTAAGACTGAATGAGGGTTAAAGGTAGAGGGTATAGTTTGTAATGAATGTATGCCCAGATGGTAGATATAGTATGACTATAGGATAAAGTAAATGAAAACTTACGGGATTCTGGAATGCTAGTATACTCTATGTCCTTGAGACCAAGATTTTCAAAATAGAAGAAAGGAGATACAGATGTAATACAGAAGAGGTTAAGTAAGTTTTTAAAAATGCCCTGAATTTGAATTGGAAATATTAGTATGAATTCTGCATTGTGGTCTTGAAATAGCATTTCTTACTAAAAGAACCCATGGCTTCCGGAGAACTGGTTGATTCCAAGCCTGGGAAAGGACATGTTCAAGATGAGCCTGGTACATCTTCCCAGTACCCAGTGAGGAAGCTGTCAAGGAATAGGAGGGTTTGTGGCAAACGGACTCAAGAGCTAGGTAGAAGAAGCTCCCATTGCCCCATCATGGCACAATTTGAGCTTCAAAAGGATAATAATTGCAAATGATTGAAACTCATCAAGCAATGGGTCACCTTTTGATGATAATGGGGCAGTTTATAATCTTAAAAACTGGTAAATATGAGGAAAGAATCAAGCATTTGTCCTACCTTTTACTTTTGAACAAACTACACTGGATAACCAAACAGTAGATGAGGGAAAGTGTCTATTAAATTATTCAGTTAAGAAAAGGAAAAGAAATGAAAGAATTGGAATATCATCATTTTGTAACCCCAGTGAATGAAAATATCTAAGCAGTGAACATCAATAGCCACTAACATTACAAAAGGAGAGCCATTGTGTGCCTCCTGATGAAGCAGTGTGCCGCCACCTGCGGTCTTGCCAAAGGGATGCACCTGTGTCTGATGAAGTCCCTGGGTCCAGCTGCTGATTTGCAGACATACCAAGAATGGAAGAACACATTGACCTGTTCCATAAGTGTGGAGAACTTATGGCTTGGATTCTTCAGCAGATGTATTACAAGGAATATAAAGGGATGGAGAGAATATTTGTAGATTAAAAGAGATTTTAAAAGTACATATCGGCTGGGGCAGTGGCTCACACCTGTAATCCCAACACTTTGGGAGGCTGAGGTGGGCGGATCACAAGGTCAGGAGTTTGAGACCAGCCTGGCCAATATGGTGAAACCCTGTCTCTACTAAAAATACAAAAATTAGCCAGGCATGGTGGCGCACACGTGTAGTCCCAGCTACTCAGGAGGCTGAGGCAGGAGAATCGCTTGAACCCAGGAGGTGGAGGTTGCAGTGAGCCGAGATTGCGCCACTGCACTCCAACCTGGGCGACAGAGCGAGACTCCATCTCAAAACAAACAAAAAGTATGTATCAGGTTGAGCATGGTGGCTTACATCTGTAATCCCAGCACTTTGGGAGGTTGTGGTGGGAGGATTGTTTGAGGCCAGGAGTTAGAGATCAGCCTGGGCAACAGAGCTAGAATCCATCTCTACAAAAAATTAAAAAGTTAGCTGGGCATGGTGGCTTATACCTGTAGTTGTAGCTTCTCAGGAGGCTGAGGCAGGAGGGATCACTTGAACCCAGAATTTTGAGGTTAGCTCACTAGGTATGATCACACCACTGCATTCAAGCCTGGACAACAGGTAAGACACTCTCTCTAAAATAGGTAGGTAGGTAGGTAGGTAGGTAGATAGCACTTATCAAATTTTTAAAAAAGTGGACAGGACTACCCTGTGATGTATAGGTGTATATACTTGAGTGATTAAATTATTTAAAAAACTTGAAGAAAGTCAGGATAATGGTTACTTTTGGTGGGAGAGAGACTTGTGATTGGGACAAGTCACATTGAAGAACTTCTGGGGTGGCTCTTTTATTCGTTTTGATTGTGCCAAAATATACGTAATATAAAATTTACTATCTTAACATTTTTCAGTGTACAATTCAGCAGTGTTAAGTACATTCACAGTGTCATGTAACCAATCTCCAGAACTGCTTTCGTCTTGCAAAATGGAAACTCTGTATCCATTAAACAACTCCCCATTCCCTCTCCTCCCAACCCCCAGCAACCACTACTCTACTTTCTGACTCCATGATTTTGACTCTTCTAGTTACCTCATGTAAGTGGAGTCATATAGTATTTGTCTTTGTGACTTTTCTGTAGATTTGACTTTCTGTTTTGTTTTGAGACAATCTCACTTACTCCCAGGCTGGAGTGCAGTGGTGCGATTTCGGCTCACTGCAACCCACTCCTCTCGGGTTCAAGCAATTCTCTTGCCTCAGCCTCCTGAGTAGCTGGGATTACAGACATGCACCACCACACCCGGCTAATTTTTGTATGTCATATTACAGACAGGGTTTCACCATGTTGGCCAGGGTGGTCTCGAACTCCTGACCTCAAGTGATCCGCCAGCTTCAGCCTCCCAAAGTGCTATGATTACAGGCATGAACCACTGTGCCCAGCCTAGTTTGACATTTTTTAAAAATGAAAAGTTAAAAAAGCTTTAAATAAGTTACTGCTAGATTAATTTTCAAAAGGAACAGAACAGTTCCTAGGCCCATCCCCTGACTCTTTTCTAAATTGCCGGACACGGGCTTTCTGTGGTTCTGTGAGTCAAAGCAGGAATAGATCTTTGGAGCTGATTACTCTGTTCTGTGCGCCCTCCTGGCCATGCCTTGGTGGAGTGGGGTAAAGCCAACAGCTTTTTTTGTTTGTTTATTTGGGGTCTGGAAGACCCTTACATTTAAGGTTGAGGCTGGGAAGAGAGGATTTAGTCAGCCACTGTTAGAGAGGAGAAATACTACATTTAACATATGCAAAAAACTTTTTTTTTTCCTTTTGGCTAACCAAGTAGCATTTCCCTTAAAAGCCTGGGTTTTTAGAGGGCCCTGGACTAGGAGGAAGGAGGAGATGGGAGAAGGCTTAAGGAAGCCATTGCCAGGTGACTAGCTTGACTGGACATCCTATGTTAATGCTTTATTTCTCAAAATAAGGATAGGCCATTAAGAGACTTACGAGTGTTCTCGCTCAGCCCCACTACTGGCCGGATTTGCTGCTTGGAAACGAGAGTGGGAGGCTCCTTGTCTCATGTTTCTGTTGAGGCTGTAACATACCCCTAGAAAATGCCTTTTCTCTCCAGGAAACCAAGGTACCTCTCCTGAGGGAGGGACAGGGCGCTGAGATGGTCCCGAGAGCTGGCTATGAAGTGTGACAGGACCTGACCTCACCTCTTACCCCAACCCCTACCCATACTTCCCACCCCCCTTTTTGGTAAAACTGAGTGGCCTTGAGGGTTCAAACTTCCAGGGAAGGATTACTCATCAGCGACCTCTAACATATGTTTGGCTTTTTAGTAAAATGGCATGAAATCGATAATCTGATGATCTTTGTAAGTATCTTGTATCAAAATATCCTTGCTCTAGATACTGTATCTTTTTTGGTCAGAATTGAAAGGATAGAAATAGAGATTCTTCTGAAACCTCATTATGTATTTCGGACTAGCTAGTCTAAGTCTGGTGACCTCTGTTGTTGTTTGTTTTGAATAAAACACCTGAACACATTTTCTGACTTATGGTCTGAGCAGAGAGCAGAATATTTGAAACTTGGACCATCCAAAAAGTGTGAAATGTAAGGTCACTGCTTTAATAAATCATCTGGAAATTCAGTAGCAAACCCTAGAACTGGTGGCAGGATGGAAAGGAAGTTTTCTCATTTTCACATTAGCAGACGTTTGGTTCTTTTCCTAAATGACATTGCAAACATCCTGCCGGTTCTCCCGGATAGGGTGTTAACTTGAAGTGCAGGGGAGATTTCCAAGGTCCTCTGAGCTTTCAGGTCAAATCTCCTGTCTTTACAAGGCCTTTCTGTTCCCCAGGATGGCAGACTTAATCCAAATATGAGAAGCACTTGGCTAACCATCTTGATGGATCTGGCAGAAGAAATGCCAGTCTGTTTGCACTGCTCAGGACATAGTTCTGAGCCATGGAGCTCTAGGCCAAACATAGACCTATAGGCCTTCAGGGCTTACTGGCCACTCAACACCCAGATTATGAGGGCCAGATACATTATGCTGATGTCAAGAGTCTCCTTGACATCAAGAGGTGTTGGGTGGAAACTGGAGGCGGAAGAGCTCAGATTCCGCTCCAGTGCTTCCTTATTCCTGGTCCTCTCTCCCACCTCTCAGCCAGGCTGGTGGCAGCATCTCACCCGTTTCCATGAAGAACACTAGCTCCGCTCCTGGGAGAGTACAAAGAGGCTCTCCACTGAAGCCAGCTGCATGTTTTCCTCTCCACTCTGCCTGAGGATGGTCTGCTTTGGCCTGTATCCCGTGCTTCTCAGGAACCCAGTGACCTTGGACCACCTTTGAGTGTGTTGCCATTTTTCTCTAATATATTCTTAATACAAGGGTTTTTACTGGCTCAGTGGATTTTAAACATGTTCTTTAGAGCAACCTCAGTGCATGAATATTCAACCAAATTAATGGTCCCTTATTTGCTAGCTTATGTATTGGTCAGGAACCGTAAGTTCACATGCCAGTACATGAGCCCATCTGTGTGGCTTCCATTTTGACACACACACACCCCCTTACACTCAACACTCATTCTCACACACACACACACACACTTTCATATACACGCACACACGTACACCCTCACACATACACACACTTATACGCTTACACTCACATTCACAGTCACACACACCATATACTCACACACACACACACACACTCAGATACACACACATAAACACACTGTCTTATGTGTTTATTGAGCATCTGTCAGGTGCCAGGAACGCTACCTCTTGTCTTGAATTTTCACCAAGATCCCATAAAATAGGGATTATTGTCATCATTTTCTAGATGTGGTACCTGACTGAGAGAGATTGTGTGTCAAAGAGAACATTGCCGTTAAGTGACAGTGTCCAGACACACACCCAAGCCCTGTAGACTCCAGAGCCCATTTGTTCCCTGTATCATGTCATCCTGGATGGCCTGTGTTCAATGGACAGAGTGTCTTCTCACATTAAAGGCATCCAAAGGTCTTCAGCTCTCCTCTCCCTGGCGTGTCACAGAGGCATCTCTTAACTGACATCTGGCATCCCATGTGACATGGAGGTAGGTGGATCACGTGAAGTCAGTTCAGTTCATGCCTTGGTCTGAAAAATGGTCAGCATGATGCTTCCTGTTACTGTCACCAGATGAGGTTCTTATGATGGGCACAGCCTTTTAACCTGATGTGTGTCTTCTCTATTGATGACATTGCTGCATCTTAAGCCGGCTGTGGTGAAGGACTAGTTTTTTCCATTTGCAATAATTTGAGGACAGATACTTAAAATGTATATAATGGAAATGTCATGGTCATGTAAAAAATTGCTATGCAAGTTCCAAATGCTTGCTCTCAGCTTCTGTACTTCTCTCATTGTGGGCTGGTGGAATAAACAGTTTGTTGTCCCGTGCTGGTCTGTGGGTGCGTCTTGAATAGCACTCTACCATATAATTTAGGGGCAGTATCAATGACTTCAGAAGAAAAATATAATTTCTATAAGCCACAGCTTTAAAATGAACTTAATTTATAGTAATAGTGTTTCTGTTTAGCATTCTAATTTTAAATATTGTTTCTACAACTTTAAAAAATTACAAAAGTAGTTCATGCTTGAAATACAAATTCAAATAGTATGAAAATTTTCAAATAAAACTGTTCCCTTTTCTCCCAGGCCCACCCCCCAAACAACTTTTATCAATTCCTAAATTGAAAGTTCATCTCACATTCAAGAAAGAAGGGTGTGGATCAGAATTTATGAAGCGGGGGAAGGGATGGGAGAGGCATTTCAGAAATGTATCCAATTTTTTACTCTATTTGGTCTTGTTTTTTATCTCAAAGGGGAAAGTATAACTTTTATGAGTGTATATGACTCTGTATAAAGTAACATGACAGTTATCTTTGATGTACAGTATTTTCTAAAATTGATTCTCTTTTGTTGCAGAGCCAGATTACATTAATGGATATACCTGTGTTTAAAGCTATCCAGCCGGAGGTCTGTACTTTGTCTTTCTACTCTTCTATTCATGCTGTGGGTGGGCAGCGAGGATTTAGCCAGCCACTGTTAGAGTGTCTCAGTTTCTCTCTTGCAGGCTCTATAAATGCATGTTATCCATTTAAACCCCATTCTATTCTTGATGGTGCTCATGTTTTTGAGCCCAGTATTTGGATTTTCCAGAGAATGTCTCCCGTCTGGCCTACTCTGGCAGGGCTGGGAGCAGTTGGTACCCACAGGACTCCACGCCTGAGAGTCAGGTCTTAACACCCTCATTCCTTTTCCCAGGCTCCTCCTGCTGAAAATGTTTGCTTTCAAGAAGTGATGTGAGGGAACATTTTTCTGGAAAGTTCTCTTTTTGTTCATCCCAAATTCTGGTGGTTGCCTTGTTTCTATTTTTGAAACCAGTTGCCGAAGCAAACATGTACATATTTACATTGAAAGCATATATGGGTCAGGTGTGGTGGCTCACACCTGTAATCCCGGCACTTTGGGAGCCCTAGGTGGGAGGATCGCTTGAGATCAGGGGTTTGAGACCAGCCTGAGCAAAATAGTGAGTGTCAAAAAAAAAAAAAGCATATGTACATTTTTAGAAACAGCATATTCAATAAAGGGTAAAAAGTTGATTTTGGTCTTAAAAAAATTCCTGGAAATGTTTGGCAATTGATAACAAGGTTTTGGTTATTTTACCCAGGGTGTGTGTGTGTGTGCGTGTGAGATCAGGTAAACAAAAATCCATTTCAAAGTAGCTGAATAGGGAGGCTGAGGCAGGAGAATTGCTTGAACCCAGGAGGTGAAGGTTGCAGTGAGCCATGATTGTGCCATTACACTCCAGCCTGGACAAAAGAGCGAGACTCTGTCAAAAAAAAAAAAAAAAGTAGCTGAATAGGCTGAAGAGGAATTTATTACAAGGATAAAGGGACACTTTACAGAATTCATGGGGTGAGTTCAGGCATCCAGAGAGCCACCAGGACACAGGCAGTCCCTACTTCCTGCTCCGCTTTTACCTCTCCTTCTCCTGCTTTCTTGTCTGATTTGACCTGATTTGGCCTTTCCAAAGGGCCCACGTTTACATGATCTTTAAGTCACCGTCCCAGACTGGGACCAGCAGATTTCAGTCCAGGCCAGCATAGTCATGTGTCCAATGCTGGTCCAGTCACCTAAGGCCAAGAGTATGTGGTCAACATGGGCAAACACTGAGGGACCCAGCCTTGTGAGTGAGGTTCAGACCTCAGAGGAGAGGAGTGTGGTTGGGGAGATAGATCAAAAAGTGCTGCAACTAGGGTGTGAATTCCAGAATACTCTTAACTTAATGCCTTTCTTCTTACAGAACTGTTAAGACTTGACAAAGAGCATATCTTAACACAAAGTCACAGTGTTCAAGCCTTCCGAGAGCTGGCACCTAGTCTACTAAAAATTAGGAGGAAACTAGTACCACTAGCTTTGTTCAGCATTTATGTGAAGACGTGGCAGTTATTTGTATTATTGTATTATTATGTGTGTGTGTGTGTGTGTGTGTGTGTGTGTGTGCTTGTGTCTGTGTGTTCATTAGGGTTGGGGAACAGAGCTTTGTTTGCTTTTTTTGAATTGGCTGACTTCCATTCTTTTTCTGTTTTGTTCTAATGTGGTATGATCCATTATTTCTAATCAAAAACAACATCAAATCACTGCCTCTTGAAGCCCTTTGGTAGAATAGGTGTGTGATGGTTGCCTTAGTTCTCAGCTGAAGCTGTTTCTGATTATGTTCTCTGCTTAGCTCTGATCTGGAGCAGTTTAGACATTTAGGGCTTTATTCTTCATCCGAACATCAAGGAGGGCAGCCCACCTGCCGTGAGCCCTGAACCTGCATGTGCCCAGGAGACTGGGATCCTTGCCAGGCTGCTGGAAGGAGGGAGGCGGGTGGGGGCTTCTTCCTCTTCAGAGGCATAGCCAAGGCCAGACCAAGACTTTTCCCCAGGGTGCTGCAGTTTGGAAGGTACCTCATCAACACATACCTTAGTTCAAGTTGTGACAAGACGTTAGAGTGGAGATGTTTTGTTTTCAAGACTGTAGTTTGTAGCAGTGGTTCTTAATCGTGGCTGCACATCAGAATCACCTGGACAGTCTTGGAAACATGAGGGTACCCAGAGTCCCCTCCCCAACACTCCCCCACAGACCATTGAATCTGAACTTAAATCTCTTGATGGGGGTCTGAAACCTAATCAGCCCTATTTTGTAAAAGTTTCCCAGGTAATTCTGAGGCAGAGTGAGGATTCAGAACTAGTTGCTTTAAGGTATCTGGAGAAACCCCAGACTTGAACATTTTGGATCTATAACATGTTAGCTAAAAATGGAAGAGTTTGCTCCTCATTGTCAAAACTGTGGTCAAAGGAAGCACCCTGGGAGCTGCCCCAGCTTTTTTGCTGATGTTATTATCATTAGCAGACTGAAAACTGAAAATTTTCCTCTTGGGGATGCCTGCCATGTTGTGGCTGGACCACCCCAGAGTTGGAAGGGCATGAATAAAGTACAATTTTAAGTATGCAGAGGCCAGCATCTGAGAGCAAGATGGGTGCTTTGAGTGACCTATGCTCCCAGGAGATCAGGAAACTTGTAGACTAGTGCCTTTCAACCCTGGCTGTGTTTCAACCCTGGCTGTGTATCAGCATCCACTTGGGAATTCTTTAAAAAAATTACAAATGCCTAGGCTTCAGCCTTAGAGATTCTAAATGCTTTGGTTTAGAGTGTGACTCAGGAATCTGCTTTTGACTGGGCACCCTAGTGGTTCCCAGTTGGATGAGAACCAGGGATGTAGTGATTGTAAGACTGATAGCAATTTGCTTTGTGAAATCCTAATTTTCTAATTTCTAATTTTCTTATGTAGTGATTGTAAGACTGATAGCAGTTTGCTTTGTGAAATCCTAATTTTCTAAAGATTTTTTCTTGCGTAGTTACTAAGATTACCCTTAATTCAGCCCACAGAGGTAAGAAGAAGAATATTAACCATGGACCCTGTAGCCAGTACCTGAACCAGGCCTGTCTGAGCCCTGACCCTAGAGCTCAAGCTCTCAGCCCCTGTTGCATGTGGGTGTAGCCTGACTCCTGCACTGCACAGTGGGCTTTTACCTCTTTTGATGTGGAAACAGCCATCTTACCAGGCTTCCATTGTGTAAGCAATATAGTTTATGAATATATTCCTAGGCTGTTCAGATCCTTCACAACTGGAGAATTGATCCTGGCTGGGTCTAGATATGGTGATTTGGACTTCTGGGGTTGTCCTGGAAGACATCAGCCACTTCCTAGCTGGTCATTTTTCCACCCTGGCTCAGGTTTCTGCTTTCCCATCATGCTGTTTGCCAACTCTGTGCTTATTAATGAGGAGATGGGGGTATTTAGCTTGAAAAAAGAAGGTACCTGAGGGACATGATTCTTGTCCTTGGAGATCTGAAAGGCTTTGAGCAAGCTATGAGGAGTTATGGTGAGACCTGGATACTTTTGGATGGTATTCGGGATGGTCCTGGAAGAAGAATGTTCCAGGTTGTGGGATTAGCATGCACAGAGGGTGTGGTCAAGGACATTTGCTTTGATGGAGGAGTAGGGGAGATTTGAACATAAAGGCTTCTAAAGCCCTCCCTGCCATGGGGGTCCTTGAGTTTCTGGCGCTTGTCTGGAGGGCAGCTCCCAATGATGGAGTGGTGGGCAACACCCTTGCCCATGCAGACCCTTGCCTCTGTGTCCTTGCTTGGCTCCCTAGCCCTCTGACCTAATCCCTGAATGCCCAATGGCTCACTATGCACAGGGTTGAAAAGGGGTGGGTGCTGATGTGGACTGTTGCTGGGTAGCCTGGGCTGTTTACATTTTCCTGAGCATTTACTGTGTGCAGGCTCTAGGCTAGGCTCCTTAGATGTAGGGTCTCATTTAATCCGCATCACAGTGTTATGATGTACCTGCTGTTATTGTCTTTGTTTTATATATGAGGAAGCTAGAGCTCAGACATGTTAAGTATTATAACTTAGTCCATGATTACTGTATTAGTCCTCTGTTGCTATGTAACAAATTACTCCCACACTTAGCAGCTTAAAATAATAAGCATTTATCTCTCATAGTCTCTGTGGGTGAAGAATCCAAGAGTGGCTTAGCTGGGTGGTCCTGGCTCAGGGTCTCTCAGGAGGTTGTAGTCAAGATGTTGGCTGGGACTGTAGTCATCTGAAGGCTTGAGTGGGGATGGAAAGTCTGCTTCCAAGGTGGCTCGTGCACAATGCCTGGCCGTTGGCAGGAATCCTCTGTTCCTTGCCATGTGGAACTGTTCAGAGCCACTGAGTGTCCTCATGGCATGGCAGTTGACTTCTCCTAGAATGAGTGACCCAAGAGAACAAGACAGAAGCCAGCAAGGACTTTTGTGACCTGGCTCAGAAGTCACATACTGTCATTTGCACAGTATCCTATTAGTATCACAGATCAGCCCTCTTCACCAAGGGGGGCACTATACAAGAGCTGGACACCAGCAAGTAGGAAGTGGGGGACCCCTTGGAGACTGCCTACCACAGGCCTCAGGTCAGAAGGTCAAATACAGTTAGTCTAACTCCAGAACTTTCACAGTTCTGCCTCTGCCAGTGCCCCAGCTATGTGACCTTGGGTAAGTCACGTCACCTCTCTAAGTTTTGGTTTCCTCATTCATAGAGTGGTGATAGGAAGAGTACCTCCGTCATAGGGTTTATTTGGAGAATGAAATGAGATAATGCATATAGAGTACTTAGCACAGAGGCTGGAACCTATTAAAACAACAACCACCATTTTTGAACGTGTAGTGCATACCAGGCATTGTGTTGAGCGGTTAAAGTCTTTATTCAGAGTTTGCTGCTATTATTACTATTGTTGTTGTTGTTGTGGCTGTGACTGTGGTTGTCACCCACCAGTTTCCCTTTATGTCAGTCTCTGGCTTGCTCTAGATACATGCCTTCCTGCCTCAGCCCCCTGCCCTGCTGTTCTCCTGTCTTCTTGCCTCTCAGTTCCCCTTCCTCTCCTTCTTATTCTTTTAAAATATTTCTTCTTCTTCTTCCTCTTCTTCTTCTTCTTCTTCCTTCTTTCTTCCTCCTTCTTCTTCCTCTTCTTCTTCCTTCTTTCTTCCTCCTCCTTCTTCTTCTTCTTCCTCTTCCCCTTCCCCTTCTTCTCTTCTTTTCTTCTTCTTCTTCTTCTTCTTCTTCTTTTTTTTTTTTTTTTTTTTTTTTTGAGGTGGAGTTTCGCTCTTGTTGCCCAGGCTGGAGTGCAGTGGCATGATCTCGGCTCACTGAAATCTCTGCCTCCCGGGTTCAAACAATTCTCCTGCCTCAGCCTCCCAAGTAGCTGGGATTACAGGCACCTGATACCACGACCGGCTAATTATCGTAATTTTAGTAGAGATGGGGTTTCACCACGTTGGCCAGGCTGGTCTCGAATTCCTGACCTCAGGTGATCTGCCCGCCTCGGCCTCCCAAAGTGCTGGGATTACAGATGTAAGCCACTGCGCCCAGCCCTATTCTTTTTAAACATTTCTTATTGTTAACAATTTTGAATAGATATGTGTATGCACATACTGGGTTTATATAGGAAGAGTGGTAAAATGAACCTTTGTATACCTGTTACCTAGATCCAACAATTGCCATCTTTGCTTCATTTACCTCTTTTTTTCTTTTTATTTATTCCTGGAAATTTTGAAAGCAAATGCCTAACATCCTATTATTTCCCTCCTTCAAACTTCAGATGTAGCTCTTTAAAAAGTTATTTTCTACCATAATCACAATAGCATTATCACACTTAACAAAATTAGCAATAATTCTTTAGGATCAAATTGGGGGAATTTCAAATTTCCCCAATTGTCTCAAAAACAAACAAAACCCACTAATAGCAGTGACAATTCCAGGGCCTGCACATTGCATTTGGTTGGTTGTTACGTTTCTCAAATTCCTTTTTATTCTAGTGTAGTCCATCCTCCCTCTCCTCCCTCATGCGCTTAACTTATTGAAAGGTTAGTCGCACTCTGTAATATTCTAAATTGTAAATATTCTGCTTCTTCTTGGTGGTTTAACTTGTTCACTTGTCGCCTATTTTGTTTCAACTAGAAGTTAACCCAAGAGGCTTGATTGGATTTTGGGTCAGTCTTTTTGGGAAGAGTGTGTCCTAGGTGGTGCTGGGTACTTTGTATCACATGTCACATTAGGAGACACCCAGTTGTTTTGCTCTGTGTCATGTGAAGATTCATTGATGGGTTCAGGTGGTGACTGTTTTATTCCTTCATTGTAAAGTTCCCCATCTACCTTTTACCTAATTATTTCATCTGTCAATGATCTTTGCCTGAATTGAGTATTTTATTGGTCCTAGCAAAATGGTGACTTTTCTCTCTTTCTTTTTTTCCTTTTTCAGAGACAGAGTCTTGCTCTGTCACCTAGGCTCTAATGCAGTGGTGTGGTCATAGCTCACTGCAGCCTCAAACTTGTGGGCTCAAGCCATCCTCTGCCTCAGCCTCCTGAGAATCTAGGACTACAGACATGTGCCACCATGCTTGGCTAATTTTTAAAAAATATTTGAAGAGACGTATCACTGTGTTGCCCAGGCTGGTCTTGGACTCCTGGCCTCAAGCAGTTATCCTGCCTCAGCCTCCCCAGTAGCTGAGATTACAGGCATGAGCTGCCACGCCTGACTCTTATAGCTGAAATTCTTAAGAAGAATTTTTCCTCATCAGCTAGGGCTACTTGTACATACTTAATTCTTTCCTTTTAATTATCAATTTTCAGAGTAAGCAGGTGGTGCCCCACTTACCTTTAATGGTGACTTGTGGGTGTGTAACTGCTTTGTTTTGTTTTTGGTGAGCAGTCTGTCTCCTCCATCATAATGAACTTGTGGATATTTATTATACGTCCTGTGTGTTTCAGTCAGTTATAGTCACCATTCTTTTTGATATACAAATTGTCCTGTCTTTGACCAGTTGGATCCCTTTTATGTTGGCTCCTGTATCCTTTTAATGTGATCCCACTCATTTTTGATCACTTCCCTGCTTTTTGGCCCAACAAGATCCCCAGGGTTATGTTGTATATTTTCTGCTGCAGACCTGGAATTAGGCATTCCTTCAGGGGGTTTCTTTTAGTGGGGAATAATATTTAGAAACCATAATCTGGGTGAAGACTGCTTAGTATTACTGGGTTGCCATTGCTTTTAGGCCTTTGCCATGGACAGAGCTAGTAAACAGTTATTTTTTAAAAGGAAAATGTCATGAGTTCATAGTTAGGGTAGATGATATTATTTCTCCATAATTCTTCCTTCTCAACTTACTCCTTGTCATACCTTCACTGTGGGTGGTGTATATCTCCCCACCCTATTGACTTTGGGCTTGGCCCTGTGACTTGGTTTTGCCCATGGAATGTGGGCAGCATGGCAGTGTGCAGATCTGAGCTGAGCTGCTGAGAGGCGTGGCAAGCTTTGGCCAGCTGTCTTGGAACTTTCCTTTTCCATGATGTATCGGTAACTGTTGCTTGTTTATCTTCAGTCCCCAAATGAGGACATTACAGTTGACCTGAACTGACCCGAAGTCTAGATTCCACACTGAGACAAGCCAAAGCCAACCTGGCAGAGCTGAGCTGAGCTGCATCATCTACAGACCTATGAGCATGAAATAAATGTTGCTGTTGTAAGCATCTGAGATTTGAGGATTGCTCGTTATACTACATTATCTTGTAAAAATTTGACTAATATAATACTGATCTTTCCAATTCAAATATAACATTATAGAGTTGTTACTTAATTCCCTTGATATTTATATATTTTATTTTACAGTGACAATTTTGGTTCCTAGCAACATTACTTACTTTATATTATCCCGTCATATATATGTAAAATAATTTAAAAATAATAATACGAATATTACTACTAAGCAGTAGACTGCTGGTCAAATTTTAACATTTTCTTGCAGTTAGTTCTTTTACTTCTTGTCTTCTCTCTTTCCTACTACTTACATACCCAAGTGGGCCTCTCCCCTGGACTTTTCCCTTAAAGGTCTTTGGAAGCACCAGGACAGAAAAGGAGGGTTATGCTAATTTGGTTCTAGAGGGTCTGCATACTGAGATACCCTGTTGTAATCCCAGTACCTGGAACACAGTACATAATAAATATTTGTTGAATGAGTGGAGTGTGAATGGATGCCTGAAAGGGGAAGCGCCATAGCAGAACATTATCTGGCTGTGTTTAGGCACACTGCCAAGCGAGGGCGTGTGCCAACCAAAGGAGCGATATTACCAGGGTGTCTTGTTTTGTGGTGTAACCACTTCCCGCAAAGCAAGGGTATTTCCTGGTGAGCTCAGCCTTTTGAAGATTCACATTTCCAAATGCAGTTGATAACTGAGGGTGGAGCTGTGGCTTTTCATGACTTCTGCTGGTTTCTGCAAGGGGGACCACAAAGAACATCATTTCAGGGCTTAGAGGAAGCCAGGCAGACGGTGAGTTAAGGATTGGCAGAGAGTAAGGAAAATGGAAGTTACAAATATGGAACCATAACTGCCCTGTCCCCTGGTGACTCTAACGAGTGACCAAGTTTATCAAAAATTGGTGTATTAATGCAGATATAGCTTTGTAGCATAATATCTCACAGCTGTGTTGAACTTACAAGTTGTGGCCTAGAACCCCATTGCCACTGTGGTGGATTGGGTTGCAGGGTAGATTCCTGGGTGGATTCCTGGCTGCCAGGGCTTGGGGCAAGGGCTGCATTGTAAAGGAGGTCTGTCTGAAGGTCCTGGTGGTAGCAGCCTTCTAAAAGGGTATGTTTTCAAGGTGGTGTTTTGTCTCTACCAGAGCTCCTTACCACATCTGTCTGTCAGTATGTCCAGTTCCCAGCCTATGGAGTTGAAGGCGCAGCAGTGTCTCAGAGGCTGGTCTAAATGTCAGAACTGTTTTTGTCATTAGTTTTAGCATGGAGCAGCATCAAGGGGAAACTGCTGTTCTTAGAATGTGCTGAAAATGGGCACAGCCTGTGCTTTATTCAGCCCAGGGTTCTGTCAGAGCTGAGCTGCTGGGTCTGTTAAAGCCACACAGCTTGAAGAGCATGAACTTTGATCTGATGAAGCTGAGGTTGAGTCACAGCCTCACCCCTCTAGCTTGGAGACTTAGGACAAGTCATGTATTTTCTTTATGCCTTGATTTTCTCATGTGTAAAGTTGGCGGGGGGTGGAAGTCATAGCTTTTACCTTACAGTGGGCATGTAAGAACTTAGCGCGGTGCCTGTACAAAGCAAGCTCCTAGTCATGCGTGGCTATCATTTCACCAATGTATAGTTTGAATAGGCACTGTGGGTTATAGATGGGAGGTTGTTGCTCAGAATATTCAGATGATGCCTGTGCCGGAGCCAGTGTCCCAGAGGAGGTGATACCTGTGTAGCAGAGTGTTTAAGAGCATGGTACCTGGGATCCTTCAGAGCTCGGTTCACATCCTGGTGCCCTGGATAGCTGGGAGGCTGAGGTCTGGACCAAGACATACACCATGGTGCCCTAGGAGCCCTGCAAACATCATATGGGGAACTCACTCAATCTTGGGGTTGTGACATTATCACTAGGCCTTGAAGGCTGAAAGAGATCATCTCTTATTGGTGATTTGGGGAGTTGGGGGGCAGTTGGAAAGGGAATTTCAGGCAGAATGAATAACCCTTTGGAAAGACAGGTGATGTGCTCAGCAAAATTTAATACTACTTTTGGTGCCTGGTGCTCTTGAGAGAAGAAAAGGAGAACCTGCTCTTCCCTCAGTTCTGTGCTCTGCCAGAGCATCATTGCCAGGGATACTGGTACATGCCAAAGGCTTACCAGAAGTCAGTGTTTCATTCCCTTGCCGACTGGCAGCTGGGGCATGGTGTACGGTGGGCCTCAGTGTGATAGAAACGAACTGCAGTGGGTACCAATTTCAGTGAGGTGGAAAGCTTTCCTAAGTGCTCGTGTTTTTTCCAGTCTTCTCACTGCCCCTGCCAACATTGTTCCATCCCCACTGTCAGATTTCCCAGTAGTCAGCTCTGCCTTCACTCATTTACTCATTCATCAGTCTACTGTGCTAAATGCTGGAGAAACGATGAAGGGGACCTCGGCACAATTCAACCTGAGTCAGGCAGACATGTAAATAAATAGTAAACAAGAAGTGTTCAGGGGTGGGGCGCTAGCGTATCAAGGAAAGAGTGAGGGTGAGGATGGGCAGAAGGCAAGGAGCATGTCCCACAGAAGGGATGTTTGAATAAGGAAGCCAGGAGAACGGGGTGGCCAAGAGCATCGCAAAAGCAGAAAGATTCAGTTGCATATGGGTGTTTGGAGAACAGTGAGGAGTCTGTCATGACGGGAGAAGTGTATCTAGGTCTCTCCTGCAAGACCAGGACCAAAATCCAGAGGATGAGTGGCCAGGAAATACAAGGACCAGTGGTGAGGTCAGCAGCAGAGGAGGTGGCAAGAAAGGAAGAGCCTCAAGCCTGGCGGGGGTGAGAGATTGAGAGGCCTTGCACTGAAACCTGGCCATACAAGGCCTGGCATCTTTGAGGAGCATGGACACGTGTCAAGAGAGCCAGGTTGGGCCAGGCAGTTTGAGCTGGGCAGGAGACGGCAGTGAGGCTTGGAAGGGAGGCTTAGATGTGCCTGACTAAGGAGTTTGAGCTTTATCTTGTTAGCCCTGAGCATTCACTGAGAGATTTAAAAAAACAAAAAATAGAGACAAAGTCCTGCTATGTTGCCCAGGCTAAAGTGCAATGGCATGATCATAGCTCACTGCAGCCTCAAACTCCTGGGCTGAAGCAATCCTCCCACCTTAGCCTCCCAAGTAGTTGGGACTGCAGGTGTATGCCACCATACCCAGCCCTCTGAAGGATTTTAAAAGGGGAGCACCGTGGACAGATTTGTATTTTAAGATGTTCATTTCAACTGAGACAGAACCACCTGTAGTCAGGGAGACTAGTTAGGAGGATTTTGCAGCAGTCTGCATGAGGCAAGGTGGTCACACTGGAGAGAAGGGCAGGGCCTGATGTTATACTGGTTGTGAGGCTGCTGCAAGGGCCAAGATGAGAGGAAGCAGGCTGTAGTTGTGTCTGGAGAAAAGTGGGCTGCCCACTTAGGGAGCAGCAGGAAGAACAAGGGGCAAGGAAGGATGCACAGAAAGTGGCCCTAGAGGTAGGAGGAGGCCTAGTTAAGTCAAGCAGGGTGATCAGCAATGTTGCCTTTAGGGAGGGAGGCCAGAAGGGCCAGAGACAGCCGATGGCCTGAAAAAAGGCTGAAGGACTCAGGAGGCCAAGGTGGGAGGACCACTTGAGCCTAGGAGTTTGAGGCCAGCCTGGGCAACATAGCAAGACCCCACCTTATCATCATCATCATCAGCATCATCATCATCATCATCATCATCGCTGAAGGACCAAAAGTCAAGAAGAGAGCAAAGCACAGATTTGGTTAGGGGAAGGGGAGGGAAGCCAGGAAATAATGGAGGGAGGAGGATTTCAGAGTTCAGGGTCTTTGAGGTGGGGTGGCTCTGGTGACTGTGCTTGAAGGTGTGATGGCAGTGCCTTTGTGAAGCACAGAAGAGGTTGAGGCATGGGGGCACCCAGAAGTGAGAAGTTTAGTGAAGTGTGTAGAGATGACAACAGGAGAATGGGAGGAGGGGAAGACTCAAGCCAGAGCTACAGGTAAGGGAGCATCATGGTGGGAGAGCATACAGCAGCGTGGAGGGGAAGTAGAGGTGTTAGGACCCGGCTTGGGCCTCCCTGAAGACAAGCTGTGGGCCTGGACTGTGGGCCTTGGAGGTGAGGAACCAGAACATCCCCAGTATCTATTCCTGGGTTTGAGGCACGGACCAGGTGCTCAGTGTTAGTGGAAGGCAGGCCAGGGGTGGTCTGGGTGGGCCTGCTGGTCCTCTCCCTCTAGTCCTCATTGTCTGTGGCCCTGGAGGGAACCTGCTAAGTTCCTCCTAAGTGTGTTTTAAGGAAAAGGCAGTTCTGGTTAGAATGAGGAGGTGGGAGCAGCATTAACAGAAATGTTTTGGGACAAAGGAGGCATTCTGCAGATAAAATACATATTCCTGTGGGACACTTACTCTAGAGGGATTCGATTTCACCCTTCCTGCATCAGGCTGGAGCTCGAGACCTTGAGCTTGACTTGACCAGCATCTGTTGGGTCCTTTTCTGGTTTGCAGAAAGGCTGGCCTGCCAGAATGGAAGACTCCCTGCAGAAGTCCACAGTTTCCTCCAGGCCACATGACACGTTGCAGTTCAGGAAAACACTGCCTGTGGGTCCAGGAACCTGACCCTCTGGCCTTTTGTCTGGATGCCGTTTGCCTGCTCTGAAGAAGCGGGCGTTCCAGAAAGCCGAGGTCAATGTTGGACGTCGGACAAACCCTGTGTGTCTTTGCTGCTCCTTGGAATCAGTGTTTGGCCCTCGGAGAGGGAAGAATGTGGCCAGCAGGCAGTCATTTGTAAAGTGGAGATTGGTTTCCCTGACATCATTAAAACCCCTCTCTCAGGTCACATGCTGGGCAGTTTTCTCAGACCATCTCTCTCTGCTACACCAACCTAGTCTAATCCACTGCCATCCCTCCCCTGAATGATGGCAGCAGCCTTTTCATGTCTCCTCACATTGAGTTCCATCCCCCAGCCTCCTCTTTGGAACCAGAGACATCTTTCTAAAGCCAAAGTCTGACCATGTCCCTGCCCTGCTTAGCGCCCTCTGTGGCTACCCACTGCTCCTAGGATGCAGATCCGCCTTCATGCAGCCTCCCAGGCTCTGTGAAATAGGCCAGCAGCAGACCTCCCGACTCTCTCCTGCTCCAGTTCACCACTTTGTGTGCACACCACAGCCTCCCTGGTGTTCACTCCTGTCTCAGCACCTCCGCACAGGTTGTGCCCTCTGCCGGGAATGCTCTGCTCTGCCTCCGGGAGATGATGAGCAGTCAGAGCTCCGAGGTAGTGCTCCTCCTTCTCATGCTCCCTCTCATAGCCGCCTCATACTTCTTACGTATGGCACTTTGCACCCTCGTACTGAAATATTACGACTTTTAAAAGTTTGAATTATGAGTTCAAAGTCTGTTTCCCTCCTGGTTTGTGAACTCCAGGAATGCAGAGATCATGCCACTACTCTTCATCCCTGACTCCTGTGATCTAATGCAGTGCCTGATGTTGTTTGTTTTTTGTCGAATACATTTAGGATGTAGCAGTAGTAATAATACTAAAATCCCTTGAATCCTTTCCACTTCTATGCTATCTGCCTCTCTTTGTTCAAAAAACTGGATTAGGTGGTAGGGGCAGTCTTGGTGTCCACAAGTTGGGGCCAAGGCATAGAAAGGAGGGCTCCCAGCATAAGACTCATTAGAGCTATCGTTACTTAGCACCCAAAGGCTAAACAGCTGTCTAATTTGTTACCGCTCTGAGTTCACATTTGTTATTTGCACATTTTCTAGAAATTGGTCTGTTTTAACAGTTTCTTGTCACAGTGGAAACAGAGTAGAAAAGGAATTCCCCAACTCCATTTATTTCATGGTGGAGATAAGAGTAGGGGCTGGAGTTCCTCTCTGAGCCGCAGGATAAGGCCTGCCTGAAGGGTGGGGAGAGGCTACTGGGGCAGGAGTCTGAACTGGCTGCACACACAGGCCAGCAGCACATTTGATCCAACACTTTGCAACTTCGAGACTCATTTTTTTTTTCCTTCTTGAGCATGGATATGACATTAGTGTTGGTTAGAAACCAAATTTCCTTTTAAGTGAATAAATAACACAAAACAGAGCCTTTGGTGAACAGCTGTTTTCATCCATAGGGACTTGGTGCCTGGTTGGGATTTTTGTCTGCAAGGAAAAGAGGGTTTGTTTGAACTCTTGTCATAGGAACAACTACATGATCCCAGGAAGTTTGGGGTAGTGAGAGGATCATAAGTTTTGGAGGCAGGAAGGTCTGCATTTGAAACTTGGCTCTGCTACTCTGTAGCTGTGTGATCATAGGCAAGTTCCCTCATCTTTCTGTGTCTCTGTTTTCTTCTCTGTAAAGTGGAAATGATACCCATCTCATAGTGTTATGATGGTTAAGAAGATTGTGGAAGAGGGGGCCTAGAATGGACCTCGCACATGGCAGAAACTCACAAATTGTTTCTTAATTTTTGAGAGAAGTCTGGGAAGTAATAAGGAGAAAAGCAATAGGCAGCGCTGATAAGTCAAGCTGAGAAGGGCTCTGGGCTCAGCAGTATGTAAAGCTTCCCAAGGGTAGGACCTCATCTGTCATTGCTATATCCCTCATGGCAAGCAGTGAGTAAGCAGTGTCTGGTACATGACAGGATCAATACTTGTCAATACTTGTTTGATGAATGACAGGTGTGTAGAAAAGCATTTCCACCTGTATGGCTTAAAGCTTAAGAGCTTGGGCTCTGGAGAGAGAAGGACCTGGATTTTTATCTCTGTGACCATGGTCAAGTCACTTAGCCTCTCTGAGTCTCAGTTTCTGTATCAGTAAAATGGAAATTATAATATGACTACCTCAAAAGAATTGGACATGAGGACAGCATGAGATTATTTTCAGCGTTATTGAGGTATAATTTACATATGTAAACTATGCATACTAAAGTCAACAATTTGATATGTATGTATCTGTAAAACCATCACCATCTCAATATAATGAACATACCCATCACCCCAAAAATTTTTTAATACCTCTTTGCAATCCTTTCCTCCTCTTCCACTCCTTCCACTGTTCTTGAAATTAGGTAGTGTACATCCTTAAAGTTTGTTATTCTGTTTCAAAATTGTTCTGACTATTCTAATCCTTGGCATTTCAATATGCATTTTAGGATCAACTTGTTAAGTTTTACCAAAGAAGTCTGCTGGGATTTTGACTGTGATTGTGTTGAATCTGTAGATCCATTTGGGGAGAATTGACATTTTAATGATATTGCATCACCTGAACTATGAAACACAATGTAACTCCATGTATTAAGGACTCATAACACAGTATATCACCTCATGTATGTAGGTCTTCTCTAATTTATTTTAGTAATGTTGTGTAGTTTGCATTGTATAGGCCTTATACATCTTTTGCCAAATATATGTAGGGTTTTCTACACAGATAATGATGCCTCTGTGAATAATGACAGTCTTGTTTCTTTCTGAACTGGATGCTATTGTTTCTTTTTCTTGCCTTGTTGCATGGGCTACAGCCTCTAGTACAATGTTGGGTAGAAGTGGTGAGTGCAGATATTCTTGGCGTGGTCCTGATCTTAGAAGAAAAGTGGCCTTTACTCATTAAGGATGATGTTTGCTGTTAGCAGTAGGTTTTTTCATAGAGGTCTTTTTATCAGGTTGAGGAAATTTCCTTGTATTCCTAATTTACTAAGAGTTTAATCTGGAATGGGTATTTGAGTTTTATCAAATGCTTTTCCTGCATCTATTGACATAATCATATGGTTTTTCTTTTTCAGTCTGTTACTTTAGAGAATTACATTGATCGATTTTTGACTATTAAACCAACCTTGTATTGCTGTGGTAAACCCCACTTAGTTATGATGAATTAATTATCTTTTTTGTATATTGTTGGATTTGATTTGTTAAAATTGTGTTTAGAATTTCTGCATCTGTGTTTGTAATGGGGAATATTGATCCATATTTTTCTTTTCCTGTAAAGTTTTTGTCTGGTTTTGGTATCAGCATAATGCTGCCCTCACAAAATGAGTTGAGAAGTATTCCTTCCTTTTCAATTTTCAAGAAGAGTTTGTATAGAATTAGTGTGAGTCTTTCTTAAATATTTGGTAGATATCACCAGTAGAGCCACCTAGGTCTGGAGTTTTCTCTGTGGAAAGTTTTTTTTTTTTTTCTTTTAAATAGAGTTTATTTTTAAGAACAGTTTTAGAGTAAAAAGCTTCCACTGTAGCTCTGGTCTACAGCTCTCAGCGTGAGTGATGCAGAAGATGGGTGATTTCTGCATTTCCAACTGAGCTTTGAAGAGAGTAGTGGTTCTCCCAGCACGCAGCTTGAGATCTGAGAACGGGCAGACTGGTTCCTCAAGTGGGTCCCTGACCCCAGAGTAGCCTAACTGGGAGGCACCCCCAGTAGGGGCGGACTGACACCTCACACGACCGGGCACTCCTCTGAGACAAAACTTCCAGAGGAACGATCAGGCAGCAGCATTTGCGGTTCACCAGTATCTGCTGTTCTGCAGCCACCGCTGCTGAAACCCAGGCAAACAGGGTCTGGAGTGGACCTCTAGCAAACTCCGACAGACCTGCAGCTGAGGGTCCTGTCTGTTAGAAGGAAAACTAACAAAACAGGAAGAACATCCACACCAAAAACCCATCTGTACGTCACCATCATCAAAGACCAAAGGTAGATAAAACCACAAAGATGGGAAAAAAAACAGAGCAGAAAAACTGGAAACTCTAAAAATCAGAGCACCTCTCCTTCTCCAAAGGAACACAGCTCCTCACCAGCAACAGAACAAAGCTGGATGGAGAATGACTTTGAGAGTTGAGAGAAGAAGGCTTCAGATGATCAAACTACCCCGAGCTACAGGAGGAAATTTGAACCAATGGCAAAGAAGTTAAAAGCTTTGAAAAAAAAATTAGTTGAATGGATAACTAGAATAACCAATGCAGAGAAGTCCTTAAAGGACCTGATGGAGCTGAAAACCAAGGCACGAGAGCTACGTGATGAATGCAGAAGCCTCAGTAGCCGATGCGATCAACTGGAAGAAAGGGTATCAGTGATGGAAGATGAAATGAATGAAATGAAGCAAGAAGAGAAGTTTAGAGAAAAAAGAGTAAAAAGAAATGAACAAAGCCTCCAAGAAATATGGGACTATGTGAAAAGACCAAATCTACGTCTGATTGGTGTACCTGAAAGTGACGGGGAGAATGGAACCAAGTTGGAAAACACTCTGCAGGATATTATCCAGGAGAACATCCCCAATCTAGCAAGACAGGCCAACATTCAAATTCAGGAAATACAGAGAATGCCACAAAGATACTCCTCGAGAAGAGCAACTCCAAGACACATAATTGTCAGATTCACCAAAGTTGAAATGAAGGAAAAAATGTTAAGGGCAGCCAGAGAGAAAGGTCGGGTTACCCACAAAGGGAAGCCCATCAGACTAACAGCTGATCTCTTGGCAGAAACTCTACAAGCCAGAAGAGAGTGGGGACCAATATTCAACATTCTTAAAGAAAAGAATTTTCAACCCAGAATTTCATATCCAGCCAAACTAAGCTTCATAAGTGAAGGAGAAATAAAACACTTTACAGACAAGCAAATACTGAGAGATTTTGTCACCACCAGGCCTGCCCTACAAGAGCTCCTGAAGGAAGCACTAAACATGGAAAGGAACAACAAGTACCACCCACTGCAAAAACATGCCAAATTGTAAAGACCATCAAGGCTAGGAAGAAACTGCATCAACTAATGAGCAAAATAACCAGCTAACATCATAATGACAGGATCAAATTCACACATAACAATATTAACTTTAAGTGTAAATGGGCTAAATGCTCCAATTAAAAGACACAGACTGGCAAATTGGATAAAGAGTCAAGACCCATCAGTGTGCTGTATTCAGGAAACCCATCTCATGTGCAGAGACACACATAGGCTCAAAATAAAGGGATAGAGGAAGATCTACCAAGCAAATGGAAAACAAAAAAAGGCAAGGGTTGCAATCCTAGTCTCTCATAAAACAGACTTTAAACCAACAAAGATCAAAAGAGACAAAGAAGGCCATTACATAATGGTAAAGGGATCAATTCAACAAGAAGAGCTAACTATCCTAAATATATATGCACCCAATACTGGAGCACCCAGATTCATAAAGCACGTCCTTAGTGACCTACAAAGAGACTTAGACTCCCACACAATAATAATGGGAGACTTTAACACCCCACTGTCAACATTAGACAGATCAACGAGACAGAAAGTTAACAAGGATACCCAGGAATTGAACTCAGCTCTGCACCAAGCAGACCTAATAGACATCTACAGAACTCTCCACCCCAAATCAACAGAATATACATTCTTTTCAGCACCACACCACACCTACTCCAAAACTGACCACATAGTTGGAAGTAAAGCACTCCTCAGCAAATGTAAAAGAACAGAAATTATAACAAACTGTCTCTCAGAACACAGTGCAATCAAACTAGAACTCAGGATTAAGAAACTCACTCAAAACCACTCAACTACATGGAAACTGAACAACCTGCTCCTGAATGACTATTGGGTAAATAATGAAATGAAGGCAGAAATAAAGATGTTCTTTGAAACCAACGAGAACAAAGACACAACATACCAGAATCTCTGAGACACATTCAAAGCAGTGTGTAGAGGGAAATTTATAGCACTGAATGGCCACAAGAGAAAGCAGGAAAGATCTAAAATTGACACCCTGACATCACAATTAAAAGAACTAGAAAAGCAAGAGCAAACACATTCAAAAGCTAGCAGAAGGCAAGAAATAACTAAAATCAGAGCAGAACTGAAGGAAATAGAGACACAAAAAACCCTTCAAAAAATTAATGAATCCAGGAGCTGGTTTTTTTGAAAAGATCAACAAAATTGATAGACTGCTAGCAAGACTAATAAAGAAGAAAAGAGAGAAGAATCAAATAGATGCAATAAAAAATGATAAAGGGATATCACCACTGATCCCACAGAAATACAAACTACCATCAGAGAATACTACAAACACCTCTACGCAAATAAACTAGAAAATCTAGAAGAAATGGATAAATTCCTTGACACATGCATCCTCCCAAGACTAAACCAGGAAGAAGTTGAATCTCTGAATAGACCAATAACAGGCTCTGAAATTGAGGCAATAATCAATAGCTTACCAACCAAAAAAAGTCCAGGACCAGATGGATTCACAGCCGAATTCTACCAGAGGTACAAAGAGGAGCTGATACCAATCCTTCTGAAACTATTCCAATCAATAGAAAAAGAGGGAATCCTCCCTAACTCATTTTATGAGGCCAGCATCATCCTGATACCAAAGCCGGGCAGAGACACAACCAAAAAAGAGAATTTTAGACCAATATCCTTGATGAACATTGATGCAAAAATCCTCAATAAAATACTGGCAAACCAAATCCAGCAGCACATCAAAAAGCTTATCCACCATGATCAAGTGGGCTTCATCCCTGGGATGCAAGGCTGGTTCAACATACACAAATCAATAAATGTAATCCAGCATATAAACAGAACCAAAGACAAAAACCACATGATTATCTCAATAGATGCAGAAAAGGCCTTTGACAAAATTCAACAACGCTTCATGCTAAAAACTCTCAATAAATTAGATATTGATGGGACGTATCTCAAAATAATAAGAGCTATCTATGACAACCCCACAGCCAATATCATACTGAATGGGCAAAAACTGGAAGCATTCCCTTTGAAAACGGGCACAAGACAGGGATGCCCTCTCTCACCACTCCTATTCAACATAGTGTTGGAAGTTCTAGCCAGGGCATTGAGGCAGGAGAAGGAAATAAAGGGTATTCAATTAGGAAAAGAGGAAGTCAGATTGTCCGTTTGCAGATGACATGATTGTATATCTAGAAAACCCCATCGTCTCAGCCCAAAATCTCCTCAAGCTGATAACTTCAGCAAAGTCTCAGGATTCAAAATCAATGTACAAAAATCACAAGCATTCTTACACACCAATAACAGAGAACCAAATCATGAGTGAACTCCCATTCACAATTGCTTCAAAGAGAATAAAATACCTAAGAATCCAACTTACAAGGGATGTGAAGGACCTCTTCAAGGAGAACTACAAACCACTGCTCAATGAAATAAAAGAGGATACAAACAAATGAAAGAACATTCCATGCTCATGGGTAGGAAGAATCAATATCGTGAAAATGACCATACTGCCCAAGGTGATTTATAGATTCAATGCCATCCCCATCAAGCTACCAATGACTTTCTTCACGGAATTGGAAAAAACTACTTAAAAGTTCATATGGAACCAAAAAAGAGCCCACATCGCCAAGTGAATCCTAAGCCAAAAGAACAAAGCTGGAGGCATCATGCTACCTGACTTCAAACTATACTACAAGGCTACAGTACCCAAAACAGCATGGTACTGGTACCAAAACAGAGATATGGACCAATGGAACAGAACAGAGCCCTCAGAAACAATGCTTCGTATCTACAACTATCTGATCTTTGACAAACCTGAGAAAAACAAGCAATGGGGAAAGGATTCCCTATTTAATAAATGGTGCTTGGAAAACTGGCTAGCCATATGTAGAAAGCTGAAACTGGATCCCTTCCTTACATGTTATACAAAAATTAATTCAAGATGGATTAAAGACTTAAATGTTAGACCTAAAACCATAAAAACCCTAGAAGAAAACCTAGGCAATACCATTCAGGACATAGGCATGGGCAAGGACTTCATATCTAAAACACCAAAAGCAATGGCAACAAAAGCCAGAATTGACAAATGGGATCTAATTAAACTAAAGAGCTTCTGCACAGCAAAAGAAACTACCATCAGAGTGAACAGGCAACCTACAGAATGGGAGAAAACTTTTGCAACCTACTCATCTGACAAAGGGCTAATACCTAGAATCTACAATGGACTCAAATTTACAAGAAAAAAACAAACAACCCCATCAAAAAGTGGGCAAAGGATATGAACAGACACTTCTCAAAAGAAGACATTTATGCAGCCAAAAAACACATGAAAAAATGCTCATTATCACTGGCCATCAGAGCAATGCAAATCAAAACCACAATGAGATACCATCCCACACCAGTTAGAATGGCAATCATTAAAAAGTCAGGAAACAACAGGTGCTGGAGAGGATGTGGAGAAATAGGAACACTTTGACACTGTTGGTGGGACTGTAAAACCAGTTCAACCATTGTGGAAGTCAGTGTGGCAATTCCTCAGGGATCTGGAACTAGAAATACCATTTGACCCAGCCATCCCATTACTGGGTATATACCCAAAGGACTATAAATCATGCTGCTATAAAGACACATGCACACGTATGTTTATAGCGGCACTATTCACAATAGCGAAGACTTGGAACCAACCTAAATGTCCAACAACGATAGACTGGATTAAGAAAATGTGGCACATATACACCATGGAATACTATGCAGCCATAAAAAATGATGAGTTCATGTCCTTTGTAGGGACATGGATGAAGCTGGAAACCATCATTCTCAGCAAACTATCGCAAGGACAAAAAACCAAACACCGCATGTTCTCACTTACAGGTGGGAACTGAACAATGAGAACATGTGGACACAGGAAGGGGAACATCACACACTGGGGACTGTTGTTGGGTGGGGGAGGGGGGAGGGATAGCATTAGGAGATATACCTAATGCTAAATGACGAGTTAATGGGTGCAGCACACCAACATGGCACATGTATACATATGTAACAAACCTGCACGTTGTGCACATGTACCCTAAAACTTAAAGTATAATAATAATAATAATAATAAGTTTCAGATTTCTAGCAAAATTGAACAGAAAGTATAGAGTGTACATTCTGTATCTCCTGACCCCGTACATGCACAGCCTCCCCCACTATCAGCGTCCTCCCCCAGAGTGGATTTGTTAAAATTGAAGACCCTACACTGATACAGCATCATCACCCAAAGTCCATAGTTTTCATTAGAGTTAATTCGTGGTGTTGTGCATTCTATCAGTTTGACAAATATGTAATCACATGCATCTGCCATTATAGTGTCATACAGAATAGTTTTACTATTCTAAAATCCTCTGTGCCCCACCTATTCATCTCTTCTTCTCTCTTAACCCCTGGCACCACTGGTCTTTTCACTATCTTCATAGTTTTACCTTTTCCAGAATGTCTTATAGTTAGAATCATATAGTATGTAGCCTTTTCAGATTGGCTTCTTTGATTTAGTAATAAGCATTTATGTTTTCTTCATGTCTTTTCATGGCTTGATAGCTCATTTCTTTTTAGTGCTGAATAATAATTTATTGTTTGCATATACCAAAGTTTATCCATTCACCTACTG
This sequence comes from Homo sapiens, assembly GCF_000001405.40. Taxonomy (NCBI): domain Eukaryota; kingdom Metazoa; phylum Chordata; class Mammalia; order Primates; family Hominidae; genus Homo; species Homo sapiens. Next base: position 126,999,728 of record NC_000009.12, read on the forward strand.
AGGGATATCTTGATTGCTTCAAAGTTTCGGCAATTATGAATAAAGCTTCTGTAAAGATTCATATGCAGATTTCTGTGTGAACACAAGTTTTCAACCCATTTGGGTAAATACCAATGAGAGTGATAGCTAGATCATTGTGGAAAGCTTTTAAACCACAAATTTAGTTTCTCTAACTATTCAGTTTATCTGTTTCTTTTTTAGTGAGTTTTGGTTGTGTTTTTCATTGAGCCTGTGCATTTTATCTGAGTTGTTAAATTTATTCCCATGAAGTTGTTCATAATATTCCCTTTTTATTCTTTTAATATCTATAGGATCTGTCATGATGTCCCCTGCTCTCATTCCTCATATTGGTAATTTGTATCTCTTTGCTTTTTTTCCCCTGGTCAGTCCAGCTAAAATTTACTAATTTTATTGATCTCAAGGAGAGCTTTTGGTTTCATTATTTTTTCTATGGCTTTTCTGTTTTCTGATCCATTGATTTCAGTTCATATTCTTTCTTCTGCTTACTTTGGGTTTAATTTGCTCTTCTTTTATAGTTTCTTAAGTAGAAGCTGAAGTCAATGATTTGAGCGCTTTCTTCATTGCTAATGTAGGCATCTAATGCTATAAATTTTCTTCTAAGTGCTGCTCTAGCTTTGCTCCCACGCGTTTTGATATTTTGGGCCTTCATTTCCATTAAATTCAAATGCTTTCTAATTTTCCTTTTGATTTCTTTTTGACCCATGAACTATTAAAGATGTGTTATTCAGTTTCCAAATATTTGAGGAATGGCTAGGTATATTCCTGCTATTGATTTCTTGTCTTGTCTTTTTTTTTTTTTTTTTTTTTTTTTTTTTTTGAGATGGAGTTTCACTCTTGTTGCCGAGGCTGGAGTGCAAAGGTACTATCTCGGCTCACTGCAACCTTTGCTTCCCAGGTTCAAGCGATTCTCCTGCCTCAGCCTCCAGAGTAGCTGGGATTACAGTCATGCACCACCACCTCTGGCTAATTTTTTTTTTGTATTTTTAGTAGAGACGGGGCTTCGCCGTGTTGGTCAGGCTGGTCTCAAACTCCTGACCTCAGGTGATCCACCTGCCTCAGCCTCCCAAAGCGCTGGGATTATAGGTGTGAGCCACCGCGCCCGGCCTCTGCTATTGATTTCTAATTCCATTGTAGTTAGAGAACATACTTTGTATGACTTAATTTAAATTTATTGAGACTAGTGGCTAAGAATATGGTCAATCTTGATAAATGTTTGGTATGAACTTGAGAAAAAAGTAAGTTCAGGCCAGGCGTGGTGGCTCACACCTATAATCCCAACACTTTGGGAGGCTGAGGTGGGTGGGTTGCTTGAGCCTAACATAGTGAGACTCTGTCTCTACAAAACAAAACAAAACAAAACAAAACAAAACAAAACAAAACAAAACAAAACTTAACTGGGCATGGTGGTGCATGCCTGTCGTCCCAGCTATTAGGAGGCTGAGGTGGGGGGATCACTTGAACCCAGGAGGTTGAGGCTGTAGTGAGCCATGATTGTGCCACTGCACTCAAGCCTGGGTGACAGAGCAAGACTCTGTCTCAAAAAAAAAAAAAAAAGTAAGTTCACACTATTTTTTGTTCTCTTTTCCTTCTTTTTCTGACTTCTTTTTAATTAATTGAGCACACTTCATGATTCCACCTTAACTTCTTTATTGGCTTATGAGGTATAATTTCTTTAATTTCAGTGGTTGGTTTAGGGTTTTTAGTATATATTTTAAACTTATAGTCTACTTTCAAGTGATAATATACCATTTTATGTATAGTGTAAGACATTTACAACAGTGTATGTCTATTTACCTCCGTCCTATTCTTTGCAGTATTGTTGTCATACATTTTTCTTCTAAATATGCAATAATCGGGCTGGGCGCGGTGGCTCACACCTGTAATCCCAGCACTTTGGGAGGCTGAGTTGGGTGGATTACTAGGTCAGGAGTTCGAGACCAGCCTGGCCAACATGGTGAAACCCCGTCTCTACTAAAAATATAAAAATTAGCTGGGCGTGGAGGCGTGTGCCTGTAATCCCAGCTACTTGGGAGGTTGAGGCAGGAGAATTGCTTGAACCTGGGAGGCGGAGGTTGCAGTGAGCCGAGATCGTGCCATTGCGCTCCAGCCTTGGCAACAAGAGTGAGACTCCATCTCAAAAATAAAAAATAAAAATAAAATATATATGCAGTAGTCTCTATATTAATACATTTGCATTAAATGATAATCTGTTAAAGTCTATTATCTTTTAAAGAAATTTTTTAAAATGCATATAATCAGGTACACAAATCTTAAGGCTATAACTCAATGCATTTTTACAAAGCAAACAAACAATGTAGCCACCATCTGGATCAAGATGTAAAACATACCAGCACCCCAGAAGGCTACCTCATGCCCCCTCCAAGTCATCAACTATGTACAAATGTAACCATGATTCTATCACCATAGGTAGTTTTGTCTGTTTTTGAACTTTATATAAATAGAATCATAAAATACGTACATTTTGTCTGGCTTCTTTCACTTAACATTATATATGTGAGATTTATCCTGTTTTTGTGTGTAGCAGGAGTTTTTTTCTTTCTCATTTTTGTATAGTATTCCATTCATTGTATGAGTAGATCATATTTTATTTATATTTTTCAATGGTGATGGATATTTTGGGTTTCTGGTTTGGAGCTATTATGAGTAGTGATACCACAAACATTCTTTTTTTTTTTTTTCTTTTTTTTTTATTATACTTTAAGTTTTAGGGTACATGTGCACATTGTGCAGGTTAGTTACATATGTATACATGTGCCATGCTGGTGCACTGCACCCACTAGCTCGTCATCTAGCATTAGGTATATCTCCCAATGCTATCCCTCCCCCCTCCCCCCACCCCACCACAGTCCCTAGAGTGTGATATTCCCCTTCCTGTGTCCATGTGATCTCATTGTTCAGTTCCCACCTATGAGCGAGAATATGTGGTGTTTGGTTTTTTGTTCTTGCGATAGTTTACTGAGAATGATGATTTCCAATTTCATCCATGTCCTTACAAAGGACATGAACTCATCATTTTTTATGACTGCATAGTATTCCATGGTGTATATGTGCCACATTTTCTTAATCCAGTCTATCATTGTTGGGCATTTGGGTTGGTTCCAAGTCTTTGCTATTGTGAATAATGCTGCAATAAACATACGTGTGCATGTGTCTTTATAGCAGCATGATTTATAGTCATTTGGGTATATACCCAGTAATGGGATGGCTGGATCAAATGGTATTTCTAGTTCTAGATCCCTGAGGAATCGCCACACTGACTTCCACAATGGTTGAACTAGTTTACAGTCCCACCAACAGTGTAAAAGTGTTCCTATTTCTCCACATCCTCTCCAGCACGAAAACCTAGGCATTACCATTCAGGACATAGGCATGGGCAAGGACTTCACGTCCAAAACACCAAAAGCAATGGCAACAAAAGCCAAAATTGACAAATGGGATCTAATTAAACTAAAGAGCTTCTGCACAGCAAAAGAAACTACCATCAGAGTGAACAGGCAGCCTACAAAATGGGAGAAAATTTTCGCAACCTACTCATCTGACAAAGGGCTAATATCCAGAATCTACAATGAACTCAAACAAATTTACAAGAAAAAAACAAACAACCCCATCAAAAAGTGGGCAAAGGACATGAACAGACACTTCTCAAAAGAAGACATTTATGTAGCCAAAAAACACATGAAAAAATGTTCATCATCACTGGCCATCAGAGAAATGCAAATCAAAACCACAATGAGATACCATCTCACACCAGTTAGAATGGCAATCGTTAAAAAGTCACAAACGTTCTTGAACATGCCTTTTGTTAGACATAAACTCCCATTTTCCTTGGATGCAATGTGTGGGAGTGAAATTGCTGGCTCGTAAGGTGTGTGTATATTTAGCTTAATAGATACTGCCAAACTGTTTTCTTTCTTTCTTTCTTTTCTTTTTTTTTAAAATTATTTTTTAAAATTTTATTTTAAGTTGTGGGATACATGTGCAGGATGTGCAGGTTTGTTACATAGGTAATGTGTGCCATGGTGGTTTGCTGCACCTATCAGCCCATCACCTAGGTAAAAAGTGACTGTATCATTTCACATTCCTGTTGGCACTCTGTGAGAGTTTCAGTTGTCCAGCATCTCTGTCAGCACTTTATGTTGTCAGAAGACGAAACAGTACCAAATGCAGAGTTCACCTCAGCACATTTATCCTCTTTCTGGCATCTTGGGCCTCAAATCCTGGCTTCTTTGGTTGCTCTGTCTCTTTAAATTGCTATGCTTTTGATATTATAGTTACTTTATCCAATTTTTATGGTTAGTATCAGTTACTTTGCCGTAGACAGAGTCAAAGTCTCTTTTCTTTCTCTTCTTTCTTCTTTTCCTTTCCTTCCCTTTCCCTTTTCCTTTCCTTTTTTGAGATGGAGTTTTACTCTTGTTGCCCAGGCTAAAGCGCAATGGCGTGATCTCAGCTCACTGCAGCCTTTGCCTCTCAGATTCAAGTGATTCTCCTGCCTCAGCCTCCCAAGCAGCTGGGATTACAGGCACCCGCCACCACACCCGGCCAATTTTTGTATTTTTAGTAGAGACAGTGTTTCGCAATGTTGGCCAGGCTGGTCTCAAACTCCTGACCTCAGGTGATCCACCTGCCTTGGCTTCCCAAAGTGTTGGGATTATAGGCATGAGCCTGTAATTGTTTTGAAAACAATCTTCTGTGGAAACATTATTTTTCTTAAATTATATTAAGGCATTGTTCTACTCTAAAGGGTTGGGATGGCATGAAGTGCTACTACTTATGTCTGGGTAATTGCAGTTTTCACATCACTATGTTATGTCTACTGTTATGGTGTCTGGAATATGTTCCATTTGAAAGGAATTTATGAAACTGTAACTTACCTTTATGATTATACACATCTTTTTGTGTTTATTTGATCTTAGCTTAAGTTGGAAAATGTCAATGAAAAAATATATTGTGAAGCTTACATAATCTTTAGTGTTACTTTCATAAGCAGACATTTAGCCTGCAATGATAGGCTTCTTGTCAGTGGTTGCACGACATCTGCAAAGGAGAAGGAGCATCCACCTCCAGAAGATACGTAAGGGAGAGGGGACCTTATTTATGAGAAGAAGGCTTGAGTTAAAAAGTCTGGAAATTTTTGAAAACTCAGATTTACCCTAATACAGCAGCCTTGTTTTGGAAGACCCTTCAAAATTGTTTATTGCATTGCCAAGCAAAAGAAGTCACTCTGGTAGGAGAGAACTTGGTGATGCTGCTTAACTTAGACATGACTGAGCTGAGTTGTGGCCCGGAGCAGAGGAAGGAGATTAAGCAGTTCCTGTGTCAAGTGATGTGATTTCTAGAGTAGCTCACCTGTCTTCTGGTGTTTTGAAGCAGGTCATGGAAATAATTGGCAGCAGTGCCATTTCTCTTAAAACTCATTGCATGAACTGCTAGTGATAGTTTTAGTGCAACCCAGCTCCTATTGACATCTGTACCTGCATGTTGTCAGCATCCAAGAAGAATTGTTATACTGCAAACCCTCTGAGAAATTTCAGTCTTCAGAATGGCAAACAGTTCCTTTGCCAAGCTAAATTTTGACTGAAAGGAATGTCAAGGCTGTCTGTGCACAGATGAAGCATCTGCTTTCTCTGGCAATACTTCTGGTTTTGTAGCTTTCATGAAACAAGAAGGCCCACCTGTCACTGTGGCTGGGACTTTCTGTGTCAGCGTGCATTGATGTCAAAGATTACAATGGTCTTGAAAGCCTGCTTTGACAGCCTGTGGTTTCATCAGAGCCAGGCCTTGAGTCACTGCCTTCTCAGGAGGTTTTTTTTTATGAAATGGAGCAGAACAGAAAGCTGCTTCGACTACACAGGAGTTCACTGGCTCTCCAAAGGATAAGCCTTGAAGTACTTGACTGAACTTCAGACTGAAGTTCTACTTTTTTTTCTTTGAAAGGAAAGGAAAACTCACAAAACAGAGAAAGAGGAATTCATTCATGACTTGGCTTACTTAACCAGATATTTTTGGCCATGTGAGTGAGGTAAACCTTTCAATTCACCATTATAGATGTTGCTGAAAAGTGGGCATTTTTAGCCACTCTGCCTTCTACAAGAGGAGACGTGGGTGGACAAGTCTGCAAACCTTCTCCTGCTGGAAGAAATGTTTGTGCAGCTTGGGAGTGGCAGAGTCATGCTTAGTCTTCAGCAGCAGAAATCTGCAGAGACCAATAGATGTGAATACAGCTTTCGATAAAATCCAACATCTCTTCATGCTAAAAACACTCAACAAACTGGGCATCAAAGGAACATACCTCAAAGTAATAATAGCCATCTATGACACATCCACAGTCAGCATCATACTGAATGGGCAAGAGCTAGAAGCATTACCCTGAAGAACAGGAACAAGACTAGGATGCCCACTGTCACCACTCCTACTGTCTGCTTTTGCAGGTAACTTCTGCTCAGCAAAACATGAAAACAGAGTATGGATTCACGGTCCTTCTTTGGGGACAAGCCATTCGTGAAGGAAACCTTGACGTTGTTTTTCTCAGGGACTTAAGAAAAAAGAAGCGAATGCAGTGTTGATCCACCTGGAAAACCCTTGGAGAATGGTGGCGTTCTTTGACATCTGACATTCACTGACTCTTGTCAATAGGCTTTGGGAGTGGTGATTTAGTATACCACTGCCTTCCTTTGGGAGTCTGGGTTTTCAAGCATTTGTTGATATCTAAATTTAGAAAAGGCAGGTTGACCAAATGTCAAGGAGTGTTTCACAATTCCACTGTTACATTCAATAATGATAATCATTATAACTTTGTTTATTGAATGCTCGTTATGTGACAGGCATTATTCTAATAACTTTCCATGAATTAACCCATTGAATATTTCCAACACTAATATAAGGAAGGCAGTTTTATTATCTTCATTTTCAGATGAAGAGACTGAGGCCCAGAGAGGTTAATAAAACTGCCCAAGGTAATAGGGCTGCTCAGTGGTGGAGTTAGATATAAACCTAGGTGGTCTGGCTCTAGGGTCCACATGTCCACACCCCTGGTAACTGCTTCTGTTGTGCCAGGGTACAGCATACTTTGTGTTATAGTTTTCATTTTAATCTTATTGGCACAATTTGGATTTCTTTTGATTCTTTTTAGGGTGTCGGTATTAACTTTTGTGCATGAAAGGGAGAGAGGGAGAGAGGAGAGAGAGAAAGAGAGGAGGGGAGGGAAAATAATCTCTGAAAAGATTTTTAAAATTTAACTCTAAGATAAATTGTGTACAACATTTCTCATGCCTTTGTTATTTACATTTTACTGGGGAGGGAGCTCGTAACTGTTATTAGGGATACCAGAGGCTTCTGAGACCCAGGAGCAGGGACCACATCTGTGTGTCTTTGTCTCCCATATGCTTAGCATAGTTCTGGGTACATAGTATTTGTTTTGTAATTTTTCATTGAGTATAAAGTTGCTGTACTTAAAGAGTTAAAGCTCTATTTTCTGGAAAACTTACTTTTTCCAAACACTTTGCTTCCAGCTAGTTGATACAGGATAACACTCATTTGGTCAACAATTAGTTATTCAATGCCTTCTATGACTGGGTGCTTCCTTAGGCACCAGACACACATAGATGCACATATTAGATTGTCAGGTCCCATTCCTGCACATTGCTTGTAGCCTATGGAAGGAAGACATGACTTGAGAAGCAATTTAATAAAGAATGGTAGGGGCTGTCGGGGGAATTACACGTGCCGTAGAAGTACATAGAAGGAGCATCCAGCTTTGTCTGGTGTATGGTGGGGGGCTCAGGAAAGCTTGTCTGAATAATAGTATATAAGCCAAGACTTGAGGAATGAACTGGTAAAGGGGAGAAGGAGTTTTTCAGGCAGAGGGAGCAGCATGTACCAAGGCCTGAGGCAAGAGAAAGCAAGACAGGGAGGGCAGAGAACTGAAAGAACACATTTCAGCATGGCTGGGTCACGCCACAATGAGGCCAGTCACAGATGAGCTAGAGAGCCAGCCAGGGGTCAGGGCCGAAGACCCTTGTCTGACAGGTCAGGCAGTGTGGATCGTCCGCTGATAGCAGTAAGACATTGGAGGGTTTCCTGCAGGGGAGAGCTTTGATTAGATTTGCATGGCTTACAAGGATTGCTCTGGCTGCTCTGTGGAGAAGAGACCTGCGAGGGAGAGCCATTCAGAGACTTTCCTGTGGTCTAGGTGAAAGACGATGTGGTCTGTGTGAGGATAATGCAGTGGACAAGGGTGACCCACATAGATGCAGGAATGTCTAGGTGCTGTTCTCTGCAGGCCTTGGTGCTAAGGTGGATGTGGATGTTGTGAGAGAGGGAGGAGTCAAGGATATCTCCCAAGTTTCTGGTCTGGTCAATTGGGAGACTGGTCAAAAAAAAAAAAAAATGATGTGGGGGTGGGGCGGGTATGTGCAGAATTTGGTTTTGCACATGTTGAGTTGGAAGTGCCTGTGTGATACCTGCATGAGGTATCCTGTACCAGCAGCATGACTGTGTGGCTAGTACACTTCTTACTCAAATAGCTGGGCTATTCCATGGACCTAATCTTCATGCCTTCTGGCAGAACTCTAGGTTCTTAGAAGCAGCTGCCCCTGGCCCTGTCTGTGGGAGGACCTCTAGGCTTGTGAAGGGATCTGGTTGGGACTGGCTTGCCACCAGAACCTCATTACTGGCTGAAGTGTCTTTGGGGATTGGGACCTCAGCAGGACCAGGGAAACAAAACCGTCAGTAGAGGCAGCTGTGGGAAAAGTGGGATGGGGTGAAGCTGAACATCTTAGATTAGATCCCTAGTTGCCTAGAATCCTCCAGAAAGGAAGGGAGGAGTCAGAAAGGAAGCTCAAGCACCTTGTCTTTGGGGAGACTGGTGATATCCTGGTTAGTAGCCTGAATTATGGTACAGACGGAGCTGGGTTTGAGATCCTGCTCTACCACAACCAGATATGTAAATCTGGGCTTAACATCTCAAAATCTTAATTATCTCATCTGTAAAATGGTGAAAATAATTGTACCCACTTCATAGGATTATTGGGAGAGTTCATGTATAATGAATTTAGATCCTGGCTAGAACATAATCAATGCTCAGGAAATGGCTGCTGCTGCTATTTCTTCTCTTCCTCTTTTCCTTCGGCCTTCATTTGCTGTTATAATCATCACTCAGATGTCTCTCTGAGAAGTATGTTCTTGAATCTTGAATCCCAATTCTATGGCTTTAGAAAGGCTTTAGGAAGGCTTTTTGCTTTCAAAATCCACGCAAGATCCTAGAGGCTTATTTTTGTCACATATACCATTTTTCACTGCACCACAGTGATGTGGAGATACTTTTGCAAGTTCTTCTCAAAGAATCTGTCTTATAGAACATTAGGGAGCCACATAGACTTCATTGAAAGGAAAATTTGGGAGCTGCACTATCAGCTTTAATAGGCACTATAGGCATCCCTGTTTCTAACATACCCATTGGATGCCTCATCATTGTGGGCCCTTTAGCTCATCCCAGCCTCTTCCAGCTTTCCCCTGAACGACTCTTTGTTCCCCCCTCATCCTTTATCATGGATTGTCCCTGGGATCATCCATCTCCCTTTACTGTACAGAGCAGTTCAGATTTCTCAACACCTGTGGCCCAACACACATCCTCCAATCCATCAAGGGGACCAGCAGGTCAGAGCACCCTCCACCTAACAGGGCCACATTTCCTTGAAGTTTGTGAGTATAAATATCCCCTTTTAGCAGAGAAAGGATCTGATTTCATTATTAATGGTCACGGATATCTTTATTTGTGTTTCTTTGATCTAGGCCCTAGGAGATGAGTCAGTGGGTGAAATCTACTGAAGGGGTTGTGAGTATGGATTGTGGCCTATCTAGGTTGAAACTTGGGCCTTCCCACTTACTGTTCTGTGGCCTTGGACAGTTTGCCTCACTTTTTTGAATCTCTGAGCCTAAGAGTCTAGGCTGGTGTTTCTCTTCTTTAAAGCTACCACCATCTACTTTATGCCTTGGAAAAAATGTCCCCAGCATACCTGTGAGATAGAGTACTGTCTTAGCCTCTGCCCTTCCCACTTTCTTGAAGGTTTAGCCCACAGCCCTGGGTTTGTTGATGTTTAACTGCTAACTTCCCTGGAGGGAGGCAGGGAAGCAAAGTTGCACACCAGGAATATCTACAGAGATTCTAGAATTCCACAGAATTGGAAACTGTGCCCCTGGGTCTATATTTCTTGGCTCCTGACTCTTCCAAGGAGGTCCCTGGTTTCCTGTTTGCTTCCATTTTCCCCAAGAGAGGAGCTTTGCCTTTCCTTCATTGGGCCACCGTGCTGAAGGGCTGTGAGAGTAGAACAGTGGGAGGCCAGGTGAGTCTGGCAAGCCAACTTGACCAAACAAGGAATTTGGCCATCCTCACGGGGCGGTGTCATGGAGGCTAGAGGTGGGGAGAGGCTGGAGCCAGAGCCTGGACACCTGGCCAGGCTCTAGTTGTTCATCTCTCTCCTCTTTGTCCTTCCTCATCGCTTTCTCCTGCCTCCCCTGACTTCCTCTGACTGTATTAAGGTGGCTGCCCTACAGCTCCTGAGTCCTAGAGACTGATTCACTTTTTCTCCCTCCATCTAGCTTCCAAATTCATACACAAGTAATTTATTAATTGCCTGGAGGGTTCAGATTCATGTCATTCAAAATGACTGCCTGGATTCCACCCCTGGCTGGGGTTGAGGGCAAGGTACCGTTCCTAGAGATGTGGGAATGGTTGAGAGCCGAGCACTCTCAAGATGCCAGGAATGGGTGCCATTGTCCATCAACATCCACTTGTCCTAATATGTCATTTGCCTCTTGGGGCCCTTCTGGCTTTGAGAGCCCTATCTGCTTTGATCAGTGCCTTTCGTGTTCATATTGTGCTGGCTTCTGAGCAGAGGCCAAGAACATGGCTGCAGGGCTGGTGGGCTGGGAGCCCACAGAGGAGTCAGGGAATGAGTGATGGCTCCTGCTAATTGATGGCCTCAAAATCATCCACGTTAGTGCAGCCTTTAGTTTTACATGACTTGGGTCAGATGTGGGGACACTTGGCCATTAGGAAGCTTTACATAGCTATTTGGGGTTAAGAAAGATTCCCCTTATGAGAGAGCTCATTCTACAGTTTTGTAACTCTTCCTTTGGTCTCTGATGTGCTGTCTCTTTGTGGGATAAAGTCTGCCTCTGGAGAGTCCCATATATCAGTGGCCCATCTGGGTCTTTTGGGTTCTGTGGAGGCTCCCCGAGACCTCCTCTGGGGTGGAAGGAGTCCTAGAGCTACTTCAGTCACTTCCTCTGTGGTGATCATAGCAGTGTGGCCAAGCCAGGGGCTATATCTTGGCTGGGCAATGAGGGGGTTTGCCCTGGCGGCTGGAGATGCATAGGGTGTTCCTAGACCGAGAGCCCACCACCCCCCAGCCCGCCTTTTTTTTTTGAGATGGAGTTTTGCTCTTGTTGTCCAGGCTGGAGTGCAGTGGCGTGACCTCGGCTCACTGCAACCTCTGGCTCCTGGGTTCAAGAGATTCTCCTGCCTCCGCCTCCCGAGTAGCTGGGATTACAGGTGCCCGCCACCATGCCCGGCTAATTTTTTGTGTTTTTAGTGGAGGTGGGGTTTCACCATGTTGGCCAGGCTGGTCTCAAACTCCTGACCTCAGGTGATCCGCCGCCTTGGACTCCCGTAGTGCTGGGATTACAGGCGTGAGCCACTGTGCCTGGCCAAGAGCCCATTTTTTATGGAAGTGCACTTCCTTGGGACTCTTAGAATTCAGTAGGGTGTATTAGACAAATTATATGTCTAACTAGAAAAAGTGCATTTTAAAAGCTTTATTTATATCTGGCTGGTACTTTAATAGCCATGTTAGTAACTTCTGACTAGGTTTGTGCCTATATTTGACTGAGACAGTTAGGTTGACTCTCCCTCTCACCCTAAGAAATTTAAAAAATAAATACTTTTATAGGACCATAGGATTTTACATGCCAAGATTTAGGCTGAAAATCCGAGCATAAAAATTGGTTTGTATGTAACAGGAAGATTAATAGGCAGTTCCTCCCATCCCCTGTCCCCCGTCTTACAGAGTGGTCCTGGCAGCCCCTGCCTGCCTGTAAATACTTGGGTTTGCCTCATTGGCAGGTCAGCATGGGGCAGGAAGAAGCCAGATTATTTTATGATCCATAAACGCAAGCACCAGACATGCTCCGAAATTCATTAGTGTTTACTTGTCATTACAAATAGCCTGTGTTGTTTGCCTTCCGACTAGACGGGCAGACAGTCAGGGCCCAATTGCAGGGTGTGGAGGGCCCTGAAACCCCGACTCTCTTGGGAAATGAGAGTTTAAAGCAAAGTTTTAATTTATGGCTGCAGATTGTTTCTTTCTCCTGAGTGTAGGTATTGAGGGTGTGAATCTTCAGATTCAGACTGGCTTTTTCTTCAGTGGAAAATATGAAGTTTTTGGATAAAACCTACTAATAAGTAGTCATCTCATGTTTGTTTTGTTTTAGTTATTTCCCCCTTTTGAATTATAGATAAACTTTTTAAGCAGGGAAAGCTTAAAAAGTTTAAGCTTAAAAAGCCTCAAAATGTTATGCCCAGATACTTCCCTGGGCAGCAGATTTTGTACCATCTCCCCCTGAGCCTGACCGCTTTACAGAGAGCAGCCCTGTGTCTCGGCCACCCTTCCCTTCCCTCCTCTTGGACCTGGAGCACCCAGGGCTTGGGCTATGGCAGGCCCCTGACTGTAGCCCCCTTGGTCCATTTCAGACCCGGGTGACACCACAAGGTGATTGTGAGACTGTGGAAACCCCTAAGCTGCTGCTGTTCCGACGTGGAGGTAGTCAGGACGGGCTGAGCTGTCTCAGCTGCACATGTGCTGAAGCTGAGACTAAGGCAGCCCTTGGAGGCTGAGTGGCATCTGGGGGAAGGCTGGTGTGCAAAGGGCCAGATGTCTGAGGTTTCTGAGTGGAGTTGTAGATTTGAATGTAATTAGAGGATAATTCTTCCAAATGATCTTCATGTGGGGCTGGCTTAGGCATTCCTGGGGTCTGCTTGGGATGGTGGCTTCATGTCTATCAATCACTCAGTTGTTCAGCACCTATTGACCAGGCACATACCATGTGTAAGACCCCCTGCCTGGTATTTCAGGGAACTCGAAGATGAATGAGGAATCCCTGGTCTAATGGGAAAGGTAAGAGATTTACCTAAATAATTACAAGGGTCTCACTAAAGAGGACAAAGTGCTATATGGGAGGGGAGCCAATACTTCCAGCTAGGACAACACACAAAGCATCCTGGTGGAGCTTCCGTTGTGGCCTGGAGAATTGGTATAATTTGGACACAAGATAGCGAGAAATGGCATTTCAGGTACCAGGAACAGCTTGAACACAGGTAAGGCAGTTGGGAAGAAAGTGGCCATGTACAGGGACCAGTGAGCAGATTAGTTTGATCTAAAGCAAAGGTGAGGAGCTTTGTGGGAAGTAAGACTGGAGAATAGAGTGGCCCCACTATGGCCTTGGTTCTGTGGGCGCTGGCAGAGCAAGTGTTGTTTGGGAGCTGTGCTTCCTTCAAGAAGCTGAACAGGTGGAAGCCAAAGTCCTACAGGTGCCATAGTCACAGCATGCCCCAAACCAAGCCTGATTCTTTCCCCAGAATCCCGCTGTGGTACGCACCCCTGGAATGGCATGCCTGCCCACCCAGTCAGGCCAGAAGCATGGTGTCTGTTATTGACGCCCCCTCTCTCTCCCACAGTCTCTGCTCCCAGTCAGTCCCCACACCCTATCTTCCCCTTTTCCACCTGTCTGTCCCCAGTGCTACCCCTCAACTTTGGCACTTATCTCCCAGCGGGCATCTCTACACCCATGTCTGCCCCATCCCACTCCGTTGCCCAATCTGTGGTTTTAAATCTCTGTCCACATCCCTGAGCCTCTTCAGCATCTCCAGTGGTTTCCCCAGTGCCTTTGGGTGATTCCACATCTCTAAGGGGGGCGTGCAGGTAGGAGTGACTTATCCTTTCCTTCCAACCCTCTTCTGGCCTCCCGACTCACTCTCTGATTCACCTCCTCTGGCCTTCCCACAGGTCCTTGAACCTACCTCCAGGCCTGTGCATTTTCTGCTCTCTGCCTGGCATGCTAGTCCCCCCACTTCAGCTAAGCCAGTCCTTCTTATACACTGATTGCACTCTGAACTTTTCCTTATGCGTTCAGCAACATGTTCATAATTGATGCCTGTCTTCTCCACCGGAAGCCAAGCATTGCCTTGTCACTGCTGTGTCCTCCTAAGCTTTGCACAGTGCTGGGCACAGAGGAGGCACTCCGTGAAGACTGACTGGCATTACTGATTAAAGGATGCAGGTGACAGAGCTGGGGAGCTAAGGCAAACAGAGCAGCCCGGGCCTGAGGTTGGGAACACTGCCATGGTCTTGCTTCCAGCCTTAAAAAAGGGGTTTCACACCATTGAAGGCTAGTGGCTCAAATGTTCAAAAGGTTTCCTCATACTTTTAAGTATCCCTGTATAGATCAAACATTTGAAAGTTGTTTTTCCTTTGAGCCTTTTAGGAAAGGGAACTTTTCCTGAAAGAGCCATTCCTCTTGGTCTGTGTGCACACCAGCCATCTGTAGCCATCATCAGACAGTACAAATGCCAGAACAGCCCAGCACCCCATAAGATGTTCCACTGCGTAGCCATTGCTGGAATTTATCAAATTCTGGCATTGTTTCCAGGAATCCTACTCTGTCTAGAGACTTCAAGCTGCTTGTGATCAAAAAGCGAGTTAACTGGGATGGGGGAGAAGACTCTTTGGCTGTGAAATGTTGAATGAAATTATTATCTCATAATAATTTCATTATGAGATTAGGAATGGAGACTTACCCTGTGGTCCCTCTTGCAGTCTGCCTTGCTGCATACTGAATTCGGCTGGACACTGCAGGGAGGCCTGGGGGTGGGGGGTGTGGCCCTAGGTTGAGACAGCCTTCAGTCCCTGTGCATCCTCTAGGCCCATCATTTTTTTACAGCCCCCATCCCCCACCTCATCAGCCTTTTCTAAGTGATGTTTGTCCACTCCCTGGTCTCCTGTGTGGTTATCTTACATCATACCCGGGACCTTTGCTTATTAAGAGATGAGGCTCTGGAGTCTGCCATTTACTACCTGGATGCACTTGTATAGTTATTTAATCTCTGTGAGCCACAGTCTTCTCATCCATCAAATGAAATAGTAAAATCTACTTTATGGTCTGGTTTTGAGACTTAAATAAAATAAAGTAGATTTAAGCCCATTATATAGTACCTAGAATGTAGGAAACATGCAGTAACTTATAGTTCTCTTCCTTCCCTGTCTTTTTGTTCCTTTTATAACCCCTGTGGTGCCATTCACTTTGTAGATAGTCACTATTATTCAAAATACTGGTAGAAAATCATGGTAACAATGCCTGCCCAGGCTGACAGCACTGTGGTTAAGAGCCTGGGCTTTGGAGTGCAGACCTGGATATGAATTCCACTTTGTCACTTATTTGTTACATTGACTTTAGGCAAGTTAATTATCCTTTCTGAATCTCAATTTTAGTTATGTGTAACCTGGGGGCAATCATAGCCCTTCCTCAGGGTGCCATTGTTAAAAAATTACGGAGCATAATGTGAGAAAAGTATTTTGCCTAGTGCCTGAGATACAGTAAGCAAACTGTTAGCTGCTGTTATTAGTGTTTATTATTATTATTCTCAGCCTGGGAACAGGACTGCGAACAGATCTTGAAGGACTCTGTTCGCCTCTCAAAGTGAGGAGGAGCTTGGCTTCCTGGCGGTTGGTTATCTCAGTGTGTTCCCACTGTATTCTCGTCCTGCCTGGTGAGATTTGGGGCTACACGGTTTGGGTCTCAGCGTCCCCAAGATGGTCCTGGGTGTAAGATGGCCTAGGTTGCCTCTTTGGTATCTGATCATCTGGTTGTGTCTGCTCCTGACCTGCAAACTTTCAGAGACAGCTTTTTCTTGGGAACATGGAAAACATGTGGGACACTTCATGTATACCACCCATTTGTTCCCCTCTTCTCCCAAGTTCTTCTCCTGCCCTGGACATCACATCCCTCCCTCCCTGCCCTGCTCCACTTGGAGGCACTTCTCACACCATGTTTCCACCTCCAAAAGATGCACCTGATCCCACCTGGGGTTTAACCCTTCTGCCCTTGACTGCCTTTCTCTCCCTTCTCCTCCTTTTTTCTTTTCTTTCTTCCTTTCCTTTCTTCCCTTTCTTCTCTTCTTCTTTTTCCTTCTCTCTTCTCTCTGTCTCTTTTTCTGGAACCTGAGTTTTCCATTTGCATTTTTTTCTGTTCATCTGCTCCCATCTGTTCCCAGGCTCCCTCCTTCCCTGCCACCCCACTGTTTCCTGTCTCCTGCCACACCAGATTGTCTTGTCCAATTTATCCCTGTACAACAGTGCAGTGCCTAGAAGCCCCCACCCCTTCCTGACTGTCTCTCTCGGACTCAACCTCTCCATTTGCCCTCGAAACACTGAAAGAAAGAAAAGTGCTGCAATTGCCCAGTCTCCAGGGGCAGGTCTTACTTAATAACGTTTTTATGTAATGCCGGTTATATGGCCCCTGCTTCTCTTAGGCTCACAGAATGGGAGAGCTGGGAGGATCTCAAAGACCATCTGGTGCTGCTATATTTTATAGAGAGTAATCTGTAACTCCTGCAGTGGGATGGGCTGACTTTAAGTCACAGAGGGGGTTTAGGACACATCTCAGATTAGAACCCAGGACTCCTGACTTCATAAAAATATAAAATTGCCAATGTGAACGGCATGTGTCCTTGTAGGTCTTTTTTTGTATTTATTTCATTCTACCTATAACCCGAGGCCTCTAACAGTTGCAGCTGGATCTACTTAACCCATTAATGACAAGCCCTACCTCCTTTTGCAGGAGTGAAGCATGGAGGTGGGGACAGACTTCAAGCGATGGAGATATAAACAACCTAGGTCAGTCATACGCAGTGTCATCATCTGTTCAGTCTTCCTACTTGTCCTGGGCTGACCTTGCCCTCTGGTTCTTAGCTTCCTGCCTTGGCTCCAACCTCACTCCAGCCCTTATTGATGGGGCTTCATGGTTTGTCTTTGGTTCTCCTACCTTGACCCCACCTTTTCAAGAAGTACACCTTATATTTCAATGTCACGTCTTTTTACATCAGTTAGAGCTGTGTTGTCTTAATATGGTGGCTGCATGTGGCTGTTGAGCATTTGAAATGTCATTACTTCAAATTGAGATGTTCTGTAAATATTAAAAAAAAGACCAGATTTCAAAGACTTACTACAAAAAGGAAAGTATCTCCTTAATAATTTGTTATATTTTCTATTGATTACATTTTGAAAAGATAATATCTTGGATATACAGTCATATGTCACTTAAAGATGGGATGCATCATGAGAAATGCATCTTTAGGTGATTTTGCCCTAGTGTGAACACCATATTGTGTACTTACACAAACCTAGGTGGCATAGCCTACTATACATTTAGGTGATACGGCATAGCCTCTTGCTCCTGGGCTACAAACCTGTACAGCGTGAGTACACTGAGTAATGCAGGCAAGTGTAATATAGTAGTAAGTATCTGTGTAGCTAAACATAGTTAAACATAGAAAAGGTACAATAAAAATATAATGTAAAAGATAAAAATGGTATACCTATATAGGACACTTACCATGGATGGAACTTCCAAGACTAGAAGTTGTTCTGGGTGGGTCAGTGGTGAGTGAATGTAAAGGCCTTGGACATTACTGTAATACACAACTGTAGACTTTATAAATGCTATATATGTGGGCTATACTAAATCTATAAAAAATTTTCTTCAATAATAAATTAACCTTAGCTTACTGTAACTTTTTTACTTTACAAACTTAAAACTTTTTGACTCTTTTGTAATAACACTTAGCTTAAAACACACATTGTTCAGCTGTACAAAAATATTTTCTTTTTTAATATCCTTATTCTATAAGATTTTTTTGTATTTTTAAAATTATTTTTTCTTTTTCAACTTTTTTCATTAAGAACTAAGACGCAGACACACACATTAGCCTAGGTCTACTCAGGGTCAGCATCGTAAATATCACTGTCTTCCACCTCCACATCTTGTCCCACTGGAAGGTTTTCAGGGATGGTCACACACATGGAGCTGTCATCTCCTATAATAATGCCTTCTTCTGGCCGGGCGCTGTGGCTCACACCTGGAATCCCAGCACTTTGGGAGGCCGAGGCAGGTGGATCACCTGAGGTCAGGAGTTTGAGACCAGCCTGACCAACATGGTGAAATCCCGTCTCTACTGAAAATACAAAAACTTAGCCGGGCATGTTGGTGCACCTGTAATCCCAGCTACTCAGGAGGCTGAGGCAGGAGAATTGCTTGAACCTGGGAGGCGGAGCTGCAGTGACCCGACATTGCGCCACTGCACTCCAGCCTGAGTGACAGCAAGACTCCGTCTCAAACAAAACAAAACAAAACAAAACCCAAACCAACCAACCAAACAAAATAATGCCTTCTTCCGGAAGGACCTGCCTGAGGCTATTTTATAGTTAACTTAAAAAAAAAAAAAACAGTAGAAGGAGCACATTCTAAAATAACAGTGGGCTGGGTGTAGTGGCTCACGCCTGTAATCCCAACACTTTGGGAGGCCAAGGCAGGTGGATCACTTGAGGTCAGGAGTTCCCAGCCTGCCGAACACGGTGAAACTCCGTCTCTACTAAAAATGCAAAAATTAGCTGAGCGTGGTGGCGCGTACCTGGAGTCCCAGCTACTTGGAGGCTGAGGCACAAGAATCGCTTGAACCTGGGAGGCGGAGGTTGCAGTGAGCTGAGTTTGTGCTGCTGCACTCCAGCCTGGGTGACAGTGAGACTCTGTCTCAAAAAATAATAATGATGATAATAATAATAATAATAATAATAATAATAATAACGATGAAAAGTATAGCAAATACATAAACCAGTAACAGTCATTTATTATCAAGTATTATGTACTGTATATAATTGTATGTGCTGTACCTTTATGTGACTGGTAGCACAGTAGGTTTGTTTACACCAGCATCACCACAAACACTTGAGTACTGAGTTGTGCTATAACATTTCTATGACTACGGCATCACTAGGTGATAGGAATTGTTAGCTCCATTATAATCTGATGGGACCACTGTTGTATATGTGGTCCATTGTTGACCAAAATGTCGTTCTGCAGTACATGACTATATTGAGTTAAATAAAATAAATGGTCAAAATTAATTTTACCTGTTTCTTTTTCCTTTTTTAAAACATGGTATTTGAGAATTTAAAATGTGTGGATTACATTATATTTCTGTTGGACATTGCTGGGTTATAGCCTCATAGGCCTTTCGCAACCAGGATTTCATGAGAGAATTAAGCCTTGTGCCTGAAGGTCCATTGTATGTAATGAATGTACCATCTCAGGAGAGTTAAGAAACAGTCACTCAAATCATTTTCTGTGCTCTGTGGTTCAGATAAGAAACTTAGATGAGAAAGGCTGTAGCACCTGTTGTTACTCTTTTTTCTGTTGTTGCATGCATTTACTGTTCATTTTTTATTTTATTTTATTTTATTTTATTTTTGAGATGGAGTCTTGCTTTGTCGCCCAGGCTGGAGTGCAGTGGTGCAATCTCGGCTCACTGCAAGCTCTGCTTCCCGGGTTCATGCCATTCTCCTTCCTCAGCCTCCCGAGTAGCTGTGACTACAGGTGCCCGCCACCATGCCTGGCTAATTTTTTGTATTTTTAGTAGAGACAGGGTTTCACCATGTTAGTCAGGATGGTCTCGATCTCCAGACCTTGTGATCCACCCACCTCGGCCTCCCAAAATGCTGGGATTACAGGTGTGAGCAACCGCGCCTGGCTGCTGTTCATTATTTTTTATTGCTTACTAATAATATTCCATTGTATAAATGTACCACAACTTGTCTGTCCATTCTGCTGCTTGACATTTGTGTTTCCAGGTTGAGGCTGTTATTTAACTTTGATTTTAAGTTCAAGGGTGCATGTGCAGGGCGTGCAGGTTTGTTATACAGGTAAACATGTGTCATGGGGGGTTTGTTGTTTCAAATTTCAATTCAAATTCCTGTAGTGTTTCTCTCAATTGTATAATGAGGGCTGTTGGTTTGAGACAGATACTACTAAGCTTCTAAGTTGTTTTTCTCTTTTTTAAAATCTCAGATGAATGTTACATTTTTCCAATTACCATTTCAATATCTATTGAGAGGATCATATCACTTTTTTATCTTGGAATTATCAATATGCTTGTTTGATTATTAACATTAGCTGATTCCTGTATTTCTTAGCCAAACTTGTTAAGTTTGGGGATTTTTTTTTCCGTCACTTTTTGTGCTGTGGTATAAACTATTTGCCATAAGAATTATGTATTCTTCAAAAGCCTGAGAGAACTCACTGGTAAAACCATGTGGTCTTGGAACCTTTGGTTTAACTTTTCTCGTTTCTTGCAGGGTTTTTAGCATACTCATCAAATATAGAAAAGTTTCAGTTAGTCAAAAATAGAAGGCAGTGCGAAGATTAGGTCAGAGCCTGCACCTTCCTGTGAAGCAGGTACTTCCAAAAATTTCATTTTGTATTCCCAGCAATAGTCAGGATGACCCTGCAGCACATGAGGATCAACATTAAGAAAGATTGAACTGTGCTGAGACACATGAATTGCAATGGGAAAAGTGAGCAACAAGTTAGAGATTGCAGAAAACCAAAGTAATAAATTAAGGGACAAACTACAATTTTCTTCTGAAACTCAGAGCAAAAACAAAGGAAGATGAATGTGATGAATTGTTTCTAGGAGATGTCATGTGTGTATATCACAGGAATTCTAAAAAGGAAGGGTGGGCAGATGTGAGAAAATGTTTGTAATGTATTAAGGACAAAAGCAGATTATAAAACCACAGCTATAGTATGAGCTCAGTTGAGAGCCAGTGTGTGTGCATGTGTGTGCCCCTGCACCTGTGAGTGTGGGCATAGCTACCGGCCATGGATGTGCTCTGTGGCTGAGGGTCCAGGCTCCAGAGGCAACAGGCCTAGGTTTAGTCCTGGCTCTCATATTGAACACATATGAGGATTTGAGCAAATTGTTGAACTTCTCCAGCTATGCCTCTATTTCTTCATCTGTAAAATGGGGCAATAATAGTACCTATTTCATAGGGGTGTTGTGAGAATTCAGGGAGCAATGGATAAATATATGTAAAATTACTGACATTGTGCCTGACACTTAGAAAGTGTCCTCAGTAAATGTTATTGTTTTTATTGTCATTATTATAAACCAAAATGTAAACTTTAGTTTTCTCTGAGTGTTAAGGCTAATAGGTAATTTAAATTTTCTTCATTGGAGGCCAGGCCCATCTGCCTATAGTTCCAGTTACTCGGGACGCTTAGGCAGGAGGATTGCTTGAGCCCAGGAGTTTAAGGCCAGCCTAAGCAATGTAATAAGACCCTGCCGGCCAGGCTTGGTGGCTCGCAGTTGTAATCCCAGCACTTTGCGAGGCCGAGGCAGGTGGATCACTTGAGGTCAAGAGTTTGAGACCAGCCTGGCCAACATGGTGAAACCCCGTCTCTACTAAAAATACAAAAACTTAGCCGGGCATATTGGTGCACCTGTAATACCAGCTACTCGGGAGGCTGAGGCAGGAGAATTGCTTGAATCCTGGAGGTGGAGGTTGTGAGCTGAGATCGCACCATTGCACTCCAGCCTGGGCAACAAAGGGAGACTCTGTCTCAAAAAAAAAAAAAAAGGCATTCAGATTTTTAAAAAAAGTTCTTCATTGGGCTTCTGTATCATGCAGGTTTTCTGTAATGAACATGTATTAGGTCCCTAATTAAAAAAAAGAAAAGTTTTTCTTCTTCTTCTTTTTTTTTTTTTTTTTTAAAGAGAACATCTGAATGATGTATTCGGAAAAAAACATTTCCCAAGAATATGGAGAAAGGGAATTGAACATAATTCCCAGTGTAAGAGTGGAATGAGCATGTGGCCCTGTGGGCCTAGTCCCAGTTTGTTAATCTTGTGAGCAGAGCTGCTGGCGGCTGCTCTCAGTCCGCTAATCGGGCTCTTTCTCTGTCACGTGGACAGGAGACTGCTCACAGGGTTGCAGTTGGCTGCTGCCCTGCGTTGACAGCTGGTTCTAATTGTGCAGAGCTACGTAGTACTAGGGCTGGAGAGGGAAGGTTTTGGGAAATTTGCATCATCTTCCTGACCCTAAGTCTGTATGTTTTCCAAGCAGATGGTAGCTTGAGGATTTGATGAAACAGTAGTGACTGTAAATGAGTTGTTATTCTATAGAAACTAGTATGACCTGAAAGCTGAGAAAGATAAATTGCTTCTGCTTATTCAGTGAGTACATATATGTGTATACTGATTTCACTGGAGGCACCATTTTTCCACAGTGATCCTTTCCCCCTCTTGTGGTTTGTCTAGCCAGGGGTTCTGGGGCCTCGGGAGGCCCTCATGTTCATTTCTTCCACGGCCCATACTGCCTCCTCCCTTTCTCCACACACACAGCCCTTAACAGGTATTTATTTCAAATTACCAAAGTGAGTTGCTCTCACATAAGAAAATGCAAATATCCCGTGCACTTACCAAACTTGATTCTAGTATAGTAGAAGGTGCTTAAAGGGTTTGGGCCCTCTCTGCCGTGCTCTCCCTCATGGCATCAGGGCAATACAGCCTACCAAACACTCCATGTGAGGGTTTGGGGAGCCACCTCTGCCCAGTCCCTACGTTGTTTTCCCATCCCATGCAGAAAAAAAAAAAAAATTGCACTCTTTACCTTCCCTTAAGGCTGGGACCTGGCCTCCCACCCCTGTCCTGTCTCACTGTTTCTTCTCCCACTCCTCCCCAGGCTCCTTCTGCTCCAGCCATGGGCTACCTTGCTGTTCTCAGATATCTCATGGTGTTCCTGAATCAGGGTCTTGACCCGTGCACTTCACTTCCTTCTGCCTGGGACCCTCCTCCCCTAGATACCTGCAGAGCATGCTCCTTTACCTCATTCCTGTCTCTACTCCATGCCAGCTTGTCAGACAGGCCTGCTGAGACATCCCCTCCAAATATTCCTACCTTCATCCTCATTCATGCTTTTTCGCAGGAGTTATCATCTGACTTATTATGATTTCTTTAGAAATCTCTCTTCTCCTGTAGAAGGTAAGCACCATGAAAGTAAGAGCATGTTTGTTTGTTCACTGCTGCATTTCCTAAAACATACTTTAATTTTGGTGAATAAATGAATGTAGATGTGCTTTATAAACTGCCAATCACTGTTGTCTCTTCCTTTTTCTCTTCCTTCCTCCTTTATGGTTTCATATCAACTCTTTCCCTTCTTCAAACACCATCATCATCATCATCATCATCACCACCACCACCATCATCGTCCAAGAAAGAACTAAAGATACCTCAGTCCACTGGCAGCTCCCAGAAGGCTTGGACCTAGGCAATGTCTATTAGGACTGCAACCTTGGGAAATAAAGCAGGAAAGTCCAGTTGTCCTTTGTGGCCTTGAGTTGTGGTAATTTATGTTCCTGTCTGTCCCTGCTTTGAGCAGACACCAATTTCAAGACCCGGTCTGACTCACTGTGGAACCTTTCCAGCACAGTCCTGGCACTTAGATGGCTCTCTCTTCTTTCTTTCCCACTTGCCCTTAATCCCTTTATTCCTCCTCCTCCCTTCTTTTCTTCAATTTTTCTTCCTCTTTCCTTGCTTCCTTGTTCTTTTTGTCTTTCTCTCCTTCCTGTTTTTCTTTCATGTTTCACTGCAGCTGGTCTTCTTCCAGGGAGGGCTTGGGACAGTGCCTGGCAGTGAGTTCCCCTCCAGCCATGAGCTTTTCTGACTCCCTCAGTGCTAACGCTCCCTCCCTCTGCTACCAGGGGACCTGCATGCACTTGATTCTAGCCTTAACAGCTCTCCTGTAGGACAGGTGTGTTTCCCTAAGGCCCAGCTGGTCATGATTTTCACATGATTACTCCATCAAAAAGTACAGAAACAGGGCTGGGCGCGGTGGCTCACGTCTGTAATCCCAGCACTTTGGGAGGCCGAGGTGGGTGGATCATCTGACGTCAGGATTTGGAGACTAGCCTGGCCAACATGGCAAAACCCTGTCTCTACTAAAAAGTACAAAAATTAGCCAGGCATGGTGGCGGGCTCCTGTAATCCCAGCTACTCGGGAAGCTGAGGCAGAAGAATTGCTTGAACCTGGGAGGCGGAGGTTGCAGTAAGCTGAGATCGCGCCACTGCACTCCAGCCTGGGTGACAGAGTAAGACTCTGTCTCAAAAAAAAAAAAAAAAAAAGGACAGAAGCACCTAGTGGTCATGTGAAAACTGTGTGTTATTTATAAATGTTGACACTGATAGGTTATAAGTAGGTTATGACTTTATAAAAATTAGGCATATTTTAGAGTATTTACTCAACTTCAAAATATATTTTTTACAAGGTTTACAATGTGTAATATGTCATCTACTAAAAATTATTTTTTCCAAGTGATCTTGTACATGATAAATAGTACAGGAAAGCTTATGAAGAAAAACCTTCACCTCAGTCCCCTCCCCAAAGGTACACTCTTTAAACTGTTTTTTCTGCTGGTTACTTTTGGAATTTTATTTGGCACACCAAAGCCTGAATTTCTTGTTTCACCAGCTTTGTGTGGTATCTTGTGACCGCTCACTTCCTATGCTTTCCCTCCAGTTCTCCACTGCCCACCTTCTGTTGATTATACTTTTACATTGCCTAATTAATGAGCTTCACCAAACTCATCACACTTTTCCTTAGGTGGACTCTTAAAGTTGAAAACCATCAAACAACACTTATTATTATGGCTACGTAACTGTTACACATAGTCAAGCCAAGTACTATGCCAGGATTGTGTTTCATTCCCTAGTAACCCTGGGCCATTCAAAAGAGAATATGCCTCACAAGACCTGTAGATTTTCTTCTCTTTTAATCCATTGATTGCTTGATACTGGGTATGTATTATATGTTGATTCATGTTATATTTTTAATTGTTTTTATATTTCCCCAGAGGCTTCCCTTCAGCAGCACTTTGTCCTGCTCCAGTGTGAACTAGTTGTTTTCCAGTCTTTTGCGCAGCTGTTTTTATAGGACCTTCCTTTGCAATGCTCTATGGTTGGACTCTTTCCTTTTTTTTCCTTCGTCATATTTATTGAGGTTTAATTACATCCAGTAAAAATCACCCATTTTAGTAAACAGTTTGGTGATTGTGAAGAATGAGTGTTCTCATGTGGAGACCTTGTCTGTCAACCCCAAAAGTTCTGTGTGCCCCTTTGTAGCCAGTTTGCCTCCTGTTCCCAGTCCTTGGCAACCAAGGATCTAATTCCTGTCTCTGTCATGTTTACCTTTTCCAGAATGTCATGTAAGTCAAATCATAATACTTTCTTGTGTGGTTTCTTTCACTTAGTATAAAACTGTTGACATTCGTGTACGCTGATGTATGCGTCACTCTGTCATTCGTGTTTTTGTTGCTGAGTAGTATTGGATTATATGGCTGTACCATGATTTGTTCATCGCCTCACCAGCTGGTGGAAATCCGGGTTGTTTCTAGTCTGGGGAAATAGAGAATGAAGTTGCCGTAAACATGCACATACAAGTTTTTTGTGGACATATATTGGTATTGGGTAAATACCTACCCAATGGGATTGCTGGGCCTACCAGTGAGATTGCTGGGGCAGTTGATAAGTGTGTGCCTAACTTGATGGGAAGCTGCCCACCTGCTTTCCTAAATGGCTGTTCTGATCCTCCATAGCACCTGGTATTGTCACTTATGTGTGCTTTTTGCGATGATTGAATTAAATGTGGTGTCCATTGTCATTTAGTTTGCATTTCCCTACTGACTAATGACATAGAGCACCTTCCCCTGTGTTTACTTGCCATCCACGCATCCTCCTGGTAAAGTGTATGAACAAATCTTTTCTTTCATTTTTTTTTTTTTGAGACAGTCTTTGTTCTGTCATCCAGGCTGGAGTGTAGTGGTATGATCATGGCTCACTGCAGCCTTGAACTCCTGGGCTCAAGCAATCCTCCTGCCTCAGCCTCCTGAGTAGCTAGGACTGCAGGCAAGCACACCATGCCTGGCTAAGTGTTTTTTGTTTTTTTTCTAATTTTCTGTAGCGACAGGGTTGCACTATATTGCCAGGCTGGTTTCAAACTCTTGGGCTCAAGCAGTCCTCCTGCCTCTGCCTCCCAAAGTGCTGGGATTACAGATGTGGTTTACTTTTTAAAAAACATTGGTGTATTAGGGTTCTCTAGAGAGACAGAACTAATTTTATCTATATATAGGATATATATACAAAAGGGAGTTTATTAAGTATTAACTCACACGATCACAGGGTCCCATAATAGGCTGTCTGCAAGCTGAGGAGCAAGGAGACCCAGCCTGAGTCCCAAAACTGAAGAACTTGGAGTTCGATGTTTGAGGGCAGGAAGCATCCAGCATGGGAGAAAGATGTAGGCTGGAGGGCTAGGCCAGTGTAGTCTTTTCACATTTTTCTGCCTGCTTTATATTCTAGCCGCATTGGCAGCTGATTAGATAGTGCCCACCCAGATTAAGGGTGAGTCTGCCTTCCCCAGCCCACTGACTCAAATGTTAATCTCCTTTGGCAACACCCTCACAGACACACGCAGGATCAATACTTTGCATCCTTCCGTCCAATCAAGTTGACACAGTATTAACCATCATCACAATTGGGTTGTTTGACTTCTATTGTTGAGTTGTAACAGTTTATATTTTATATACAAGTCTCTTTTCTATCACATATTTGTTTTACAAAATGTTTTTTCAGTCTGTTGCATTTCCTTTTCTTAACAGTGTCTAAGTACGTTAGAGGGGTTTTTTCTAAGTTTTTGTTTCTTTTTCTTCCAAAGTCATTGTCATTTATTACCTTGGTTTTCCTTCCGTTCTGTTGGCTTCACTCATATGCCTGGTGGCTTGTAGGTGTTGTGACTTTTTTCCCCTGGCTTTTCTCCTGAGGGGAGTCTGCCTGGGATAGCCAAGTGGCCTGGGCAAGACACAGCAGGTTGCCCACACTGCAGGATGACAGGGTGGGGACTGGCATGCAGGGTGCAGTTCTCTAACTGTCAGCAAAACGAGGCGACCTTTATTCTGTGGGTTCCAGCATGGAAGCCTTTAATTCTCCCATCCCACTTTTTGCCCGGGGGTGGATGCTAGCAGGCAGCGGGTGGGGGTGCTGGCTGAGACAGTGTCCAGTACACTGACCTTTCATTTGTCCTCTGTTTATTGTTCCTTAATGACTCTGAGCCAGGAGCCTTTCTGAGGTCCCCCAAGG
This sequence comes from Homo sapiens, assembly GCF_000001405.40. NCBI lineage: Eukaryota > Metazoa > Chordata > Mammalia > Primates > Hominidae > Homo > Homo sapiens. Next base: position 127,027,065 of record NC_000009.12, read on the forward strand.
CAGCCTGACTTCACCACCTCTGTAGCCCCTTCCTGGCATAGTCTAGCTTGAGACTTTCTGTTTTCGTTTAATCAAAATCCGTGCTGATCTCCAGTAATGTGTTGAAATCTCTCATTTGACGAGGGTAGTAGTGCCCTCCACTCCATTCTCTTCCTAGTTTAGGTCTATCTTTTACTTCTGTGCTTTGTCAGAGGGGTCTTGGGAGTGATGTTAGGCAAATGCATATGTCAGGTGTCATTTGAACACGCAACCTGTTTTGAACTTAATATGGAACCAGTTGTAGGTGGTTTTGGGTTTGTCACAGACACAGATGATGGAATCAGCTTCTCCCTTTTGAAACTTGTTTTTAATCATGGACTAACTTCATTGTTCTCTCACATATTTCATTCATGGTCTCATTAAGAGTTATAGAAAAAGATGATATTTGATTGTGTTTACAGTGAAATATATACAAATACAAGCATTTATATTTTGTTAATAACTATTAGGATCTGCTGGAACTGCAGATTTTACTGAGGGGAGAACTGGTGGTACTGGATGCGACCCCCACCCACCAGTGGATGAGGCTTCCCTGAAACAGACCAGATGCGTATTCTCCCCAATTAGCATATCCATAAACTATGGCACATTTACTGCCTAAAAGAACCAAGAAGCTTCTTTGCTTCCCTTAGCCTGCTTTGTAGTCTCAGATTGTTGTGAGTTCTGACTTTTCTGACACCATGTAGAGCGTGGGCTCTGGAATCAGACTGAGGTTTGAATCCCAGTTCCAGCACTTACTAGCCATGTGACCTTAGACATGTGGCAATCTCTCTGAGCCTCATAGTCTCATCCATCAATTGGTGCCTATCTCATCGTCTTGTTTGTGGATTCAGCAAGTTACAGCATGTAAGTCCCCTAGCCCAGAGTCTAGCAGGCCATTTTAACACTCAGTAAACACTGATTCTAGATATCCCTAAGTCTCTGCCCCTGGAGGAGCTCCCTATGTATCTGTAGACATTTTAACTCTGGATCCTATTATCCCTTTTGTCTTTTAAGCCCTGCCTGTGTTGCCAGAGGCACTGTGCCCCATTCTGGCTATGGCAGCCCGATTCCTGGGCTGGCCCTAACTCAGGTGTGGTGCTCTCAGAAGCCTGCCCAGGTTCTGCTTTGGTCTATGCCTTCATGTCACCCAGTTCTCCTCTAGGCTGCAAGCCTGCCGGAGCCCCGGCTAAGGCCTGCAGCTCTGTTCTGGCTGTGGTGAGGATGGGCTCCCATCACTTCTACCATCCACTACCTGTGTGGTCTGGACAAATTACCTGCTTGTTACATATTATTTCATTTAGAAATTGGAGGTCAGAGCAGTCATATCCACTGTGAGGGTTCTGTGAGGATAAAATGAGATGGTCTCTGTGGAGTGTGTAGCACAGTTCCTGGCACAACGTAGGTGCTCAATAAATCTTGCTGGTGCTTCCCTTTGGCTGGGCCTTGGCTCTCATCCTGGCACCATTGGAGTCCTACTGTCCAGGGACTGCTGTCCTGTGTGCCTCCTCCATCTGATTCCAGGGGCTCTCCTGGCCTGGATTTTCAGCCCCTGCACCCACTGCTCAGCGCTGCCTTTCCCCTTTGAGCATTATTTAATTTAATGAGCACGTTAAAAATATTACAATGTATCATTTTTTTCTAAGCACTTTGCAAATATCGGCCCATTCAATTCCTATAACTACCTTACAGAGGAGGTGCTATTATTAATGCCATTTTTCAGATGCAGAAAGTCAGGCACTGAGAGTTTAAGTGACTTGTCCAGGGTCACACAGCCAGGGAATCAGCCTGGTCCATGTAAGTCCCTAACTACTACATGCTGTGGCCTCTTTTTTGTGACCCTTGTGCCCCCAGAGCTCACTCCTGAGACCAGAGCCAGCCCCTCTGCCAGATCCCAGGTGGGTAGCTTTCATGGAATTCTGTTACTCCTGCTTGGGCCTCTAGACCCCCAACTTCCACACAAGGAAGGTGTGGACATCATGCACCTTTGCTACTGCCACAGCAGTCAGTATATATGGTCTCCTGGGGTGAATATAGATAGAGAAGAATGTAGACTTCCTTGTGGGTGACAAGGCATGGAAGTCCCTGAAGGACACGCCAGCCATTCTCTTTTATTTGCCCATCTCCTTAGCCCATTCTTAACTCTGTCACAAGAGTCTAGGCCCTGAATGCCTTACTCCCCAGTCAGACCCACTCTGGTCAGGTCCCCAAAACTGGCACTGTCTCCCTGACTGCCTTACTGGGTCACCTATCTCCCAGGGTGTTTCAGAACTCCTTTGGTTAGGTGTGTAATTGTCCCACCAGTTCTTCTGAAGATGATTTATAAAAGCAAATCTGGCAGGTCTTTCCTGTTGTTTTTTTTTCCTTCCTGTGAGAGGGTAGGATGGGAAGAGTGGGAGAAACATGGAGGGAGGAGGAAGAAGAAAGCCATTGAGCACAGTGGTGATGTGCTGTTGGCTGGTGCCAGCCTGGCAGTGGTCCTGAGGTCTGTTGTAGTGACTTGCCCTTGAGGCAATGCGTTTTCCATGTGGACACGTTTGATGAACGTGATTTGGAGATGACTGCAGTGAGAGTTAGGCACACGTGGAAGGGCCATGTGCTGACGCCAGCTTCCTGTGGCCCGATGGCCTAGATGCCGTGGGGGTCTTCAGAGAGGACTTGTCACCACTCCCCAGTCTCCTTTCCCAAGGCCTTACGTGATGGACTCCAGACACGGTCAGGGTTGGGCCTGTCTCAGCTCACCTCAAGGCGTCTGACTCCCAGACCCCTAAGCACAAAACCGGCAGCTAGTGGAGTGAGCCTCATGGTGGGGTGGCCCAGAGCAGCTTTGCAGGGGCAGCTGAAACCAGTGTTGATTCTTGCTTTCACCTAGGAATGCTTACAGGTGGGGGTATTAAGACTAAGTTTTTTTGCACAGTTAGGGATTATTTCCACAGTGTCTTTGTGATAAACATTCTTCTTTGACTGTCAGATGAATGTCTAAATGAATTTTTTGTTGTTAACGTGTTTTTTATTTAAGGCAGCTGGTCAGATACCCCTTTGGTTCTGGGCCCACTGATTTTGAGTTGTCTGTGGATGCCAAAGAAGGTATGGCCAGGAGGCACCTGGCTATCTTGGACGGGAGCTCAGGAGAGAAACTTGGGCTGGACACAGACATGTAGTTGAAGCCACAACAGTCAGTATATGTGATCTTCTAGGGAGAAATATAGAAGAATGTAGAAGATGACCTTGGACAAGTTGAGGTGGAGATTGTGTCAGAAAAGAAAAGAGCAGCCGGAAAATAAGACTAAGAGTGAGGGGCCCGAAAGGTGGGGAGACAACAGGAGAACACAGTGTGCAAAGGCAAGGCAGAGGACAACAAATATGGTGGAGGCTAAGAGCGGCCGGTGAAGGGGCGCTAATTTCCTAGTTGGGAAGTTGTCTTAGGGGAAGGAACAGTTACAGGGGAGCAGAGAGCAGGGAAGGCAGGTAGGAGAGGGGAGTGAGTTTAAGTCGTTCTCTTGCAAGGGAGAAGAGTGAGCAGGAGCTGGAGGGGACAGGGTCTGGGAGAGGTGTTTTTTATTGTTATTAATATTAATGGGAGAAGCTTAATGCATGTTAAAATGCTAGCAGGAAGGAGAAATTGGAGAGGAAGACGTGGAAGGTACAGGGATGACAGAGGGCATCAGAGTAAGGTCTCTGAGAAGGCAGAGGGGTGGGATGGGGGCAGGAAGAGAGCGAAAGAAGCCCCTCTTTCATTAAAGCCAGAAGGAGGGAGAGGATGCAAGGACATTTAAGTTTGGTGGCAGGAAGTTTTCTTCTCATAGCATCTGTTTTTCCCTGATGAGCCTGAGGAACACCCTGGTGACAGGAGGAAGGTCTCAGCAGCACCTGGTAAAGGACTGCACAGGCTCTTAGTCCCCTCACATCCAGTCAGCTCAGCCACGTAGTCAGGGCCAGGGACCGTCTGGGCAAGATGTGGGCCTCAGCGCCCATGGGAAGGGCTGTGCGACAGTCCCTGGGTAGCTCAGTGGCTCACCACAGACACAGAGCTACCAGGGCCGTACTGGTCTCATCCCAAACCCTTGTCTCCCTTCTAGAATCAGCCTTGTCTCCTCTGGTCAATTTTAACTAAATTACACTCAAATAAGTTCCACAGTGTGGACCTTTTTTAGGCATTAGTGACTGGAAGAGTTTTGTTCTATTACTTCACATTTTCCTAAACCCACTTAACACGGATGGAATCTCTTGTAATCCTGTAAGACCAAACACAGAAGAGGAACTGCGCCAAAGCGGTCAGGCCCAGTACTTGTTTAGCACAGACAGAATGGTCATACTTCTTCTGACCTTGTGATAAATCTTCTGTGCTGAATTTGGGAGGTCTTCACACTGAGGAGTGCTCATGCTTCATTCATTAACAGAGGCTGCTTGAGCATCTACTGCCAGCCAGGCCCTGTGCCCCGCATGTCACCTCCCTTGTCAGGCTCTGCCTCCTTCAGTCTCTGTCACAATTCTGTGGGGTTAGCTATAGCATCTTCATATTTAGTACTGAAGGAACTGATGCTGAGAGAGGTGATTTGTCTGGTGTTTCCCAGGAAATAAGTGACATGGTGTGGGATTCAGAGCAAGATATTTTGGCTCAAAATCCTTTGCTCCTTCCATTTTATCAAAGTACTTCTCAAACATAATGTTTTACTCTGCTGATGTGTTAATTTTAAATGTTACATGCATTCTAGTGCGAAAGATTCCTTAGGAAATTGTTAAAACCCAATAACTCCACATAGAGTTTTTGAATTAGGGTCTTAGAAATGTTCAAACCAAGTAAATGTAGGGAAGATGTATTAAGTACCAACTGGTTCTTGCCTGCATGATATCAGCAAAATGAAAGAGAAATAATAATAGATTTTGTTAATAATTCAAGACAGTAAAGAGAGAATGGTGTGGGAAAAAGAAGACGTTTGGCGTTCAAGCTGAGTCTGAATACTGCCTTGTTGCTTAACAGCAGCGTGCCCCTGGGAAGAGGAAGGCAGGTAACCTTTATCAAGTACCTGTCACGTGCTAGGTGCTTTGCATGTCTTAATCTCATTTAATTGTTATAATGAGCTTCCCAGATAAATATAGTATCATACCCACTTTAAGATGAGAAACTAGAAGTTCTGAGAAGATAAGCATTGTGCAGCTGGTGTGTGGCCAGCCAGGATCTGACCCTGGGGTCCACACTGCTCCCTTTCTGGGTATTGTCTGAAGTTATTACGGTGTGGAAATAAGACCACAGAGTCTGTATTAAATTCACTCATGCACATGTGCGTGTGCACACACACACACACACACATGACTTCTGCTATTTATTCGAAAATTCAGGAAAAATACAAAGGGAGCAATTATCAGCTAGAAATTGGGCAACAACCGTGCCTCAGTCCTGAAACATCAGTTTTATGAGTTGGGTTTTATATTTGGTTATAAACCCATACTTTTCCAGGACTGGCTTTGTGATTCACTGGGGAGAGAGGCCTATGTCTTCACAAACAAACTTTAAAAGGGCAATAATAACATATATTTGCAAAGTGATTCAAGTATGTGTTTTAAAGAGAGGGAGATAGTACATGTAACTGAGGTAGGTCAAACATACATTTGAAACCGAACATAGCCTGGGTGCAGTGGCTCATGCCTGTAATCCCAGCCCTTTTGGAGGCCGAAGCAAGAAGATCGCTTAAGGCCAGGAATTTGAGACCAGCCTGGGCAACACAGTGAGACCCCCATCTCTACAAAAATAAAAATTAAAAAAAGAAACCAAGTGCAAATATATGTCATCAGAACAAGAAGAATCATAGTAAACAGCTGTAACTTCTACAACTTAAAGAGACTCATCTCTGCTTTTGAAAAGAAGTAGAGTCACAATATTCATCCAAGAGAAAGAAACCTCTTTATTAAAATGGATGTGGTGAGAATTACATGAGATGACATAGGTGAGGTGCCCTGTCCAGCACCTGCTCTGTGGGGAATTCTTGCTAAATGGTAGCACCAGTGAATTCTGTTGTCATTGCTATTATTTGAGTCTAAGTTGTGAGGGTGTGAAGGACATGGCAGGCTCCAGGTTGTTTGTGTTCTCTTGTGTGGGTGACCTTAAGGACAGAAGTGAGGCACCAGGAGGAGGTGTCTCGGCCTCTGGCTGGTTCCTCTGTGTTCCTAAGTCCAGGGCATTCATCTTGTGACCAGGAGCTGCTGTTGCCTTTAGCCAGGCTCCCACCAAGCCCCTGTCTGTGGCTGATTGTCAGGTCCTAAGGTCTGTTTGACAGGCGTGGCCCTTCAGACGTGACTGCTAGTGGCCAGTTTTGTCCTGGGCTGTTCCTACTGCTCCCCTCCCTGCTCTCCTAGGAGACCCCTGATCTGTATCTATTGTAGCTGCTGGGCAGCTGCCTCTCACTAAAGATCTTATGAAAACTCTAGGTCAATGGCAAAAAACCAATGTTATTAGTAATACTGAGGCCTGGTAGGAATTAAAAGGCAGTCTTGTAACTTATAGGTGGAGAATTTCAGAATTTGCAACCTTTGCTACCTTTCCTCTAGTCTGTTTCAGGGCTCCACAAGGCACACACTGAGAATGCTGGGCATTTGGATGATGGCTTCTCCTTGGTCCTTTTTTGTAGCACCAAGTAATCCCATTAGATTGCTCCTATTGTGTCCAGCTTTTATCCCTTGGCTAAGAGCCAGCCTTACTGATAAATAAAATCTAGATAATTCAGTTCTTCAAATTATAATGCTAAACCTAGTGGAAAAAAAGAGACAAGGCCTCTGAACAAGATATTAAAGGGGACCTTTCCTTCTGCATGCTTTTGGTTATATGAGGGATTGGAGGGGCCAACTTCAGGACAGAATCTGAGGTCATACCAGAAGCTTCTCTGATTGCAGTAGGCTTGGACTGAGACTTTGCCTCACACCAGGAATGGATGATGTCATGTGGCCAGTGAAATCTGAGATTTTTTAATGGAGCCCTGGCATCACAACTATGTGGGGATGAGTTCTGCTGGTTAAAACATTTCTGTGCCCCCTCAGACAATTTGCATTGTAAGAAGGACTTCTGGTCTTAGAGAAGCTGGCAGAGTGGCAGTGGATTTCTTTTGGCACAGAAATCCTGGGAAACATGGCCAGAGTTGTTGAGAAAAGTAATCCAGTTATCCTCATTTCTGGTAGTCCCAGGCTGCACTGTCACCTACAAACCCAGCCCTTCTCTTCCACCTAGTAAAGATGGGAACAGCCAAGGTGTCAGCCCTTTCCCACCTTCATGCATGCTCATGTTCCCATTTAATGCCCCTGGTGTATTTTGCATCCCAACTAGAATCACTGTTGAAATTCATTCTGTGCTTCCTAGGAACTAGCCAGCTGTGGATGGAGTAAGAAGGAGAAACACAGTCTTGCCCCTAACGTTGTGGCCTTTACCCGGAGGTTTAACCAGGTAAGCAACACCCCTTGCATGTGCCTATCCAGAGAGCAATCTGCTGCTGTCCCCTGTAGGCTGCGAGCCCCCACCCAAAGCTGTCTCCCAGGCTCCCAGCTGGCCCCAGATCCAGCTTCTCATATGAGTCCCCCACCTTTATCCAGTTTTGTGCCATTATAGTCCATTTTCACAGAGCAGGTGGAACTGAACATACCTTTCCTATGCTTAAATCACTTCAGTGACTTCCAGTTTCACTTAAGCTAAGGTTCAAGTACCTTAATATGCTTTGCAAGGTTCAGCATGGTGGATCTCGCTTCTGTCCACTCCTCCAGCCTCATCTCTTTTCCCTCCTCCTGGCCTTCCTTCTCTTACTGATATACCTTATCTCTCTCCTGTCAGGCCCCATGTGTGTGGTCTTCACAGCCCAGAATCCTTCCTCCCTGTTCAACTTCCAGTCAGATCTCAGCCTAAATGTCATTTCTTTGGGGAGTCTTCCCTGAATCCCCAGCCTGTGTGAGGTCACATATCCCCACATTGTACCCTGTGCTCCCTGTGATCCTTTACTAATTTGTCCTCATGTTGTATAACTCTGTAGTCTCCACCTTCCTTGCCGGCCTGGGAGCCCCATAAGCATGTCTATCTTGTTCATTACTGTGTCCCCCACCACCTTGCCCAATGTCAGGCATATCATAGACCCTCATTAACAATATATGGAACGAATAGATGAGGTGCTCAGGAAGTACCTTTTAAATTGAATTTTCTTGAATTCCTGATGGCCTGATCCCTGGCCTTGCACTACTTTAAACTGACTTGGTCCAACAAGAACCTGTGCTCCAGGTATGAAGATCTGGAATGATGATTGGAGACTTGGATCAACTGAGGGAGGTAGGGTGTCTTATTTCTCAGCCAGACCTGCGTGATCTTCAGGAGAAAGCATGCAAACCCCCAAATTGTACTGTTGTACTGTTGACAGATTTCCTTCATTCTTATTTTTCTGGTTTCAAATGAGGCCAGTAGCCTAGAGGTTGCGTAGTATGTATGACTGGCCCTCTGGGTGATGGGGCCTGGATTCCCTTTGGGCCCTCTCTCCAGCTGGGCCTTCTCTCTCGGAAATGCTTGGTCTTGTGCATCACTGTTGCTCAACCCTCTCCAGGCTTCTCCAGCCTTGACCTTCCACCCCAAGTCCAGCGGGATCCTCAGAAAGGCACCAGCTTGTAGTTTGAAGATTGAGGCTCGAATTAGCATTATTATTATTTGATGAGATATAGTAGGAACCAAGAAAGACCTAGGTGCATCTGGAGTAGGGGCTGCACACTGTTTGTTTTGAAAAGAGAAGTTCCAAAGTCTTTTGCTTCTTTTTTCTTTGTTTTGAAAAATCGTCTCTTTTCAACTGAGCTTAGTCTTTAATTAAAAAAAAAAAGTGTGAGAATTTTGTCAGGGAATTCATAGTTTCCTTAACAAAACTATTTGACTGGGAGCCAACTCAGTCCCCACCTCTGACCAGCCACAGAGCTCCCAGAGGAGGGTCTGCTGGGGCTCTGATGTAATCTGCTTTGCATGTGGATGCCAGGTCAACTTGGCAAAGGCGATGTGGCTTATTCTGTGAACAATTGTGTTGTGTCCAGCTCAGACCAAGTGATGAAATGAGCCAGAAGCAAAGTCACATTTTTTTTCAAACAGTGCTCTGGGAAATGGTCTTCCTGCTGGCCCATCAGCCAGTCGGAGAGCCAGCAGCTTCTGGACATAGCCCTGGTAGCTCTGGTTTGAAAATTGGCCAGAGGCCAGGCCTGGTCAGCCATTGGAGCTGCCTTCTTTGGGATGAACTCGTTGGCGTCCCTTCCTGGCAGAATTTTATGTGTGAGAACAAGACTCATCAGACTCCAAATAAAAGAAAGCAGGTCACTTACCTGTCTGAGCCTCAGCTTTCTTTTCTGTAACTGAGAATAATAGTAGTGCTCTCCTTGCACTGTTGTTATGAAGAACAAATGGAATATGAAGAGCTTTAGCACAATGTCTGGCATGTAGTAAGCATCCAAATGTTTTGGGAGAAGAAAAGAGAAATGTGAAGATCAGCTGATTGGGAGGAGGTTGCCAGAGGATTTGAGGCTTCTTGTGGCCAAACAGAAACCCAGTGGCTAGTGCTTGCCTGCTTCTCCGTGGGATCCGAGTCCCTTGGGATTTGCTCATAGAGTGGCTGAGATGGAAGAGTTTGGCCAAGTTCACTAAAGGTCTTTTATGAGCCAGCCTATGTTACAACCCCAAGGAATACCCTGTGTAGCACAGAAGTTCTCAATCTTTTTTGGGTCTTGGGTTCTTTTGAGAATCTGACAGTATCACATATGAATGTTCCTCCAGAAAACTGCAGAGATATACAAATTTGCATTTAATTTTAGGGTGTTCACTGCCTTCCGGAAGTTTATGTGTGGACATTTATGGGTCTGCGGACAATAGACTGAGAAGCTGTGTCTCAGGGAATCCCACAGGCCTGGGTGTGAGTCTTATCGCAACAACTTATTAGCTGTATGATCTTGGGTTGGCTTTTGGCCTCTCTCAGCCTGGTAGTCCTCATTTATAAAACAGGAAGAATCATTTTAAGTGGTTTTTGAAGACTAAACAAGAATCATGAATATAAACGGGTCACCCCAGTGCTTGACACTTAGTAAACATTCCATGTAAGCTTAAACAAAGGGGCAGAGTAGTAGGAGCTATGAGCTGAAAGGAAGGTTAAGACCAGACCAACAGGCTTGGGCATATGTGCAAGGTTGGCCTTGTATCACAAAGATGCTGAAAATTTTGGAAAAGGTGAAGAGGGAATTGGGAGAAACGTGGTTCTAGTCTAGGCCGTGCTGCTAACCTGCTTTAAGGCCCCTCCTCTCTTTGGGTCTCAGGACCTTTTTCCATTCATGGAGATTGGACAGGGCCAAATGTTTCCAACTTGTCTCATGGACACATTTTATAGTTGCTAATGACTGAAACCCCAGCTCAAACTCAGTTAAGCACAAAAGAGAGCTTCATGGTTTATGTATAATAACTAAATCTAGGGAGATACTGACTTCAAATATTGCTGAATCTAGGCAGTGGGGACAGTACCATCTGAACTTGGTCTTGCTCTCTCCACCTCCAGGTTCTGCTTTCCTCTGAGCTGGTTCTACCTCAGGTAGCCTCCCCCTGTGGTTGCAGGATGGCTAGCAACAATTCCAGGCTTGTATCATATTCCGAGGGCAACCTCAGGAGAAAAGACCTGCTGCTTTTTCAGTAGCTCTATCTGATGCCCTGGAATTGAGACTCAGTGGCTCAGATTGCCCTGGCTTGTGGCCTATCTTGTTTGTTATGATCTAATCACTGTGACCAGGAAGACATGAAGCTCTGATTGGCCAGGTCTTGGAAACAGGCCTTCCTATGGAGGAGAGGCGGTAGGCCTAGGCCACATGGACTGAGAATGGAGAAGGGGTATTTCCTCAAGGAAAATCAGGGTGTTCTGGAAGGAAGAAGCTATGGATGAGGGCCAGAAAGGAAGACAGATAGTTATCATAGACCTTCTTTTCTCTTGTACTCTTCCAGTCTGCTCTGAACTTTCTCCCCAATCCATTCTGTTGATACCTTGTCACTCTCAAGTCCTGTCTGCCCTCTGAACTCCCATGCTCATGAGCCTAGTGACTGAATGTTTCTGCTTCCTCTTGGCTTTAATTGAAACTATTTTAAAAACATTTATTGAGCATTAATGCTGAACTTATTGAATCAGATACTATGCTAAGCATTTTACCCGTGCTATCTAATTCAATTTTCACGTGCCTAATGAGATAGATATTTTACACTCATTTCATGGATAAAGAAACTGAGGCTCTGCAAAGTGAAACAACTTGCTCAAATTTACATAGCTGGTGAATTCCTCTGCTTAAGGGGCCTTCTGTTTTTTTCTGAACACTTTTCTAATAGAAACTTCTGCTTTTCCAAACCTAATTTATCACAGGGCTGGGAGACAATGTTAGCATTCTCCTTTCTTCCACATGCTATCTCTAAACAGTTACTCTTTCCTCATTGTGTAATACTCCCTTTTATATGACGCTCATCACTCTAGTTCTATTCATTTATGTATTCAGTAGTCATTGACTGAATATGTACTAGGCTCTGTGCTGGTTCAGGGGGTCAACAATAAACAAATTGTCGCCTTTGCCATTGTCAGCTCATAGTCGAGTGTAGGAGGCAAACATGATGGAGGCGATTCCAGTCCAGGGGAATCTGTGCTAGGACGGGGAAACCAGAGGAAAGGCATGTGCAGGAGCAAGGGAGGCCAGAGTGGGGTCTGTTCCTTCAATCTGAGTGAGGGATTGGAGCTGTAAACTGGCTGGGCACAAGAAAATATTAGAAGACAAAATGACAGCCCTTGGTGATTGATTGGTTATGGAGGGAAATGACAGAGAAGAGTAAAAGAGGGTCCTCTTTTGGTATTTGGGCAGTCCCATCCTTGAGACAGTGAACACAAAGGAGGAGCAGTTTTGAGAGTTGGAGATGAGTTAGGTTTGGACATGTGGGATGAAGTATGCAGGAGGTCATTGGATATTTGAGTCCGGAAGTTGGGGAAAGGTCCAGCCTGGAGATGCAAATATTGGAGTCACCTGCATTTGAAGGCCTGGGGTCAGTGAAATCATCCAAGGAGAAACAGAGGCCCAAGTGAGTACCTGAGGATTGCTGACATTTAAGGGATGGGCAGAGGAGAGGAGGCCACACAGGAGGCAGAGAGAGAGCAACCTGGGAGCAGAACACTTGGTGATATGGAAAGGGCAGTATCTGGAAATCAGTGTTTCAGAAATGAGGGAATGCTACAGAATGAGTCTTCTAAGACAGGGCTAAAAAAGAGTCCTTTGATTTTAGCAGCAAGGACAGTTTTGCAGGGATGTAGCAGGTTGAGTGGTAGATGTGAGGCAATGAAGAGAGCAGGTGTAAGTGATTCTTACAACACTGGCTCCAAGGGGAGCTGAGAAGGGAGTGGCTGGAGAGTGGAGGAGTCAAAAAAGTCCTGGGAGGTGGTTGCATGCTTTTTTCTTCTTTGAAGTGAGCAGATCCTTAAGGATGTGAAGGAGCCAGTGGACCTGGAAAAGTTAAAGATGAGGAGAGGGAGGAAGTACTTAATGAGGTAAAGTCTCAGAAAAGGTGGAAGAAGCCAAGACCTGGGTGCCTCTTCAGTGTAAGAGATGAGTCAGCAGAAAGGAAAGGGGCAGATGTAGACCCATTTGTAGGTGCAATACAAGGAGAGTGATGGCTTTTCTTCGTCAGTGAAATGGGAGGGAAAGGGGGAAGGAGTGGGGCGAGAAGATTGATGGGTTTGGGGAAAGCTTGAAAAAAGCTGCTACACAGGAAAGGAGAGAGAGCTGACTCTGGAAATACAGCAAGACTCTTGGGCAGTGATGGTGGCCCAGATGAAATAGAGATTGTGATTTTCTAAGTGGCCCCAGTGCATGTAGGTAGTAGGTGGTTTTCTCTAGTTGCACTTCTCAGCCTAGGAGTAGGTGCATGGAAGAGCAAATGGTTAGACCCATCCCCTTAGGGGTTGGCAAAGCAGATTTTTTGGAAGGGTCAAGATGCAAGGGAAGTTAAACTAGTGTCAAAGAAAAGGCTGAAGTAGGCCGGGCATGGTGGCTCAAGCCTGGAATCCCAGCACTTTGGGAGGCCAAGGCAGGTGGATCATCTGAGGTCAGGAGTTCAAGACCAGCCTGGCCTACATGGCAAAATCCCATCTCTACTAAAAATACAAAAATTAGCTGGGCATGGTGGTGCACACCTGCAGTCCAAGCTACTTGGGAGGCTGAGGCAGGAGAATCACTTGCACTCGAGGGGGCGGAGGTTGCAGTGAGCCGAGATCTCACCACTGCACTCCAGCCTGGGCGACAGAGTGAAACGCTGTCTCAGAAGAAAAGAAAAGGCTGAAGTGACAAATGATAGGGGATTGGTCTGCTTAAGAGGAAAAGGATGCCAAGGAAAAGGGCTGCCAGGGAATCCAGGACATGGTGAGAGGAAAGGTCTGACACAGTGGGGGTCAAGGAGAGAGTAAGGACTAGAATGTTTAAAGATTGTAGCCCCAGATGGAACCGAAATTTTCTGACATAGAGCAGGTCTGGGAAATCAAGAAGAAAGAGGTGGCTGAGGTGGTAGGGAGGTCTAGTTGCTAAAGTTGAAGTGCTCAAGGGATCTGAGGCCAGGGTCATTTGCAGTGATGTTGAAGTTGCCCAAGGAAGAAGGCAGGATTGGTGTGGAGGGGAAGATAGCAATCCAGATCCTGATCTGTTTACCATCTCTACCGTGGAATCATAAACATGTAGCCTTTTCACACGGACTTTTTTCACTTAGCGATATGTAGTTAACATTCATCCATGTCTTTATATTACTTTATATGTCTTGACAGCTCTTTTGTATGTGTATATTCCATTGTATGGATTTACCATCCATGGTTTGTTCATCCATTCACTTACTGAAGGACATCTCAGTTACTTAGTTACTTCCAGTTTTCACAACTATGAATAAAGCTGCTACAAACATTTGTGTGTGTGTGTGTGTGTGTGTGTGTGTGTGTGTATGTACTAAAGTTTTCTTTCTTTCTTTCTTTTTTTTTATCCCCGAGGTGGAGTCTTGCTCTGTTGCCCAGGCTGGAGTGCAGTGGCGTGATCTCAGATCACTGCAACCTCCGCCTCCTGGATTTAAGCGATTCTCCTACCTCAGCTTCTGGAATAGCTAGGATTACAGGTGCATGCCACCACACCCAGCTAATTTTTGTATTTTTAGTAGAGACGGGGTTTCACCATGTTCGCCAGGTTGGTCTCGAACTCCTGACCTCGTGATCTGCCTACCTCGGCCTCCTGAAGTGCTGGGATTCCAGGCCTGAGCCACCGCACTCGGCTAGATTTTCAGATCAGCTGGGTATATACCTAGGAACACAAGCTAGATTGTGTTTGTCCCATTTTGTATTCTCACCAGCAATGAATGAGTGTGTGGCTTCAATCCTTGCCAGCAACTGATATTGTCAGCTATTTTGTGTTTTAGGCATTCTAGTATGTGTGTAGTAATCTTGCTTTTCTCAGCTTTATCCAGACCACTCTTGGACAGTTACGTCTGGTTCTGGGTGCCTCACGTGAGGGGTGAGGGTGGGAATTATCACACAGGAGTGGCATGTAAGTATTACAGTGACTAGAAGAGTAGGGGAAGGAAAACATGTTATACAGGGATAGGTGGAGGATCTGTGAGTGAGAAGACTCAGGGAGAAGGTCATCAAGGTTTTCAAGCAATTGAGGAGTTCTTAATGGGGAAGCTGGATTCAACATAATCTATGGGGCCTGGTCAATAAGTGCAGGGCCCAAGGGATGGAAACGGGGAGGCAGTTGGCCTCCTCCTAATATAAGGAAGTTTCTTAACCATGAAGGCTGAGGCAGAGACCAGACAAGGGCTTTATTACTGTAGAACACCATGCAGCTGTCAGGGCAGGGAGTAGATGGGACCTCTAAGATGCTTTCAAACTCTTGGTTTCTAAGAAAACTGTGAATGGACTTAGGAGAAATTTGTGGCAAAAGTAGATTTTTCATAAGAAATAGTAGTATTTTTAAACCTGGATTTTTCTTGTTGTTTTTCTTTGTTTTATTCTTTGATTGTTTTTTTCATGGTTGGTTAACTGAATAAAGTTGTGTCCATAACTATTCTGTTTTTTTATAATTCCGCCGTGGCATGTCCCAGATATCATAGTCCTCAGTAGCTAAATGCCAGTGCTAGCTATACCACTATAACAATAATAGTGTTAATAATAGGTTATGTGTATTAAAAGTTTATTAGCACCATGACCCACTGGGGTTATGCTCCGGGTGTGTTTGGCTCCTTCAGCAATTGGAAATCAATTAATGTAATCCACTGTACAATAGGCTAGGGTAGAAAAATCATATTATTATATCATTTGACCTGAAAAAGCATCTCACAAAGTCCAGTACTCATTCATAATTAAAAAAAAAATCTCAGCCAATTAGGAATAGAACAGAACTTCTTCAACTTGATAAAGAACATCTACAAAAGTCCTTCAGCCAACATCATACATAATGGTAAGACACTGAATACTTTCCCCCTAAGACTGGGAACAAGGCAAGGATGTGCTCTCTTATCCGTTCTGTACAACATCTTACTGCAAGTCCTGGCTAGTACAGTAAGACAAGAAAATAAATAAATAAAATGTATACAGATTGGAAAGGAAGAAGTAAAACAACCTTTATACATAGGTGACGTGATTATCTAGATAGAAAATTCCAAAGAAATCTCCAAAAATACTCCTGGAACTAAGAAGTGAGTAAGCAGAGTTGCAGGACACAGGCCAGTATACAAGAGTCAATTGATTTCCTCTAGACCAGCAATGAGGAACTGCAATTTGAAGTTAACAAACAATACCATTTACAATATCACCAAGAAAACCATAAAACTTAGATATACCTCTAACAAAATATGTACAGGTTCTGTTAATATGGAAACCTCAAAAACTGATAAAAGAAATCAAAGTGGAGCTAAATAAATAGAGAAATACTCCATCTTCATGGAATGGAAGACTCAATACTGTTAAGATGTCAGTTCTTCCCAACTTGATCAATAGATCCAGTGCAATCCCAATCAAAATCCTAGAAAGCTGTTTTACAAATATCAACACAATACTGAAAAAGAATAAAATTGGAAGACTCACTCTACCTGATTTCAGCACTTACTGTAAAGCTACAGTTATCAAGACAGCATGGTATTGGCGAAAGAATTGGCCCCATAGGTCGATGGAGCTGATAAATAGACCTACACAAATATGGTCAGCTGATCTTTGATAAAGGTACAAGGGCATTCAGCGGAGAAAGGACAAGTGGTGCTGGAAGAATTTAAATATTTGTGTGTATATGCAAAAAAAAAAAAAAATGAACCTAGACACAGACCTTAGACCTTTCCTAAAAATTAATTGAAAATGGATCATAGGCCTAAAGGTAAAAGACAAAACTATAAAACTTTTAGGAGAAAACGTAGAAGAAAACCTGTATGACCTTGGATTTGTTAATGAGTTATCAGATAAAACACCAAAAGCAGAATTCATGAAAGAAAAAATAAGTTGGAACTTTATGAAAATTAAATTTTTTTCACTCTGCAAAACACATGGTAAAGAGAATTAAAAGACTTACCACAGATTGGGAGAAAATATTTGCAAAACACATATATGATAAAGGAGTTGTATCCAAAATTTACTCTTGAAACTCAACAATAAGAAAATAGCCCAATTAAAAAATGGGCAAAAGATCTGAAGAAAGCTCACCAAAGAAGATATGCAGATGGCAAATAAACATATGACAAGATGCTCAACATTATTTGTCATTAGGGAAACACAAAACACTACATACCTATTAGAATGTCTACATAAAACAAACAAAAAACCCTGATAACACCAATTGCCGTCAAAGATCTGAAGCAACACAAACTCTTATTCATTGCTGGTGGGAATGTGAAATGAGACACTCAATCCAGCAATTGCAATCCTAGGTATTTACCTAGCTGATCTGAAAACTTATATCCACACACAAAAAACAGCACACAAATGTTTATAGCAGCTTTATTCATAGTTGTTGAAAATCAGAAGTAACCAAGATATCATCCTTCATTAGGTAAGGTAAATGGATAATAAACCATGGTAAATCCATACAGTGGAATAGCATTCTTCCAAAAAAGGGAGAATGAGCTATCAAGTCATATAAAGACATGGATGAATCTTTTTTTTTTTCTTTTTTTGAGACAGAGTTTCACTCTTGTTGCCCAGGCTGGAGTGCAGTGGCGTGATCTCAGCTCACTGCATCCTCCGCCTCCTGGGTTCAAGCAATTCTCCTGCCCCAGCCTCCTGAGTAGCTGGGATTACAGGCATACGCCACCATACCTGGCTAATTTTGTATTTTTAGTAGGGATGGGGTTTCTCCATGTTGCTCAGGCTGGTCTGGAACTCCTGACCTCAGGTGATCTGCCCTCCTCGGCCTCCCAAAGTGTTGGGATTACAGGCATGAGTCACAGTGCCCGGCCCGAATCTTTTTTTTAAAAAAATAATTTCATGTTTTATTTTAAATTCAGGGTACCTGTGCAGGTTTGTTACATGAGTATATTGCATGATGCTGAGGTTTTGGAGTATGAATGATCTTGTCACCCAGGTAGTGAGCATAGTACCCAATAATAGGTAGTTTCTCAGCCTTTGCCACACTCTCTCTCCTTCCTCTAATAGTCCCCAGTGTGTGTTGTTCCCATCTTTATGTTGTGGATGAATCTTAAGTGCATATTGCCAAGTGAAAAAAGCCAGTCTTGAAAGGTTGCATATGGAGGATGCCTTTTCTCTTTTCTTCCTCCTCCTGAATCATTATTGTTGGTTTATTACAAAGCAAAGAAAATGTTCTTGCTAGCATAAATCAAGTTATCAACATGATTATACTTCTACATTTATATTTCCTTTTTTGACATTCTGGAAAAGGTAAAGCTATAGAGATGATAAACAAATCAGTGTTTGTCAGGGCTTTGGAAAGGGGAGAGGGCTGAATAGGTGAAGCCTGGGTTTTTATTTATTTATTTTTTTAAGGCAGTGAAACTATATGATATTGTCATGTTGGATACATGACACAGTGCATTTGTGAACTTTATAGCACCAAGAGGAAACCTTAATATATGCAAATTTTTAAAATTCAACTTGAGGGATCAGTGTAACACTTTGTTACATTTTGTTACGTATAATATTACAAAATGTTATAGCAGAATGTAATAAAAGAATCTATTATAAATGTATGAACAACCTCACTGAGGACAGGGAGAGAAAACTTTGCTGACCTAAGTAAATTTGTAATAGAGTGGAGCCTATAAGGCTAAAGACAAAGGAACTGTATATAAACACCATACTCCATTTGATAAAGTTGTTTCCCAAGGGGGATGGGTAACAATTCTGAAACCATTATCCCTGTGTACTGGAATCAAACAATATAAGAAATAGATGAATATAAGAGAGTATAATGAAATGGATGGCAGATGGTGGGAACCAAGTTTCTCACTGTTGGAGTGGGAAATTACAGATAAGCCAGGTGTGAGGAGGCTAGAACGACCCACGTGGTAATGGATTACGGTTGGAGACATCAGTATGAACTCATGTTTAGCTTAATACAGATATAGATGGTTACATATAGAAATCTTTACAGATATGTGTATAGGCATGGGTTAGTACACACACACACACACACACACACACACACATACACACACACACACACACACACACACACACACACAATTTCTTGGCTCTGCCAGCTGAGAGGACCTAGAAACGATGATACCCCAGTAGCAGCAAGCATACTTCATACCTGTTTTGTGCTAATCTTGGTTTCTAATACTGTTATTTGATAAAAGGAACCAGCGTTCCTTGGAGAAATGACTAATTTTAAGACTAAGGCAAGAAATATAAAAGATGAGCCTGTTGCATATTGTATTGCCAGAAGGTAAGGAAGTGCTCAAACTAACAAACCAAAACAATACAGGGGTTGTGTCAAAGGGATGCAGGAGCCAACTGAAAGAACTCTCAAAGGCCAAAGCTGGAACAATTTGAGCAGCATATAAATAATAGTATTGGATTGTAACCCAAAGTATAAAATAAATATCCACAAATCTATACTGATATAAATAAATGTGGAAGAATCGACAAATCTCTCATGCAGAAAATTTCAAATAATCTATGTAGATTAGATCTCAAGAAGGTAGAATGTAACTTCCCACTTGTTAAATATTGGCTGAGCTTAGTGACTTCCTTGCAGAGTTTGAAGTGGTAGTGTAAATTGTGTAACCAATTCCCTATCAATGGGCTTTTAAAAATTGTAGATAGTGCTTCAATGAAACCTTGTGTATCTGTGTTTCTATATTTCTGTATTTTTGTAAGGTAAATATTCTAGGGAGACTATACCTTAAACATCTTGAAAGATATGTTCAAGTTGTTCTTCAAAATGTTATTGATTTCGATTCCTCCAAACAATGTATAAGAGTACCAATGTCTACATGCTCTTGGTACAATATATGACTCACAACATGTATTTTTATTTGATATACAAAGAGCTTTTATCAATCAATAATAAGAGAAAACCTGCTTTGGTGACATAGTGAGACCCCATCCATACAAAAAAAAAAAAAAAAAAAAAGCCAGGTGTGGTGATGCATGCCTGTAGTTTCAGCTA
Organism: Homo sapiens; assembly: GCF_000001405.40. Taxonomy (NCBI): domain Eukaryota; kingdom Metazoa; phylum Chordata; class Mammalia; order Primates; family Hominidae; genus Homo; species Homo sapiens. Next base: position 127,046,730 of record NC_000009.12, read on the forward strand.
CTTGACAGGCTGAGGTGGGAGGATACTCAAGCCCAGGAGTTTGAGGTTGGAAGGACAGATGTCCCAGTAGAAAGATAGTTCTTCACAAGGACCTGTGCAGGCAGTTCAGAAGGCAAATAATACAAATGACCTATAAATATTTGGAACAAAAAAAGTTAACTGAAAAAAAGCAAAACAAACAAACAAAAAACACCTGAATAGTCATGAAAGAAATGTGAAATTGAAACTGTGAAATACCATTTTTTTCCATCGAATTAGTTAAAAAAAAAAAAACTGATAGTAACTGGTATTGGCCTGTGTATGGCAACATGGATCTGCTTCAACTTGTTGATGGGTAAACAAATAGACCTTTTGGAGGCCACTTTTTTTACATATACTTTTGAAAACAGGTACACACGCTTTTATTCACTCCACTTTACATGAATTTATCTGAGGACCTTAATAAAAAGTGTACAAACATATGTATAAAGATGTTCATCTCAGCATTATTACAACAAAATTAGAAATAACCTATTCAACAGTAGAGGGTTATTTAAGAAAATGATGATACTTCTCTATGATGAAATACTTGGAAGCTGCTAAAAATTGTAGAAGAATATTCACTTATAAAAATCTTGTGATATATGATTAATATACACCAATTTAGTTTTAAGAGACAAACATGTTCTATATAGAGAAAAAAAAGATGGCCGGGCATGGTGGCTCATGCCTGTAATCCCAGCACTTTGGGAGGCCGAGGCAGGTGGATCACCTGAGGTCAGGAGTTCGAGATCAGCCTGGCCAATACGGTGAAACCCCATCTCTACTAAAAATACAAAAATTAGCCAGGTGTGGTGGTGCATGCCTGTAATCCCAGCTACTAAGGAGGCTGAGGCAGGAGAATCGCTTGATCCCAGGTGGCGGAGGTTGCAGTGAGCAGAGATCGTGCCACTGCACTCCAGCCTCGGTGACAGAGCGAGACGCCCTCTCAAAAAAAAAAAAAAAGGAAAAAAAGACTAGAAGGATGCATACCACAGTGTTTATGATGTTGGTCTATATGTGAGACTGAGATTTGTCTTTTTGTACTTATCTCTTACGACTTACTTTTGTACTTATCTCTTATTCCTTGTTTTCTTCATCAAACTTCTGAAGTTAAAAACTTAAGTTTTGTAGTTAGAAAAGAAAATAAAATAAAAAAGTGTTTACAACTATGCTGATTCTACCTTTGTAATGTCTTCCTTATCTCCCTCTTCTTCCCATGTCCTTCAGCATGGCACTGGCTCAGACCTCCTCATCTCTCACTGAGACCATTGCATCAGTTTTCTAATGGGTGTCTCTATCCTTGCAAAGGATCTCATCTATCACCCTGCTCAGAAGCCTCTGAAAGTCCCTGTGTAGCATAGTGTTTTAGCTCCTTCCTCTCACCTTGTTGCACCAGTCCTCCCCTCCTCACCACACACCCAATCTGGTCTTTTTCTCCCTCCCCACCCTCATCGTCACTCACAACCCCCACCCACAGCACTCCTGCAACACCAGTGCTTTCAGCCTATCCAGCCGTCCCTGGTCATGGAACATATGGCCACACTTCAGTCTTCTCTTGTTTAAAGTCTACCCATCTTTCAAGGCCTATCTTCTTCGAGAAGCCTTCCTCTGTCATTACCTCTCTCATACTTTGGTTTACTGTTTGAACTTCTTCCATGGCCACTATTACCAGCTGCCTTCTAATACAGCGATTCCTTAAGGATTCTGCCTCCTCCTTTGGTCACCTCAATTTCAGGAAGGTCTGGGCTCCCAGTGCCTGGAGCCCACACACCGAAGGGGCTTCATGGAACTCTGCTGAATCGAGTTGTTGACTCAGAGTTGCCTCTGCACAACATGGACTGCAGTTCCAGAGTCAATGCTTCCATGTTCCGTAATATGCCATAAACGTGTGATTCTTTGACATGCAGGAATCTACTAAATTGTACATGTAAACTATCACACTTGAGTGTGATAATATGCCATAAAAATGTACACATATTAAAATATAAGGTTTATGGGCATCCCATTTGGTATTTAGAAAAACTTTTTTCTGTAACTGGCTAGTAAATATTTGAGTCTGAGCTTAATTGTGGGCAATTCCTTGGAAAAAAATGATTCTATGGAAACCCAGTCATGTCCTGGAGGCAACCACAGATAATTACACTGAGAAAACATTTCTATAATACTCCTGCTTAATATAAAAAGCACATTGTTGATTCTTGGTTTCTCTTTCTTTGCTTTCTATTTGAAAAGTGATGGTATTTCAATAACGAGAATACATTTTATTGCAGCAGTAAGCTTGTTTTATTAGCTCTGGAATATCCTTAACTATATTTTTCCCTATAAAGTTTAGGGGTTTTAGATGCCTTGCCTTCTTTTTAATTCTCCCTATGCCCCGTGCTTTGCCTGGCTCTCCACCTTTCTTTGCAGTGCTGTCATTGCACTCTTGGGCATCCGTGTTTCACATAGAACTGTTGTTACAGAAGTGAAACATAAACAGGAAGAGCTAGCCACTTCCCAGCATTTCTTGGCATGAGTCTCTTCCGTTGCATTGAGGTGCCATGTGAGTCAGCTCCACTCTGGTAGATGACTTTCCTGTTCCACCATCAGACACAGGGGTTCAGGCTGTTGCAGTATGTGAGAGGTCAAGCATGAATGGGCTTCTGAACCAAAGCTACCATCATACCCTTTTTGGTGCATGCTGTCTCCGGGAAAACATGCCCTGTAACATGCATTGCTTTATGGAACTTTGAAAGAGATACTTCCATATCATTTACATTATGGGATGGGCCTCTCCCAAAAAATTAAATTTGTTAAAATTGTGCAAATATTGATGAATCCTCCTTATCTTAGGGCTGGCTGGGGATATGGACCTCACAAGTGTTCCTACCAATATACATGTCCCTTTGGCTCTTTGTCCATCTGTCCCTCCATCCACCCATCATCTATGATCTCCCCACAACTGGGATCCTTCTGAGCAGGAATTCAGTCTGATTCATCTCAGGATTCCCAGCAACTCTTCTCGAGACTCGTGTCACGGAGGCCCAGCGCTCCCTGGGATGACGAGGAAAGTGCTGCTTTCTCTTGGCACTGCAGTGTGCACTGGAGACAGGGTGCTGAGAACACGGCCCATTTGCAGGGTTGGGTGCTGTAGAGGAACTCTTTAACTCATGTGACCCCAGGCTATCCTCTCCCAGTTTCCTGACCTCTTGGAAATCCCATAACAGCGGTGGGCAAGGGGGACACGGGTGGTCCAGCAATTAACAACTTTTCTGGTGTGTATGTGTGTATGTGTGTGTATTTGACTCTACAGGTCAGTTTTTGGGTTGTACGAGAAATTCTAACAGCACAGACTTTAAAAATAAGGGCAGAAATCCTCAGCCATTTTGTGAAAATAGCCAAGGTAAGCTTTTTATTATTATTTTTCCTTCCTTTCCCTCTTCTCTCCCACACCTCCTCCCCAAAAATATGTTTCCTCAGTACTTTGGGAGCTGCTTTGCTGTGGGCCTGCCAGGCACAGTTCAAACAGGGTGCTGTGGCTTGACTTCCCTAGGCAGAGCCAGCTGTTAGACCTGCCTGGGTGCTCACTAGCCCCCTAGCACCTTGTGCGCAAATTGGCAGCGTGCCCCACACCCTATAATTTTAGTGGCCAGCCATTCTCCTTACCTGGGCTTTCACAGTCTCTCCGCAAGGCAGGACCCAGAGGCTGCCCCTGGAATCCATTCATTCTCCTACTTTAGATTTAGCCAGTTCTGGGGGTTGATGGATTTTAGTTAGCATCAATGCTCAATGCTTGTGATATCATTACATCCTGCACAATATTGTCAGCAGTCAGCACACCCCACCCACCTCCCACTGAGCTTCAGGTCTGGGCCAGATGACTCTGCAGCCCCCCATCCCCACCTCCTGCCCCCGGCCTGATAGGTTCTGTCCTTGTTGGGAATCACCTTTTCCCTTCTTTTCCCTTATCTCTAGGAATGCTATGCCATCCCGTGGGCCATCCTGGAGTACTGTCACGCCCAGTAGCTCCTCCCCATACACTGGTTTCAACCACCCAGGCTTGCCTGACTCTCAGCCGCAGCATCGTGCTGGCTGTTTCGCTGCTTGCTTCATGTGTGCATGTGTTGTCTTCCCACCCAGGTCCTAGGAAAGCTGCCCTTTACGAGCCAGGCACCATGCTGTGGTCACCTGCTTTACTGACCTCATCATATTCAGTGCTCACATGATTATTATTCCATTTGCAGAGGAAGGAGAACTTAGAGAGGTGAAGTGTCCATGCTCAGGGCCCCATAGCCAGTCAGTGGTGGGCAGGAATCGGAGTCGTGCCTCTCTGCCTTCAGGGAAGCTGCTCTACTGGCCCTCATGGGCGGGTTAAGTGCATCATCTATTTATGTTAAGAGCAATGGCCACATTTACTTCCTATGCATTCTCCTGAAGTACTTGGAACTGGTGCTGGGCTTAATGATATTTGTTGCTGTCAATCAGTTCTGTTCTGGGCCACAAGAGAAAGTAGGATGTGGTTCCATTCCTCCTGGGCTGTCAGTTTGGAAATGTGTTTATGGTGCCCACCCATGGAATTCAAAATGATCCCTCCTTAATCTCTGCCATTTTCTGTGTGGCAGACTGTCATGCTGGCTCTGTGCCCTGGGTCTTTCCTTGTGCAAGCCCCTTCCTTTCTCTGGGCCTTGGTTTTCCCATCTATAAAATGAAAGGGGTGGGTTAGATAATTTCCAGAGCTGTGGGTTAGATAATTTCCAGAGCCCTTTCAGCTCTAAAAAGAAGTTCTGTGACAGGCATAACAATGCAGATACATAGAATGAAATTCAGTTCACTTAGAGAATCTATTCTTACACACAGGAAACAATTAGAGAATGTTACGAGATGTATGAAATGAAGTATTTAGCTCATGTGGTGAGAGAGAAATTTCCAAGTAGGAACAGAGTTGTGAGGACTAAGTATAAGGGCTTTTCCTTTCTTTATGCATTTCACTAGGCCCTACAATGTGCTGGGCACTGTACTGGGTACCAGAGACACCATGGTAGACAAAACTTTGTCCCTGCTCTCGGGAAACACACAGTCCAGGGTGAGAGAGAGGCAAGTAAAAAGCAAGTACAATCCAGTGTGCTACAGATATGCATGGACTTCTGTGGGGACACAGTCAGGAAAGACATATTAGAGGAAGGGGCAACTGAGCTTGGAAATACTTAAGTGACAGGGGTGGGCAAAGACAAGGCTGAGACTCATATTGTACTGAGCTCCTGCCCTGGGACCAGCCACTGGTCTAGGCAGTTGATATGTACTGTCTCATGTAGCAGAAGTGCCGTGATTGCCTTCTGCACTTTAAGGATGAGGACATCAAGGCTCAGAAGGATTAGGACACACAAGTAGTGGGAGCTGGGATTGGAACCAGGTCTTTTGATTCCATAGAGCGTGCCTAATAACCCAAACTTCATTGACTCCCAAGAAAGAGAAATGGCACCCCCGTCCTGTTAGCAGGTTTCTCTTAGCATAAAACCAGGAACAGAGCAGTCGCATTTTTCTGCACTTACACTCGACTGTGTCTCATTCTGTTTCCCTCCATGGTAAGAAACTTGTCTGAGACTGAATTGAATCCAAATGTTCTCACTAATTTGGGGTCTGGTTCAAAGGAACATGGTCAAGTGATGGGGAAGCCCGAGCATTGCCTTCCCAGCTGAGAGGGATTATGCAGATTGGTACCATCTTTCCTTGGCCTCTGTCTCCTTCTGGTGTTAAGATAATCATAGAAGACCCACATTGATGCTGTTGGCACAGTCGGGGTTTTAGTTTACAAAAGCCTGCTGGGACAGTATTCAGATTTGTCTAAAGAAAGAACGTAATGCACACTATCAAACCTTACCCCGTGCCACGTTTCTGTCCAGACTAGTCAGACTCACGTTTTAGATGCAGACTCACCTTTTGACAATTTAAGAGGAAAAAAGCATATGGTTTCTATGAAATCCTTAGAACTATGTTTTCCACATGAGATATTTTTAAGTGTAATTGAATTTCATAAATATGACATTTGGTAACACTTGAGCATGTTTTTGTTCTGTTGTTTATAGCAGCAAAATAATCTATTCCATATCTTTTTTTCAGAAACTTCTAGAACTCAACAACCTTCATTCTCTCATGTCTGTGGTATCAGCATTACAAAGTGCTCCCATCTTCAGGCTGACAAAAACCTGGGCTGTAAGTTAATCTCCCTAAGTCTATCTAATTTTGGCTATCATTTCATTGGTGAAGTTCTTCATTCCACAAGCCCCAGCCTTTCTCTTACTGTCTATACTTTGCCAACAACAGAGTTACTATGAGTTGATGACAGTTCTGTAGGCATCCTCACTCCGTCAGTGACCCCAGCCCCATTTTGGCACCAGGGAATGGTGAAGGTGCTGACGTGGCTGGGGTCAGAAGCCCCCAGAGTGGATCTTCCTGGACACCACGATGTCATGAGTGATGACCGGGTCAGCGGCATGACTTCTGCCCTCCACTTGGCTGGAATTTTTCTCTGGCAGGCTCCAAACTGTCCTTGGGAAGGTCTCTGGGCTGATGGTTCGCAGCTGCCCTGGGTCACTAGCCATACCGCTAAGTTTCTCTGGAGAAACCTGTGACCCCCGTGTAGGAAAAAACGGATTTTTTTCCTAAGGCCCTGGATAATTTCAGCTCAGAGGTGGAGTCTGATAGTTACATAATTGAGTCTGTAGGAAAGTTTTTCTGCTGTAAAAATACTTTAAAAATATCTCAGACCTCTTTATGCTCCTTCGCTTGGCATAGTGCCTGACATGGGGGAAGTAATTGCTATTTCCATAGCTCATTAGCATTCACCTCCTGGCCTGCCTGATCTGGGGTCTCTCACAGCCACACAGCGCAAGCCTTTTAAGACCTGTTTATATCCCACGGAACTGACAAAAACTGTATGGAATTGTCAGATGTGCTTCTGCAACTCATTTCCGAACTGCTTTCTGCCAGTCTGTGGGGCTGGGCTCTGTTTCCTACTTGGCTGGTTCAAGGGCTTTTAAAATACTCAGGGATTATGTTGTAGGTGATCGAAAATGAGCCTTGTTTCTTTAAATTGCTGTTTCCATAGATCTAGTCCTCGCAAAGTAGAGTGAGAAGTTTTAGCCCAGTGTCAGAAAACTGGGTTTGCATTCAGGTGCCATTCAGAGCATGACTTCTGTGCGACTTATTTTCTCATATCAACTCGGGGAGGTTGGCCTAGATTCTTGGTTTTCCATCAGTGCTTCGTGGAGTCCCAGGGGTTCCTTAGAGTTGCCTTGGGTGCCGCCAGGGGCTGAGAGAGTGGAGAGATGCTGCCAAGCAGGCAGTTTGGGCACTATTTCCACCAGAGCAGCTCTGTTTGTATCAGTTTTATGTACTGGACTTCTGGGTGAATTTCAACTGAGCAATGGCTTTGGAGGTCGAAAGCAAGTTTGGAAGCCACCGGTCTTAGCAGTTGCTGCCAGCCCTGTGATTCCAAGTCCATCTGACCAGTGAGGCTTTTTTTCAAAAGTTGCTTGGAGATTCTTTTTCAAATGAATTTTCCATCACTTAGATGCTGTTATTGTTTTTTGGACTGCCGGGAGCTATGTGAGGACCCAGCAGGATGATTTTTGAATCTTCTCATGATGCCTAGACTTTACTGTCAGTAATATTGTAACTCTCAACAATCCCTATAAGCTGTACAGTTGGTGGAGGCAGAGATAGTTAATACAGAGGGCTGGGTGTCTAAGGGTCTTGCGCAGAGATACGGTCCACTCAGTGATAGGGCCAGGCCCATGGATGAAGCGATGGTGTCCTCCAGGGGATGCTGTGTACTGCCAGGACAGTGGGCAGCAGCAGGTCACAGCAGTATCCAGGACCACTCTGTTTGGCTTGACAGGCCCTACTCAAGGTGGCTGGGTCTTCACTCCTGTTGATGGTTCTTTGCTGTAATGAAAATAAACCTCCAGGCCAGGTGCAGTGACTCACTCCTGTAATCCCAGTACTTTGGGAAGCTGGGGGTGGGAGGATCGCTTAAGGCCAGGAGTTTGAGACCAGCCTAGACAACATAGCAAGACCTCATCTCTGCAAATATTCACAAAATTAGCTGGGCATGGTAATGTGCACCTGTGTCACAGCTACGCAGGAGACTGAGGCAGGAAGGTCCCTTGAGCCCAGGAATTCAAGGCAGCAGTGAACTATGATTATGCCACTGCCCTCCAGGTTGGGTGACAAAGACCCCATCTCTGAAAAAGAGAGAGAGATTGATTGAGAGAGAGAGAGAGAGAGAGAGAGAGAGAGAGAGAGAGAGAGAAGAAATCTCCTTGGGGAGCCTGGAATGGAATTTGCACCCAGGACCCATTCAAAGGTGTGGGCATATTCACCTAGCTCCCTTCCAGGCCATCTGGGTTGTGTTCTTCCTCACACATATGCCAAGATAAAAGCATGTGGCAGGCACTGCCCTAAATGCTTTTTCTATCTATCTATCTGTCTGTCTGTCTGTCTGTCTGTCTGACAAGGTCTCACTCTGTCACCCAGCTGGAGTGCAGTGGCCTGAACACAGCTCACTGTAGCCTCAGCCTCTTGGGCTCAAGCAATCCTCCCACCTCAGCCTCCTGAGTAGTTGGGACTACAGGCCATACCACCACATCCAACTAATTTTTAAGTTTTCTGTAGAGATGGTGCCTTGCTATGTTGCCCAGGCTGGTCTCAAACTTCTGGGCTCAAGCAGTCCTCCTGCTTCAGCCTCCCAAACTGTTAGGATTACAGGTGTCAGCTTTTATACCTGGCCCCTAAACACTTTACATATATTAACCATTTTGTTCTGACAGCTACCCATTGAGATAGGCACTGTTACTATTGTCATTTATAGATGAGGAAACAGACACAGAAAGGTAGAGTGGTTTATGCAGGGTCCCACAGCTAAGTGGCAGGGCTAGGATCAAACCTAAGCAGCCTGGCTCCAGAATCCATGCTCTTAACCACCATACCCCACTGAACAAAAAAGACAATTCCAGCTTACTCCCTGTCAGCCAAAACAAGAGAGGGGTCTTATTTTTTTATTTTTGTTTTTGTTTTCCCTTTTGTAACATAAGTATTGCATTAGGAACTTGAAAATAAGGTTGGTAGACTACCAGTGCCTCCCAGGCCTTTGGGTCTCTGTCTTGGGTGTGGCTGCTGCTGGCCTGGCACCTGGTTGCTGGAGTGCAGCAGAAAGAGCAGTCAGAGGAGGGCCTGTCAGGGAGGGGATGTGCAGCCAATGAGCCAGAGAGCTGCAGCAGGACTTTGAAGGCTGCCCTGCAAATGCCTTCTGGCCACTGATTCCTTGGATTGATTGTTTATACCATGGCTTCTGTTGCTCCTCTACTTCCCTGGGTTGGCTCCTGTCTTTGCACCTCAGTTGGCATTTAGCTGGTGGGGAAGAGGAAGATGCCAGGGAACTAAGATTACATGTCACCTTGCTGGGGACTCAGGGAAACAACATGTCCCTGTTCCTATTCTGAGAAACCTCCCTATTGTGTCCTAAGGGCTGAGCCAGGGCTCTTTCCCTGGTTACAGAGAGCCACTTACCAGAGCAAAAGGTGGGTAGATGCAGCATCCCAGGAAATAAGAATGGCAACTGCCACAGTATTGTGTCAGGGAGAGAGGAGGTGATACACACTGTGTGGATTACAGCATGAGGTCTCCAAGGTCACTTGTGGGGTAGCTGCTTGTTCTTGGTGAACCCACTATTCAGCCTTTGTTTTAGATCAGACTCTCCCCTCTCACTCACTCACATGTCTTGTTAATCCAAGGACTACATTTGGCATAGAACATTTAGGAAACAGAGGGGGCCAAACTCATCATCTTTTTCTTTCATCCAAATCACCCCCAGCCCCAGTGGAATGGCAGACTCCACTGTCTGTATTCTTGATGCACCTGTCTGGTAACAGCACGCAGGGTGGAGCATGCACCGACTCTGCAGTTTTGTTTATAGGTCTGCCTCCCCCTTTTGACTGCATTCCTCATCGATGATGTTGATTTTTCTCTGTATCCTTGGTGCCCAGCCACTATACATTTGTTGTTTGAATTGTATGTGTTGTCCTGAGTTGCATTGCATCCTTCTTTTGCTGTTAATTTCTGGTATGAGATGGCCATAGAAATGTTGCCCAAAGAGAGCTGTTTCCTCTCTGCTCACTTGTCCTTTGAGTTGGGACTGGGGAGACCTCATGTGCCACAGAGTAGGGAGGTGCAGGTGGCATTGGAAGAACCAGCCATAACATCCCCAAAGGTCAGTGCTATGATAGTTTTTGTTTTGTAGAGGAGGAAACTGAGGTTTGAAGAGATAGAATGACTTGTTCAAGATCCAGAGCTGGTGAGTGACAGAACCAGCATGACACAGCCTTGTCCTGCTGGAATCCACAGTCCGTCTTCTTGGCGGGTATGCTGGATGGCTTGCTAATGGCAAGAACCTGTGAGAGAATCAGGCTGGGCACAGGGCAGGGACAAATAGACACCTACACTGCTTGGGAAATGGGGCTAGAGAAATGCAGCTAGCACACAGGGCCTGGGGACAGGGCAGGCCAGCTCTCTGTGCCATCCCTGTGGGTTGCACTGAAAGCCTGAATATCTGGGAAACCTGGTGGAAGGGAGTTACAGGTGTGGGAGGATACCTGCCACTTGGCTGCATCACGGATGACTTCCAGAGAATTGGCCATTAAGCTAGGGCAGGGCGTCCTGTTGGCCTCTCCATGGGTGGCTGCTAAGTGCTAGCTGCTGGGTGAGCTGCACAGGACCGACTGACACTGAACATAGGCCTGTACACAGTAGGCCCTTAATAAATGCCATCTGCATACACAAACAGGAAGACTACCATAGCTGGCCTGGAAAAATGCAGATGGGTAATGATTTATCCCAGCACTGGGACCACTTTGGAATATTGGCTCCCTTAAAGCCATGAAACCTAAGCAAGAAGTTGTAGCAGCCATTTCTGATTTCCTGAGTACACATCACCGTGTGGCTGTTATTCATTCTGCAAATCAAACATTTCTCAAATGTCAGGCCCTGAAGCCATAGTCAAGGCCCCTGTCCTCATGGGCTTTCATGTTGGGGAGAATAAACATGTGCCTAGTCTGGCTGGCACAAGAAGTGATCAATAAATGTTTATTGAATACATGAAGTGATCAGCAAAGAGCTGTCAAATTGGAAGAAAAGCGATGCAGAATACATGACAGAGAATGACTGAGTGTCTGCTTTAGTGTGGTGTTAGAGAAGGCCTTGCTTCCCTAGTGTCATGCTAAAGTACAGGCCTAACGTAGATTCAGGCCATGTACTTTCAGTCAAGGCCTGAATGACAAAAAAGAACCAGTCGTGCCAAGATGAGGGGATGAGTGTTCCAGGCAGAGGAGATGGCTGGTGCAAAGCCCTGCACAGGAATCAGCTTGCTGTGAGCAAGGAACTCAGAGGTCAGTGTGGCCAGAGCTCAGCGTGCCAGGAGGAGATGGATGTGAGAGGCAGTGACTGGGCAGCGGGGCCAATCATGTAGGGCTCAAAGCCTGAGAGAGGAGTTAGATTCTATTCCAAGTGCACTGAAGGATTTTAAACAGGAGGCGGACACAATCTGGCTTCCAGTTGCTCTTTGGTTTTTGTGTTTTTAATTACTGTTGCTACTGTGTGGAAAACAAACTGGGTGGGGGATGGGGACCAAGAGTGGAAACTGGGGGCCTACTCAGCAGGTTAGGGCAGAATTCAGGAGCAAGGGGATGTTGGCAGGATCAGGGTATGGCTGGGGATATGAGAACAGCAGGCTGATATCGGATATGTTGGGGAGAGCTGACAGATTGTGTGCTGGATGAGATGTCGAGATGAAGAGAAGAGAATGAGGGGTGAGTCCTAGGTTTTGGGCCTGAGCAACTGAGAAGCTAATGAAACCTTTTCTTTGATTAGAGTGATCTCAAGAGGAGACTGACTGCTTTGTGAGTGATCTAAGGGTATGGAATTCCTAGCATATGGATGAGTCACTCATTATAGTAATTACAGTCAGGTGCTAGACATGCCACGTGTGCGCATGTACATAAACACACACATACCCCACACGTGTGCACACATACGTACATTCTCTTCTTGCTCTGTGCATGTTCCCAGAGTGATTTGCTCTTTCCTACTGAATTGATCCAAAGAGTTTGACTCATTTGCAGCAGCATTGTGAAAATTGAAATTCTTGGCAGGCAGGAAATCATAGCTGATGGGTCAGGAGACCTGGTCTGGAGGGTGGTGACCTGGGAGGGGAACTATCCTGGGAGTGGGGCTCTTACTCCTAGATATCTGGGGACACAGTCATTGAGCTCTGCAATTCAGAGAATTGCTCCTTGTACCAAAAGAACTAAGGCCACTTTGCAAATATCACAGGACGGCAGATGTATGACATTCAGATACTTTGGAGTTCAAAGTCTTTCATCCAGGAAGTGCCCTTTGCCCCCTTTGACTGATGCAGTGCCTCAGTAGCCACCCTCTGATGTTGTTGAGAAGGTGGTGATAGGCCTGAGCTGCTTTTTGGAGGCATTTCTGAGCATTTGGTCAGGTGGGAGGTGAGTCAGATGAGGCGATAAGGAGATAGATGCAGAGGAAACCAACATTTGTAGCCCTCACTCACACATCCTCATCATTCCTCATAGCCTGGCTTGGAACTGCTTCTCAGAAGATCTCAGTCAAATCTGCTGACATTTGCACCCTCATCTTCCTTGACATTGCTACAACAATGGACACTGTTCATAACTCCCTTCTTGAAAAATCTCTTTTCCCTTGGCTTAATTTTCTTCCTCTTGACTTCTTTTGTTGCTATGGATGTGGATGTTCTGCAAGGCTGTGACCTCTCCACCTTCCCTGATCCATTTGCTATCCCTTGGTGGTCTCATCTGCTTGGGGAGCTTCAAGTGTCACCTCCTGTACCCCAGTGATGGCTGGCTTTTCAGTTATAGCCCTGATCTCTCTCCTGCACCCTAGAACCCTGTTCCAGCTGTCTGCTGCATAGATCCCTCTGCTTGCATGTTCCTTTGACAGCTCACACTTGGCATGTCTGAAATCAAACTTTGGTTTCCAGGAAGATGATGGTGAGTGCCAGAAGACTCTCTTAACAGACTGTGTTTTAGGCTCTTAGGCAGTATGGTAGACTGAGAAATAAGCCTCTCCCTCCCAGTCTCCTGCTTCAAACACACAAACACAAGTTCTGGATAAAATACAACCAAATTAAAAAACCAACAAGCAAAGCTAAATTAGAAGCCAAGAAAGGGAAGTCACCATGTGTTAAAAATAAAGTGCTCTCAGAGTCAAAACAGTGAGCAGAGTTCAGAGAAACTGCTGTGTATAAGCCTTTGCAGCTGGGAGCTAGGGTTGTAATGCCTGCACAGAGAGGAGAGTCCGGCTGCCCACACATGGGGGGCTGTAATTCAGCTACCCGTAGAAATCAGAGAGACACGTCAGGTATTGCTGCATCAAAAAGTCCCTCTCCAGCCTAGGAGAGCCCCAAGGGAGCATGAGTGGAAAAACTCATCTGTGAGAAATTGTCACCCTAGCCTGAACCTCATGCAGCGAAGGGATCTGAATACATGTTACATATGACCTGCATTTGTGTGGGGACCTCAGACCAAGAAATGAGGGGCATGGAGATTGAGAGCATAGCCTCTTAAATCAGACACCTGGGTTGAGCCCTGGGCTTACCTCTTACAATGAGGATTAAATGAGTAAATACATGAAAAAATGTTTAGAACTATGCCTGACTCATATTGAGGGGTTGGTAAGTATTACCTGTTGTTGTTGTTGTTGTTGTTGTTGTTGTTGTTATTAATATTTTCAACTCTTCTTGACTATTCTCGAATGGGTTGGCAGAGGCTTCCATCCTTGTATGACAGGGCCTTTTACTTATGGCCTGAACTGTCATCCTCTTTCAGCTGGTCCCATTGCTTTGGGACTTGCTGTCTCTGGGCCACCCTCACACCGTTACTGGAGTGATCTCTCCAAAACATACCTTCAAGGTTTTCACATCCCTGGTTAAAGATAGTTTTTAGTGTTCTCCCTCAACCCCTCGTCCACCTTGCTAGGATGGGGGCTGTGTGCCATCGCTCCTTCAGAGCAGCATTGTGCTCAGATACAACCATTCCGACACCAGTTTTTCTTTTTGATCTGCCATTTGAGCATTTATTTCACCTTCAGTTTTATGATAATAATATTTTGTCAGCCAGTCTTTAACCATCATGTGGATTTCCAACCCTGTATTTCAGTGATGCCTCTGAGTGAAGGAAAGAGACTGAGCTAGAATGAGAGAGAGAATTGGTCTGTCCTCGTGAGTGTTTCTGAGAGAGACTTGCATCTAGGGATGTGGCACATGATGAAAGCTGGTGGCTGCTGAGTGTCTTGCAGAGTGCTGAGGACATAATAGACGCATTTTGACATTGGCAGCAAACACCAGAAGATTTCATACCTACTTCCTGACCCTAAAAAACAAACCATACACCTTTCAGCTGTGGCCAGCAGTGCATCTGCTACCACCAGCAGCACAGCAACTCAGAGCCCCAAGTCATGTGTGCAAGAGATGCTAGAGTTGGCCTGAGGAATTTTCTGTTAAAACATGGCCATAATCAACTCATTCTTTTCGATTTGCTGTTCATGCTTAGCAGTTTGTGATTGGTACCCTGTTTGCAAGTTGAGCTGAAGTATCTGGAAAAGTAGAATAAGCAGTCAAAATGGTGTTCACATGCCTATGGCATCCAAATGGCCAAGTCAAAACCACACTTTGTCCAAAGGTGAGTTTCCATCTCTCCAGTCTTTTCTAGTCTTACGCAAAGCAACACTTACCTCCACTTTAGCCAAACTACTGTTTCCTTGAACATCCCTTGTATGCCCACCTCCAGGCCCGTGCTCATGCCTTTTGTGGCCTCGGGTCCTCTCCAGCCCCATCTGTGCTTGTTGAAATCCCTCTAGACTTGTTTTCAGGACTACCTCTTCCTGCAGTTCCTTCTTTGGGTAATAGAGTTTGTTCTTCCCCTAGAGAGCCCTTTCCTATGTAGTGTTCCTGATTCTTCCTTGCTAAACCAGGTTGAACAAATGAGATGTATATTTGGTGCCTGACTCTCTGCCCACCGCCAGACCAGATCTGGACCCTGAATGGGCCCTTGGCAAACTTATATCAGGGGATCGATCTCAACCTCCCAGCTCTCTACTCTTGGGTCTTTGTGGGAATATCTGCTGGGTTGCCATGGTTGGAATAAAAAAATTAACAACATTATTAGAAATAAATGAGAAAATTATCCTACAGGATTGTGTATGTATGTGCATATGCATGTGATTGGATACATGTATGTATATGTGTGTGTGTGTAACTGTTTAAGGATTTTTTTGTTGTTTTTTTTTGTTTTGAGACGGAGTCTCGCTCTGTCACCCAGGCTGGAGTGCAGTGGCGCGATCTTGACTCACTGCAAGCTCCGCCTCCCAGGTTCACACCATTCTCTTGCCTCAGCCTCTCAAGTAGCTGGGACTACAGGCGCCCACCACCATGCCCGGCTAATTTTTTGTATTTTTTAGTAGAGACGGGGTTTCACCGTGTTTGCCAGGATGGTCTCGATCTCCTGACCTTGTGATCCACCCACCTCAGCCTCCCAAAGTGCTGGGATTAGAGGTGTGAGCTGCCGCGCCCGGCCAAGGATGATTTTTTAAAAAGATAAAATCATGACTCATACAAATATAAGATGAATACTTGTCAAAGGTTTTATTTAACTCATTGATTAAGAGAGAACCAGTAAGATATTACAACCGTATCAAAAGAGAAGCTAGAGTACTACACTTTTATAATCAGGTAAGGAAGGCTAAAATCACATTTAAAATTGGTATGAAATTAGTCAGTATTCCCATGGTGATAATCAGTAGCATTTTATGAGGCATAATTTGCCTTTCCGTAGACAGGAATTATTTATATTACTACATTTTCTACAAATTAACTTCTGTCTGTACAGGGTTTAAAATAGCTTTAGTCAAAGACAAACATGGACAGCTAGCCAGCACACCACTAAATTTCAGTTACAGTTTTTCCTTGTGTTACATGCGATAGTCTCCATTGCATCTAATATTTTATATTAGGTATGTGACTTTGTAGTTTTTTATTTTTCAGAAATGGGTATTTTGCATCCAGAGAAGTAAAAAATTATTTTAAAAATTCCAGTTCATTTCCTTACTGATTCCATACCTTAGTCTGCTGAATCCATTGGTCCATAGATTATCCACAACACTAAAAATTCTTTGCATATCAACAGTAGACACTGGAATTGAAATGGAATTTTGAGCCAATTTTAACATATTTGGAGCAACAGTCTCTTTGCTAAAAAATATTTCCATGTATCAAGAAATATTATTCTCTCGAGGCAAGGGAACAAGACACCAAAGTCCTCATAAAGAAAATTTGGAGAAATTTTTTTCTCCTCCATGGAGACAACTTCCAGATTTGAACTGCTTTACTAGAAAGGGGAGTGGTGGTATGATCAGTCAAATACAAGTGCCACATACAAGGTACTCAGAGCATGATGGGAAATTTCCAAAAGCCACCCACTTCTTCAGATATTTCTCCAAGATTTGTGACCTTCCTGGCTTTTGACCTCGTGGTTTGTGAGTCCCATTTACCCTTTCTACCATGAAAATGATTCAAAATTAATAAGCAGGGACTTTGTTTTTACCTTATAAATTAATTCATTTTGCATATGTGGTTATAGCCCCTTTCTCAGTCCTATGTTGTATATTTTTGCTTTTTATTAGAAATTTTACCTATTTTATTGATATTTTATAAAAATTAGCTCTTAGATTTAGTTATCATTTCTATAGGTTTGATATTTAGCTTTTTTTAGTTTGATGGTTTGTTTTTTAACATGCCAATTTTGTCATTGATTTCTTTCTCCAGTTTTCCCACTATTTTCTTAGCTTGTTGAGTTGAATATTTAGTTCATTTATATTAGTTCTTGTTTAATAATAAATGAGTTTAAAGCCACAAATTTTCCTCCTAATGTGCTTTTGGCCTCATCACATAGTTTAACGTATAGTATTCTAATTATGTACGGCTTGTAAATAGTCCATTATCTTGGCTTTTATTTGGTCTTTTGCCCAAGAATTATTTGAATATTCAAAATTTTCCAAGTAATTGGGTTTTTCAGTTATTATTGTTATTTTTCTCATTATTCTTTTATGCAGCAAATATTTTGGCAGTGTTTCCTCTGTGTCAGGAATCATACCAGATGCAGGGAACAGTAGAGTGGATGCAGCCAGCATGGTCAGCCTCCTCCTGGAGTCCATAATTTGTTGAGGGAGACAGAAATGTTATCATACAGGCAAGCACAATCATGATCAGTATTATGGAAGAAAATCCCAGGGTGCCCCAAGACTTCTAAACTTTACTAGAAGTGAAGCTAGACTTAGTGAAATGTTCTTTAACCTTACTTTCTTATCTCTTTTCTTGAACAAGAATGGTTTTAGTATCTGTTTGACTCTGGGTAAGCAGACAATTTACTTTCTTCTATGTAGTTCTGATGGTTTCTTCCTGAGGCTTCCCATAAACTCCAAAATCTAAGGGACCCTCAAGTTCAGATGAGGTTTGCAGTTTATAGTTCTTGTAATGAAAGCTTAAAACATGTGAGTAAATGCTGTTATTTTCTGAGTAAACAAACCCTATATTTAAAAAATTAAACCTAAAAAACTTATTATCAGCATTACATGCACGTGAATTTTAAAAATCACTAAGTACTGAAAGGTTTAGTGAAACAACTAACATTCGTCACTCATCTCTCCACACCCCAATTATTCCCCAGAGGCAACCACTTTCAGTTTATTGGCTTCTTCTAGTAGTTTCTGCCATATACTTACCAATGTGCTTTTGCTACAGTTTCTTGACCCATCTGCTTTAGACAGCATCTGGTGACTTCTTTGTATGGTAGATGTTGGTTTAGTTTTCCTGAACCACCTTCCCTTGTTCCTCAAACACATTCATCATTATAGTGAAATCACTTTTGTTAAATGAATATTTGGTGTTTTAATGATTAGGAATGAGTAAATATGCGTCACTATATAGTCAAGTAGTAAACTATGAATAACATGTCCTTCCTTGAATATTTTGTCATTTCCCTGGATTTATTTATTTTTTTGTTTTGTTTTTGGTTTTGGTTTTGTTTGTTTTGTTCTTGTTTTGTTTTGGTTTGTTTGGTTTTGTTTGTTTGTTTTTTGTTTTTTTGTTTTGGGTCTTTCTATTGCCCAGGCTGGAGTGTAATAGCTCATAGCTCACTGCAACCTTGAACTCCTGGGCTCAAGCAATCCTCCCGCCACAGCCTCCTGAATAGCTGGGACTACAAGTGTGCACCACCATGCCCAGCTAATTTTTTTAATTATTATTATTTTTTTGAGACAGAGTCTCACTCTGTGGCCTAGACTAGAATGCAGTGGCCCACCCTTGGCTCACTGCAACCTTCGCATCCCGGGTTCAAGGAATTCTCCTGCCTCAGCCTTCTGAGTAGCTGGGATTACAGGCGCACACCACCAGGCCTGGCTAATTTTTGTATTTTTAGTAAAGATGGGGTTTCACCATGTTGGTCAGGCTGGTCTCAGACTCCTGACCTCATGATCTGCCCACCTCAACCTCCCAAATTGCTGGGATTACAGGCGTGAGCCACTGTGCCCGGCCTTAAAATATTTTTGTAGAAATGACATCTTGCTATGTTGCCCAGGCTGGTATCAAACTCCTGGCCTCCCAAAGTAGTGAAATGATAGTTGTAAGCTACCATGCCCTACCTATTTTTCTGGAATTTCTAATTGCCTTAAAAAACTTTTTCTTATCCTATCTACCAGATATCTAAGTAATCCTAAAATTATTTTATGTTTATTTTTTATTATATATAATAAATATGTCTATCCCCTCCCCTCCATGTGCCATCATGTCAGGTTTTTAATCAAGCCTTCTTTTTCTCTGGGGACATCTCTTCCAGGGCTGATCCAGTGTGCACCAGTTGTTCTTAAGGCCTGCTATTCATTGGTCATCCTGGAATCTCCCTTTGCTACTCCTGGATTGGATCCACAATTTCCTGTTTCCCATGTCTTACTAATTCCTGGCTTATTCCTGCATTTATCTAGAGGAAATTCTCAGTTTTCAAATACATCATCGGAAATACATGTTTAGGGTTTTCTGATGTCTTCTAGTGACTTATGCACTATTCTTGAGAAATCTGATACTGTCTGAGTCTCATTTGTAGGCACAGAAGGGAGCAGATGAGTAAAGTTAACTAGATTTAGCCCTTCTGAATGTCTGTGTGAGTGTGTGGGGCAAGTTGGGGATGAGGCATAGAAGATAGGCTGATCAGCTCTGAGGTGCTGTCCATACAGGCACTTGACAGGCTGGGCAGGTAGGCTGGGCATGGCAGGGAACATGGGCAGTCCCCCAGCTGAGACCAGAGAACCAGTGGCCTGAGCCCTGGGAGCCAGCTTGGCCCAGGCACAGTGTGTGTGAGGAGGACATCCAGATTTGTTTAATGGCTGGCATTGCCAAACAAGTAAGGGGTTCTAGGTTGTATTAATAAAGAATGACCTCCTGAATAAGGGGCGTGAGTGGTCGGCTTAACAACGGAGCAGTTCTTTGGCCGGGCATGGTGGCTCATGCCTGTAATCCCAACACTTTGGGAGGCCAAGGCTGGCGGATCAGCTGAGATCAGGAGTTCGAGACTGGACTGGCCAACATGGTGAAACCCCGTCTCTACTAGAAATACAAAAATTAGCTGGGCTTGGTGTCATATGCCTGTAATCCTAGCTACTTGGGAGGCTGAGACACGATAATTGCTTGAACCCAGGAGTCAGGGGTTGCAGTGAGCTGAGATTGCACCACTCCTTTCCAGTCTGGGAGACAGAGTGAGACTCCGTCTCCACAAAGACAAAACAAAACAAACCACAATGGAGCTGTTTTCCAGTAGGTATGTGGTTCTGGTCTGAGTATATATTGTTCATTGGCAAATTTCTCATCCTTAAGTGTTCATTTCAAATGCTGCCTCTCTATATAGCTTTCCTTGACACTTCCTTTTCCCATAATTCATTTATAATAATAATAATTATTTTACAGACAGGGTCTTGCTCTGTCACCCAGGCTGGAGTACGGTGGCGCAATCAAGACTCACTACAGACTCACTACAGCCTCAACCTCCTGGACTTAAGCAATCTTCCTGCTTCAGTCTCCCAAGTAGCTCATTTATTATTTGTCTGGGTTATCAGTCTCTGTTTACTTACCACATTGCTATACTATATCTCTCTCCTGTGTTGAATCAAGTTCCCCAAAGATATTTGGAAAAGTTACTTAATACTTGTGATTATGAACTGGAAATGGAGGTAAAAGTCCTTGCTCCATTTTTACCACTGGGCTTTGTGAAGATTAGATGAGTTATATATTACAGTGTCTTACAAACAGCAAGTAGAAGATGGTGTTTTTCCCTGTCCATTTTAGCAGACCAGTTAAGCAGCCATTGTCCTGAGCATCTGTGTAGCATCCCCACACTGAGATGTCCTGAATTCCCTAGTGGGAAAAGAAAAGTTCACTTTTATTCTTCAACTTCTTCAGCACCAGAACCTTCCTTTCAGCATATTCTTCTGCCTCTCCTTACCGAAGTTCGTAAGCTATCACTGCTCCTGTGCAAGTGGGCTGTCTTATGGCTGCATCCTCTGTGGTCCCAGAGGCTGAAGATGAAGGAACCAGGCAGGGCCTGCCCAAAGCAGCCCAGGGCTCCCTAATGCACCAGACATGGCCTGAGTTTGGGAATTGCAGACCAGGTCTCAGGAACTGCACTGCTTCCCCAGGTGCTAGGCAGTCATTTTCCCACTCCTCTCCATTGCACAATGGGGCTTTTGAACACTGGCCTACGTCAGTCTGATGGACATGGTGGGTCTCTTGTTCTAGGTTCTTGCACAGAGCATCAAGGTCTGAAGAACTTGGCCAAAGGGACTCCAACCCTGGGGCTTCTGTTTATTCATGCTCTTGGGCTTAGCCATTGACCTCCAATCCCAGAAGCACTAGGCCCTGGCAGCTAGACTCACAGGTGCTGCCAGCATCAGCCTCATGCTTTGCCTCAGCCACCCCTCCCCGAACTCCTCCTTTTAAGCCTGGCCTTTCTGCCTAGACTTCTTTCCTTAAAGCCACGTTTAGTCAGCCATGTTGCCATTTTCTGGCACTGGGCCTTGACTTGGGACTTTCAGGTTAACCACAGCCTGAGTCCTTAGCATAAAGTCTTGAAAACCAGGAGTTCTGGTTTCTGTTCCTTTCTTTTGAGAAGGCTTCAAATGCACATTGAGCCGCCATTTACATACCAGAGATCTCAGTCACAAAGGATTTGCTTCTCTAATCTCTGACTAGGGATACCTGTTCATCCTGTATTTGCTTAACTAAGTTGCCCCTTCGATGACTGCATGTAGAAAAGAAGGTTATCTTCTTTTGATTAAAATTACCACACCCAGTGTAAATATGACACAGTTGACTGTAGGGGATCTGGAGGATATAGCCTGGATTCGAGTGGTGGCTTGGCTTTGTATACATGGGCATGTGAATTGTGTGGAACTTACTGGGACTTTCAGCCCTGGAGATGGTGAGGAGAGCAAATAGCTGTGGATGCAGGGAAAGAGACCTGGTGTAGCTGTGAAATAACTCTTCAGGTGACCCTGAGCAGTCTGCTTTTCTACCTCAGCACCTTGCTGTTGTAGGCTCTCTGCACCCACAAATTGCTGTTATGTGGGGGATTCTGACATCATGTAGAACAGTGGGCCAGGTCGCTTTGGGGGATAACTTCCAAGTGTGAGATTCTGTGACAATGACAAGATTGAAGCTTTCCATCTCTGTGATGTAGGGAAGGCAAACCCTAAAATTGGTGCTTAGCCCTGGAGGGTTCTTGGCTTTGCCCAGGAGAGAATTCAAGGGTGAGCTGGTGGTGTTAGACAACAGCTTTTATTGAAGTGGCACTGTATAGCAGCAGCAGCAGAGATGTTGCTTCTTGTGGTATGGGGCTTATCCCATAGGCATTGTGCCCAGAGTAGCAGCTCAGAGGCAGGTCATATTTATATATGTTTTTAGTTACATGCAAATCAAGGTGCAGATTATGCAGAAATTTCTAGAAAAAGGGTGGTAACTTTCAGGCCATTGCCATGGAAAGGGGTGGTAACATCCAGGTGCTGCTATGGCAATGGTAAACTGACGTGGCACACTGGTGGACGTGTCTTATAGAAAGCTGCTTCTGCCTCGTCCCTGTTTTAGCTAGTCCTCAATTTGGTCCAGTGTCCAAGCCCCACCTCTGGAGTCGAGTCCTGCCTCCTTCTTCATATGCACGAAACAGCCTTTTAAAATCCTTAGTTCTGTCCAGGATTCGGCACACCATAGATATGTCACTTAGGATTTTCCCTTTTAGTCTTCATCCACAGTTATCCACTCTTTAGCTTCTTCTGGTTTACTTATTTTGCTATATTTTCTTCTCATTCTAGCTTTTAAATCGAAAAGACAAGACTACCTTTGAGAAATTGGACTACCTGATGTCGAAAGAAGATAATTACAAGCGGACACGGGAATATATCCGAAGCCTGAAGATGGTTCCAAGTATTCCCTATCTAGGTAGGAGTTTGAATTGGCTTATTTTTTTTTAAGAAACCTACTCGGTGCCAAATAAGATGTTTTTACAGTTTCTACCTGAAAAATTTCCAGGAAGCGACATGGCCCGTAGATAAAGAGGCAATTGGTTGGCTCTTTGGGTTGGAACAGGCTGTTGGTACTTCCCAAGGTTGGAAACCTGGATTAGGGTGATATACAAGTGATGTTCTGCTTTTTATATAAAAGACCTGTGGGCCCCAGGGTTCCCCAGGCTGCAGCCCAGATGGGTCACAATGAGAGTGATAAGACTCGTACTGGTTCATCCACATCCTCCTGAACTGGGGCATGTCAGGCACAAACCCTCTGTTCTGGTTCTCTGGGCATTATTAGTATATTTCATATTTGTACAAATAAAATTATAGTAATGTTTATTTTTCTGGTTAGAAAATAATGCATGTTAATTGTAAGGAATTAGAGAAAAAAGTTAATATCTTTTGTTATCTCACCTAAAGATATTTGCTTCATATCTTATTGATTTGGGCATATCTAAAATATGTATGCTTACTCTATCCTAAAAATGTTATTTTTATCTTAAAAATTTTATCTACTTTTCGATGCTATGACTCATTCCCATCAGATGGATTTGTCAAACTCGAATCTGCTCTCCAATATTGACCATTTAAGGCAGCAGCCCTCAACCTTTTTGGCACCAGGGACCAGTTTCCTGGAAGACAGTTTTTCCACGGATGGAGAGTGGGCTTAGGAGAGTGGTTTCAGGATGAAGCTGTTCCACCTCAGATGATTACTCTGAGGAGGAGCACACAACCTGGATCCCTCACATGTGCAGTTCACAGTAGGGTTCGCGCTCCTATGAGAATCTAATGCTGCCACTGATCTGACAGTGGGTGGAGCTCAGGCAGTAATGCTTGCTAGCCCATCGCTCACCTCTTGCTGTATGGCCCAGTTCCTAATAAGGAGTTGGGAACCCCTGATTTAAGGTATTTCTACATTTTTGCTATTAAAATGTCTCAATGAACGTCCTTATTGCAAAAACTTTCTACATGTAGTTATGATTATTACCTTGTGATAAATTCCTAGAAGTGTGCACAGCTTCAAAACGTATGCAAAAACGTATGCCTTTTCATGTATATTTCCAAAATGCACTCCAGAGAAGTTGTGTCAATTTGTACTTTCATCAGAAGGGGATGAAATTGCCTGTTTCTCCCACATTACAAATACTATGCTTTTTCATGGTTTTCCTTTTCCTTTTTCTTTCTTTCTTTTTTGTCTTTGCCAATTTGATAGGTGAAAAATACTTCTTGTAGTTTGGATGTCAGGGTTTTGCCAGTTTTATGAAAAAATCTTTTGATCTTTTATGATCTAAAATAATTCTAATAACAAGGGAAACCAACATTATGTAGAAGTGACTCCTGATATTTGCAAGGGATCTAGTGCAATTTTTTGAAGTTACATTTTTGACAATTTTAAAATTTCTTTCATGAGCATTGTTTATTTAGATTTTCTTTCTTTTAATTAAAAATTAATTAGAATATTTAATTCTTTTAAAGCCAACTTGGAAAATTTGTTTTTTAGTAGAAAATTGTCCATTTGTTCCAGATTTTCAATATTACTAGCATAGTTTTTTTCTTATTTAATTTTTTGACAATATAATATTCTCTTATAAATTTGAATCTCTCTCTCTCTCTCTATATATATATACACTAAATACTAAAGCAAGTATAACTAAAAATATACTAAAACTAAAAAATACTAAAGCAAACATATATATATATATATATGGTTATATTTGCTTTAGTATTTCTAATAGTTTAGTATTTCTCATACTTTGTATTTTTTGTTTTCTTTCTTTTTTAAAATTTACCTCCTTGCCAGAGGTTTGTCTATTGGTCTTTCCAAAGATTAAATTTTGGATTTGTTTTCAGTCACACTGTCTTTCTGCTTTTTAGTTTACTGTATTTTATCAATCAAGGATGTGCATTTTCTTTCCACATTTTAACACTTCTGAAATTGGGATACATCTTGCAATTGATAACAAAGCATTGTGACATTTTTTAATTGGCAGCAGTTTTTCTTAGTGATACATAAAAAAAGACACACCTGATAAAAGGTGACATCTTAAACATAATGAAATATGGACTTTCCATGTTTGTCTCTTATGATTCATCTCTCCTGTTTTCCTTAAGTTGTTTCACCATTTCTGTTAACTACTAGAGTTGAATTACTGGTTTATTTGTGTATATGTTTTTTTTTCACTTTAATATAGAAAACAGTTAAGGCTATACATTTTCCTCTAATTACTGCTTTTGTTGCATCCTACGTGTTTTGGTGTGTAATAGTCTCAGTGATATTCTTTAAATACTCCCTATAGTTTTAATTTTTCTTTTATGCAAATATTATTTAAGACAGTGTTTTTTTCATTTTCAAGGGCTTAGGCTTTTGTTTTTATTTTTAAAACAGTTTACTGAAATATAATTAATACATAATCCATTTAAAGTGTACAATTCACTGGTTTTTAGTAATAATCACAGTTGTGCAAACCATCACCATGATCAGTTTTAAAGCATTTTTATCACTCCATAAAGAAACCCCACGCCCATGAGCAGTCATTCGCATTTCCCTCTAGCTAACCCTCCTCTCCCACCTTCAGCCTTAGGCAACTATTAATCTACTTTGTGTCTCCACACATTTTCCTATTCTAGAAATTTCATATAAATCCAATCATACAATATGCTGTCTTTATGACTGGCTTCTTTCTCATAGCATCATGTTTTCAAGGTTCATCCATGCTAGAGCATGAGTAGTACTTCATTCCTTCTTATTGCCAAATAATATTCCATTGTACCGATGCACCACGTTTAATTTATCCATTTGTTTTTTTAGACAGGGTCTGGCTCTTTTGCCCAGGCTGGAGTGCAGTAGCATGATCTTGGCTCACTGCAGCCTGAAACTCCTGGGTTGAAGTGATCCTCCCGCCTCAGCCTCCCAAGTAGCTGGGACTACAGGTGCACGCCACCACGTCCAGCTAATTTTTTTGTATTTTTTGTAGAGACGAGGTTTCGCCATGTTGCCTAGGCTGGTCTCAAATCCCTGAGCTCAAGCAATCTGCCTGCCTTGGCCTCCCGATATCCATTTATTTGATAAACATTTGAATTGTGTCCATTCTTTGACTATTATGAGTAATGCTTCTATGAATGGCTTAGGTTTTTAAAAACATAGTTTTCTCTAATTTTTGAGATTTGTTTTGTGGCTTAATGTAAGATCGGTTTTTATACATGTTTCATGGTGCATGCTGGAAAAGAAGGTGTAATGTCTCAAATTAATCTATAATTGCGTTGTAATGTTCAAATTATAAATTTTTGACAACTTGGTCTAT
This sequence comes from Homo sapiens, assembly GCF_000001405.40. Lineage (NCBI taxonomy): Eukaryota > Metazoa > Chordata > Mammalia > Primates > Hominidae > Homo > Homo sapiens. The sequence goes on from NC_000009.12 coordinate 127,072,727, forward strand.
CCAGAAAGAAATATATGTTACAGTCCCCTTATATTTCTAGTAGTTTCTGCCTTACATATTTAATATATAGAAATTTGTAACAGTTGTAGATTCATTGTGAAGTACTCCGTACAAAGTTATCTTGGTTCCATTTGTTACTTGCTTTTACTTCTATTGTCTGATATTAATTGTGTGACATCTATTTTATTTTTCATTTGGATTTTTTTGCCAAGTGAAGACATTATTTGTATTGATAGATAATATTTTACATATTTAAGGGTCACGTGGTATTTTGTTACATTCATAGAATGTATAATAATCAAGTCAGGGTATTTGGGGGTATCCAGCACCTTGAGTATTCATCATTTCTGTGTGTTGGGAACATTTCATGTCCTCTCTTTTAGCTACTTCAAAATACACAATACAGTGTTAACCATAATCACCCTACTCTGCTATTGAACATTGGAACTTATACCTTCTCTCTAACTATGTTTGTATCCATTAACCAACCTCTCTTTATTCCTCCTTCCCACCCACACACACTTCCCAGCCTCTGGTATCTATCATTCTACTCTCTGCCTCCATAAGATCAGCTTTTTTAGCTAGCACATATGAGTGAGAACATGTGATAGTTGTCTTTCTGTGCCTGGCTTATTTCACTTAACATAGTGACCTCCAGCTGCATCCATATTGCTGCAAATGACAGGATTTCATTCTTTTTATGGCCAAGTAGTACACCATTGTGTGTGTGTGTGTGTGTCTGTGTGTGTGTGTGTGTGTGTATAATATTTTCTTTATCCATTTATCTGCTGATAAACACTTAGGTTTATTCCATATCTTGGGTAAGGTGAATACTGCTGCAATAAACATACAAGTACAGTACTGGTTTCTTTTCCTTTGGATAAATACCCAGTGGGATTGCTGGATTGTATGGTAGCTCTATTTTTAGTTTTTCAAGCAATCGCTATACTGTTTTCTGCAGTGGCTGTACTAACATACATTCCCACCAACAGTGTGTAGTTCCCTTTTCTCCACATTCTTGCCAGCATGTTATTTTTTGTCTTTTTAATAATAACCATTGTGGCTGGCCCAAGACGATATCTCATTGTGGTTTTGATTCATTTGCATTTATTTTATAAATCTTTGGCTATAGTTTAGATTTTAATTTTTTATTTTATTATTATTATTTTTTTGAGACTCAGTTTCACCCTTGTTGCCCAGGCTGGAGTGCAGTGGCGCCGTCTCGGCTCACTGCAACCTCTGCCTCCCGGGTTCAAGCAATTCTCCTTCCTCAGCCTTCCGAGTAGCTGGGATTACAGGTGCCTGCCACCATGCCCCGCTAAGTTTTGTATTTTTGGTAGAGACGGGGTTTCACCATGTTGGCCAGGCTGGTCTCGAACTCCTGACCTCAGGTGATCTGCCTGCCTCAGCCTCCCAAAGTTCTGGGATTACAGGCATGAGCCATGGTGCCTGGCCGAGATTTTAATATTTTAAGTTGCCTTGATTTAGTCATGATTCTTGCAAACAGCATTTAGTTGGACCGTGCATGAGAAGCCTTGCCTTTTAGTAGGGGAATATACCACTTTCATATTTGTTTCACCTTATGCCATAGATTGAATTCTATTTATTTCTTTTTTTCATGCTTTTGCATCTTTCCTTGTTTTCTTCTTTGGCTTACCATAAACTGCAGTGTCTTTCTACTTGGTTACTGGCAAATCCCCATCTCAGGTCTGCAGATGGAAGGCATGTTGCTGTGCAGAGCTCCCAAGTCCATTTCCATCACACCTGAGGCTCATCAATTGAGAGACAACGTTGATGGTACTACCGTGAGGGTAGCCTAGTGCAGCCCACGGGTTCCACTAGCAGAGGTGTTCCAGGGTCATTAAGGATGGCCTCTTTTCTCGAATAAGGATGATCATGAGAGCTGCTGTGCATTGTTTGCTTTCTCTGTGCCTAGCACTTTGCTAGGCATTTGAATGCATCATTTCACTGAATGCGCACAATAGCCCAGTGAATAAGCAGGCAGTGAGAGGTTGCCTAAGGTCACATAACTGGAAAGTAACAGAGCCAGGACTGGGCCCAGATGGCCTGGCTATAAGCCCTAAGCTCTTGACACTGCCCTCTCCTGATTCCCCACCCTATTCAGGTTATTATTTTCCTACACACCCTTGTGGTTACCACCTGTGTCCTCTGGCTATTTATGACTTGTGGGTGGCCCCCATCAGGCACTGTGTGAAGGGTATAAATTATTGCTCCTGTTTCTTGTGACATTCCCTATTGTGGGACCACAAAGCAGTGCAGTCTTGGGCTTCCAAGGGCATTGGTCAGCCTGTGCCAGCCTTCAGGCCTCTTGCCCCTCAGAGTTTCTAGACAGATGCAGCCCCCCATGTCCTTGATCACCTCATCTCAGCTGCTGCTTCCTGGCAGGTGCTTCCCAAGAGGCTCCATGGAGGCCTCCATCCTCCTGCATTCTTCCTGCTTCTGACTCTAAGCGAGTCCAGCTGAACTGCTGTGGTCTTATCCCTTCAGCCTTATGATTATTTTCCTCTCCCTTTAAACCAGGTGGACTACATTTCTTATGTTGCATCTGACATATACAAGTCAGAGGGAGAGAAGAGGAGGTGACTGCCACCTGCTCTCTGTTCTTGGGATAGTGTATGAGGGTTTACCATGGGGTGCCGTAGTTTGCTTAAAAAAGAATGAAGCAAGACCTCCTGAGGCAGCTGGGAGTTCCACCTGCATGCATGTCTGGTTGCCTTGGACATACCCTACCCAAATCCAGGTTGTGTATTCTTCTCAAAAATGCAACCTGTCCCAGGGACAGATTTGTTTATTTAAAGAGGAATAGTTATATAATTCCTGGAAAGTACAACATAGGAAAAAATATCTGAAACCATTTGTTTTTTCTCTGGCAAAGTCCTCACTATAGGTCTTTTCCCCCTTGGGGTGAGAGGAGGCTGTTTTTCTGGGAGGAACTGTAGGTCAGTCCCTGATACTTCAAGCTGCTTTGTTACTTCTGTTGCTTGAGACCGTGAATGCTGCTTCAGCAGTTATTTGTCTCTAATAGCAATTATGGGCTTTATTTTTGTAACAATTCTTTTAACCCTCTGTGGAAGATTCTATATGCTAACTGGTCTCCTGTGACTATTCACATATGTGTCTCTTTGTTCCATGTAAAGATGCCTTTATGTAGTACTAGCCTTTGTTACTAACCACATGGGTGTGATTCTGACTCCTTTTAATGCAAATTGTAGAGCCAGTTGGCTGTACTTTGGTGTAGTGAGTTCCTGATGAAACATAATTTTAAAAATACTGAGGGAAAAATGTATTACATTTATAAAATAAGACTCTTTGAATCAAAAAGTTTCTTGCAGATTACTTCAAAGTGTGAAAACAGTGTTGAGAAATAGTTCAATTATTTGCAGCTGATTTTATCTGATAGCAGCTCCTTGCAAATACCCGGTTAGATTGGAATGATAACAAAAGCAAGCAAAGAGCTTTGAAGAATGTCTACATCATTTGCTTATAAATAGCTGTATTGATTTAGGGGGTGTTTTGTTCTTACTACTTATTTCCTTCAGGAAATAACTAAATTAGAAATGTGATGGATCTTAAATGGTTTAGAGCTGATTCTAAAAGTAACCATAGCAGTGTGGAAAATTATGATCTCTCAAGGAACAAAAATTAGGTATTCTAACACTTCTGGATAGTAAGAAAACATTTGGAGACATTCTTAGTAAATTTACCCAGACTTCTAACATGTGAAGTAAATTTCTAGAACGTAAGTTATTCCTTCAAACAAGCAAACCTTTCCATTTTTCAAAAAGTAAGACTTTATTTGCAAATATAAATTCTAAAGTTTAAAATCAAGACAAATTTTTCCAAATATAAAATCAACAGGGCTAAACTGTTGGATATCTAAAAGGGCTTTCAAAAAGAAGTGATCATTGGTCAAAAAAAGTGTTTACTCTGATGCCCCAAAGCCTCCCAGTCAGACACCACCCCTGCCCTCATGGAGCTCACAGTCCAGTTGTGATCACCAGCACTGGACAAGAAACTGCAAGTGAGCTGAGCATTTTGAAGGAAAAGGCAAAGGAGCAAACCAAGGGGGCCCCAGCTAGTCTGGGGGAACCAGGAAGGGCTTTCTGGAGGGAAGTAGAGTCCTGAAGGATGAATAAGCTGGGTGAAGAGGTGGGAAGTGAGCATTTTACACGAAGATGACAGCTTGTGCAAGAACCCTAAAGTGAGGAAAAACATGTTTGTTAGAAAAACTGGCCGGAGAGTAGTGAATGAGGGGGAAGGTGTCATGTGGAGCAGCTGCAGTGGAAGGGAGGGGAAGATTGCTTAGGGCCTAGACATGGGAGTCAGGAGGGAGTGGGGAGCCCAGGCTCTGACCAACCTAGAAGCAGGAGGGAGCCATGAAAGGGTTTTAAGCAAGGGCATGCTGGGTTGGATTTGCATTGAACACACCTCACCTTGGCTGCAGCAAGTGGCTTTGAGGAGGTCAGGCTGGAGGAGTGAAGGCCAGTTAGGGGATCCTGTAGAAGCCTGTGATGAGTCACTGTATTTCAGAAATTTCCAGGGAGGGGGAAGGCTCTTTAAAAGCAGTTCATTTTAGAGCAAAGCCTTGGAGAGACCTAAAACAGTTGTCAGAGAGTATATCCCTTATACCTGATGAAGACACATAGCATGTCCTTGTACTCTGGTTTTGAGAATCCATTTGTGCGTTTCAGCTGTGGGACCCCTTAAAGCAGAGAGGAAAGAGCAAGCAAGGGTGGGATCAAGCCAAGGATGCGGCAGAGCTGCTGCTTCCCTGAACAGGGATATGAGTGGTGGCCGTTGCCCCCTTGATGGGGGCCACCACCCTAGGACCAAGGTGCAGTAGTTCCCTTGTCAGGATTAGCAATAATGTTAACTGGCTGTCCCTAGGTTGGCCAGCTTTTAATGCCCAACTGAAAAAATTCCATTCCACATGCAGGAAATCCAGCCTTTTTTTCATTTCCCCTCCCCACGTTTCCAAGGTTCCCCAAGGAGCACTCATTTGTTCCACAGATCCATCCTGGTTGTTGCTTGGTGCCTCAGCCAGCTGCCTGGCCCCAGACTTCTGAGCCCTCCCGCTGGTCCCCTCCTGCATTTCCCAGTTGGACCTGTGTGGAACCAGGCTGCTTCCTTAGCTGGAAAAGGAGGTATCTGTCAGTCCACAAAGCAAAGCTTAAGGCTGGATTCTGGTCTGCCTGCCCATGGAGCAATAGACCTTGTTCCTTTTTCTATTCTGCCCTGATGGCCACATGCTACAGGGGCCAACTTGCTGCCCTCCCCACCCCCAGCCCAGGAAGCCTTTGAACAAATCTCCCCTTCCCTAAATCTAGGCATTCAACCCTCTCTGGGATCCAGCAAGCAAGGAAAAGCTTCCCTCGACCCCAGGCTCAAACATACTTCCCAGTCAACAGAATGATCTCAAAGACGCTATCCCATCCAAAATGAAGGAAACTATTTCCATGATTTTGAAGAGTGGTTAGCTACATTTTGTTTCAAATCTCTCCCTTCCAGAAGGGAAGAGATTGCCTTTACTTTTGCAATCTCCGGATTTGTTACCTTAAAATTCACATTTTTTCTGGGACTCTGTAGTCTTTCTCATTTGTTACAAAAGGCCAGTGGATGTTATTAAAACCCATTTTATGAATGAAGAAAAAAAACATAGCTTGACTCATGACTTACCCAACATCATATCCCAGGCGGATACCAAGTTTAACTCAAGATCTCATGCTTACTGCTGAGGTTCCACCCAGCCTTAACTTACGCATCCTCCTTTTAATATCTCCGTCTCCATGGAAATAAACAGTAGAAGGAAAACATGTGGGGGCCAAGAAAGGAGCACTAGGTGGAAAGTCTTGTTTTCCGAATGCTTTGCTGCCCAGAGCGGGAGAACCTTGTCCCATTTGTCCCTTCTGGGGCAAAGGGAGGATCTGCAGTCAGCTTTTCTCTGGGTCAAGAAGTTGTGTCTGACCCTGCAAAACGAGGTATGAGCATAAGCCCATTTTGTGCAAGAAAAAGTGTTTTCATGGTAGGAATCTTTATACTCATTAGGATGACTATTCCTCTTTGACTTCCTTTAGTTTTTTGGATTTCGAATTAGAAACTAACACTAATTACAAAAACTCATGTTTACTGTTTTACTATGTGATTGCACTGCATTATCTCATTTAATCCTCTCAACACTCCTTCCTCTGAGGGAGGCATTATTTTTGTCTTATTTGCTAGCTGCAAAATATGAACAAGATTCACATTAAAGTTTACACACTAGTAAATGGTGAGATCAGTGCTTGTATCCAGGTCTGACTCCAGTGCCCCAACCACTAACCTCAAAATATGCCATGTGTTCACCAGAACAGGCCTTTAACCTCTGGGTAAAACCACACCTGAGAAGGAAAGTACTTCTAGGGACTCTTCCTGTGTGGAACAAGGAGACTTCCTGGTGGGAGGTCCTGGAGAAGCACATTGACTCATGGGTGGGGACAGAGTGGATTGAGTGGACACTGGTCTTCTACTGACGCATTCTTATTGTCCTCTTGTACCTGGGCTGGCCCTAATAAAGAAAAGGATTGGGACAAAGGAAAGACTGGGGAGCTTCTGCATCCTCAAGACCAACCTGGAGCCATTGGGATGTTTCATGTAGTAGACAGCTCTTCAGATGGCCCCCGATGATTTCTGTTCCCTAGTATTTGTATCCTTGTATAATCTCTTCCCCTTGAGTGTAGGCAGAACATAGTGATTTGCTTCTAACAAATATGACAGAAATAATGGGATGTCCCTTCCAAGATTAGATCATTAAAGACTATCCCTTTATGTTGAGTGCTTGCCCTTTCTACTCTCTTTTGGATCATTCATCCTGGAGGAATCCAGCTGCTCTGTGTTTGGCAGTCGTGTGAAGAGGCCCGTGTGGCACGGGATTGAGACCTGCCAACAACCATGTGAGGGAGTTTGGAAGAAGATTCTGCTAAAAAGGCGAGCCTTCAGATGAGACTGCAGCCCCAGCCAATAGCTTGACTGAAGTCTCATCACAGACCTTAAACCAGAGACACCCAGCTAAGACATGCCCAAATTCCCAATCCACAGAAACTGCAAGACAATAAATGTTTATTGTAAGATGCTAAGTTTCAGAATAATTTGTCACACAGCAATGGATAACGAGCACATTGCACAACCTTTATCACTACTCCACATTTATTACTTTGTTGACCAATCTGTACTGGGACAAAATCAACTGTAAAACTCAACACATAAAGGACTACAACACTGGCCTCTAGGGCAACAGGACGTGCTGGACTCCTCTCGAAAGCTAGTTTTGAGGTGGGGGGATTCGATAGGCTAGAGAAAGTGGTTGCTGCTTTGAGAGGTGATGAGTTCTTGCAGTTCTATGAGAAAGATGGGTGCCTGGGGATGACTGATTAGGGTCTGAGAGGGCCTGGAATGTTACCCTTAGGAAGCCTGTTGTTCCCTGATGGAGTATACAGTGGGCTCCTGAGTACTCAAGGGAAACAAAGATATATCCTTTTTTGTGACCATCCAGAAAGGCATTTGGTGCCCACTCATTCTTTTAAAAACTTAAATATTACAAAAGTAACACATTGCTTGTTGTAAAAATTATTCACACTGAAAAGAAGTTTATAAAGTAAAAAGTGAATGTGCCATTCTTCTTCTCCCACTTTCCAGAGGCAGCCAGTGTTTGCAGTGGGTATGTGTTCTTCCAGACATTCTTATCCACAAATACAAAAGGACATGCCTGTGGAGGGGCACATATGATATTGTGCTTTTTAACCAAAGTGGGAACATTTTATATGTGTTGTTTTGCACATATAAACTATCATAGATATTGTACAGTGGCAGCAAATCTAGAACTCCCCTGTTCTTTCTGGTAGCTCTTTGACACCCACAGATGTATGGGCAACGTGTTGGATATCGCCTGGATGAGTGCTGATTTGTCTAGCTGTGTCCCAACTGATAAATATTTAGACTGTTTCTAGTTTTTCCCTTTTACATATACAAGTTGAATATCCCTAATCTGAAAATCCAAAATCTAAAACATTTTGAGAGTCAACATGATGCTCAAAGAAAAGCCTCACTGGAATATTGTGGATTTCAGATTTTCAGATTAGGTTTGCTCAACAGGTAAGTATAATGCAGATATTCCAAAATCTGAAAAAGTCTGAAATCTGGAACATTTCTGGTCCCAAGCATTTTGGATAAGGGATGCTCAGCCTGTAGTGCAGTGGGGAGCATCCTTATCTGTGTGTCTTTATCCTCCTGTTAAAGTACTTCTGAAACACTGAGTGCTGGAAGTGGAATTGCTGGGGCAAAAACTCTTTGCAACTTTACAGTGCCTACTGCTGGAATGCCCTCTGAAATGCTTGCAGTTATATTTCTGCAAACAGGATATGAGTATGCCTATTTTTTCCACTCTTACCAACACTAGATATTATCCACCGTGTTTTATTTATGCTAAAATGATAGGCACAAAATGGCATTTTTTTTTAAATATACATTTCTCTGCCCACCAATTCTCTTGGGCTCTAAGATAGGTAGCCAGGCCTTCAGGCCTCCTACCCAACTGATCAGCCACCCTCTGCCCTTGCCTCTGCTTCCTGAATATCTATCCTTATTCCATCTCCCTGTGTTCCTACCACAGGCCTGCACTGCCCTGATTGATGAGGAAAGGCTGCCTTGCTGTTGGGTTCCTGTGGAGAGGAGGCTGACCTAAATCCATGCCCTGCACACTTGCCTGGGCATTAGTCAACCTTCCAGGCTTGGAGAAGGCTGTGTGCTTCTTTTAATCGTTTTCCCTTGTTGAGATGACGAGGGCGTAGGCCTCTGTCATCACATGGCCCCAGAAGGGAATTCTAATTCCACTCCCTCCACATTAACTATCCTTCTAGGCTCTGGGCCATTCCCAGCTCTGTTGAGGCTCAGGGCAAATGTGGCCTGTCTTTCCTCCTCCAAGGAGCCCTCTCCTGGTACTGTGAGCCCTTCAGCTTCAGGATGTGCTGCAGCAGTGGGGAGGGAACATTCCTTGACCAGCCCTTGGAGCTGGATTTATTAATATCATGACCATCAGCAAGCACAGCATGGGACAGGCAGATGGCCCACCCACCTAGGAGGTGCCGCATGTGGCAGCGCTGTGGGAATGCCACGCAGATGGGAGAGATTGTCTGCGTCTGGGCTCCCAGTGTGGGCTGAGCTGGCCCAGGATGGCCATTCAGGAGAGACACGGATATTTGAATGTCTCAGGGATGGCTGGTATTGAAACATCATGTCCACAGAGGCAGAATCCCAGACTAGGGCTGGTTCAGGCCTGACTCTGAGGTTTGAGAGAGACCTGTAAGCAAGTGCCAGGCCTGGAAGCATGGATATGGGAGGTGAGCCACCACTACTGGAACCCAGTTACCAGATAATGAGGACCAAGGCTTGAACCAGGTAGATTTGGTCATCTGGTGACTGCCAGAGCATCCACAAGTAGGATGTTCGGAGTAGCAAAGCAGGGGGGCTGATGAGTCTGTAAGCTGTAGGACAGTTGGCAAGAAGAGGAGCTGCAGCCTGGCAAAGGATTGGTAGCCCAGGGAGCTGTGGAACATTCTCCAGCACTGCCCCTTGTTACTCCGTGTCCATTGTTTGAGATAAATTAGGCAGACAGCTATGGACTGGCTTCCTGACATCTAGGGACCTTCTGGTATCAAGCTGCTGCTGCTGCATAGGCAGGCTGGCTGGCTACCTGACATATCCACTCCTGCTGTGGGCAGGAGGCTCCATATCACCGTGATTCTCAGATGTATTACTGAGTGATACGGGGTGACATAGGAGCTGTAGTGTGATCTCACTTCCTCCCTGGGTATAGTGATCGATGCTGTAGAGGCAGGAGCTCAGGAATCAGACTGACTCGAGTTCACATTCTGAGTGTCAGGCTGCATGCACTTGGGCAGCTCACTTACCTCTTTGATGTAAGTTTTCTGTTACGTTGAAGAGAGAGTAATTATAGAATCCACCTCGTAGAGTTGTTGTGAGAATTTAAAGAGCCATGCATACTGCCTGGCACATGGAAAGCACCCTATAGATGATGGCTAGTATTAGTGCTATCCACATGAAAATACAGCTAAGAAGACCCTATCAGTGAGAACCCTGTTGCCCCCTGTATCCCTATTGAGAAACACAGCATACCCAGGAAGGGCAGCGTACCCAGGAAGAGGCCCATCTGGGCACAGCCAGGTGTCATGTTAGTTAGCCACCTGGGCTTAGAAGGGTTGGATGTGATTTCCGGGATAGTGCAGGGGTCAGCAGCAGGAAGGGCTGGGGAATAGGATCCCATCTGATGAGTAATGTCTGGCTGGCAAAATATGGTCCTGGAGAGGATGGGGACCAATAACATCTGGAGTGTAGTCTAGACACCTTTTTGGATAGACACCCAGCCTGTGACCCCTCCTTCTCTGGGAACCTACTTCCGCTGCTTCTCCCTTGGCACTGCACGCCAGCAGCAGTGTTCCTTCCACCTAGCTCTGCTCCACGGGCAGAGCCCATAGAGTTGGGGTGGATACCCAGCCTGAACTGGGCCAGTTGGATCCTCTATCTGGGAGCCAGCATTGGAACATAGATATGCTGGCACTCAGATCAGGAGGACGTGAACTGAAAAATGCCATCTGGTGCCATGTGCCAGGACAACTGCAGAGAATAGTCCACAGATGGATGCTTGATGAGAAGCAGAGAAAGAGACCCTGCAGGAAAGGGAAAAGGAAAGAGCAAGGGAGAGGGGCTGAGAAAGTTGCTGCCTTGCATCTTGAAGGCTTTCCAGGCAATTTCTGGTTCCTGGCCCTTGTGAGGCCCAGCTGTGTCCCTGCCCATGGACTTGGGGAGATACCTCGTGTCCTTATGTAACCAGCTTATTAAATGAGCTGGACTCAATCAGGTGTAAGAAGAAACCAAACTCATTTTTTCCCCAGTGTCCTTTTGAGCCTACTCTGTGGACTTTTCTTTTCCCAGTCAAAGCTGAGAACTTAGCAGGTCCTTTGGTCTTTGAGGTGCTAGGCATGAAGCAGCCCAATCCATTCTAACACTTCCTCATTCCAGACAGTCCAGTGTAGTAATTGCAAGTCTGGACTCCTAAAGCTGACCAGCTGTGGAGGTCTGGAGTGGGGGAAGACAGATGGTCAGCTTGTTTGTTTGTTTGTTTGTTTTGAGACAGGGTCTCATTTTTTTTTGCCCAGGCCTGGAGTGTGGTGGCATGATCTTGGCTCACTGCAGCCTCTGCCTCCTGGGCTGAAGTGAGCCTCCCACCTCAGCTTCCCGAGTAGCTAGGACCACAGGTACATGCCATCTTGCCAAGCTAATTGTTTAATTAATTAATTAATTAATTTTGGTAGAGATGGGGTTCTCACCATGTTGCCTAGGCTGGTTTCAAACTCCTGGGCTTGAGCAGTCCTCCCACCTCGACCTCCCAAAGTTCTGGGAGGCGTGAGCCACAGCACCTGGCTGACACGCAGTCCACTTCTTCGCTGGATCCCGGCCAGTCCCACTGCCTCCCCAACCTGTTCACTGAAGTTTCTGGCCCGTGGCAACAGGGGAGGAAGAAGGGAGAGAGAACGGCCCATCTTTCATAGCTGTTGGTAACTCAGAGCTCGTGCTCCCTCCCTGGAGTAATGTATAGCTCCCTCCCTGGCTCCTGTACTTCCTGCCCTGCCCCTACCCCCACCATCCAGGCAGCCCTCTGGTCCTAGGAAGCCTGAATTTGTGCCTCGGTGGGCTGGCCTTGTGCTGTCAATGTGGGCCCCTCTTCCCACTGCTCTTTGTGCCCCTGGGCCTGAGTCAGACAGGAGTGCTTATGCTGTCCCATGCCAGGCTGTGGGAATGGTCCCTTGAAGTCCCTCTCACTTGACTGAAGGTGGATGAAAACACCCCTCTTCCTTGTGGTAGTGGGGACACGTGAAGGACAGTTCATTCTCCCCTCTCCAGGACCTTCTTTCTATACTTCTCACACAGTGTCAGGGAAGCCATCAACTAATGCTGGAGAGCCAGTGCGGGGCCATGCCCTTTGCAGGGATGATCTTGCAGCTTTTATCTTGTCCTTAGCCTTTGAAGTCTCAGATAAAAGTGAGGCAGAAAGAGCGCCTTTTAGACATGTTGTTACACTTAAAAGCTTCCCTTTTTGGCTTAATCTAGTCATGTGGGTTTCTCTTACTATAACCAGAGTCTTGACAAGTCTGTGTGAAACAGATGAGGGGGTCTTGGGAGATCAGAGAGGACACCTTGAACCTCCTAAGAGTGTCTGTGAACTGTGAGCATGGTACACTCCCATTACCATTGTTTTCAGTAATGTGAAGGTTTCTCTTTCAGTCTTGCTCAAATTGGCAAGATTACGGGGAGGGGGTCTTTTTCAGTGTCACTTGCTCAGAAAACATCACTGTCTTCTGGCCCTGTTCACACAAGCCCAGCAGGTGGGTGCCGCTTGTCACCCAAGAGACCAAGGTATTGGCTAAAACTGGGATGCAGGGGTTTGGCTGGGGCAGGAGAAAGTCTGGGCTTCATTGACTTCCTTCTGGGTCTGCAAATGCAGTGCAACCACCATGGCGAACTTAGTAATAGTAGGACTCCTGTGATTGTAGTCCTTAAAAGGTCACTGATGGGATAGGAGAGGATGGTCTGGTTGGCAAGACCCCAGGATGCTGACTGGCTGTCTTTGCTGGCAGGTAGAGCAGTTCACTGGGTACCCAGGCTAGGGTGCTTGGACAGAGCCCTCCTGCCCCATGCTCTTCTTCCATGCCACCAGCTTAGTGAACTGACCCCTACCTTTCATTTTCTCCACATCTCTGATGAGCTTTTTCCTTCCTCTCCTTCTATATAGCCTGGGTGTGGTTTGATTAAGATTCAGTCTTGGGTATTGAGATGGGGTTTGGGAGAAATAGCTGGTATCATGACCTGCTTTCATTTGAATCCTAACTAGTTTAGAAAAAGGATGGCTCTGCAGTGTCCAGCAATGGCTTTCCAGAGCTCTCTGTTTGGGGTTTTGGAGCCAAGACCAGTGACCAGTAAGGTTGGGCCTTGTTTTCCTTTGCTCTTGTTCCCTATGTCCCACACACTCCACTCCAGATGTGTGTGGAGGGGTGACTATAGTCTGGGCCAAGATTAAGATATTTTCCTCAAATAGCATTCAGATTCCACTGTGATCCCAACAACTGACTAGGGGCTTAGGAGAAGGGAGTTGAGAACTCTTAATTGATGCCTGACACCCAGCACCTTCTGGATTAATTGCTGCCGGGGTATTCTTACCAGCAGTCTGACTTCAAGCCTCATTTCCGCCTCTTTTGTAAACTGAGAATAATGATCCCTCCTTCACAGAGCTTCTGTGAAGGTGACGTAAAATGCACACGCGCACACGGACACACACACACGCCTGTTTCTAATCACATGGTAGGCTTCAGTGCGTATCAGTGCATCTCTCTCTAACTGCAGCTTTACTAGAAAAAGCTATCATATGGTTATGCCACTTGGTCATTAGGTAGAAGGATTGCTGGGGCCCAGGGTATAAGTGCATTTACAATTTTGATATATACACTGGCAAGTTACTCTTCAACAATATGGAGTCAATTTATATGTCCATCCATAGTGCACACATCTGTCCATTCCCTTGTCAACATGGAGATTGACATTTTTTTCATCTCTGCCAATCTGACAGGCCACACGTCATGGTTTATCCTTCACTTATAGCACCTCTCTGATTACTACTGAGGTTGACATCTTGTTTACTGGCCATTTGTGAGTCTTCTCATGTGTACATGTACTTTGCCAAGTTTTCTGTTACAGGATTTGCATCTTTCTTAATTTGAAAGAGGTTTTAGCATAGCACGAATATTCTGTATTTGCTATATATGTTTCAAATATGTTTCTCTTGTTCAATATTTGCCTTTTAATCTTGGTCATGTTTTATTTTTTTGCTTTGTTTTTTGGAAAGCAGAAAATTTGAGTTCTGAAAAAAGTTGTATCTTTTAGTCTTTTCCTTTAGGTTTTGGGGTTTCCTGTCATGCCTAGAATCACTTCCCAACCCACAGATTTGTTTTACAAGGAGACAGTTCTAGCAGCTAGGGTGGAAATTGGACTGGAATGAGGGAGATGGAGACTCCTGGTCTGGAGCCTGGTGCAGTAGTTGAAGGGAGAGGAGATAAGATCCTACGCTAATGCAGGCAAGATGGCTTGGCGTGGAGGGATGGATTGTCCTTGGCAGGGGAAGGGAGAGGTCCTTGTTTTTGATCTGAGCAATTGAGTACCTGGTGCCATTTGGTGAAAAGGGACCAGACCTGGAAGAAAGGTACGTCAGGTGTTAAGTGCACTGCCCGTGAGGTGCTTGGAGGATATCTGGTGGAGACATCCAGGACACAGCTGGATGTGGGGAAGTGGAGCTCCAGAGAGCCATCTTGGCCTGAAGTACTACTGTGGTACTTCTGAGGGTATAGGTGGTAACCAGAGATAGGGTGGGTGTGATTTAAATGATTCTGGTGTGTGTCCTGGTGCCGAATCTCTTCCTGGTTTTACTTAAAGAGGCTCTGATATGGGAGGCCCCAGGAAGGCATTCTAAAACAGTAACACAGAGTGTAGATACATCCAAATAGCACTGATGGCTTTTATTGCAGATTCGTGTCATTACAAGGATAATCTGGGAATATATTTTTAAAAAAACCCTCCCTTTTATATACACAAAACATGCTACATGGTACACTTTGTGAGAAATGCTGAGGTAATAGGCACACACCCAGACATGGACAGTACCAAACATCCAACATCTCACACAGCCTGGCCCACGTGCCCACCGGGAAGGGTCTCACCTTCTTGACTCATCCCTTGCCCCTTCTTGGCAATAGTCCCGGGAGTGCTGAGGCTGACACTTGGTGGCCAACAGGACTCAGAAAGCCACCATGCTGCAGTGCATCAACCAAGGGGTCCGGTGACCCCTGATTATTCAACTCCTGAGAAGTGGCCTGTTTTCATTTTTGTGGCACTTGTTCTCCAGGGAAGTGTAGTTTGGAGATGAGATGCGGACTCTAGTCAGCCTGAGAGCGTGGAATCTCTGGTCTGTAGCCATCTGGGGGCTCTGATGATCTGATGACTTCTGTTCTGAGATAATTCTCCTGGCCAGATAGGTTATTATTTGTGTGAAGACTCAAATGACCTGTAGGTTAAAGTATGAATGGAAGATACAAAACTGCGAGTACATTATCTATACGGCCGGTGGAGCTTTTGGCCTGGCCTTCCCTTCCCAACCAGAAACCTGGAGCCCGGAGTGTTTCCTACTCAGAAGCTGAGGAATCTCGCCTGGAAAGAAGGGGCTGTGCGACAGAAAAGGCAAGGAGTAGGTAGGCGAGGAGTACAGCAGAGCGGAAAGGGGGCCTTGAACTGCAGTGAGTGGCCAGGGACTGACACACAGAAGGCACTTAATGAATGGTGTCAAATGAAGGGATAAGTGGGTGATGGATGGTGAAAAGTCCTGAGAATGGGGAAAAGTATGAAAATGTGGGGGGAGGGATTTTGAAATTTGATTAGGTGCCAAAAGGGGTTCTTAAGAAGCTGGGAACCTCTATGTGAGAGATTAGCATTGTAGACATTCTGGAAGAATCCAGGCACACAGATGCCAAGGGTGATCCTTTCAGTTGAGACCACACAGTCTGTGATCTACCCTTAGACTCAAGTAATACAACACTAATGAAATGCTTTTCTCCTAAGAGCAAAGCTGCTGGTGACAGCTTCAACATCTGAGAACTGAATATATGTGTATTTAGGTATCTAAGGCAAACCTATATATGGATCTAGATATATCACATGTGATGTATATCTAAATGCATATATATGTGGTATACACATACGTGCACAAGGGAGGCTCATACACATGTATATTATGAAGGTACTTTGCAGTTGTGTTTTTATTGTAGAGACTTAATTTATTTAAAGAAAGAGTTGTCTGTAGTCCTGTCCTGTCCTGGAGACATGAGGGGCTGTCTGGTGTGAAGGAAAGTAGGAGGGACAGAAAACACCGTATCGATTCAGTTCCATCATCCGCTGCAGTGACTTCGGAAAACAGAATCCAGCATCCCGGTCCTCCCAGCCTCAGGATGAACTGGTGAGGAGTTGTTCTTTGTGCTGTGGCCAGCGTGACCAGGGTGGGCTCCTGGCAATGGCCACGAGAGGTCAGGAGGGGGAGCTGGCTTAGTGGAAGGTGTTGGGGTTCGGTCGGATCATCATCACCACTTTCTTGAGTGAGTAAGAGCCTCCTCGGAACTCAGCCCAGTAGACTCCGTCCTGGTAGCGGCTCCGGTAATGGCCCCCGCGGTACCAGACCCCGTTGAGGTTGGAGTGGGCACAGGCGTTATACCACCAGCCTCCCTTCTGGTAGTGGGCACAGTTTCCTGCAAGAGAGAAGGCAGTGAGAGGGTGTCTGGGAGGAGGCCATTCTACTTGCGTCCATAGTGCTCAGGGCTTTCGGCAAAGCCCTCTCTGGGAGGCATCTGGAGCAAGAACGCTTGAAAGGTGGACCCGTCTCCATGGGTGGTGAGAGGCCATGCTTCAGGCCCGCCTTTGAGGCTCAGCTTTGTAACTAACTAGCTGTGTGATCTCAGACAAGTGACTTGACCTCTCCCAGCCACTGTATCCTCATCTGTAAAATGAGAATAAAAATGACGCCTGCCGCACAGGGCGGCTCTGAGGATTGAATGAGGATGCGTACTTGACACCTAGCCCAGGGCTGGGTGCAAAGGAGGCCCCAAGGGAACTCCACACCTTGTGTTCTGATAGGAAATGGAGATGGCCTGAGGTGGGCGGGGAGGGAGAAAAGCTTTTTCTTAGGAATTTTTGAGTTGAAACTGTTGGATCAGGAGTCTTTAAAGAATGACAAAGAAAGTGTTTAAGAAGAAATGCTCCTCCAGTCCTCCCCAGCTTGTATTCCATCCAAACAATTTTTTGTATTACTTCACAAAGGAAAGATATTTCCATAAAACTCTTGGCATTATCACATCATGCTGAATTTTGCTGCCAAGGACAAGCAGTTCAGAACAACAGTAAAAACTGTGGGAAGGTGTGCGCGGGCATGCAGGGGCAGTGCACTCTGTGGCAGGAGGACAGGGGGCCACTATCTGCCAGCATTGCTCTTAGTGAAGGGGGGTCCCCACTTTCCTGACTGGGCCTGGCAAGGGGACCCCGTACTCAGGGGAGGGGCTGCTCCAGTCAGAATTGTGGGTTGGAGGGCCCAACAGAGCAGGTGGCCGAGGCCGTGGGATGAGGTGAGGAGGTCGCACTCAGTCTGAGGCAGAAAGCAAGAGGGGAGGTGGAGCCAGGTTTTCCCAGAGTTTTTCTGGGGGTCCCTCTGGGCCATGATTCCAGGCCACAGGGACCAAGTGGCAGTGTTGGACTGGTATAGCAGGGAGATCCTTGGGCACGCCATAACCAGCCTCCTCTTTGCCAGCGGAGGTCCCACACACCTCCAGGGACAAGGACCTTGCCAGCTACTGATTTTGCTGCTGGCTAGATCTGAGTTTGGATCATAGAATACACTTTCCGCTCCCTAAGGAGGTGGCCCTCCAGAAAGGCTGTAGCAGCCCCTGTGTCCCAGGGTCTGACCAGCTCTGAAGGTTATCCTTCTGCCCTGCTCTTCTAGAAGCCTCGGCAGCCCCTACTGCTTCAGAATGAGGGCCTGTTCCTCTTCCAGGGCCCCTTCGGGCCAGGCCAGTTCAGTGTCAGTGGGCGGACAGAGGTGTCTGTGTGATACAGGGATGGGCAGGTCATGTCCCTCCTGTCCCCTGATGTTGGGAGAATTACCCTTCAGAATGTGGCTGCTATGGGGACCTGGCATGAGGATCCCCTCCACCTTAGTATGTAGGTTCCAGGGCCTGCCTGAAGTACAGGCCATTTGTAGGACAGTCTTGAGAGCTCGCTTCTCAAGTGGGAGGGAGTAGCCTTCTGACCAAGACCACATAGGAAATGGAGGCAGGAGGGGACTGGGTTTGCCCTTGAGAGCAGACAGCCTGAGCCTGGAGGCAGCATCGGCCGTCAGGTGGTGCCAGCCTCAGGGAGGAGCATGGCAGACTGAGAGGCCTTCATCTCAAGAAACTGGGTGTTGGCCCTGGGGAGGCATTAACTGTGTGGGAGGCTGATATCTGGACTCAGGGCCAGACCATATCTCTGTTTCTTCTGATTTTCTGTTTTTTTCTCTTGTTTTTTGTTTAATAAAGACTTCTTAGTAAAGACCTAGATTTGAAGCATGTGATCTTAGACAAATCACTTTCTCTCTCCTATCTGCTTTCCTCTTAATAGCTTCCTCTCAGCACTGCACTAGCATTACATGCAGTAACAGTGACCATGAAGAAAGCCAGTTTGTATGGAGCCCTCGCTATGTGCCAAATCCTAGACAAAGCACTTTAGGTACATTCTCTCTACCCTTCTCCCTACTCTGCAATGTAGTTCTTGTCCTTACTTCCAGATGCAGAAACTGAGACCCACGGAGATTTAGCAGTATGCCCAAGGACACATGGCTGGTAGGAGGTGGGGCCAGCACTGGAGCCCAGGTGTGTGGCCCAGAGCCTACGCAGTTGGTTAGCTCTATACCAGGTGCCTGGGACAGAAGTGGTGAGGCCACAGCCCAACACATGTCTTTCTGCATTGGCCCCAGCTGGCCCTGGTACGTGTGATTTGTATACCTCTTTATGTCTCGCCCCATCCCATTTTTTTTTTCTTAATTTGTAAATGCCACTGTGACCCAGCTTTGTGAAGGGGACCTGTGGGCAGGAGAAGGGACCCTCAGGGGGTGGTAACAGGGTCAGGCAGCTTGGCCCAGCTGCTTCTCACCCTGGGATCTTCCCGTTTCCAAGCCCTGGAGTCAGGGGCTCTGGCTCTGGTTGACCTCTTTTCCCTACCCTGCACCTGGGTTTGACTCCACTTTTCCTACCTGTGTAGACATCATGATCTCTGTCCAGGGTGGTGAACTGCTTGCCGTTGTGCCATGTAAAGGAGTCACCCGCATTGCCATGGTAGCGCCCCAGCCGCAGCTTATAATACTCGCTCTCAGGTTCCAGGCGGAAACTGGCGTATTCTGCAAAGACTTTGCGGCCGGACCAGTCCTCCATGGTCACCAGGAGTTTGTAGTTGCCTTGGTTCGTCAGCCAGTAAATGTTCTCCAGGCCCAGCCAGTATTCGCCGTCAATGTTCCCAAACCCTTGCTGGGGAAAACCCAGGAGAGTGTTAATGTGGAGCCTGCAGCACCTGCAGCCAGCAGGCTTGGCTGTCAGACACTCAGCCCTGGATAGAGGGGCCTGGGAAACAAGCAGAGCATGAAGCAGACCTGGTTCAGACCCCTACTCCACCTCTTAATCTCTCCATGACTCACACATTATTCAAAAATATGTAGAGTGCCTACCCTGTGCCAGGCATCATGTGAACCCCAGATTCCTTGTTCTTACATCAGGGAGGCTATATTACCTTCCCCACAGGCTTGCTGCAGGAACACGTGTGCTGTGGCAGGTGGAGGGCCTGGCACTAAGTAGGCACGCAGCAGGCATTCCTCAGACAAATCTCTGACCTTCACTGAGCTTCACCTCCTTCTCTGGAGATGAGCTGTGTGTGAGGGTCACGTGTAAGCTGTAACGCACCAGACGGGTGTGAGCTGTGACGCATGTGTCCCATCCACCGGCGCTCCCCTCTAGGTCTAAAACCCAGTGGTTTTGTGGTTATTGTTTTTTTTTGCATGTGGTTTTGGGGTCAGCAGCTGAGTTACGGCCACTAAAGTCTTGGGAATCGGTGATTCATTAATACAATAATTATTTAGTATTGAGCGCTTGTGATGTGCTGGCACTGTTTTAAGAACTTTACATAGGTTGTTTTACTAATCCTCATGTCAACTCGAAGAACTAAGTGCTATCATTATCCTCCCTAGTATGGATGAACTGAGGCCCAGAGAGGCTCAGGGTCTCAGAATGCCTGAGGGTGAACCAGGATTTGAACCAAGAACCCAGTCTTAATCATTGCACTGTATTGCCTCTAAGAAAGGAGGAGTCTCCCGCTCCTAATGTAGGTGGAAGAGGAGAAAAAAGCAGAGACACAGGCTGTTCAGGAGGTGGGGTGGGGGACAACCAGGACAGGAGACTCAAGAAGGGGCATGGCAGAGCCATGTGTGCAAGGCATCATGGCTTCAGGTAGTTTGTGAGCTTCAGTGTCAGAGGCCTCAGCTGCAGTCACTACTGGGCCAATTCCTGGCTTTGCAACCCTGAGCAAATTACTCCACACTTTCATCTGTAAGCTGGGTCCATAACAGAACCTCCCTCAGGAGGTTGATACGAGATTAAACAAAATAATGCACGAAAGCCCTTAGCATGGTGCTGGCACGGGTTGGGCACTCAGCAAACAGAGCCACTCTTGCCTTCCTTAGTACTACCTCTGTTTAGAGGGGGAAGAACGATGTATGACTGAGTCCTGGCAACTTTCCCTGCTACACAGATGAGCATTTCAACTCCCTGGGAACCAGGGAGCCCAGAGGATGAGCCTGGAATTAGGACTTGAGCATTGCCACAACTCCCTACCAGGACTTTTTGGGGGATTCTCCCAGGAACTGGGAGCCTCTTGGGACTTGCGCCTTCTGGGCTTTGAGAGCGGGTCTTTCCCCATGGAAACCCCACTTGGGAGTGAAATGCTCCTCACCCCTGGGCCCCCATACCAGCGTTTCTAAACTCTCACCCTGTCCTGTGGGGCTGTGGTGGTCTGGTCTACTGACTCTTGTCCTGCAGCAGTTTCTAGCAGCAGGCAGAGGAGGCGCTGGTCCTCACTACCCCTGGTGGGTTTGCAAAATGGCCCTGTCTGCATCCTTCTCGCCTCAGGTATATGTGTTGTTGGGGCCGCACAGGCCTGGGCTTGGTCAGCATGTACCTCTGAGTGGGCTCTTCTATTGGTTGCTCAGGCCTCTCTTGGGGTGGGCCAGTCACCTTGTGGGCAGCACAGACATCCCCTGCCGAGTCTCACCTTGTACGTCTCCCAGTTCCTGAAGAAGTTAACAGAGCCATCCAGGCGTCTCTGGATGACGGTCCAGCCCCCGGGGTCGTGTCTCTGGTCGCACCACACCTGCATGAGGCGGTTGGTGTTCTCCGGCTTCACCAGGTAGATGGAGCTGGTGTCGTGGCCATCCTCCAGGGCCTGCAGGCAGTCTCTCCATGGGCCTGGGGACACAGACATGCATATACATCACAGACCTGCCTGTCACCAGGCCGCACCCCCAGCTGCACCCCAAGCAGGCACAACCTCTGTTGAGGCTCCAGCTGGGAGCCACAGGCCCACGGTCTGAGGTAACCAATTTTTGTTTTGCGAGTTTAATAAGTAATTATAAAGACAAGAGCCTCGGACCAGGGGTCAGGATGCCCATACTCCAAGCTCACTTTCTCCTCTCACCCGCCTCACAGTTTGACTTTTGGCAGACTTCTTCATTCTCCCAGCCCCCAGTTTCTTCTGATTGTAGAAGGAAGATCAGATTTCCCTCATATAGTGTTGTCAGGATTACTGAGATCATTTGGGGGAAGTTGCTGGAGTGATCTTTTTCGTGTTCATTATATTAGGAAAAAGAGATGTGGACCTACTAAACGTGGCAACATCAGTCAGTGCCTGCAGGCTCTGATGGCTTTGCTTCTGCAAGGAAACTCAGTTCCACTGGATTACTGTTTCTGGGGGCCAAGTACAGTTGGCACCCTTCAATTCTGACTCCACGTCTGCCCTTCCAGTGACAGTGCTTCGTGATGACTGCTGCAGCTTTTACTAAATGAACTTCCACAGTCACAGGGGCCTAGGCCATGCCCAGAATTTGGCCATGTAGCCAGAGACTTTGGGATATTTCTGCAATTCATTCACTGCTCTTCAAGTGTGTTTTTAGGGGGCCAGGTTCCCTTTCAGCTGAATCTGTGTGTTTTCCAAAGGAAGCTCAGTGAGGGCCAGATGCTTGGCACTCACGCATTCTGAGGTCCTCCTTGCAGGCTCATAAACTTAAAGGATGATGTCCAGGATACAGCCCAATCCATGGCTCTCTTCTGAAACTGAGACCAGAGGGTTCTGTGATTCTTTGTGACTGCACTGAGCTTGGGCAGCCCAGTCAGAAGGAATGGGTGTTATACCACTGGTCTTTTAGCCCTCCCCACCCCTGCCCATCAACTCTGCCCTCCCCAGGCAGTTTCTTATGTTCCATTGTTGGTCACATCAGCAAGAAGGTACAAACTTGAGTCACCAAGGGTCTGGACAGGCTGGGGCCTTTCTCATTGATCTGAGGAAGCTTTAGAAGGTCAAGGCCTAGCCATTCAGATGAAAATGGCTGAAAGAAAGAAAATCACATTTTGCTTCAGTCTCTTCAAAATATTCCTCATAGGGCCGGGCACGGTGGCTCACGCCTGTAATCCCAGCACTTTGGGAGGCTGAGGCAGGCAGATCACAAAGTCAGGAGATCGAGACCATCCTGGCTAACATGGTGAAACCCTGTCTCTACTAAAAATACAAAAAATTAGCCGTGTGTGGTGGCACGCACCTGTGATCCCAGCTACCCGGGAGGGTGAGGCAGGAGAATCCCTTGAATCCAGGAGGTGGAGGTTGCAGTGAGCTGAGATGGCCCCACTGCACTCCAGCCTGAGTGGCAGAGCAAGACAAGACTCCGTCTCAAAAAAATAAATAAATAAAAATCCCCACAATGAGACTGGTTAAGGACAAAAGTGCTAAGAAAGTACCATTGTATGTTTTCTATCAATTTGTATGTTTATTCAACAACTGTGTATTGAGTCCCAGCCTCTGCAGATGCGGTGCTGGGCAGCGGAAGCTCAGGGCAGGGTGGGGCCGCTCTGACGCCCTGCAAGGGAGGAGCTGACCTCACTACCTCCTCCCCACTTGAATTCCTGTAGACTCCTGTCCTTTCTCTTTCTGTGTGAGTTGAAGGGAGGTGCCCATCAGTGACAGGTATACTCAGCTTTTCTGGTACAGGTCACACTTCTCAGATTCCTTCCTGGCTGGTGTTTGGGCTCAACTAGTTCACACGTAATAGTTATAAACCAGAAAGATTTAGGTTTCTGGTCTCTGTTAGACATCTCAGGTGGGCTGTTCCTGAGGAAGAAGCCTTGTGTTTGAGCATTCATCCACCTAGAACCTGACGGGAAGGCAGGGGCTGTCTTGCTCATTCCTTGCTTCCCACTGCCCAGTATTGCCCCGATAAGAAAGATTGGTTTGGGTGCTGACACTTAACTCAGGGGCTTCTCCCTTCATCTTCTGGGGAGGAAGGATCTTCTCACCCATTTACCTTTTTGCCAGGCCTCTTCTCTAAGGGATGGGGCAGGACCCAATGCTCCCCACCCCAGGGTAGCAGATGGGGCACAAGCAGCTGCTTCCTTTGCCAGTGCCACTTCCTGCCTTTCCCCCACCACTCCCTCAGTATCCTTCCCAGGGAAGGGGAGGCTAGACCTCCAGAAAGAGCATTTGTGAAGGAGAAAAAGGTTTTGGTTGTGTTTAGCTGAAGCCCCAGGGATGGAGGCAGAGAATGGGAGTCTGTCCCCAACAGCTGGAGCAGAGCGCCGGTGGGCGTGGGAGGCCTCCCAGCTCCTTACCAAGTCAGCAGCACAGGAGAGGCCGTTCGATGTGAATGCTGGTGACGGAAGATCCGGCAGAAGCCTGCAAAATAACGCCCACTGAGAGCGAGCAGCCCAGCCTCTTACTGCACAGCTGCCAGGACTGCTGCAGAATTGTCAGAGGTAAAGGCTGCCTTTGAAGGAGGCGCCACGTAGGGAGAGGCTGTGGAGGCTGCTGGGAGAGTGGCAGTTGGCCTCGTGGCTCCAGCTGGGGCTGCCTTTGTGGGCGCCATGAATGATCTCAGTTTTACCTTTGGCATTTCCACCAAGGGCTCTTTTTAAAGGCAAGTGTTTTTAAATGTTTTGGGGCTACTAGTCCCTTTAAGAATTTGGGGATGGTTCTAGATCCTTTATTCAGAAAAATGCACAGACTCACACAATTCTGTATACAGTTTCAGAAGGTAATGGATTCCCAAAGTCCCAGGTTATAAACTCCTTGCTCTAAGAGTAGTGACTGAAGTAGTAATAATAATAGCCAGTGTGTACTGAGCATTTCCTATGGTCCTAGCCACGTATTTCCACAGGTGACCCTCCTGACACTCCTGTGAGGTAGGAAAGCAGACCCTGTGGTCATTAGAGGAGCCCCTCAAGGTTACCTGGTGGGTAAAGGACACAGCAGGTGTATGCACCCAGGGGGTGTGCAGAGCTCACACACTACTTCTTTTCCCCCAACCAGAACGAACTCAAGAATGAGGGATCCATGCTGACTTAGCTCTGTGTCCTTAGAACTAATGTTAATCTTTGCCAGTCAGCCAGCGAAAAAAATAAAACATAAAAATTTACAGTTCTTTGTCGAGGTGTAAAACTTTTAAAAATCTTTAATGATTTTTTTCTTCCGTATTTACCTTTTGGTGTTCTTTGCCCATTTTTCAACGATTGTAGTGTCTGTTATGATGTAGAAGAAGTTTTTCTTTTTTTAAAAAAGGCAAACGGGGTAATTCTTTTAAGGCTTTCTAGAATAATCGAGTAGGTATCAAATTGTGTAGAAATGTTTAGTATTTTCTGCTGTTACAAAAAATGTGCATATGTGTCTGTACACGGAATTTCACATGACAATCAGGCCCCATTAGCTTCCATCAAAAACACAAATTCAAACACAATTTCCCTTAGAACCCTTAGTAGACCTCTGTGAAATCTCCTGCATTCAAACACATTTCCTTTTCACACATTAAAGGCACCAGTGGCAAAGGTCAGAAACATCACTGATGGATGAAAATTAGTCAGAAAAAGAGTTAACATTGAAAAATTGTCAGCAGTAAAATTATGTGGCTCCTTTAAAATAGCAGAGACAAAACATCCTACTTTGATGAGAAATCCACAACTGTAACATATAAATAATACTGTGAAAAATCTATAGCTGTTCCATATAAATAATGCCCTCGTAGGGGGCCAGGCAAGGGTCTGGCCTCGATGGAGGAAGACCTGGCTGAGGAAGCGAGGGCTGGAGGGAGACTCCACACTTGGAGTCAGGAGCCCTTGGCTCCAATCTCGATGGCCTCACCTATGCACAGTGTGACTTTGGGCAGTGTCCTCATTGAGCCTCAATTTCTTCTTCTGTGAAATGGGAAGAGACCATAGCTATTCTGAGGATGTCATGAACCCAAGAGCGGCCAGCATGGGAGCCAGCTGGGGCAGGTGCTCTGTGAAGATTATCCCTTTCTGTTTCCTTTGATAGATGAAAGCTGACATTTTTGAAGTTGTTCACCCCCCCAACTAATTCCTCCTCCACACACGTTACTATATTTGCTTTTCAATACAAGACTAAATGTAAGATATTTACCAGTAGATGTTTTCCATGTATTTTTAAGTCAGAATTTCAGTGGAGAAGGCCACAAAGATATATTGACATGAAGAATGGAAATCTTTTTTGTCAATGAAACTGAGTTTTCAACGTGCAGTGGGCAAAGCGCTCCCTTTGGACCAGTGCAGAGTACCTAGCGGTGTTTAACTTGGCGCCCCTTCTGAGAGGGCAGCTCTGCCCAGAGCATCAGGCCAACACTAACTCGGCAGCACCTGGGCTCAGAGTGGAGCGAGTGCTGCGACCTCATCTCTATAAAGACCACATTTACATTCTTGGGGGAGCTGTGGCCAAATGTTCCACGTGAAGAGAAATGCAGCCCCGTGGCTGAGCCGAGTCTGTGTGGTTCCCTGAAGAAGCAACAAGGATGGGTAGGCACACAGGGTCTGGGGTCAGGAGGCCTCCAGAGGAGGGACATCAGCAAGTAGGGGAGTACCAAGTACACAGGTCTCAGCCCGGACCCCACTGCCATACCCTGGTAAGTGTTGGAGGTGATCAGCTTTGGGTGCTTCCTTCCTCCTCTCTGGGGTTCTTGACAGGGATTAGGCACACAAGGACCATGGCCTCCCAGGAAACCAGGACCCACTTGATTGATGGCTGATACAGTGCTTGCTACTCCCAACACAGGGCCTTTCTGGTCAAGCTGAGTTAGAACCGGCACCTAGGCCAGGCAAGCATAACTTCCTATTTCCAGTTCTCTCTCTGTGGGTCTGGGGCAGACCAGCATCAGCCTGATTTACCCGTCCAGGCCCTAGTGGAGAAATGGGCTCACAAACTGCATCAGCTCTCAGTGCAGTGCCCCTCTTACTAGGAAAACATGGCTCCGTGAATATCTGACCTTGAGGCTGGGAGCTAAGCAGTGAGGCCTCCGTGGGCAAGAGGGATGCCTCTTCTCTCTGACGTGCCTGAGGTGTGGGGGGAGGAGCAGAGTCCTTCCTGCCCACAGCGGGACTGGACCCCATGGCTGGCCAGCAGCCTGACAGTCCTTTTTATCCCCTGAGTCCAGCCCCAGGTGTCAGAATTTGACCACCTTAGGCCACTCAGAGGACCCTGTGGCCTGTGGGAAATGTTCTGGGGGGCTCTTGGTTCTGGGAAGTTGCTCCTGTGAATATTTTAGTCCATACGCAGGCACTAGGGAGAGGCTTCTGTGATATCACTAAGATGCAGTCTGCTTTTCATGAGAACTGTATGCTGTTTTCAGTTACTCTCACTGATGGTCTGTCTCCAAAAAGTCTTCTTACCACTCCCTGAAACATTTTTCTAACAGGAGAAATGACTAACTGTTGAAATTGGATCTGCAATTTCCTACCCAAATTAATGCATCTGAGTGCCACGGCACGTGGCCTGCTTAGGTGAGAGTCCCACCCAGGCCAGCATCAGGACTCACTGGGCACCCCATGAGGGCAGGAGAACAGACACACAGGGTCGGGGGATGGGGTGTGAGGGGTGGCTACAGTGAGAAGCAGTTATTGGGGGTCTTCGAATCTCATTTATCCAGAGGCTTGGCAAAATAAGATTCTGGTTATGGATGTATATATATTCTATGTCAATCACTGCTTTTCAGCGAACCAGAGTACAAAACAATAACCTAAACACAGGAATAGCTTGTATGGTCCCAAAGGCATTTCAGTTCCTGCAGAACCTCAGAGTTGATATCACACATGTCATTTCTGATCATTCCAGGGAAAAGGTCCAAATGCTTGTGCCTGCTTTCAGGCCGCTTTAGCCCTCAAACGATGGGCATGGTGCCTGGGGCCAATGAGTGTTTCAGGAGTTGATGAAAATGTTTGAGGCCTAAAAAGACTTACTGGCTCTAAAATATGAAAAGAAAACTGCAAAATCAAAATTTATTGTATGTAATTAAATTACTACAAAGTGTGACATCTTGTCAAGTTCATTAATTGTTAAATTTTGTCTTCATGAAAATGTTACTACTTTTGAAAACAACTTGTAGGTTAGATTTTTTTCACTTCCCAAGAATTCCTGAATATGCTTGATGTTTACTGAGAAATGAGATCCAACCATAAATTAATTGAGTTACTCTTAGCCAAATAATTTTAAAAGCAAAAGTATTAAATCCTTTCAAAATTGTTCCAGTAAAAATTCTATTAAATGTGTGAGGTAGGTCATTTCAATGCATGTGATACAGCCTGAGGCCTCTCAAGTAAGAGCTCTTAGGGCCCAGAAAGGGCTTATAAAGGTCCTGTTTCTGCTCATTTGACCTCGGGAGAAACAGACATTGCAGCACTACTTTCCAGAGGCCACTGTCCAAAGCATTGCGTCGCTCTTAGGTTTCCACCAGCGCTGTTGGGCAGGAGGAGAAACAGGGGCTTTAAAGACATTTTAAAAAAGAGTTTAGAAGGGGCTTTAGTGGTCTCACTGTGTACAGAGGTGAGCAGCTCACCTTGGCTCCCTGGGGGCAGTGGCCAGTTGTACCCAAGGCTTCCTGGGTGAGGGAGGTCTCTGATGTAGAGGTGGGCAGTGCCCCAGGGTTCCACAGGCACACTAATGAGAGTGGCCATGGCTCTGTCAGAGACTGTGGTGCTGTCCTGCAGGCACATCATGGAAGAACTTATCAGACCCATGACTACAATCCACAGATATGGACAGGTAGCAGTCCCATAGTTGGCGAGTGTATTAACCCTTTCCAAGGAAGGGATCAGCTTCATTGGTTTCTTCTTTAAGAACCTATGTCGGCTTTCATTGGTGACCTTTTAATCTTCCAAATGCTCACGAACCCTTTGTGTACTCTTTTCTATAATTTTACTGGGGCTTCACCACAAGCCAGTTGTATGTGATTTCTGGTATGCATTCTTTTTCTGAAAGCAGGACATTTGTCTGGCACCAAGACTTGTCTTCATGATTTCTTGACTATCACTGGTGGTGGTTCTGAGAGCACCACAAGGCCCTTACCTTCCTCATCACCTCCTTCAGGAAGCTTTCCCCAACCCCAGGAAAGCTACTTTATCCTTTTCAGTGTTCCCAAAATGCTTTGTATATTTATCTCTACTGGAATAAGGTAAGAATGGTGATGATCATGTATCTAGAGCCTTTCACCTGCCATGTGCTTTGCACACCGTTTCATTTCATCCTCATAAGCCCCTGCACCTGTGAGAAAGCCAGGGCTCAAGAGGATCACATGACTGGAAAGTGGAGGATCTGGGATTAGAACTCAGGTCCACCTTCTGTGCTGCAGTTATCACACCACATTAGGATTGTTGGGGATCTGTGTCCCCATAAGACTGTGGGCTCCTTTCAGGCAGGAACCCTTGCAGGCTCACTCCATGAGTCCCTCAATGCTCTGTGTGCCTCCCTCCATCCTTCAATCCTCTATCCTTGACCCTCCATCCTTCACCCTCCATCCTTCACCATCCTGAGCTGCATCCCCTTTGCTACCTTCATTCTGTGCTTTCCAGCTGAGAACCAATAATAATAAATCCATCTGGAAAGAGAGACCCCACAACAGATGATAATCCACATCCAGACCAAACCCTGGCAAAGGAAACCTGCTTTGTGGGAAAGCCTGGACAGTTTGTAGTGGTCTCTCTGCACATTATGTCTGGGATGGTGCCAGATGAGTGGATTTTTTGTTCATTTGGACCCTACTCTAGACATACCATCTAAGATACTTAATTTCAACATTTAGGAGCTGTTGCATTTATAACGTAAACAAATTGTCTTAGCAAGATTTTTCTCTGTGTGTATAGTAGTTTTGACTTACTGTATTCAAAAATATCAGGGAAAAGTAACTTATTTTTTTTTAAACAAAGGATCACATAAATACTCCAGGCCCTGTAGTTCCACAGGCTCATCTTGAGATATAAGATGAGGACCATCAGGCTTATTTTCAGCATAATCTTTGACCAGATTCATGCCAGGGAGAGCCGAAGTTGAGGCAGTGGTGATGCGGGGATAGTAGGAAAGATCATCTCCAGTGTTCCCATCAAGAGGTCTCTGCTGCCTGCATCCTTCACTGATGTGGGTATAAACCACTGGAAGTATATACTTCATTACTTTTACAAGACTGAACATAGTCCATTTTCTGCTGCTATAACAGAATAGCATAGACTGGGTAATTTATAAAGAAAGGAAGTTTATTTGGCTCACAGTTATGGAGGCTGAGAAGTCCAGGAGCATGGTGCCAGCATTTGTATGAGGCTAACTTAATACTACTTTATTTATTTTTTTTGTGGGGGTGGGGGTGGAGGGGGACAGCATCTCAGGATTAATACTATACAAGTTCACCACAACAATCCATTTGTATGACCAGTTAGCTGGCCACAGATGCCTGATCTCTAGGGTTTTCTAGATTTCTTTCAGTTTGCCAAGTACCAATCTTGGGATTTTCAGGCATCAAGATCCCAGATCTCAAGATTTTTTTAACAGTAACAAGTTGATAGTTTATCTCCTATGACTGTAAATACCCTGAGCATTTAGCCAAGTGTCATCTTTGGAAAACTGCCTGAGGAATGGAGGGGTAGCTTTCCATCACCCTCAAAAGGCTCTTTGTGATCAGTTCCCCAAGGTACCAGAAGAGGAGGAAGAGAAAGCAAAGCAATAAGGGAGCTGGCCCTCCTGGAACCATCATCCAGGTGGGCCATCTTCCTAGAGTAGATTTTGTTTAGGAAGAAGCTAGCAAAGAGTGCTCTTTGAGAAATCACTGGATTATGTAGTTTGTACTGAATTTGAAATCTTATTTTGTTTAACAAAACCTTTTAGAATAAAAGAAAGTATTGTACAGTGGAAACAGCACACGCTCTGGAGGCAGGAGACCTGTGTGGGCTTTTCCCTCAGCCTCTGTGACCTTGAAGGCTGACTCAGGATGGGCAGAGTCACCCTCACTCGCCACCATCACCACACACACCCTGTGCTTCTCCACCTCTCTGCAGTGCTTGGGCCTGGATGCCCAGCCTACTGAAGCTGACCCAGCCACACATGGGTTGACACCTTTTCACCTGGTTGCTTGCTTGACCTCCAGAAAGAATGGGAGCTACAACATCATATATTTCTCTGTTTTAAAACATACCATTGTGCTGGGGAACCACAATCGTGTACGTATTTCCTACCTTATAGGGTGGAATAAAATACAGGTGGAAAATCCATCTAGGAAAACACTCTTGTTCAAGTTGTCCATGCCATCCTGGCCATAGCCCAATAGCCCATCTGTTGTGAGATGGGGTGGCTTCCTGCTAGCACTCTTGTCAGTGAAGCAATGTGGGGACCTCCTCATGTGGTCCCAAGGGAAGGTCATGTCTACTGACATTTATACAGTCAGGGCTAACATTTAAAGAAATCAGAACTTCACACTTAGCTATATGTTGAAAGACTTAGCTATACATTGAAATGCTGAGTAGAAGGAACCCCAGAGGATATGTCCAGATTTGATAAAAATTAAAAATTAGACTTCAGTTGGGTCCATTTGCTGGGAGTCAGGTGCACGTTGTACTTTCTACTGGGGAGCTTGGCTGGTTCCTGCTAGGCCTAGGGAGGGGGAGCATGATGTTGGTGGGTTGGTAGCGACAGTGTTTTGTGTCATTGGAACCATGTTCTAATAACAAATCTACCACCTTTGTTCCCAGAGCTCATTTTAAGGAACTGTTTGGAACGTGGTACCAGGAAGTAGAGCTAGAAGGTCAGGAAGTAGAGATAGAAGGTCAGGTCCCTGTGGCAGCTGGGGCCAAATCAGACATTCACGGGGTGATTTTTACACCAGTTCCCCTCCAGCCTTCCCGTGGAAGTGTGCAATATCCAGAGTAGTTAAAACATACTTTGGTTTGAGCCTTGGCCAAGCCACTTACTAGCTGTGTACCCTTGGCTAAGTTACTTGACCTCTATGAACCTCAATATCCTGCAAGGTACAAGTCCCAGGGTCGATCTCTGCTCTGCCACCAACAGGCTCTGTTACAGGAAGGCCATGCTAGGGGATCTGAGAGGCCCCTAATAGTTCCAGTATTTCATGGTTTTATGGCCCCTTCTTCTTCACTCATTGAGAAATAAAGTGAACTGGTTGTATTCTCTTTCTCAGGAGAGAAAACAGCTAAAAGTGCTCACTCCTTTTGGTCTTTAAAGATTAGTTTCTGACAAAGCCCGTCTGTGGCAGCTGCTGTTGGCGCTGTCCTTTCCTCCCTGATCAGTCTCTGGGATGGGCACTGTGCAGGAGGGCTGGCAAATGTGTGGCTCTGCCTTGGGTGGCCTGAGAAACAGTACCAGGCCTCCCAGAACCCAGGTGCCTGCTCTATCCTTTGCCTCTTAGAGAATGACCCCTGGAGCCTTCCTCTTCTAATAGCAGCAGCAGGATAGGTGGGGCAGAGGACCACAGATAGGGCCATTTGGCCCAGGCCTCATCACAGAATCATCCTAATCAAAATGCCTTTGGGTCTGGCCAGACCTGAGAGACACAGGACAAAGCCCAGGTGAGGAGCCAGGGAAGCCAGGAGCTGCCTGTGCCTCCTCACTCAGGCTCTCAGTAGGCCATCCTGGCCTGGGACCACCCTGTTACTGTCTCAGTAAGGCTGGGAACAGGCTTGTGGTACAGCTTCAGATAAGCAGCCATGGCTCCCTTAGTCCCCTGGGGAAGGGCATGCTGTGGGCAGACGAAGAAAAGAGCACATGGCTCTGAGGCTGCTGAGTGAAAGGTTTGGAAGCTGCCAAGGCTCGGATGCAAAGGTGTTTAATTGCAAAGGTATTTCTGGCTAAGTGATGTCCCTAAGAACAAAGGATCTGTTGGGTAAGAGCACAGAAGAGTGTTTTGTCTTCCAGGATAAGAACCTGCCCCAAGCTCTCTGAACAGACCTGATAAGAATGTTCTCTGCTCATTGGATGCCCTGACTGTTCCGTGCAGAGAGACCATCTGTTTTTTCCTCCCAGTTTAGTCCTCAACACCAGGAGAGGGCAGGACCCTCCCCCAGCTGCTCTCTTCCTGGGCTCTGTCTACCCATTCATCTTCCACAGCTAGGCACTCAATCCCAGCTGGCAGCGCCTTGTGTGGGAGCTCAGTGGTGAGATGGGTCACAAGAAATCTACTGGTAATGAGCAAGTACCAACATTTGGGGATCCTTGCGTAACAAAGAAGGATAAATTCTAATGCATTCCAGTTATCTCTGTGATGAAATCACTGCCATTCCCTCCCATGACGGCGTGCTTTCTTAAGTGGGAGACAAAAGACGGGCGAGTGCAGGACACTTGGATACACACAGCCCACACTGGGTTGTGAACACAAAGAAGCAGGAGATTGAACCATTTGAGGTGCCAGGAATAGAACTGTGCCCCTGGGCCCTTGCACAGACTCATCTCCATCAGGGACCCACTAGTCACTTGGGTTCCCAACTCCCAGGTCTGCCTGGTAAAATCTTACAAATCCTTCAAGATGCAACAAAGAAGTGCCACGTCTATCTAATCTCTCCCTTCCCTCTAGGCAGAATTAGTCATGCCACCTTACTGTCCCCCAGGGCACTTAGCACACCAGGGTATCACCACAGTGATCAGACAGCCCAGTTTTCACTGCATTCCTGATTTTAGAAATTTTGGCCTCGACGGATACTCCCTCCCAGAGAAATCCATTGTCAGATCTGATGTGCTGATGTTAGGGACTAGAAATCATGGGCATTGGACGGATCCCAGATGCATTCATGCACCTGCCGTCTACCCCAGACTGAGTTTCTGGAGGTCAGGGACCACAATTGTCACCTACTTCCCCAAGTCTAGTGCTGCGACTAGCATGTAGTAGGGGCTCAGCAAATGTTGGCTTTACTACATGACATAATGTTTCATGCTTGATTGTATTGTATCCACAGCATAACACTGTGAGGTTATGACCCTTGTCCCCATTTTACAGAGGAGAAAATTGAGGCTCAGAAGAGTTAAATAACTATCTCATGAGCGAACAGCTAACCAAGGGGTAGAGCATGGATGCAAACCCAGGTCTTATTCCTATACTATGTATCTGCCAGCTTAGTTCAAGCCCAGGAATGTCCTGAAATGTTTTGAGTTAGAAACCAGAGACACTTAGGCCAGAGGAGATCTGTTGAGTAACCATTGAGTCCAGCCTGTCTCCAGTCAGGGTTATAACAACATTCAACTGAGCCTTTGTTTGGTGCCCAAGGGCACGTTTTACCCTCTCGGTATTCTATCAAGACAAATTAACACACCCTGCCCTCTCTTTCAGAGCTTCTGATTTAAAGCAGACACGTGTACAGATGGAACGCCAGAGCTAAAAAAGGGACTGTTTATTTCAGTCTCCTTGTTTTAAGATGAAAAGACCTAGATCAAAGGAGGCTTGTAGTTTACCGTGGACCCAGCATTGTGCTAAACATGTTTTTTGCAGTATTTCGTTTCCTAAAGTGACAGGCACTATTTTAATCTATCCTCAATTAACAGATGAGGAAACCGAGCCTCAGGGGGACAAAGTGACTTGCCTAATGTCCCAGAGCTAATCAGTGGTGGAAACCGGATTTAAATCCAAGCCAGCCTACTCCAAAGCGCCTGCTCTCAATCCTGCACCCAGGCCAGGTCTTTCCTTTGAGGTGCTGCAGTGGATGCTCACTTTGCATTTAGCTCACCTCACCCACCCCATCTGAAAACAATGCTGCCCTTGTCCTCTGCACTGGCCACCCTCCTGCACTCAGGTTCAGCCCCTCTTTGGAATTAGCAAGAAGCTGCTATTCCCAGTACTGGTGGTTATTTTTAAAAGTGTGAAATAAGTGTAAAGCAGGATATTTTCAGTAAAAATCTCTCCCTGCCTATACAATGAAATGGTACCGAAAGCACTGACTTGGAGTAGATACATGGTTCATTTATGCAGAGATGAATATAGTTCTCATATGGCAGCCCACTGGGAAGGCTCAGGTGTTCTGGATGAACAAGGGGCTGAGCTTCAGGGGACTGGATGTGTGCTGACATTCTGACAGGGGAGCCTCTGGCCTGCTTCTTCCAGAAATGATGATTCCTAGAGTCCTAGAGCATAGAGAAGTCAGCCAGAGATTTAAAGTGAAAAGACCTGAATGCAAATCTAGCCTGAACATCCTAAGCCTATTAGCAAGTTATTCATCCTGTCCGCAAGGAGCTCCAGGAGTTAATTATGTAACATACATGGAAATGTCCGGTGCCAGTATCTTGGTTAAGCTTTAAAACCTGCCAGCAATCCCATTCCTCCCCCATAACGGTATTCGGAGAATTGCTGTATTTTAAGATGAAACGTGTATGTAAGAGCATATGGAAGCATCATTGAAAATTCTAGACAGCAGCAGACTCTAGGAAGTGTGTGGGCTTTAGGAAGGACTCCTTCCCATGCCCAGCCCCTACAATGTGTTTATCATATTCTTAACATGGGTAATACTTTCTTTTCTTTTGGCCCATTGTTTATTTGGTGAACATTTACAGAAGGCCAACCCTGTGCCAGGCACAGTGCATGAGCTGCAGGAGAGACATTCTCTTCTATCTGCCAACACACGGGATCTCATGCAGAGCCTAGAAAACTACAGGCTCTGGGTTCTTTCCTGTCAGAAACCAGAGAGTGTTTGCCCTCTTCTGAAACTCCATTTTTTGGTAATATCTTTGAGGATCCATCTAAGGAATGTGGTTCCCCTGCCACCCGTCACCCTGCTGGCTCCAGCAGCTCAGCCCAAGGGATTGCTGGGGGATTGTGCATGTCTTTGGCCTGGCTTCAACTGGCCATGGCTTTTCCCCATTTGTGGACACAGCCAAGGGAAGCCTGGTGCCTGGCTCTGAGACCCACATGTAACACGATCCCAGAAGCACTTACCCGACGGCTTGTCGGTGGAAGATGGGAGGCTGGTGAGAGTGGGCATAGTGGGCAGAGGGGGTGGCAGCACCTTCAGGTTCTGGTCACTCTGGATCTCGTTGGTAGAGATCTGGTTGATGATGCGGTTGTAGGTGGGTGGTTGGTAGACCCGGGGCGGGGCAGCGGGGGGTGGCTGGGGGACGGGCCTGGCCGAGGGCACCCTCTGGCAGTGCTCCTCAAGCTGCGCGATGATCTCTGATTGGTTGTGGGCCAGTGTGGCCAGGTGCTGGTACTTGTGCTCCAGGTCCTTGTACTTGCTGGCCAGCTGCAGCATGTCGGCTGTCTGGTTCAGGATCCTGTTCTCCAGCTGGGAGAGCTCCAACGCGTTGTCCCGCTTGCGGATGATCTCGTGCAGGAGCTGCATGTAGAGCTGCGTGACCCGCGAGTTCATGTTGCGGCTCTCCTTGCGCAGCAGCTTCACCTCGCTCACAATGCCGCCGTCCACCTCCACCAGCTGCTGCAGCGTCTCGATCTGCCGCTTCTGCTTGAGCAGCTCATTGTTGAGCAGCTCTAGCTCCTGCTTATGCACTCGGTTCTCCAGAAGCACCTCAGGCTCCTTGGAGTTGACGCAGATGGCACCCGTGACCCGCTGCTGGGGCACAATGAAGGTGTAGGTGCACTTGTCCTGGGACTCGCCCGCCCGCTTGTACCTGTTTAGGTAAATGAACTCTCTTGGCGAGCCCTCCTCAGTGCCCTCAAAACCGTCCTCCTGGCCTGCAACAGCTCCCATGGCAGCCAGCAGTCCGAGCCACCAGCATGTCACGCACAGTGGCCTCATGGTCCTTGCAAAATGGTGGTTATTCTTTGTGAATAGAATCTATGAAAGCCTGAAAGTAAACAGAGGGGAGAATCAGTGATGGTCCCACCACTGTCAGTGCCCTGTGCCATCAGTGATCCCAGCCTTCTCGCCAGGCAGGCAGAGCTTTCCAAAAACTCTGCTTCAGGATGCTGGGTTATATTCTCTTGGAGTCAGAGAACAGGCAGCCATTCTGGAAGCAAGAGGAGACAGGCAAGCCCCAGCAGAGGTAGAAGGGAAGAGGGAGGGTCTCAGGGCATCTGAAGGCAGGAGGCCATGGCCCTGCTACTCCCAGAGCCAGCTCCAATGCCCGCAGCCCCCTTGCTGAACTCCTGGCCTAGAGCCTGAGAATCGTATCCAGGCAGCTTCAGGCTGGGGAGGGGAGGCAGAGGGAGGGTTTTCTGGTCTCTCTCTTCTGCTACCTTTGGTTCCTCAGACTGTTGAGTCTCCCTATTCTATACTTTCACACCCCCTGAACTTTCCCCTTGTAATACCCATCACCGCTGTGCTGAATAGCAGTTCTGTTTGATCTTCTCTGTTGGATTCTAACTCCATGAGGGCATGTCGTCTGTCTGATTCAACCCTGTATTCCCAGGATATTGCACTTTGGGCAAATATTTGATAAACAAATGAATCGTTAGACATGTTATGGAATACATTCAGGGTTTAGTGGACAATATCAGTGGAAGGATGTGTCCAGTTACGTGGCTCTGGTCACTGTGTTAGCTAAGCTACAGAGCCAAAACAGGAACAAACAACTGAGCTCTTCTGAATCCAAATATTTGCAGTAGCCAGTGACAGCACAGTCCTGACCACTGCAACGTGATTAAGTTAGAAGGGAGCAGAACACAGAATGTGTCTCCAGATTTGCTTCACTTCTATTCTTGGACCATTCATCCTTTCACCAGATGTTGATTGAACACCTGTGATTTGCTGGACAGCATGCTAGTGGCTAGGGATACAGCTACCAACAGGATGGAGCCAGTCCCTGCCCTCATGGGGCTTTCACATCATTATGCCATTCCCAAATGCCAGAAAGCACAACTGTCACATGCTGTAAAGGAGTATTACAGGGAATTGACCTAGAGGGTCAGGAATGCTTCCCTGAGAAAGTGCCCTTTACACTGACCCTTGAGGAATGAGTAGGAGTTAAATGGGCCAAGAGGGAGGGGAGGACACGTGCTAGATCCCTTCTCTTGCCCACTCGAGGGCCTTGCTCCAGCAGTCCTCACCGTCTCCCCAACATCAGGATGGTTTTCCTATAATCATACGGTTTTTTCTCTCAACTTAAAACCCTCTCTTGACCTCACATCCCCTCTGCAGCTCTTGTTGCATTTCTCTGCTCCCCTTTTTAGCAAAGCCTCCAAAGAGATGCCTGCACTCACCATTTCCAGAAAGTTCCTCTCTTCCTGGTCTCTCTTGAGCCCACCCTCATCAGGCTTTGCCCGCTCCCCTTCATTCTAGGTTGCCCTAGACAGGATCCCCTGTCTGTTTGCCAGATGGAAGGGCTGGTTCTTGATCCTCATTAATATTTTCCCTCTCACACTGTGGGATACAGTTGGGCTCCCTTCTTGACCTTCCTTTCCAGAGCGCCACCCTGCCTCCTGTCTTGCCGGCTGTTCCTCCTCAGAGCCTGTGCTGGTTCATCCTCATATTCCTGTCCTTTCTCTACTGTTGAGGGGACCCAAAACTCAGTCCTCAGAATTTTCTTTACCTTAGTCATCTCATCCAGAGGTCACGTTGGTGATCACCCTCAAGTACTGATTACATCCGCATTTATTTCTGGAACTCTCCCCAGGACTCTAGACTCATACATACAGCTGCTTTTTTGACATTTCCACTTGACTATCTGCTAGGTATCTCAACTCATCCAGAAATGAACTCGTTTTTCCCCGTATCTCCAACCCAACCTGTTCATCCCAGTTTTTCCTGTGTTCATAAATGTCCACTCTGGTTGCTCAGGCCGAAAGTCTTGAAGTCATCCTAGACGCCTTTCTTTCTTTCATACCCCACATCTAATTCACCGCCAAATTACGATGCCAGAAATATTCTTAGAGTCCTGTGTCTCCCCACCTCCCTGCCACCACCCTGTTGCAACCCACCTGCATCATTTACCTGGACTATTGGAGTAATTTCCTAACTAGCCTCCCTGCCCCAGCCTTGCCCATCCTACCTTCTGTCCTCAACTTCACAGCCAGAGTGGTCCTTTTTAAAAAGTCAAACGGGGTCACTCTTCTATTCAAAACCCCCCAGTGGCTCACCATCTTGGAGGAAAAGCTAGTGGGTCTCCAAGGCACTCTATGATCTGGCCCCCACTTCCTCCCTGGTCTCATCTCTGACCCCTCTCCCCTACGATCATCTCCTCCAACCACCTGGTTGACCTTTTGGTTGTCTGTCAAGTGTTCTAAGCACAGTTAGGACTCAGGGCCTTTATACTTGCTGGTCCCTGCCCCCTTCTTCGTTGTTTGTTCCCTTACCTCTTTCAATCTTTGCTGAAATACCACCTTCTCAGTTAGACCCTCCCTGCTGATTTAAGATTGTGACCTCACCACATTCCCCCTCCAGTGTCCTTATCACCATAAGATACACGCTGTCTCCTCCCCGTTCCCTTGAATGCAAGCTGCATGATGGTAGGGAGGTGTTTGTGTTGGTCACTGCTCCATGTGCAGTGCCTACCACGTGGCCTGAAATACATAGGAGCTCAATAAATATTTGTTGATGGAATGACAAGACACACCTGCCAACAGCTGCTGAGCAGCTGGGAGTGCTGGAAAGAGGGATAGATTGGGGCAGGGATCCCATGGACAAGTGACTGCCTGAGGAGGTCAGAGCTGCGCAGAGGAGGGCCTATGTGTGTATTTATTAATAACATCCATTGACCAAGGTCCGCTATATACCTGACCCTGGACTAAACATTTTGCAAGTGTTTTCCAGTTTCCCGTGTTCTCATAATCTCCTTTTAAGGTAGATACTGTTGCTGTTTACATTTTACAGGTGAGGAAACTGAGACTCAGTGAGGCTGAGTGACTTGCCCAAAATCAGAAAGCTAGAAGGTGGCAGAACCAGGGCTCAACCCTGGTCTGCTGGATTGGAACCTGCTAACTCTTAACGATGACACAGGCATGTATTTAATCTGGTTTTTACTAGTAAAAGGGTATTAGCATCACTACTTTCTGATTTCACATTAATCTGTGCTAAAATAACAAGTATGACACAGGACCTAAAGATTTTGTCCTCCCTGAACCCCTTTGGGGGCTTCTCCAGTGAGGACCCTGGGTCTGGGCTCCACCTTGGACCAGCCAGTGAGCAGTTACAAAAGAGACCCTGTGCTCCCTGGGGCCTTGCTGAGCTGTTTTCCACTTAAATGACAAAGCCCAAGCATGATTCCTATGGCCTGCTCAGGCCTCTCTGAGGCTAGGCAGAGAAAGGTGTGTGGGAGCTTCTGGTTTGGGCTCTGCTAGGAGGTGGGGCTGCAGTGACGTCAGTGGAAACCCAGCTGAGTTTGGAAGTGTTTGCCTCGTTTCCAACGGTGCTTTGGCTGCCCCTGTGCTAGTGGTCACACCCACCCCAGAACAATGGGGAGGAGCCGCCCCCGACCCTGGGCTAGGGCAGGCCTGCTGGGCCAACGCCTTCTTCAGGCTGCTCACCTGAGGCAGTGGGTGACAGACACCTCTCTGTGCCCATGTGGGCGCAGGGCTCCACTGTGGCCAAGAAACTGCCAGAGGCCCAGGAGGCAACCTGGCTGCAAGACAAGGTTGGTTTCCAAGCCTTCCTGGACCTCCAGATTTGATTTGCACTATTTATGGTTGAGTTCTATCCTCTCCCAAACATGGGCTCTCACAGCTCCCCGACAGAGTTCTTGCCATTGCACTTGAGACCTCAAAGGCTGAGTCTTTTCTGTGAAATGGGATGATCCAACCCACCTTGCACACTAGGTGAGCAGCATGGAAGTGCATCAGAAGCGGGAGATTGGAATAATGTGTTAGCAATACGATAGCAAGAACAACAAAGCTGAAACAAAACCAACAACAGTGAGGATGCTGGGTGTGGGCCAGGCAGTGTGCCAAGCACTCACACCATCTCCTTGACTAATGCTTGCACAGGGCTTTAGGGCTTCCAGACCCTTCACATCAACATTCTCTCATCTAATCATTCCAACACTCAGAGTGACTTACTAGTGTTATGCCCATTTCTAGGCTGAGGAAACTGAAGCTCAAAAAGGTGTAGGGGTAGCTGACTTTGAGGTCATGTTGCGAGCAGTGGGACCTCTTGTAACTACATTGATTCTGAGTCCTACTGTTACACCTCTGTGGGGCCTAGGCTTAGTGGGGGTGACTCAGAACTGATTGGGTTACAGGAAGGAAGGGAAGGAACAGGGCACTGTGCTGGGCGCCTGACATACATTGTCCCAGGTAATCCGGTGGGTTGTTATTCACCCCTGTTTTATCAACGGAGACATTGCAACCCAAACAGGCTCAGTGATTTGCCCAGGAACACACGGCAGATAACAGCCAAAGGTGACTGAGCCTAGGACTTGGGTCAACCTGATACCAAGGGCCATGCTCCTTGGGCTTCTCTTTGAGCCTCAGAGTCATTTATTTTCCTTGGAGTCCAAGACTCCAACCCCAATTCCTCCCCTCCCCCCAGCAGTTTTTTGCCAGTTTGGCGGCTCTTAATGGGCAGTAATAAGTTTGTTTACTTTTGCTCTCTTGATATTTATTCAACTCATTGTATCTCAAGAGAAGTAACACCCCCCACCCCCACCCCGGCATTCCAGCCATCTTAGGACTGAAGAAGAACTCAACTCCAATCAAAGTGATGCTCCTCACTTTTTTCCTGTGTCCAACAAAGAAAAGCAAATCCAACTGTTTTCCTTGGCTTCAGAATTAAAATAAAAACGATTCTTAAAATTGCTTTTCCACATTGTATTGTGAGGAGTTTCCATCACGCATGGGTTTTCCCTCCCCACAAGTGAGGCTGGTGTGACTGTGCCACGTGACAGCCTTTGTACACTGGGAGGCAGCCTCTCCAGGGCTTGGGTCCCACCCAGTCTCCGGTGGGCTGCCTCTGAATGTCCCCGCTTGGCCTGATGTGGTGGGGCCACACATCATGTGTCCGCATCCCTCTCACCACTGTGGTGCCACAGCCCAAGCAAGGGGCCACTTTGTGGGAAGAGCTGTCATTTTCATCAGATGGAGCTGTGTGTTCTGCCCTGCAGCAGAAGCTGCCGGCCTGGGATCCTCTTTTGAGTTCACCCCAAAGGTTAGAAATGAGAAAAGTTCCAGCAATTAAAAGAATAACAACAATAAATTGTCACTATGGCTCAAGCACTTTATATACATTATCTCACTTAATCTTCCCAACAGCCCTCGGAAGGCGGCCTGTTATTTGAGGGCCGCCATGCATGGTGGCCCCACTTGAGCACTGTGCTACTCTAGGGGACACAACTCACATTCATAGTCTTTATGTTTTTTATATTTATATTGTAGCAATTTTCTGATGCCCACAAAGATACTTTTAAGGCTAACAGCAAAGCTGACATTTATCCCTATTTGCAGTTGAGGAAACTATTGAGATTTGAGGATCGTGAGTCATTTGCCCAAATCACAAATTAATAAGTAGTAGAGCCACTAACAGATCCCAAAATAACCCCCAAAGATACCATACTGTGAATAAAGAGAAACCAAAGTGCCAAAGTGACTGGAAACCCAAAAGAGGTTGTTCTCTGACCCTCTAGGCAGGACGACGACAGGAGTGCTCTTGCCGTCATTAGGCCTGCAGATCCCAGGGAAGCCTCCAAATTAAATCCGGATCTCAGGAGTTGATTCATCATCAGTCCAGGTTGTAGTCCTGCCTGGAGGACTTACAGAACCACCCCCTCACCACCCGTCCTCTGGTCAGCACTGCCCATTGGTCTGTGATCACAGATGAAGGCCAATAATGGGTCCACGCCATAAGAGGCATCCCAGCACTGCAGGAGGCCTGAGAAGCGGGCCTCTGCCAAGGCAGTCAGGGAATCTGGAACTGCCAGCTGGCCCCTGACGTCGGGGTTCTGGGAAGCTAGAAGCCTGAGCTGTGCTTGAGTGAGTCTGGTGGACCTGAGCATGAATCAAGTTTGTGAAACTATCATCAGGACAGAAGACAGATGAAAACATCAACATTAGCTAGCAGGTGTTCCTACTAAGCTGTTGAAATGTATGGTGTGCTGGTAGGGAAGTATCCAAACCAGTTGGTAATCCAAGATGTGGGAGGGATCCAGATGAAGGAAAAGGCCCAGCTGATCAGGTGACCAGTAGTATTGCTAATAATGGCTGTCGTTTGTTGTGAATTTGGGTGCCCAGCTGTACTCTATCTCATTGGCTCTTAATAGCTCTATGAGTAGGGGACCATACATCCTGGTTGGCCCCAGTTGAGGTCTGTTGTCTTACGTAATTATTATTATTATTATTATTATTTTGAGATGGAGTTTCGCTCTTGTCACCCAGGCTGGAGTGCAATGGCACCATCTCAGCTCACTGCAACCTCTGCCTCCCGCTTTCAAGCAGTTCTCCTGCCTCAACCTCCTGAGCAGCTAGGATTACAGGTGCCTGTCACCACACCTGGCTAATTTTTGTATTTTTAGTAGAGACAGGGTTTCGCCATGCTGGTTGCGGTCTTATGTAGTTATTAATAGCACCCCCTTTTCACTCTCAATATTGTCCTGACTGAGCAACAAACTATATGATCCCATTACCTAAGAGAAAGGTATTATATCTGCATTTGGCAGTAGAGGAAACCCAAGTCTAGAAAGGTTAGGTCGCTTGTTCAAGATCACTTGGAAGTAAATATCACAACTGGGATTTAGCTGTCAACTGCTAGGTCCAAACCCTGCCTTGCATCAAGATTGTCTCTTCAACCAGTATGAATAAAAGGTGCTTGTTTGTTTAATGGCTGAGATGCAGCTTGCATGTTACTCACTGTTGACTGAATAAGTAGAAATAGCTTTCAGGTCAGCACAAGGGTGTGTTTTGTTGGATGTTGGAAAGAGCTGCTTGATCACGCAAGTGGTAAGACCCCAAAATGGGCATCTGGGATGAGCAGTGACACCCTCACCTTGGAGAACCTGGTGAAAGGACTGTGCATTGTTTGTCCTGGATGATTCACCATCAGCCCGGAGGCCAGGGAGGGCATATCCAGATCTCCAGCTGCCCTCCCCTCCTGGCTGAGGATGCTATGAATGATTCCCCACCAGAAGGCACCTGGGGAGTCTGGAGTCAATTCCCAAACCCTTCTAGTTCAGCTCTCATAAGACCATTGAATGAACCATTTATCCATCCATCCAGCCCTCCATCACCCACCCATTTAGCCTTCCCATGCAGCTAGCCATTGTGCATTGCTACTACCTGTCATGGGTGATGGGAGCCATGAGTCAGAGAAGCAGGGTAAGACAGATTTGCCTGGAGGAGTAGCACTGGGGGTTCGAATCTGCCTGATGCTTTGGGCTCTTGTGCTCCTGCCATTGGTGAATTGCTGGCTCCAGGAAGAGTTCATGGAGGAGGCGGGTTGTGGTCACACCATGAGATCATAGGGTAGAGGGGGATGTGGTTAGGGAGTGGGGGAGCTGGTTGCCTTTTCCGGGGGACAAGGACACTGCTGTTACTTTTTCACAGTGCGTTATTTGGGAACCATTTTGAGATTCCCCCAAAGTCTGTGCACTGAGGCCTCTGTGCCAGGAGCCTTGGCCAACAGAGCAGAGGCGGGGAAGAGTCTGCAGAAGCCATTTCAGAGTCCAGCTTCTGAGTTGGCTGCTGCATTTCCGGCAGTGCCTAGTGTGCTCTGGAGCCCTACAACTGGGAAAGCCCTAGACAAGAGGGAGAAGTCAAGGGCTGGGTGGACAGCACTGCCCCAGGGTGACTTTCTTGGGAAGTCCAGGCCTTGCCTGGGGCTGCTTTTCTGGACCAGGCTGAGAAGTTGGCACCAGGGCCACCTTGGCTGTTTGGATGGACTTGTTCCTCAAACACTGGGACAACCAATGTTTGTGTCTGCCTCACTGATCCCGGTAGCTCTTTGAGGCAGGGGCTATGACTATCCTCATTTCACAGATGAGCAAACAAAGGTAAGGGATGAAGCCACTTGTCCAGGGGCACAGTGCTACCAAGTGGTGGAGCTGGGCCCAGTAACAGATTTGTCTAACCCAGGGCCAGGTTTCTTACCCACACAATCCTAATTGGCCTCCCTGCCTTTGGGTGCTCTCTCCCCTGCAGTCTACACTGCATGCAGCTCCAGGGCTGTCTGTCTGACACCCACATCTGATCATGTCAGCGTCCTGCTTAAAAACAGACCTTGTGTTGTCATGCCTCCCTGCCTTTGCATGTGCTGTGCTTCCTGCCTCGAGTACCTTCCCCCACTGTCCTGGCTGATGCCTGCCTGTCTTCCTAAGTTGACCTCACCATGAAGCCATCCATTCAGTGAGGTCTTCCCTCCCTCCTTCAGCTCACAAGTGCAGCTGTGGCTGCTTCCAACTCAACACCCAAGACTCAGATTGCAGTCATCTGGTTATCTCCCTCCTGACTACAGCTTCTTTAAAAAGCAGGGCCAGGGCAGATTCCTCCTCTGACTACTGAGTATCC
The DNA here is from genome assembly GCF_000001405.40 of Homo sapiens. Taxonomy (NCBI): domain Eukaryota; kingdom Metazoa; phylum Chordata; class Mammalia; order Primates; family Hominidae; genus Homo; species Homo sapiens. The sequence goes on from NC_000009.12 coordinate 127,117,359, forward strand.
AGGATGGCACCTAGGTTACTAAATAGGAATTCAAGAACTTCATTTGTATAATGTATTTCCCAATAAGTTCTCCTCTTCCAGCCACTGTGCCAGCGGCTGGAGGTAGAACAGGAACAAGGTGGGTGAGGTCCTTACCCTCAAGGGGTCCACGGTAGTAGGTGAGACAGAGACTAGGCATTTGTAATGCAAAGAGATCCATGCCCAGATAGGGAAACTTGGGGGGCTGTGGGGCACCTGACCTAGCCTCAGAAAAGCCCTTGGCTGGACAACAGAGAGAGGAATGGTGTGGCACCCTGGGGTAGAGAAGCTTGTTTGCTTGAGAGCCTGGGCCTGAGGCTTGCTTCATTGATTCATTCATTCCACAGATATCTTTTCTACCTGGCCCTGAGTGGGTATTAGAGATTCGGCAGTAACTGAGACAGACACAGCCTTTCCCTCATGGAGGTTGGAGTGGGACCACCTCAGGCAGGACTTTAAGGATTCTTGGAGCTGGGCAGGTCCTCAGGCATCTCTTGAAGATAAGAACAGAGTCCATTCTGGGCTTTTCCTTGGTGGTCTTGGTACTGCCTGTCTGGACAACTAGGCAGCAGGGGGTTGCTGAGGCTCTGGGGCTGCTGGCCCCAGACAGGCTGATTTCAGCAGAGAATGGACTGACACAATAGTTCAGTTGTGAGAGGCCTGGCTCCCCACACCCAACATTTTATTTTTTATTTTTGAGATGGAGTCTTGCTCTATCACCAGACTGGAGTGCAGTGGCGCGATCTCAGCTCACTGCAACCTCCGCCTCCCGGGTTCAAGGGATTCTCCTGCCACACCCAACATTTTAACATTCCTGGGACCAAAATGTGGCTTGTGATTGATGTGTACATGTGACAGGCCATCGTAACGTTGTAACCCCCAACACTGTTATGAACTCAGTCATATGGCTCACAGTCCATGTGAAAGAACACAGTTTTGTCATAGAAACTACCCCCAGAATGAGGCTTCTGACGTGACCAGTGTATCACCACAAACTCCAAGCTGCCTGTGGCTGAATAACTCTTCTATTTGGGGTGTTTTATATAAATTCACAAAAAAGAAATGCTATTCAATGAATTGATTCTTTCTTGAGATTTCCACAGTGTGGTTGTCCAGGATGGCAGCAGGCTGGGGTGGAACCAGCACAGGTCTGGGTTTCAATCTTTGCTTTTTGGCCCATGCATGGAGAGACCGTGGGAGAGGTGCTGCACCCTGACCCCCAGTTTCCACTTCTGTAAGACGGGGACAGCACCACCCACCTTGAGGACCCTCTTAGCTCCTTGTGCCACCTCTTTACAGCTTTCACACAGTTGTGTGTTTGTGTGATTATTTACTGTCTGCCCAGTCCTGCTGGGCTGTGGGCTCTATGAAGCAGAGCCCCTCCCCCATCTGCCTGCTGTCAGTTGAGACCATTCCAGATTAAATGGGCTGTGATTCAGAGAGGCCAGTTGCTGAATGTACCTGCTTTGGCAGGGCTGCTGTCTGTTATGTTTGTTCTATTGTAGCTACCCATTGCCATCTCCCTGATGTTTTCTCAGAAATTGCTCGTGTGTGGCCCAGTGTGGGTGATGAGGACCTGAGCTCTGATTCTTCAGTCCTAAAGGAGCCTCCAAGTACGGATGTAGAAAGCGCATCAATAGTATCTTAGTCACATGGACCAGTGTTTCCCTGAGGCTCTGCCCCCACTGAGCTGGGGACAGAGTTTCCTGGTGCTGATGTGGTGAGACAGTATCGCAGAGCACCCAGGCACGTGGAACAAGTCAGCCAACCTGGTTTCGAAGCTCAGTTCCTCTTGTCACTGACCATATTACCACATAACAGGTACCCTCATAACTGTGCTGAGGCTCATCTCTAAGAGTAACAGTCATGCCTATTTTGCCTCAGAAGTAGGCTTCCATGAAGAGCAAGGGATGCGCTAAAGTTGAGTAAGTCCATGGTTTTCAGAGGGGTTGGTGCAGCATTCGATAGGACAGCAACCAAAGCAGATGTGGCTACTGACGACACTGGGCAGGGACCCAGTGACAGTCAGGATAAGAGAAGTTGAGGTGTCTAAACAAGGCACTGAAGTGAGAGGAAGTCAGGGGCTTTGGAGCCAGACAGAGCTGGGTTCCAGTCCCACATAATCACATAACTGTGTGACTTTGGGCAAGTTAACCTCTCGAGACTTAGTTTTCCCATCTGTAAAATGGGATGCTAAAACTAGAACCTACCTTCTAGGGTTGTGGTGAGGATGAAATGACATAATGTATATGCCTTATTTAGCCCAGTGGGTACTTCCTAAATCACTGGGGGATGGAGGGCCAGATGGAGGAACAGCTTATTTGCTCTGCCCGTGAGCTTCAGCAATAACATGTAGTCCCCTGCTGGACCATGTGCGTTACACATTTTTGTCTGTTCCACCCAGACTGCCTCATTAGTAGTAAGTAGTCCCATTTTTTTTGCCAAGCTCATGAAGTCAGTCAGAGCCTCTGCTCATCCTAAGCTGCCCAGAGAAGACAGTGAGCCACCATGGTTCCAGGCTGGAGCAGGGAAACCTGTGGCTTCAGTAGCCCCAGAGGCCTTGTGCTAGAGAAGCAAATACTTGATGTCACCTTTTCAAAATGCTTCCAAGCGTGCAGGGAGCCCACTGGAACCTCAGGGGGCCACAGCACAGAAGCTCCTCTCCTGGGCTAAGATGTATCAGTGTTGTCTGGTGTAAGATCCACCAGACATGGCCACCATAGTGCCAGACTTGGTGATGGCCATTCCTTGCCTCTTCCTCTGCAACTCCGGGGCAAACCTGACTATGGATCCTCCTGATTTTGTGAGCTTCCCACAGCACTAAGGTAGCTGCATTTTCTTATCCACTATGGTTCTGCTGGGGAGATCAATAGGCAGACAGGCAGTGCCCATGTGGGAAGCAGGATGCCCTTCCTCCTGTAAGGTTGGTATTAGATCCTTTTGTTAATATGTCTGCACTTTTTCTTAGTATGGACTTCTAGGATGCAGGCATGCTGCAGGTGGCCCCAAACCCAAACCCCAGACATAAAGCCCCCCTCTCCTCAGGCTCCTGGAAAGCCCTCCAGTGTGGGCAGTGATAGTAGCCACAGTATTATCTCTGTCTCGTGGGATTTTCTGAAAACCCTAGCAGGATATGTCCAGAACAGGGAAAGAATTTGGGTCTCTGGCCGGGTGCAGTGGCTCACGCCTGCAATCCCAGCACTTCGGGAGGCCGAGGTGGGCGGATCACGAGGTCAGGAGATCGAGACCATCCTGGCTAACGTGGTGAAACCCGTCTCTACTGAAAATACACACACACAAAATTAGCTGGGCGTGGTGGTGGGCACCTGTAGCCCCAGCTACTCGGGAGGCTGAGGCAGGAGAATGGCGTGAACCCAGCAGGCGGAGTTTGCAGTGAGCCGAGATCATGCCACTGCACTCCAGCCTGGGTGACAGAGCGAGACTCCATCTCAAAAAAAAAAAAAAAGAATTCGTGTCTCTGCTCTTCCCTTCCCTCTGTGCCAGTCCTGATTGTTGTGGTTTGTAATCATCAGTGACCAAGGTTTGCTCAGGGTTTGCTGTGCACCAGGCACTAAGCCAAGGCCTTCCTAGGCATGGGCGCCTAGCTTTCTCCTAGAAAGCAGTAGGGTGTGGTTGAGTGGCTCCGGAGCCACACCACTGGGTTCAAGTCCTGGTCCTGGCACTTACTAGCCATGTAGCCATGGGCACATTACTTTACCTCAGTTTCCTCACCTATAAAACAGGGATGAATAATAATGCCTGTGCTATAGGGTGGTCATGAGGATTCTACAAGTTGAGTCTGGCATAGAGTAAGTGCAATATAAGTGTTAGCTGTTACTCTCTGGCCATTGTTACCACCTGGGCAGTATTATCCCATTTCACAGATAAGAAAACTGAGGTTTAGAAAGGCTAAGTGTTCTGCCAGAGCCATTGGCTAGTAGGTAGAAGAGCTGGGATTTGAAGCCAGCTCATGAGGACTGCCCTACTCTGCCTCCATTTGGAAAAATACATGTGGGGAGCATTTGGCCGGCTTTGGAAGTGGCATTCTCAATTTTCCCCAGAGAGTGGGGTGAAAGGAGATGCTTTTCCAAGTAACTGAACTGGCCTCTGGGAGCTCTCATAATCCTACAGCAGAGGCAAGAGCTGACCCATGACACACATATCATAGAAGGAGAAGGGAAGGATCAGTGAAGAATTTGTTTGGAAATGTTATCTAATACTGAGTGCTTTCAGGCGACTTGGTATGTGGAGCCCCTGCTGTCCCCTTGCGGGGGTACCAGGGAAGCCGCATCCTCCCTGTATCTTGGCCACATCCACTCAGTTGGAGACCCGGGGTACCATCCAGTGCAGCAGCCCCTGGGTGATGCGTCCGTTCCCGTGCTGGGTGCCTCTGCTCTCCTCGCCAGCTGGAGGGTGTGAGCAGAGGCAGCCCAGCTCCTGTAACTCTCCGAGCAGGGGCTCCCAGCGCCTCAGCACAGCGCTTGCCTTTGCCTCACATTGTCCCGGCCTGGGGGCATAGGAATCCAAAGCTTCAAAGTGACTACCCAAGTCCTTGGGCCACCCCTGCCTTCTGCAGCTCTTCAGTACGCTGCCCTCTAAGCACACACCTACACACACGCACACTCCCAGCTGCTCTGCCGTGCCGGGAGCTGCCGGCCGGCACCCCAAAGGCTCTTTGTCCAAAAGAGGAGAGTGAGGCTTACTCATGAAGTCCTCGAGATGCCAGCCCATGATCATGTGCCCCCAAACACCACCAAATGTCCACAGGTTCTGCCCCGGACATGCCTCGTTTGGCTCCAAGCGATAGCAGGGAGTGACCCTCTGAGATCCAGCAGCACACACCCCCAGCTGGAGGGTCAGGGTTCTGGAAGCCCTAGCCACGGGGCCAGCGGCTGCCTCTCGCCCCTGCCTCTCATGGCCGCAGAGCTGGCCCCTTACCTCTTCCCTCCTGCTTGGCTCCGGGGCGGCTCCTCACATGCTTCACCCTGGCCGTCAGCGGGGCAGCCTGTCCATGGCCTCTGGAGGGGTTCCTGAGTTGCAGGCCGGTGGCTGCCAAGCAGCCCTGCCTCACTGGGCTCCACTGGCTCTGCCTCCACAGAGGGCTCCGGCAGAGGCTGGGGCCAGGGCTGGCCAGGGGTCCTGCGGGGCTGCTCACAACCTTCTTTCCCTCACAGTAGCGTCAGCCGCTGCCTCAGTGCCACGCTCGGCAGGTCCAGGGCTTGGGGTCCATCCTCAGGCCGTCCGCAGCAGCCTCATTTGAACTCCCAACTCCTTTGTGGAGCCTTTACATGCCGCCAGAGGAAACTGTGAGCACAGCCTGACCCTGGTTGGCTGCAGGCGCTTCTCTCCACCCACCAGTGCAAGAGGATCCCCCAGGCCCCAGAAAGGCTCCGGGCCTCCCCTCAGCCCCAGACAGAGGCGGGCCGCCCGGTGATGTCACACGAGCTCCGGCCCCAGCTGGCCTGGCCCCTCCCGCCCAGCCCGCTTTGGCGGCCTCGGCAGGCCCCCTCCTTCCTTGGCACGGGCAGCCTGGCCAGCTCTGCTCCCTGGCCCGCCCTCTCCCCAAAGCTCAGGCAGCTCCCGCGTGCTGCGAGGCGGAGCGCTTCCCCTTTGACTCAGGGAATGGGTTTAGATCCGCTCCAGCTGTGCGTGCAGCCGCGTGCGAGCAGCAGGCAGCGGGTCCTCCCCCTGGATGCCTCGTTGGGCACTGCCCCACTGAGCCCCAGGCTGGCGGGCGGGGCAGCTCAGCCCAGAGCGCCTCTCCCCATCAGCCGCCCTTCGTGGAGGCCTCATTCTCATCTCTAAACCCTGGGGAAAGGAGTCCAAGGCTGTCCACACAGAAGCTGTGGCATCGGAGCTGCTCGAAGTTAGCAGGAGGCAGTGGCTTAGGACAGTGGAAATACCACAGGCTGAGGGTGGAGGCAGCCCTGGAGGAAAGCTCTGTGACTTCACACCTGAGTGGCTTTGATTAATTCACTTCACCTCTCTGGGCATCCCTTCCATGCATCGGTAAATGAGCTAATTAATACTAGTAATCTACCTGCAACAGCTGCAGCGAGGACTCTGTGAGGTCACGTGGGAAGGAGCTTGGCACAGTGTCAAGGACGCCTCCTTGAACTGAGCTTAGGACTCTGGAGATGGGTGGATCAAGGGTCTCCTGCTCCCAGAACCTCTGCTTTGTGATCCTCTTTAGCCTGTGTTTTCATCAAAATGTGACCTCCTATTGGGCTCTTCTAGGAACAAACACTGGAACTGCATCAGAGTCCTCAGCATGGAGCCAGCCGCATAGGTGGAGCTCTGTGAATGTTGATAGAATCAGAGTAAGAAAGGAGAGGATGGCACTGGACCCCATGATGCAAGCATCCTCCAGACACGTCAGCACTGGCAGCCTGGGAGAAGGTACAGTCAGTGCAGGAGGACAGGCCTGCTGCCGGGCACCCTGCGGGGATACAGAGAGTAGGAGGATGGCAGGCACCAGGAAGGGAGCCCCAGGGTACAAGTTTGCCCCTCTGCTTGGACAAGAACATGTGAAATATTGGTGGTATCTTTGCTTTTTTAAAAAGGTGTTAGTGATGATGGTGGTGATGATGTTTGGGAACAAATTGGGAGAAAAACTTTAATGGGACTCTCCCTGCCCCTAGGCATCCTCCCTACTACCAGGCACCCGTCCCAACCCTGTGGCAGATTCCTCTTTCAGAGATGGCCCAAGCAATCTCTCCCAGTCCCCAAGGAGACCCTGACACTTCACCCATGGAGCGGTGAGGTCCCTGCTCCTCGCCTTGAACCCGAGAGGGTTTGTGACTTGCTTGTGACCAGAGGAATGTGGTGGAAGTGGCACCACCTGACTTCTGAGGCTGGGAGAGGAAAGGCAGCGCAGTCTCTACCCTGTTCACCAGGGCACTCTCTTTTGAAGCCCCGAGCTAAGCTGGAGCCTAAGAAGTCCAGCTAGAGGCCACACACAGTGTAGGTCCCAGCTGACAGGAGCATCAGCCGCAGACACGTGAGCAAGGAAAGATGCCTGTAGATGATCCCAGCCCTTAGCCACAGAGTCACCCCAGATGCTGCATCACTGTCAGCTGTAGAGTCTTCCTGTTGAGGCCCCACACACTGGGGAGCAGAGAGAGCCATTCTACTGTTTCATCTCCAAATTCCTGACCCACAGGCCCCATGCGTATAATAAGATGGTGGTTTTAGGCCGCTAAATTTTGGTGGTAATTTGTTACACAGCATTAGTAACTGGGATAGACTCGGGCAAGAGCAGTTGGAGGGAGCCCTTTAGAGGAGCTGAGAGAAGTACATTGTGGCTGAGGAGAGAAGATGGGGTCTTGTTAGAGAGGTGGAACTTTATTCCAAAGACAGTAAGGAGCCACTGAAAGGTTTTGAGCAAGACAGTGTTGAGACTTGGTTTTATTTTTTAAAGGCTACATTAGTTATTGAGTGGAGACTGGATTAATGTGAGCTACAGACAAAGTGTCCTAGGACTTTCCCACCCTCTGGTAACAGGTCCAGCACAAGCCCCTTGGTTACTGAAAGAAAGTTGTTTTCACTATTCAAAGTTCTTAGGATCCCCTCAGTGGAGAAGGAGCACCAGGGTGTCTTGCCCCATCCGTCTTTGCACACCTCCCGCCCCACTGGTGGCATTGGGCAGTCAAAATTGGTGGCATTGGGCACTGGGGAGCTCAGGAGTCAGATTCTAGTTCTACCATTTGGTTGCTCTGACCCTCACTTTCCTCATCTGTAAAATGGGGATGATATGAGGATCTCCCTCACAGGGCTGTGGGCTGTTGAGAAAATGAAATAAGATGTGATACATTAAGTGTAACACACACTGCCTAGTACAAGGCTCAACAAAAAGCTCTTGTAGTTTCTGTTGCTTCCTTCGTTGGGCTGTGAGTCCCCTGAGGCAGGGGTGTGTGCGGGCCATGTAGCGCCCTCCTTTCGTGTAGCCCAGTACAGAGGAGTGAATAAACGAACTGCTGGCTGGAGGAGGATGAAGAGCCATGGCTCAAAGTCTAAGGGACCTGTGCTCAAATCCCAGCTCTCTCACTAATCTCGGGCAACTTTCTTATTCTCTCCGAAGCTCTGTTTCCTCACTTGTAAAAAGGGGATGCTACTACTCCCAGGGTTACTGTGAGGATTGAGTAAGATGATGGGGCTGAAGCATTCGGCCCTGCGCCCGGCTGCAGCATTTAGCGGTTGCTCAGGAAATTGCTGCTGTTGCTTCTGCTCCTGCCCTCAGACTTCTCCCCACTCCCACCCTGATCCTCTCCAGCATGCTTCTAACTTGGTGACTCCTGGATCTCCGTGTCCCCCTGACCTCCTTGAGCACCGTTCCCACATTTCCACTTGTCTGTCAGACAGAAGCATCATGTGACTAAAGCATTTGAGGAGAAGGGAATCTTCCTTTCCTTTTTATAGTTTTTATCATTTAATGTGTGACTTTTTAAAATTTTATCAGTAAATGCGTGACATTTACATGGTGGTAGAATACAAAGATTCTTCATGTAAATGACACAATTCGTAAGAATGATTTCGTGTCTTACCACCTTCCTGACAGTTGCAGGTTTTTTTCTGTTGGAAACAGCGGGATGGTCCACTGGGAGACTGCGTATATATGAGGAGCGGTGGGTCAGGGGATGCAGGTATACTGTGTTCTTAGAGGGGTGTACTTGGGAGGGGGCAGTTTTGCTGTATCTTGCATTCTCAGAGTGCCACCATTATTTGAAGCTTCACACATCCCAAACTGACTCTTTCCCATACCCCACCCCACCCCTACCCCCAACTCCCTGCTACCTTCAGTACTTTTTAAATGTCTTTCTGTTGTCTTCTGACCAACATTGTTTCTGTTGAGAAGTCAACTGCCTTCCTTATTGTTGTTCCTGTATACATAATGGATCTTCTGTTTTCTGGCTTCTTTTAAGATTTTCTCTTTATCTTTGATTTTTTAGCAGTTTGACCATGATGTGACTAAGTGTGGTTTTCTTTGCCTTTATTCCATGTGGGTTTACTGAGCTTCTTGGACCTATATGTTTTTACTAAATTTGGGGATATGGGGAGAATTTTTAGCCATTATTTCTTAATTTTTTATGCTCAATTATCTCTCCCCTCTCCTTCTAGAACCCCATTTACACACTTGTTCTTCCACAGGTCACTGAAGCTTTATTTGTTTATCTTTTCTTGTCTCATGCTTCAGTTTGGATCACTTCTCCTTCCTGTCTTCACATTTGCTAACCTTTTGTCTACAGCATTTAATCGGCTGTTAATTTCGTCTAAAGTATTTTATGTCAGATACTACAATGTTTGGTTCTAGAATTTTCACTTGGTTTATTTTTATAATTCCCATTTCTGGGATTCCATATCCACTGATTCATTCTATCTTTCATGTTCTCAAAATCCTGTGCATGTTTATAATAGCCATTTAAAAATCCTTGCCTACTAATTCCAACATCTGGCTCATTAGTGAGTTTGATTTTACTGCTTTTTTTTCTTGATTATGGGTCATATTGTCCTGCTTCTTCACATGTCTATAATTTTTTATTGTATACTGGACATTGTGGATGATACATGAAAGACATTCTGTATTTTCTTGTCTTCCTCTAAAGAATGTTGGGTTGTGTTCTAGCAGGCAGTTAAATTACTTTGCCTTCTGTTGTGCTCCTTGGAGTCTCTCTACTTGTATACAGTTTAGGAGTTAGCTAAGGATTTGAAGGGAATTGGTGTAGTAATTTTGGGGCTTTCTCTTCTGTAGTTGTGTCTTTTCTGGCATTTCCCCACTAACTTTCCACCCTCAAAGTCCAACCTCTTTCCCATCTTCCCAGACAGTAGACTGCTGCTTTCTGTTTCAGATTCATTCTTCTGTGTGTCACCGTGAACTGGGAAATGCTCTAGTATGCTTTCCTTCTCCACTGATTTCAAGCAGGTCTTTTTAAATTTTTTTAATATTTTTGGTCCAGAGTTTGTAATTGTTATTGACCAGAGTAGTTGTTCAAAACAGTCCACTCCTCCATTTCAGGAACTGGAACTCCATATCCCAATGAATTTGTTTTCTCACCCAAACCTTCTGTACCCGTTCTGCTGTTGGTGCTCTGCCATGAGCCTAGTTGGTTGGTTGTCCTTCATCCAGTTGTCTGTCCTCCCTGCTTCTGATCATAGTCTGTTGGGAAATGTCAACCCCAAGATCCCAGGTTGGTACATCTCAGTGTACCACCTGAGCACTAGAAGGTGAAAGAGATGTACTGTCCTCACAAGCCCTGTTGGAGCACCTTATGTAGCTACTTGTGATGTGCTAGACATTGAGCTCAACATTTATAGGTATCACTTCATTTTAAAACCATATGAGTGAAATATTACTATTCTATTTTACTAACAAAAAGATTGAGACTTAGCAAAGTGAGGTTCCTTGTACCAGGCCACACAGCTAGGAAATAATGGGACTGGGAATAAAATCTGCATCAAAGCTAGGAGGAACACGATTGTCCTGAAAAAAAAAAAATTTTGCTTGTTTTTATTGTTATTATACTTTAAGTTCTGGGGTATATGTGCACAACGTGCAGGTTTTTTACATAGGTATACATGTGCTGTGTTGGTTTGCTGCACCTGTCAACTCGTCATTTACATTAGGTATTTCTCCTAATGCTATCCCTCCCCCAGCCCCCCACCCCCCTCTCTGTGTCCATGTGTTCTCATTGTTCAGCTCCCACTTATGAATGAGAACATGTGGTGTTTGGTTTTCTCTTCTTGTGTTACTTTGTTGAGAATGATGGTTTTCAGTTTCATCCATGTCCCTGCAAAGGACATGAACTCATCCTTTTTATGGCTGCATAGTATTCCATGGTGTATATGTGCCACATTTTCTTTATCTAGTCTATCATTGATGGGCATTTGGATTGCATCTAAGACTTTGCTATTGTGAACAGTGCTAAAAGTTGCTCTTGTTTAATACCAGCATGCTGCTTCTTGTTTTAAGGTCTCTGACCAATCAAGATGCTTCTCACCATCAGTGGTGTGTCATAGTCTAATTGGCAGCACTTTTTCTTTCCTAGTAGAATGTGATGCTTTTTACAGTTGATGACTTGTCAGATTCAAGGAAGTGTGGCAGTTTTAGTCATCAAGGCCCCAGTGAGGTTGGCCTGTGGCTGAGGAGCCAAAAGGCAGAGCCCCTCCTCTCCTGGTCAGCTGGCCTTGGAAAGGTCTTGGGGAGTGTCCAGGCATCAAGAAGCCTGTGGAACTGCCAGAAGCCTCCATCAGTCCAGATTTAATAAAACAGCTGCCACTAGACTGAGTGTGAGCCAGCTGGTCCCCTCCTCTCTTGAAGGCGCGTGGTCAGGTCCTGTGACTCTCCGCACCATGCCGGGTGGGGGAACCACATGTTCCCTGGCTCTGGTGAGGAGAAGTTAGGAGACTTGGACTTGTGGGACGATTCTAAGGTGGTGCTACTGTCCAGTGTCACAAAGGATATCCAGGCACCGTGCAAAGCCCTTTGAGGACACTGTGACTGTTAAATGCTGGCCAAACAAGTATATCCAAAAGTCATAACAGGATGCATGCTTGGGTACAAAGCAGCTTTGAGAGCCTGTTGTTAGCTCACGTGTGACTTCTCAACTCACTTGCCAGGGGACCGTGAGGACAACACCTCTCCTCAAGTGTGGGTGTCACCTAACAGCCAACAAATATTCGTTTTAAGCTCCATCTGAGCACCAGAGTTGGGCTCTAGGTCAATTTGCCCAAAGACAATTTGCTGAGAATTTTAGCTGACTGGTTTTCATTTTGTTTCGTAACAGTATTTTAAGGCGTGTCCAGCTCTCTCATACCATAGCTGGTGCATGGCCCCATCCCCAAGAGAGGAGACTGAGGACTGGCAAGAGTAGAGATTTAATTTTCATTTGCTGGTTTGCTTTGTTTCTTCATAGCGAAAAATTCATAGACACTTTCCAAAGCTGTTTAAAATAATTCCCATCCAATATAAATTTTTTAAAAATATTGTCACTTCTGGAACATTGTCTGTGCCAGACAGGACCTATATCCCAAACAGGAGACAAGGTACTGAGGACAGCTTTATAGTCAGTGGGGGGGGATTCCAACCCCCTTACACAGGTACCTGCTGAAATTCCCATTCCAAAGACCAGCCAAGCTGTTGCTGACCTTGTTTATCTTTCCTGGGACCCAAGGAGGCAGCTGATTAGATAAACGAGGGCTTCTGGCAAAAGACTGATAGAGTGAGCCTCTCAGGAATGAGAGCAGGGTGGTGTCACCCCAGATGGAGGTGCTGGTGCTGGACAACAGGGGCTGCTGGCAGCGACCTTTCTGACTAGTAGGTCTGATGTTGGGGGTTTCAGGGGCACCCACATAGGCCCTGCAGGGAGTAAAGGCAGCCAGTGCAGGAGGCTTGCTTCAGTCCTGCCAGCCTCCAGACTACCCCACCGCCTTCTCTCTTCCCTCCCTGGGCTGGGCTGGGTAATCCTGGCTCAGAGGCCTGCAACCCTGGAGGGCAGGGATCTGTTTTTCCTGTCTGCTCAATATTCTTCATCTGCTCCCAGGATCTGCTCTTTGGCACCCTGCCCTGTGCCCAGATGCTGGCTGACCTGTGGGGATTGCCTCTATGGGCTCTCTTACCTTCTGGATTTGGGTTAGGGCTGGCCTGTGGCAGGTGCCCACAGGAAGTGAGAAGATAGGAAGCGAGTGAGGACACGTGTGTCACCAGCTCCCTCCCTGTTGGACCATAGGTGACTTGGTCGAGTCGATAGGAGTCAGCTAGGCTTGGGTTTGAATTCCACCTCCACCCCTTATTAGCCCTGTAACTTATGAAATTTACCTATCCTCCCTGAGTCTCAGTTTCCTCATTTAAGAACTGGAGATAGTAATATCACCTTCCCAAGATGGCCGGGAGTAAAAAGTGAGACATTGTGAGTACAGATGTCCTAGTGCAATATTGGAGACATAGCAGGTGCTCAGTAAATGCTGGCTTTCTTCATTTAGTAATTTGGAGCCTTGTTATCTTGGGTTTCTAATACACTTGGGTCCTCTGAAGGTCATCAGTCATTTTGTATCTCTCCGGACAGCTTTCCTTTAAGTTGTCCCTTTTTGGTTTGCACATCTGTCACTGTCCCCAGAACCACTGCCATAGAGCCTGACTACTAATAGTCCTTTAGTCAAAGAAGTATTTCTCTGCCTTTTCCTTTGCCTGCAGCCTGTATATGAAGTCTGCTTAACCAAAGAAAAGAATCCTTTTAACATAGTGGAAAGCAAGCTTATGGAAAGACAGTGCATGTATTGACATCCAAAAATAATTCATAATATTCACTGAGCACTTATTGATCCTTGCAACAACCTTATGAGCTACGGTAGATTCTTTTATTATTCCCCAGTTTTCAGATGAAGAAACTGAGGCTCAAGTTAATGGACTTGTCCAGGGTCACACAATGGGCCAGTGTTGACCTTTGGCCAGTCTGGCACCCAGAAGCCTGCCCTTTCAACCTCTTCGTTATCTGCCTATGTGATGGAGAAGGCTCAGCTCTCCAGGCCCTGGGGACCATGTCATTTTAGACAATTGAATTGGCTAGAAAGCTACAGGGTTATCTCTTTCAACATACAGTGTTTTAAAATTTGTATTTATTCTTGTTATGTTTCTGCACAGACCCACACATGCATATGTGCACTCGCCTCCATAAACTTGGCTAATTACACTATTGGCCGCTCCTTGGTGACTCAGTCGTCTTGAATAGACTAGCTTGACTGTGGGCTGTGGGGGTGGAGGGCAATGTTGACAGGAGCCCTGTAAGCCCCAGGCAGCCGTGTTTGTTGGTACTTTCCTAGCAGCCTCTCATCCCTCTCCTGATTTGTTGCTTCTCACCCAGCTGAGATTCCAGAAAGCTGACAAGAGTTATTTGTAAATAAAAATAACTGGTCACTAAACTAGTCTAAAGGGCTCTCCTGTGAGTAAAGTAACTGAGACTCACTGCCTGGACTTGATTACATCAATATTGGGTACTCACAGGCCTTTGAAGCTTGCAAGACCTCTGTTCTTATGTAACAGCCAACAGCCGCCATCTGTTACACACTCACCACATGCCTGGCACTGGGGAGGCCTCCTGTGTGGATTACGTCATTGAGTTCTCAAAAACGGAGCCTCTCAGGAGAAGTTCTCTTTGTCCGTCTTCCATTTTAACTGATGAGGTAGCTCAGGCTCAGAGTGGTGAGGGAGTCTACATCTACGCAGCCAGTAAGCAGCGAAGTCAGGATTAGACATGGGCCTGTTTGACCCGGAGTCCACACTCTTAACAGACTTCAGTCTCTACAGCTTCCCAGCAGTGTGAGGTTGGGCAACTTAGGGAGGCTCCTGACCCTCGTGTCTTCATCTGTAGGATCATCCTGTTTATGTCCAGAACTATTGTGAAGGTTCCTGGAGGTGTGTGCTTGAGATATGCATAGCAGGCACCCAGTCAGTGGTGGGTCCTTGTGCTCACCACTTCAGCCCATCCTAGGTCAGTGGTTCTCGAGCTTTTGCGCTTCAAGATCAACTGAGGGCTTGTTAAAAGTTTGCTGGGCCCCACCCCCAGTTTCTGATTCAGTAAATCTGGGGCCCGGGAATTTGCATTTCTAACAAGTTCACATGAGGCCCTTGCTGTGGGAACCACTCCTCGAGATAGAGGAGTTTGCCATGAAGGAGAGTCAGGACTGGGCTGGCAGTGACCATAACCTGCATCTGAGAGCTGTTTGGTGAGTGCAGATGCTGGTTACGTATCATGCAGGAAAAATGCGGTTTGGCTTTTTTCAGGCATTTCCTGGGAGCTGGCTGTCTTGCCCTTTCACTCTTCTGAGTGTCATTGACCCTGGGAAAATGTAGCATTTAAGCCACATTGTGATGTCTGAATGTGAAACAAACTTCATTCGACTGATTTCATTAACACGTCCCTGATTTCCAATTGCTTTCCTGATACAGAAAAGGAAATAAAGGGTACGTTAAAAAAAGGTTCCTATAAATCGTCTTGCAGAAATTACTTCTGTGAATTATCTACCACCACCACAACAAAACACCTGAAGCATGGCTCAGACTAGGTATACTTCTGCTTCGCCTTGGAATTTTAGGTTCATTGACACGATGGTGTGATCAGTGTTCTTCCCTCCCCAGCACGCTGTAAGGGTGGAGCAGCCACCTCATTGCCTTTGGGTCTCCAGTGCCCAGCACAGTGCTTGACACACACCAGGGGGTGCTCAGTCAGCATTGCTGTCACACAAATGAGTGAAGGGTGCAGCACCGGGTACTAGAGTCAGAGGGACCTGGGTTTGAACCCTGGGCCTGCCCTTCCCAGCTGAATGGCCCTGAGCAAGTAACTTAACATGGGCCTCATTTCTCCTTTTCTAAATTGGGGATTATAAAAATAATACCCATATTTCATAAGGTTGCCATGAGAATTAAATGACATAAAATATCCAAAGTGCCTGCCATATAGTAAGTACCTAATTTTTTCTTCATAATCATCATCAACATCTTCATCCTCATCCTCACCCTGCCAGGAAGGCCAGTGTACTGGTATAGACTGTGGGCTCTGGAACCAGACTTTTAGGTCCAAATCCCAGCCCCACTGCATGCTAGCTGTGTGCCCTTATTCATGTCACTTCTCTATGCTTCAGTGTCCTCATCTGCAAAGCAGGGATGAAAAAGCACCTACTTCATAGAGTTCTCGTGACCATTGAGGACATGTACATGTTAGGTGCATGACTGCATGGCTGGCACATGGTAAGCGTTAACTCTTTCCCCACCACCTTCACAGAGGGGCAGGGAAGGAGCCTGTGGAGAGAGCGGCGTGGCCCCATGGGGAGGGAATGGGAGGAGGAGGCACCGTGCACCCTGGGGAGGCTGCCCTGCCCGGTGCCCCGGACCCTCAGCCCCAGTCCCCAAGGGGAGAGAAGGGCAGCCTAGCAGAGAGTGAGAGTGGGTAAAGAAAGATCCTCAGGCTTCTGACACTGGAAACCCCCTCTTCCTGGCAGCCCTTGGAAGCGCAGCTCAGTCTTCACTGTGAGTTGACAGACTCAGCTGGTTTTGTTTACTCAGCGAGCTTGAGAGCATGCCGAGGTGGCGTCCCCGTCTGCAGAGCCGCCTTTGCCTGCAAATATCACCCCCTTTCTGCTACCTGCCAGCCAGGGCTGTGGGTGGGGTGGACCCAGTAGGGACAAGCCCCACCCTGCCACCCACTCACCCACCGGCCTGCCCTTGCCTTTCTTCCTCTGCCAGGCTCTTTCTGGGCAGCCCCAGGTTTGGCCCTCCTTCCCGGCATTGTCAGAGAAGCTTCCAACACCTCAAAATCCACCCTAGGGGGACCCTCTCCATTTTCTTTAACATGGAACCAAAACTCTCCTGGTTTCTATGTGTGCAGAAACGTTTGGTAAACAGAATGCTTAAGCCGTGACTTGCTGGAAGGGGCAAATCCCAGCTGACACCCCAGACACTCGGCCTATTTTGGGCCTGGTCTCTGTGGTCAGAGTGTTTATCTTTGGGCCCCCAGCACCCACTGTGGGTGTCAGATGCTCCTTTCCTGACTGAGTGTTGGCCCTGCCTGGTCCCCTGCCCCTGCCTCCTAGGCTGCTCCGGATAATGCCCAGTATCCCCTTAGTAAATGCTCTTGTCCTCGCTCCCCCCCCCGTGAATGCTGTGATTCAGCACACACAGAGAGGAGCTTCACGTAAGAAAGAAAATATTCACGGCCGCCATCCAGCTGCAGCAGGCGCCGGGAGACAGCTGCCGGCTCCTGCCTGGCCACGATGGGATGGCTGCCCACCCTCCACACACAGGGGGGGTCTCTCCTCCTTTGTTTTTTTAAAGACCCACAGTCTCTTTTGGTTGCTACACTAAATGCAATTTAAATCTGTATTCCGAACACCTCTGATAAGCAGCAGATAAATAGAATCCTGGAATTTGGAGGACATCACCCATTCCACAAAATACATGTTACAGGCCTGCTGTGTGCCTGGCACTGTGCTAGGTTCCTCTGCAGAGCTGGGAGCAGCCTGGAGGACACTGAGCCAGTGGCTTGGATCCTTTCCCCACCTAAGACCCCTTTCATTACCTCTTCTTAGCTCTGGGTTTTGAAAAAATCTATCAGTAATAATAGCAGCCATGCTACTGTGAAGTTGAGTATGATGTGAAGCTCTTTGTTAATTCATTTCTTCCTGTCCATCATGCCTCACCATAGGTATGATGATTCTAATCTCCACTATACAGATGAGGAAACCGAGCCCTAGAAAAGAGAAAAATCTTGCCAGGGTTACAGAGCAAGGTCTTGCTCCCTAAACTGACTCAGATCTTCATTTTGTTTTTGTTGTTGTTGTTGTTTTTTACTGTTGCAATGTATACAGTCTCTGTGAAACATGCTGCTTATATTAAATAAAAATAAATGTCTTACCCCTTTATTTTTAAAAACTCATAGCTCACTGTTCAGAGCTTCTGAACAGCTGAGAGTAATCATTATAATGTCTGTCAGAGTAAAACCAAAGTAATGGTTCCCTGCCCAACACCCATGCTCAATTCCTTCTCCACCCCCTCTCCGGCCCAGTGAGTCCAAGATGGGCACTGTGGGGAAGAGAGAGGGTCCTAGACTTGCAGCAAGTGTAGTGCTGAGAGGAGACAGCACTCATCTCTGCTGCCTGGGACACTTGAATGTGCCTGGGACAGACTGCTGCCTGGGACACTTGAATGTGATGAGCTATAGACCTTCGGCCCACCAAGGAGCATGGAAGAAGAGGGGCTGTGTCCTTTCAGTCCTCTCTCCCTCTTTGGGGAGGGAGATTGACACGTAGCCCCTGGAGTTTGGGTCACATTGAACATAGAAACTGGTGGCTGTTTCTAGTATAGAGATGTCTGAAAGCAGAAACTCATGGGGTCACAAGGCCTTGGAAGGACTTGAGTATCTGGGAAGAAGTGGGCTCCACCCTCTCATTCCTGTCTCTGTGGCCCTTGCAAGATGGGCCCACATGGAGCCAAGAAGTTACTGTGGTTCATGTGAAGGGGCACAGAGGCTGGAGAGGGGCTGGAGCTATGGCTAGCCAGGTGGCTGCTGTACCAAGCAAGGGACAACCAGCCCAGAGCAGGGGCCAGGGACATGTGCCCCTGTGGCAGGGAAAGATTTGAGTGCCCTTTGGCAATGGAGGAGCCAGGGCAAAGCCAAAGACAACCTTAGGAGACCCATATCACCACCTCTGTGGGGACCGGCTTGACAGGAGCCACCTACTTCTGAGGGAACCAGACTAGGGGCCCTCCCCACCACTGATGGACAACCCCTGTGGGAGCAGATCTTGCTTGAGAGGGTGGGTCCCAAGCCAGGCTCTGCTAGAGTCTGTGAAGGCGGTAGGGGAGGAAGTTTACAAAGACAAAGGCAAGGGGACTTGGTAAAGAGCAGAACTCTATCCTACCTCCTCCCAGCTCCCAGAGCCGTAAATAACTGTGGGGAAGGGGCATGCAAGGAGAACAAAGATGAACTTTGAATTGCATTTGAGTCAAGTTTTCAAATAAAGAGAACCAAGTGTTAAATCCTGAAATGAGACTATTCTAATAATGGAAAGTGACTGCAAAGTTACAGAATCTGGCCCAGATTTCATTTAGGGACTTGCTGCCCAAAATTGGAAAGGGGAGGCAACATAGCATAGTCGGGGAGTGGGTGTTGGAGAGAACGAAAGCATTTTGTGTTTATACCCCTGGTGGATCCAGATTCCTCAATAAAGTAGTAACGACTTCAGCCATCCAGTGACCCCAGGTTGTGAGTCTGTGGTCTGGCCACCTGAACCTCCACAAATGCCCGAAGGCCCAGGGTTACCCAAGGAGTCTCTGCACACTCTCTGAGAGAAGTGGCAGGAAGGGGCAGAAGCACCCCCTGAGCTCCAGCTGGCTGCAGCCCAAAGGGGAACCCAAATGCATTAGACCTGCCGGCACTGCCAGCCAGGGAGGGGGAGGCCTGTGGCAGCAGAGATGATTTGGTGAAGTGAGAGAGTGGGAAAGAAGAAAGCAGGAGCTGAGCCAGAGAGCCTTTTGAGCATTGTGGAGCACCCACCCTCTTCCCGGGACCCTGCTGGGAGCTCCCAGAGGCTTCCTCCTCCACCACTCACTCGCTGCAGAAGTGGAGTTTGCATGCCAGCTCCCTGCATGGGACTGTGTGCCTTGGGAGAGCTCTTCAGCCTCTCTGAGCCTCCCTGTCCAGGTCTATGGAACAGCAATTAAAACAGTCTGCTCCTAGGGTTGTCATCAGGATACAGTGAGCAGAAGCACGTGGAGTCCTGAGCTCAGCCCTGGCCCCCCCAGAGGCATTCCACACTTGCAAGCTCTCCCCACCATCACCTCACCTTCATCATCTCCTCATTGTGATCACGCAGGACCTGGTGCATACCTGGTTTTCTGGGTGGGATGCCTTTGTCTTAGTGATTAAGGGTCAGGGACTAGATTCAGGTCTGCCTCACTCCAAACCCAAGCTCTTTTCTGCCTCTGACCGCATGGAGTCAGTGGGTGCTAACACTGCTCTAGATTCTCATCACCCCAGGCTCTGTTCTTGTCAGCAGGGACTCAAGACATGGGAACCGGTAGACTCAAGTGTAGAGACAACCTCACTGGTGGCTAGGAACAGATGGCCACAGGAATGACCCATGTCAGAGATTTTAACCTCAGCCTTGGGAGAGGGGTATATTTTTAACTACCCCACAATTAATAGGAATTGAGTTTGACAAAAAGCTGAAAGTATACATGGGTAACTGAGATAATGGCCTGTTTGACAAGGTTGCCTAAGGGGATGGCTGTTCTTTTTGCCCATCTGCCACCTGATTGTAGAGAAGGGCATGCAACCCAGCTACCCCAGCCACGGCCTCAGACTAGTGTCCCACCCGGGCCACAGTGTATCCTGTCCCTCCACCCTCCAGACTAGTGGCCCACTCTAGGCCAGTTGGAGTCCTTGTCTGGATTGTTTGGTTTTTCTGAAGCCAGGGGAGAGAGAATCTCCTTTCCTTGATTGTAGAACTGTCAGGATGACACCACAGCTGCCTGTAGCTGACCTGAGCCACATGGAGAGGCTGAGTGACTGGGGGGAAGTCACTCCCTGAGAGGGGCAGCAATGAAGAGTGGTGAGAGCAAGATTTGCAGGCAGCAGGCCGCCAGCTCTACCCCCAACTCCACCCTGCCAGTGGGGCTGTCCTGGGACACAGCTGCAGCCTTTGGTCCCATGAGCCATTTCAGGATTCTTGCCGTCCTTTTCCCTTTTGAAGCTGGTTCCAGTTGAGTTTCTATCACTGGAAACCAAAAGATTCTGACTTATACATCTTTTTCCCCCTTCTTTCATTTAAGAAGTATTACTGAGGTGGGGCAGAGCCTGTGCTGGGCACTGGGGAGATACATGGCGTGAGCAGATCAGGTGTGGGCTCTGACCCTGCTGGACCTGCAGCCTGGTGGGGGCATGTGTTGAGCAAGCAGCGTGTAGAGGCTAAGGGGTTAGATGGATATGGCCATTTGACCTTGAACAAGTTGTTTGATATCTCTGAGCCCAGGTCCCTCATCTGTAAATGGGGTCCAGGGAGATAATACATGTTGAGCTCACACGTAGCCCTCAGAGAATGGAAGCCACTAATATCAGTATGATTAGAGTCCTTCAAGTATAAAGTGGCTGATTATCACAAAGGAGCAGCCAAGGACCTATGAGAACCTCAAATGGGAGAGCTAACCATGTCAGAAGGCAGGAGGGCTCGGCTCTGCAGGGATGCTGTAGGCCACGGCCGAAGAATGAGGAGGCCTCCCCGGGTAGCGAACATGTGTTCATTTCCACAGACTTAATGCTCTGTGTGGTATAGCATTCCAATCTCTGGAATCAAAATGTTCTCGAATGTTAGAGCTGTAAGTTCCAACCCCATCGTTTATCAGTGAGGAAACTAAGCCACAGAGAAAGGCAGCAATTTGTCCGTGGCTGCATTGTCAGTAAGGAAGAGCTGGGAAGAGAGGCCAGAATGCCAGGTCCTGCTCAGCCTGGTAAGTGCTTATTGAGCACTGTGGCCATCAAGCCACCAGTGAGAATGAGGAGTGCTCCAGGGTTCCCAGAGTTTGGATGACAGAGGGCAAATGGGCTTCACTAACCACAGTGACAGTGCAAGAGGCAGAACCCTGAACCATCCTGGGCACACACTACTCCAGGGAATAGGTGTTGGGCAAGCTCACAATTGCTGCACATACTCTATAGAAGAAACTCCTGGAAAGAAAAGGCTCTCGGTGCCAGTCATCAGCCCTGCAGAGCCACAGAATCCTGTGGAGGTCAGCCACGGAAGGACAGAGAGTCTAGGTCCACATCTCCACACACCCTGGGTAGTTGTGTGACCTCAGGTGTCCCCGAGTCTCAGTGCCCACATCTAGGAAGTGCCTGCCTCAGAGAGCTGCGTGAGGACTCCATGGAGCTCATTAATGCAGGAAAAGCCTGATGTGACATCCATTAGGAGCTCAGCTCATGGTAGCCATTCTCACTAGTTTATTATTAATACACTAGGGTTACCGTTACTGGGGGATAGGTAGCTCTCTAATTGGCAGTAATTTTTAGTTCACACTGAATCAGAATTCTTCACATTCCTGTTCTGGTCCTGTCAGAGATGGGGATTCCTGGTTTGAGATTTACCTGATTCTTCTATCTCTCCCTGTAATTTGCTGCCCTGTAATTTGGCCCCTGCACCTCAGCTCTGTCCTTAGAAGGGATGGAAGATGATCCTGGAAGCCAGGGACAGACCTCAGGGCCAACAGTGTGTTGTCTGGGCTCGCCCTGCCTCAGAGGAAGGTTTGGCCAGAAGGTGGGTCACGTAGTCCTGTGCTGACACACGGCAGACCTAGTGAGGTATGAGTTGACAAGTCACCCATGTTCCCATCTTCAGAAGCTGCTGACCTGCCATTCCTGGGTCACTCTGACTAGTGAGGCTTCAGGAAGTTGTGAGTGCCAGGTCCGAGGCAGACTCCCCAGGTCAGGCCACCCCATCTTCTCCTCTTCAGGAATGGGGCCTCTTGTTCTGCAGTGGCACAAACATTCATGAACCCAACCCACCTTGTGCCCAGCTGTGCCAGCTGAGATGCCCAGACAAACAGGACCAGTAGTGGAAGCTTGTCAGGAGATGGTGCCCAATGACTAGTGGCATGACCCAGCGCTTGGAGCGTCTGCCTTGGGCTCTGTGCATAGCAGCTGGGGTGGGGGTGTCAGCATCAAGGGCAAGGGGAGGAGAAGCAGAACCCTCCTTTGCAGGGCCCTGGGCCAGTGGAGGTCCACCTCTGACAAGACAGGCCTGGGCCCTCATCCCAGTCACCACCAGTCAGGCGTGTGGTGTGGGTGGTCTCCCTGTGCCTCGGCCTCCATGTAGGTAGAACAGCTGCTGAGAGGAGTCAGTGAGGTAACACAGTGTTTTCCCAGACCTCAGGCATCTGTGACCACCTTTGCCATTTCTATTAACTTTCTTGCTCAGTTTTTCTCTTGAAGTCTATTTTATTCATAGTCTGAGTTCAGGGGTTTGATGTGCCGTAGTTTTTCTAATGCTTGTTAAGAATAGATACAAATCCCTATTCCCGTGCCACCCGCCCATGCCAGCCGCCATCCGCTCATGGCATGTGTCCACCCTTTGGGAAACGCAGAGATGACATGTGTTGATGGCTTGTCACAATGCTTGGCATCCAGGGAGTTCTCAACACTGGTCAGCTTTTGTATATTATTATTATTGTTGTCACCCTTATCACAGCAGTGAGACTGTGGGAGGAAAGAAAAAGGGAGCTTTGGCTGTCTTGTTAGGGCCAACTCCTCTTCTTTACCAAGGAAGCCAGTCCTTTTCCTTTTACCACTTTTCCTCCTGCCTTGAGAGTTGACTTTGGGGCACCCTGGAAGGCAGTGCAACAGGTCAGTCTCTGGCTGACGGATCAGATGGACGTGCTGTGGCTGCCCATTCCCAGACCCCAGAGCCGTCCGGGCACTTGTGTAAAATGATAGCTCTGATTATTTGCAGTCAAGAAAGTCCTGAACGGGATGTACCCAGGGGCCAACAGCCCCTGTCTACCCCTTAGATCGTCATGAAAGGCCTCTGGGGGCACCCAGCACTTGAGACAGTGCCTTGGTGCCCACCTGGGCTGGAATCCTTTCCACTTCCACTGAAGGATGAATCCCCTGGGGTCTTCCACCAACAGAACATTCCACCAGGACCACCTGGCAGCATGTGATTAGCTTGTACAGGTGTGTATGTTTATGTGGAGGACACACCTAAATCCTAAGAGCAGTTACTTCACAGTGATGGGATTATAGGCAGTTATACTTCTCATTATACCTTTCTATATTCTCTAGAATGACCATAAATGCCCTTTTAATTGAAAAAAAAAGTTTTAACCTCCCCCCAAAAAAATCTGGTAGAGACATTTAAGATACACAGAACAGCATGGGGCAGCCATGGAGTCCACGCTGGAAGAGACTTGGGCGAGGGTGGAACATGGAGGTGATGGACAGCCTGGCTGTGCTGCAGAGGCAGGCCCTGGAGAGATGGAAGGGTGGAAACCCTGGCAGATCAATAAGGGGGCAGGGGCAGGCAGCTAAGGTCATTCATTTAGGAGTCAAGGTGCCTACAGGGCTGAATAGCAGGGAGTTGGGGGTAGGCAGCTGCTGGGAAAGACCAGGCACCAAAGGGAGTAGGAGAGGACCCAGGTGGGTGACGTGGAGAGGGCTGTCCAGGGAGTGGAGGGATGGCCTTTCTGCAGCGGTGGAGATTTCCTCCAGCAGCGCTGGGCAGCTGGTGCAGCATCTGGGAGACTCCTTCTGAGACCGATGCAAAGATAGGGCTTTGCTGGGTAGTGCCAGGGAATGCCAGGGGTTGTGGGTGTTCGTGAGATTGGGATTCAGGTGGTCAGCCGTACAGTAAGGTGTAAACTCTGACTGAAAAAGAGGGAAGAAGTAAATTCAAGTTTGAGATTTTTGTGCCAAACTGAAATTCCTGCCTACTTAACTTTCAAATATTTTAAGTTTTAAATGTCCTCCAGCCAACAGTAACGCAAAGCTGCCTCCCTCCCTAGCCATCTCGCTTTCCTTGCTCAGAAGCACCCTTGGGGGTTTCCAGCTCAGGCACAGTCCATGCCAACCAACAGCCTGACTGCTGCCAGAGAACCACGTGTGATCTCAGGCCAGTGGGTCCCAGACTTTGGATTTCATGGGCAAGGGAAGCTTCAAAATGAAACTTCAGAGACTCTCACAGGGTTGCCAATATTTTTTTAATGGCAAAAAAAAAAAAAAAAAAAAAAAAGAAAGAAAGAAACTGTCCTTATCATTTCCTGGAGAAAGAAACATTTTAACACCTACAGTGTAAGCAGGGCATAATCTCAGAATAAAGAATATTTTTTCCCAAGTAAGGACAACTGGCAGGCTTTTGCTCATACATTTTGAAAGTATTTTTTTAAGTATTTTTCATTTTAAATATTTTAAATATAGAAAATTGAAATGTAAATTTTTATTGCATGTTTTACTTTATATGTAAATGAATCATTGATATGAGTTTGTCATTTGGGGTTATGTATTCAATAAATTATTCAATAATAGTATGTTTTCAATAATCATGTTATTGAATATGTAACCCCATTCCACTATAGTACTTGGTGTTTTCCACATTCCTTTGTAAAAATCCAGCCTTGCGTAGGTCTGTTGATAATGACAGGAGCAACGTTCTAAATGGTAGTTGCTTCATTTGGAACATTCTGGGAGAAAATACAAGTGGCAGGCTAGCAAAGGCTGTGGGCACTCCTGCCCTGCGGTCTGAGCCCTAGATGCCTCGTCACATCATAGAGAGCAGGAGATGCCTCTAAGAGGGCATTAGGGGATCCGTCCTTACAGACCAGCCTCATATTGCAGATGTATGGGAAGCCCTGGTCTCAGGTTGCAACAGTAGGAGTAGAGTGTCTAAGAAAAGGGAGGTGATCATCCACTGTGCAGTGTGTTCATTGGTGAGTGCCACACTATGCTGCGAGTGGTCTGTGAGATGGGTCAAACTGCAGACAGCCTAGAATGCCAGGCTAAGTGATCCCACCTAATTGTTTGGATGAAGAGGACTCTGGAGGCAGTTGGAGGGGTGGGCATGATGGGCGCATCTGGAGGGAAGCAGAAGTCAGGGTGGCTAGCAGAGAAGCACCATGGAGTGTCCAAACAGGTCAGATTGAGTTAGCAGGTCCAGGACTCCCTCCGCAGGAGGGCCTCCAAGCTCAGTTCTCTTGGGTTGCAAATAAGACCCTGGAATCACAGCAGGACCACAAACATTTTACTTGCTGCTGGCTCAGAGCACACAATGATCAGCCAATTAAATAACTGAGAAGAGGGTTGTGTAGTTAATTGCCTGGCATTTTGAGAGGAAACCACTGTTCTTTGAGCTTGTTGACTCTTTATTTATATTTACATTATACACAAATGTATACAAATTATATACATTTGTGTGTGTATGTATGTATGTGGTTATGTTGCTACTCTGATAATAATTAAATCTGGACGGTAAATAACAATTATTAGAAGAAAGTTATATCTTAATGATTAATCAGGTAGTATGTGGAAACTACCTCAACAATGATTAATCTTTTTTGAAATGTACAAACTGTATAACAATGCTGTAAAATTTTTTAAAGCACTTAAAATTCCACTATTCCAGTACTTTGTGGTTCTGTATTTTTTGTTAAGTAGTTATTTTAATTTCCTTAGCTATTTCCCTATTGTTTGACATTAGAATGTTTCCAAGTTTTTGTTTGTTTTCTTTTAACCACCGTAGATTTCCCTGCAATAAATACCCTGGTGTGTACAATGTTTTCCCTTCTTTTAGAATTATTTCCTCAGAATAAGTTCCTGGGAGTGCAACTGCTGAGTCAAAGGATACCAATATTATTCTGGCTTTGGAATCCCTGATGCTTTCCCAAAGGGTTGAACCAGCTCACCCTGCTCCAGCAGTGTATGGGTTTCCCGATTTCACCACAACCCTGCTAGCTTTCACACTGGTCTTATTTTAAATTAAATGATAACTGGATTTTAGATGGAGGCTTTTATTTATTAATTTACACCTCTCAGTTCTCTCCATTGCTCTGCCCAGAGCTCCTATACTTTTTCTCCATAGCCCCGTGCTGTGGTTTGATTGACATCTGCCTACCCTCCAGACATGAAGCCCTAATGAAAGAATGATGATAGGGCCTAGACATTCCTCCCTGTTTATGTGGAAACTACCTCAACAGATTTTAAGAAAGGGCAGTTGAGAGATGTTTAAACTATAAATAGACTTGGTGACACCTCTTATTTGGTCAAGGTGGTCCCAGTAATGAATGCAGACTCTGTGCTTCTGGGAGTATGTTTATGTCTCACTTGAATTCTAGAAGACATCAGAGTTAACGTTAAGTCATGATGTATAATTTAAGACAGAGATGAAAGAGTTCCCACTGAAAACAACCCTTCTTTCTAGGTGCTCCGTAATTACCAAGACAGAGGTCTCCATATAGGGGCAGGAGTCCTCGTTGGAGAATGTCTGAAGAAAGCTGAAGGCAAGCCCCTTTGCTCTGCCCTTGCCCTCCCCTTCCGGGCACCTGGGGAGTTGGCCACAAGCACAGCAGAGGATGGATTAGGCTGTGGGAGGGGGGCAGCCTGAGTGAGACTAGCCCCCAGATCCCCTCTTTGAGCCTCTGCTCTGAAGTCATCTCCGTTGTTGGTGCTGAAGCCTGGAACCCTCAGCCTTGTTCCTTCCCTGCCACCTCCTTTTCTCCTCTCCACCCCATGTTCTGAAAGCTTAGCCCTGAGGCCTGAAAATGGAGCTGCTTCCCTGGCTCAGATCCTTGGCTGTCCCCCTCTAACAGTGCTTTTGACCCATCAGGTGACCGCTGGATCCCCACCCAGCATTAGCTCCTGGACCCGTAGTACCCCAGCGGTGGCCCTCATGGACGATTCGTGCAGGAACACATGAAATCTGAGTTTCCCAGAGTGTGGGCATGCACTACTTTGGGTCCTCATGATTTTAGATGGCATGGTAGATAACCTTACTTTGATAGCTAAGTATTTATCTTAATGTGATTAACACATCAAACTTACGATTTCACTCAAAAATTTAAGTAAAAAATCATGTAGTGTGACCCAGCAATTGTACTCAGGGTATATACCCAAAAGTAAAAACACATGTTCAAACAAAAACTTGTACATGAATGTTCATAACAGCACTATTCACAATAGCCAAAGCATGGAAACAACTGAAATGTCCACCAAAGGATGAATAGATAAACAAAAAGTAGTATATGCATACAGTGGAATACCATTCAGCCATAAAGGCAGTGAAGTACCGATCCATGCTACAACACTGATGAACCTTGAAAACGCTAAGTGAAAGAAGCCAGACACAAAAGGTCTCATATTATATGATTCCATTTATATGAAATGTCCAGAATCAGTAAGTCCATAGAGCCAGAAAGTACATTAGTGGTAGCCTAGGCTGGAAAGCGGGGAATGGGGAGTGATTGCTTAATGGGTGTAGCATTCCATTTTGAGGTGAAGAAAATGTTCCAGAACAAAATAGTGATGATAGTTACACAACAGCATGAATATAATAAATGTCACTAATGGTAAATTTTATGGTGGGTGTATTTGGCCACAATAAAAAATAATAATAATATAGGTACTATGTTGGCAAAAATCATGAAGGTGATATGTGAGTAAGGCAAAAATAGCCTTACAGTATATAAAGTGAGATAAGAAATAGAGCTGCTGGGCCCTGACACTCCAGCTGGGTTGTATTTCATTGTTGAAATCCACTTTGCTGGAGGGAGGACCAGCTTGACTTTCAGTGTCTACAAGAGGACAGCTGCTCCATGTCTGGCACTGAGTTAAGCACTTCGTCGGTATTATCTCACTGTGGCCTCACAGTGGCCCTCCGAGGGAGGTGCTCTTATTCTCCCTGTTTTTTAGAGGAGAAACTCCAGGCCACAGCGCTGGTCAGTGGCAGAGCCAGGTGGGCACACCTACCCTCCAGGCCCTGTGACGACCTGCATCTTTTCACCCAGGGTTCCTCTGAGGTATCCTGGTTGGGCTGTCACCTACTGGTGATATCTGCTACCCTTATGTTTTCAAAAAATGGGGCAGTTACTTCCCTAAACTCATTTGTTGACTATTGGAGGACCTAGAATTCTTCCTCATGATGCCTTCTTTCCCAGGGTTAAGTAACTCCAAGGCACCAAGCCCTCCATCTTTCTGACTCAGGCCGGGGAGGGCTGCATGGAGGCACAGCAAGCCTTTTGCTCCGACTCTGCCTTTACTCTGAGCAGCTCTTAGACTAGAGGTAGAGCCCCAGAAGATGTGGAGCTCTCTGCAGATGCTTTTGAACTCTGATACTATTCTAGGCAAAATAATTCCTATTCAATGAGATTTGAGGCCTAGCCCTGCCACTTACCAGGTCTGTGGCTTGAGACAAGCTTCCCAACCTCTCTGACCTTTCGTTTCCTCATCTAGAAAATATAAATAATGGCATTTACATAAATGGAAGACTGGATGTACTCTTTGTTGTTCATATTATTCCATTTTAATTAAGTAATTATTCATGCAGTTATTTGTTTACTGTCTGGCAGCTCTGCTAGGCAGTAAGCCACACAAAAGCAGGAATCGTATTGGTTTTGTTTCCTGCAGTATCTGCGGCATGGAGAACACGGTGGATTCTCGATACGTTATCTGTTTTTTAAATTTCAAACTTTTATTTTAGATATGGGGGTACATGTACATATTTGTTACACGGGAATATTGCATGATGCTGAGGTTTGGGGTATGAATCTCATCACCCAGGTAGGGAGCGTGCTACCTAATAGGTAGTTTTTCAGCCCACACCCCTCCTCCCTCCTGCCTCTAATAGTCCACAGTGCCTGTTGTTCCTGTGTTTATGTCCATGTGTACCCTGCGTTTAGCTCCTGCTTCTGAGTGAGAACATGCGGTATTTGCTTTTCTTTCCTGTGTTAATTTGCTTGGTATTATGGCCTCCAACTATATCCGTGTTGCTTTGAAGGACATGATTTCATTTTTATGGCTGTATAGTATTCCATGGTATATATATGTACATTTTCTTTATCCAGTTTACCATTGATGGGCACCTGGGTTGATTCCATGTTTTTGCTATTGTGAATAGCGCAGTGATGAACATGTGAGTGCATGTGTCTTTTTTTTTTTTTTTTTTGACTCAGCGTCTCAACTCTGTCATCTAGGCTGGAGTGCAGTGGTGCAATCTCAGCTCACTGCAACCTTGGCCTCCAAGATTCAAGTGATTCTTGTGCCTTAGTCTCGTGAGTAGCTGGGATGACAGACATCCACCACCATGCCTGGCTAATTTTTGCATTTTTAGTAGAGATGGGGTCTCACCATGTTGGCCAGGCTGGTCTCAAACTCCTGATCTCAAGTGATCCTCCTGCCTCAGCTTCTCAAAGTGCTGAGATTACAGGTGTGAGCCACCGCACCCAGCCTGAATGTGTCTTTTTGATAGAAATGATTTATTTTCCTTTAGGCATATACCCAGTAATGGGATTGCAGGGTTGAATAGTAGCTCTATTTTAAGTTCTTTGAGAAATCTCCAGACTGCTTTCCACAGTGACTGGACTAATTTACATTCCCACCAACTGTGTATGTGTTCCCTTTTCTCTGCAGCCTGACCAGCATCTGTTGATTTTTTTAACTTTTTAATAATAGCCATTCTGACTGGTGTGAAATGGTATCTTACTGTGGTTTTGAGTTGCATTTCTCTGATGATTAGTGATGCTGAGCAGCTTTTCATATTTGTTGGCTGCTTGTATGTCTTCTTTTGAGAAGTGTCTGTTCATGTCTTTTGCCCATTTTTTAATGGGGTTATTTGATTTTTGCTTATTGATTTGCTTAGGTTTCTTATAGATTGGTTATTAGGTCTTTGTCAGATGCATAATTTGTGAATATCATCACCCATTATGTAGGCTGTCTGCTTACTCTGTTGATAGTTTATTTTGCTGTGCAGAAGCTCTTTAGTTTAATTAAGTCCTACTTGTCTATTTTTGTTTTTGCTGCATTAGCTTTTGGGGACTTAGCCAAAAATTCTTTGCCAAGGCTGACGTCAAGAAGAGTATTTCCTAGATTGTCTTTTAGGACTTTTAATAGTTTAAGGTCTTACATTTAAATATTTGATACATTTTGAGCTCATTTTTGTGTATGGTGAGAGGTGGGGGTCCAGCTTTAATCTTCTGCATATGGTTAGCCAGTTATCCCAGCAGCATTTATTGAGTAGCGAGTCCTTTTCTCATTGCTTGTTTTTGTCAGCCGTGTTGAAGATCAGATGGTTGTAGGTGTGCAGCTTTATTTCTGAGTTTTCTATTCCCTCGATACATATTTATTGAATAAAAGAATGAATTAATGCCTGAGAAACACTTAGCACGATGCTGGGCACTCAGTAAATGCTAATAGACGTTAGTCACTGGTGGTGGTGTTATCATTATCATTACTATTGGTGTATTAAAGGCATTCACGAAAACTCTGATTCTCAAAACAGCCTTGCAAGGTTGGAGTTATGCTCATCTTGAAAAAATGGAAATTAAGATTCAGATAAGGTAAATACATTAACTTGCCCAAGTCCTTTAGAACTTACAGTGAAGTCTGTAACCTAACATTGCCCTAAACTCCTCCTCAGTAGGTATAAAACCCTGAGTCCCTTCACATAGACCAGGAATTGGTAGCACTACTGATATATAATTATACTTTTTTGAGCACACATGTCTTAGAAATAAAGCACATTTTGTGGGAGGCAGCACAGTATCTGTGGATTCGGTGTATGAGAAGCTGCGGTTGCCCAGAAGATAAGCAGAATTCCCAGGCTGCCACCCCTGCCCAGACTGCGGCTGGCCTCCCAAGCTGTGAGCCCCCAGCCTGGGATTCTCTCTGCACACCCAGGTGGGGGCCAGTCGGGCTGGATGTGGGGCTCCCATGGAAGAGAGGAAGGACACAGGCACTTCTTCAGTGCTTGGCCATTGTCAGGCCCATAAGGGGAGTAGGGAGCGTCTGTTTTTTCTCACTGTTGTATCCTGTGAGCCTAGCACAGAGCTTAGCTGAGAAAGTGCTTAGCAGCTACTTGGTGAATACACAAACAAATTAATGACTGAATGAATGAACAAACCTGCTGTGTGCCAGGCACCGTGTTGGTTTGCTTATATGACCTCACTTAATGCTCAGCCTGGACACATGAGGTGAGAGCACATGAGGTGAGGCTCAGAAGGGTGAGGTTGTTTACTGAGGGTCAGCCAGTGGGGTGGGTGTTCAAACCAGGTCTCCCTACCTCCTGTACTACCCCAGAGAGTAGGGAGGGCTCCCAGGCCATGGAGAATCCCCTTCCCCAAACAAGAGAGTCCATTTCACCTCTGGCTGTGATAGAGGCTCAGAGAGGAGGCAAGGGCAAGGGAATAAGT
This sequence comes from Homo sapiens, assembly GCF_000001405.40. Lineage (NCBI taxonomy): Eukaryota > Metazoa > Chordata > Mammalia > Primates > Hominidae > Homo > Homo sapiens. The sequence goes on from NC_000009.12 coordinate 127,148,803, forward strand.
TGTTCTCAAGGCGGTTGCATGCTTTTTCAGCCCTCGCTGTGGATGGAACAGAATGTGGGGATGGCGGAGGGAGAACACGTTGGAGAGGAGTGGAAACTGAGGCCTGGGTCCTCGTTTCTCTGCAGTCTGGGCTTGCCACTTTCTACTAATGTTATCACCATCACCCTAACCTTTATTGAGCAGTGACCTCATATACACCTCATTCTGTCTACACCTCCACATGAGGGAGGCACCGTTGTTAGCCCTGTTTACAGAGGCCAAAACTGAGGACCAGAGGAACTGTTCTGGCCGAGGAACTGTCCTGAAGCCACAAGTCAATGGCAGCATCCCCCTGACCCACTAAGACCACCTGGCTCTAGAGCCCCACCCTGTCCAGGCTGGCCGGCAGAGGGTCGCTTGGTCCTGGAGCAGCTGCTGCTATTGCAGAGTGCGGCAGGCCTCCTGGTTCTGAGTCTAGTTCATCCACTGGTTGACACTGGTGTCTTATTGTTGTCTTCCAATGTTGGAGCTGAGAAATCTCAGAAGGTTTTGTTGTGAGGTCCATGGTAGGGGTGGTGCTGACACCAGGATCTTACTAAAGGAAGCGTTTGGCGCTAGAGGGCTGAGCCCAGCAACATAGTGGAGCTCGGCACCATGAGCCTGTTCAGTGAGGTTTGATGGGCTATGAATCAGACTTGTCTTCCTGAGCTCGTGGTAATCCACTTGGAACTAAGTCCTGTTCTGGTCTGGAGATGTTTCCAGTCCCCAGCAGGACATCTGCCCCCTCTGAGGGCAAGGCCTGTGTGCCTACCCTCCAGGACTGGATTAAGGATCACAGAGAGTGGGGACCACACAACTCAGCTCCCAGTGTGAACACAAAACAGAGGTTCATGGCTGACAGGTGGGCCCCTGGAGTCTACCCAGCCATGGCCAGGAGGTTGAAGGAGCAGGGTTTGTGGCCAACCAGACCTGGATTCAAACCTTGGCTCCTCCAACTGTGGGCCAAGAGACCTTGGGAAACTCACCCTACTGTTCAGAGCCTTGGTTTCCCCACCTGGATGAAGAAGGTCATGATGCTTTCCTTGGAGTGCTTTTGGTAGATGAGCTGAGGAGATGGCTCAGGTCAGCCCATGTGGCAGCACCCCTGCCCTGGCTCAACAGCTTCACACGATCACATGCGGTCAAATAAGGCCAGGATGGGAAGGGAAGGCTGAAGCCATGCCATGGATCAGGACCCAGACTCAAGAGTCAGACCTGAGGTGCAGTGTCAGCTCTGCCACACACTAGCTGTATGATCTTGAACAAGCAACTTAGCCTCTCTGAGCCTCCCTTTCCTCTTCTGTAAAATGAAGACTCCATGAAATTGTACAAGTGCTGCTCAGCCCAGAGCTTGTGACCACGGTCACCATTCCCAGCATTCTTTTGCCTGCAGGCTCCCATTCTCCCACCCCATGCTCTGAGGCAGCTCCCTTGACCCAGGAGCCTCATTTGAGCCCCACCTCTCCCAGTGCCCCTGTTTGTGGGCTCGGGGTCACCAGGGGCCAGATCACTGTCAGGAACCCTCACCGAAGGAGAGAAGCAGGCCTTTTCCCAGACCAGTACCCATTGCAGCCTTTGAATAGAACACTTCAAATTACTCCTCTTTCACCATTGCTTTAGGCTTTCCAAGCTCCAAATGGGCCTTCTTACTGGTATCCCTAGGCTACTTTACCACCCCCCTCACCCCACCCACACAGCTGCATCAGGTGCAGCCTGTGCAGAGTGGGCATTTGTATGCCCTTCATGGCCAAGTATAAGCTCCTGCTTCCTGCATTTGAGATGCTCGTGCTCAGGGAGTTGGCATGAGGCATCCTCGTCCCCATCTCAAACTGGACTCAACAGAGATGCCCTTTCCTGGGCTCTTACAACTGGATTACTAGGGCAGCCTCACTACCGAGCCCCAAAGAAAGGCGTTCATCCTCAGAGCTCACCAGATGGGATGCAACCGTGAAAGCCACCCAAGTGCTTGCTTTCTGCCCCAGGGGTTTGGGTGGCATCTGCAGAAGGAGTCTGTGGGCTTCACAGACCACTGATGAGGGAGTGTGGCTACAGTGGGTGTGATCCATTAAGAGTGAATTCAGGGCTGGGCTCGGTGGCTCACGCCTGTAATCCCAGCACTTTGGGAGACCGAGGCGGGCGGATCACGAGCTCAGGAAATCGAGACCATCCTGGCCAACATGGTGAAACCCTGTCTTTACTACAATACAAAAAAAATTAGCTGGGTATGGTGGCACACGCCTGTAGTCCCAGCTACTCGGGAAGCTAAGGCAGGGGAATTGCTTGAACCCAGGAGGCAGAGGTTGCAGCGAGCAGAGATCGCACCACTGTACTCCAGCCTGACAACAGAGCAAGACTCCGTCTCAAAAAAAAAAGAGAGAAAAAAAGAGTGAATTCAGAAGTTGACAGCTGCTGCTGCCGCCGGTCTGTGATGGTGAAACAACCCCATAGATTTATATGGAAAAAAAAAAAAGTGCGTTGACCAGAATTTTATGGCATCCAAAATCCTATCTCTTTGGGTCTTTATATCTAAGTACCATAATTACTAAGGGAAAATATCCTTCTTAAAAGAAAAATCAAAGCAATTGACATATCATCAGATGTCCACTAATATTTCATGGGTAAACAATCCTTCCTGCCTTCTAGAAGCTCCTCCTCCCACAGGGAAGCAGGTGGGAAGGACAGCAGCTACCATACAGCATCATAGCTGGTCTGGTGGAGTGTATAATTCAATTACAGCGGAGGGGAAAGGGAAATAAAGAGGGTCAGGGGTCACTTTTATGGTTTTTTTATTTTTTTATTTTTTGCTTTTTGTGTTTTGCCTGAGTCTTTGCAAGAGTTTTTTGTTTTCGTTTTTGTTTTTAATTCAAGTGTTTAGCCAGAATGGGTCTAGGAATAGATTTCTTTCCTGGAACCTAATAAACTCAGAATGTATCTAGGGATAGATAGATCTCTTTCCTGGAGCCTGATAAACTCTGAGTTCTATCCCTAGATACATTCTGGCTAACTACTTGAATTCAGGAAAACACCCTTCTCTGGGTCATCTCTCTGTTCTCAGGCCCCTGTGTCCCCTTATGTTCTTTCTTCCCCTTCTTCCCCTTCTCTTTTCATTGGCACTGAGGGAGAGCTTGCCAACCTTGCCCACCACATCCATGATGCAAATCTCCGCAGTATCTGCCTCACTCCTTATTGTTTAATTTTTTAATTCTTCTGCCATGTTTTTAGTATTCTTTGATTTTTTTTCATATCTCATGCATCTCTCTTTCCATCGCATCCACCCGCAGTTTCATCTCTGACAGTTCTCTCTTATCACAGAAACCTTGTCTTCTTGTACTGTATTCAAAAGAAAAGCTGTTTGAACTTTCTTCCAGATCCTGGAATAGACTGTGTGGGGAGGTGTGGTCTCTCTTATCCCTCTACTTCTCCTACATGCAGTTCAAACCCATTACTTGGAAGTATTCTTTCGTATTATCCTTTTTGGATTTTCTTTCCCCGAATGTACCCTTGAATGTAATAAAATCTATTCAGCTTTGGGGTTTATTAATAGGCAAGGCATTTGGGCTTCCCTCTGAGCACACTCCAGTTCTTTTCTGGAAGTAGCAATCTACAAATGAATGTGAGAAGATGGTGGGCAAAAGAGTGAGTCAGAGCATTCTAGAACCCCTCCGATCAGCTCCTACTGGGCAGTGAGTGTACTGGTCATTGGCCCAAATTTTCTGGTTTCCATAGCCTTGGATCACTGTGTCTTGGGAAAAGCCCCAGGAGATATGAATTATTTTGGTTTCAAGAGAAAAGGTGTAAATCTGTTCAATTTCTGTCCTGTATATCTGCCCTATAGTATATTAAATTTCTTAGATCCTAGCACTAAGGCTGTCTGTCCATAAGTCTTAGTTGGTAAGGAGGTTTTTAGTGGTAAGTCAGGGAAAGCTCTGTGAGGGGCGGCCTAGTCTCTTCTGGAAGGTTTCCAGAAACTGGTCTGTACCCCCATCTCCTCCTAAAGCTTCAGGAATTTTTTCTCAAGTAACTTCATTGAGGGCCAACATTATCCAGATAATCTGCAACCCTTTCACATGCATTACCTGCTTTCGTCTTCAGCCCTGTGAGAAAGTTACAGGTACTATCTCTATCTCCCAGATGAAGAAAGCAAGGTCCCAGGAGTTGAATAACTCACCCAGAATCACACTGAACAATAAGTGGCAATGCCAGGATTTGAACAGAGATCCCTCAGGTTTTCGTAGTTTTCTTATCTTTCCTCCAGTGTATGTGTTGAGCTACATGTGAACATCACATATGACATAGTATATGTGAGTGTGGGTTCTGCAGTCAAACTGTCTGGGCTGGAATCCTACCATTGTCACAGAGTGACCTTGGGCAGATTACTTTACATCTCTGGAGCTGAGGAGAGTAGCCAGGGCAGGGGGAGAGCAGATGAATGAACTCTGTGAATGCTGAAGACATAGATAACCCTCTTTTGTCTCACTCACCTCTTGATTCCTTTGGGGTCTCTCAGTGGCACCTGAGGATGATTCCCCCACGTAAATGTATGCTAGAGGATTACTTTTTTTTTTTTTTTTTTTTTTTTAGCAGTTTCATGCCCTTAATCGTTTGTGTAATTAATGCCTCTGTTGAATGTCCCTCTTCTGCCAGGCTGCATGCCTCATGGGTTCAGGGCCTGTGCCTGTCTGGTTCTGCTGTATACCCCTGTGTCTAGAATGTGGGAGGTCCTCAGTGAGTATTTGTGATGCTAAGGCCCTGTCATGATGGCGGCGCACATCACTGAGTGAGCTGGTTCCTAAGCACATCACCCTGTGCCCTTGCAGCTTCCTCTCCCCAATGACCTGCCACCTTCCTTCAGGGTCCTTGCTTCTTCTAATTGGTCAGCAGACATGCTTTCCTGCCACTTCGGCCTCTGTTCCCTGCAGAGCATCCTCTGACGATGTAGCCAGAATGTCCTAATGAGGGGAGCATTGGCCACAAGGCCTGCTGGTGTAGCAGAAGGGGAAGTCAGAATTGAGTAAAATTGCTGCTGGAGAACCAGTGCACCAATTGGTGCAGAGCAGAAGGATGGGTCTCAAGGAGGTGACCGGGAGACCACAGTCCAGAGGGTCAAGTTTCTTGGGTCCTTTCCCAAGGGAGTTGAGTCTCATGGGCAGAGGAGAGGCAATACAAGGAGAGTAGGTGTAGGCAGGCCTTCCAATCTGAAGCTGACCCCAGCCAGTGACGGCCCAGGCTCTCCCCTACCTTCCCATCCCACCCCACCACACAAGACCAGACTAACAAGAGCACTGGCTATTCCATCACCCGCTGCTGGCAGAGCTGAGGGCTGAGTGCTTGGCCTGCCTTGGGTGAGACTGGCTCCCAGGCTTGGTGGGAATAGCGCTGCCTACAGACCCTGACCAGGGCGTTAGGGCTGCAAGAGGCAGGGCTGCTGCTGGGCCAGCTGGATCTGGCCAGGCCAAGTGCCTTGTGTCCACAGGGTGTCCTGGAGAAGGGTGGAGCCCACAGAGATGGCTCCTGCCATGGAGTAGGAGGAGCCCCTGCCCACTGAAAGCCTGCGACCTCCCCATGAGGACTCACATCCTCTCATCTCCGTTGAGAAAGGCAGGGAGAGATCAAAACACCTGAGCCTGAAAACCACAAATAAATTCACAATCAGATGCCTTCTTCCTTCCAGAGGGCCCAAGGAACCTCTCAGTATTTCATTTCAGCAAAATCAGTAAAGAATTTACTTTGAGGAAGTGAAAATCAGTTTCGATCTAGCTAACCCTCTGAAAATCTGTTGCTTGTTTTCCAGAGAATGCAGGGATTGATAATTGAGGTTTAGAATGTTGTCTTTTGTTACACAGTTTCCATTGAGTAATGAGTAAAGCTGACAGTTTTGCATCTGCCTCCATTATTATTTTTGTTATACTTAAAGACTAGGTACAGTGTGGTCACAGATACGCGAGTGCATTAGTGGAAGTGGAAAATACTTTGGCGACTGAAGCGGCTGTCTGTGATCTCACTCTCTGGCCGGGATCCTGGTGGCCTCGGACGTTTGGGGAGCCTTTCTGTGCACAGTAGCAAATCTCTGAGCCAGGGTTGGAAAGACAAGCTCAAGAGTGTTTTCCTTGGCACATGGGCAGCCTCGGTTCTACCCAATATAGAGGCAGGTTTCTAAGGCTTTCACTGGGGGAATCATCTTGCATTTCCTTTTAGTGACGTTAGCTCCTCTGGAAGCACTTTATAGCACTCTGAGAAATATGAGTATTTAGCTTGCGGATACCACAGTGTGGGGCTGTCCCTTAACAGAGTGGCTGTGGAGTGGGGTGCCTGGCAACCGCAGCCACCCTTCCACTGAGCAATAGAATTTCAGAGGCCAGGTTGAAGGGAGTCGTGTATATTCCAATAAAGATTCAACATGGGGTCCATTCATTTCCCTGGCCATTTTCTGAGCCCCTGCTCTATGCTAGGCTTGGTGCTGGGCCCTTGAGCATGCAGAGATGGATAAGGCACAGCCCTTGCCCTGGATAAATGCTGTAATCGAGGAAAGGACAGTGTGCTGCGAGCCCAGGAGGAGCCAGTTAGCAGCCAGGAAGGAGAAGGAGGCACAGAGGGAAGGGGAGGAAACCCCTCTGCTGAGGCTCAGAGGCATGAGACAGAGGGCACATCAGGGGCTGCATGGAGGGGCTGGCATAGTTGGGGCATCACATGAGACGTGGAGGAAGAGGCTGGAAAGGTAGTGTGGGGCAGAGCCCAGAAACCTTGGATGCTGTGCTAAGGAGTTTTCACATTGCCTGTTGGGATAGAAAGCCACTGGGTATTTTTAAGTAGGTGAGGGGCATGGTCTAATAGGGTTTGAGAAAGATCACAGGGTATAGACTGGACTGGAAATGGAGAGAGCAAAAGCAGGGAGATGTATGAGGGGATAGGAAGCACTAACAGATTGGAGTCAGTGTCTGTGGCCTTTAAATCTAAACCTGAAGACCAACCAGGGGCTGAGAACGCTCGGAAATTCTTGTGCTTCACATATTGCTCTCCTTCTCCCTGCCAAAAAAGTGTTTGCTTCTTTAATAGAAAGAGAAAGAAAGAAATATCTTGCTTTTTTTTTTTTTACTTCTAAAACTGTAGTATATATTCATAGCTAAAGGTTAAAATAATATAAAATTGTATAAAGCAGAAAATAATCCTGCAGTTTCATACCCAAAGATGGCTATCGATAACAGATTGAGCAGTGTATTCTCTGTGTGTGATCTCTCTATTGTTACAGGCATACCTGATGTTTTTCACTTAAAAACATATCATGGATATCTTTCCGTGTCAGTTCTTAGAAATATATTTTATCCTTACAATAGCTGCATGATGTTCCGCTACTTGGATATAAAATAATTTATATAAACCATGTGTTTTTTGTATAATTATAAATTACAAACAATGCTGCAGTGAACATTTCTTATTAATGTTTGTAGTAGTATTGCTGCAATTTGTAGTAGTATTGCTGTAGAGTAAATTTCTAGAAGTGGAATTACTGGGTCCTAGAAAACACATTATTTGACATCCAAATTCTCCTCCCAAAAGTTTCTATCAATTTATGCTGTAGTCACTCTTGTATAGTGTGACTTTTTCCACACGCTCATCAACACTAAATATTATCGATTTTTAAGAACTTTGTCAGTATAAATGGGAAAAAATATCTTGTTTTAGTTTGTAATTCCTTGATTATTACTGCATCTTGGGAATCTTTCACATTTTTATTTACATTTATACTCTTCCACAAATTGCTCATCTTTTGTAACATTATTTGCATTTATTGTAGGAGCTCTTTATATATTAGGACTGTTGACTGTCTTATAAATTGCAAATATTTTTCCTATTCTATTTGTCTTTCAGCTTCATGTATGGTGTTTTATTTGATCATGCAGAAGTGTGTGGGTTTTGAGAAATGGACCCCAATATGTCAGTCTTTTTTTAATGGTTTTGGGTCTTATGTCACACTTAAGCCTTTGCGTACCTCAGCATTATAAAATTATTCTTCTGTATTTTATTCAAGTACTCGTATTATTTAGATTTCAACTCCCTAATTTATCTGTAATTTATTCTGTTTTAGGAATGAAGTAGAGATCCAGCTTTATATTTTTCCAAATCAATAATCATTTGTCTCAATATCATTTATTGAAGGATTGTTCCTTTTCCTATTGATTTGAAATATACCTGCATCGTATACTAAATTTCTGTATCTCTATGTATGTATTGCTGGGCTCCCTTTATTTGTCTAACTCTGTAGCAATACTATACTGCTTAATGACTGGGCATCACAGCACATTTTATAACAAGCCCCTCTCTTCATTCTTCTTGTTAAAAATGTTTATTTTCATACATTTCCTCTTCCAAGTGAACTTTGGAATCATTTCAGATATGAAATGTGTATGTTAATTAGGCAATAATTGACATCCTTGCAATGTTGTGTCTTCCCATCTAAGAATATTATATATTTCCTTACTTATTTACATCTTCTTTCAATCCTTCAGATATTTTTACTTCATTAGTTTTTACCTGAATTACCAAAGTGTTACATTCTCATTGCAACAACTCAGATACAAAGAGATGTAGATAAAAGGTTTGTATTCTTATGAATTGTGCCTTTATTTAGTAAAATGGATGCTTTGGAGAAGGATTAGTAGGCCCAGGATATGTGTATACTTGATTTTAATAAATGTTATATATTATTTTTCTATCAAATATGTTTTATTCATATAAGTCTTACACATTTCTAAGTTTATTCCTAGGTGTTTTATAGTTTTGCTGTTATTGTAAATTGCCCTTTTTTTCCATTGTGTTTTCTAGCTGATGATTACTGTTATATAAGAATGACATTGATTTATGTATATTTATTTTGAAGTTAACTTTGTTATTCTAATAGTTTTTCAGTTGATTATCCTAAATTGTCTAATTATATCACTAATGTGATAACTAATCATATCACCTGCAAAAATGACACTGTGATATGCATCTTTAATATTCCACATTTGTTGTCTTGCTTTATCACATTCAGCATAGTGTTAAATGATAGCAGTATGTCAGATATTCTTGATTTGTTCCTATTTAATAGGATTTCAATATTAAGAACATTGTTTTAATTTTCTAATATGTATCCTTTATCACATCAAGGAAGTCTGTGCTTTATCAGGACACGCCAATGAGTTTTATTTGATAATATTTTATTTGGAATCCCTGCATCTTGATTTATTAATGTGATTGGTCTCTGTTTTATGCCACCTCTGTCAGGTTTGGGTGTAATGGTTATGCTAGAATCGTAAAATGAACTGCAGCTATTTCTGATTTTTCCTGTTCTGGAACAGTTTAAGTAACATTAAGTTTTTCTTTTACGGTTTTATGCATGAGCTCCTTAAAAATCATCTAGATATTGTATTTTAATTATATTAGGTTGGTGCAAAAGTAATTGCAGTTTCTGCGATTAAAAGTAATGGCAATTACTTTTGCACCAATCTAATAGTATCTTTCTCCATTATTAATATTTTTCTCTTTATTAGTAAAGTTTTTTGCCTCTTCTTCAGAGAACTTTGAGAAGATATATTTTCCTACTAAGCATTCATTTCATCTAGATTTTCAAATATGTTACCATAAAATTTACACATACCACTATTTTAACATCTCTTCCATATTTGAAATCATATCCCCGCTCTCATCCCTAATATTGTTCATCTGTGTCTTTTTCCTCAGTCGTACATACCAAAGGATTGTCCATTTCATTGATTTTCTCAAAGAACCAACTTTCAGTTTTATTTATCACTTTGCTAGACTGTTGATTTTTTAAAAATTCATTATTTATGCTTTTATATTTTAAATTGTTTTCTCGTTTCTTTTTTTTCTAGTTCTATATAATGAATACTTAGTTCACTTTTTAAATGTTTTTTAATTATTAATATAAGCATTTGAGGCTGTGGACTTTTCTCTCGGTGGTTACATGGCCTTGCATCATTGTGGATAATTTTGATATTTTAATTTTAACTTATTTTTTCATCTCAGAATTAATTGGTAAGTGTTTTTTCTTTCCCAAATAATTATTTTTAAAAATTTGTTTTTACCCATGGGACAGAGAAGGGGGTGGAATTGCTCCAGATGCCCCGAAGCCACACGGGTTATGAGTGTGGGAGGTATAATTTCCCCAAAAGGAAATCAAGGGCTGTTTCCAAAATAGGTAGTGGGTGTTAGGCAGAAAAAAGTGTCAGTTTCTTCTCTATTCCCAATTGTCATTGAAGGGTTAAATGAGCTAGTACATGTAATATACTCAGCACAGTGTCCAGCATGAAAAAAGGCCAATAACAGTAACCAGATGCATGGCCTCTCCTCATGCCCCTTCTTACTGCCAGTCAGAACCCCAGTGCACGCTATGCCATCCATTGCACTCTGGGGGAACGTTTGCAAACAGTGGGTTACCTCTTTGTGCCTGTACATTACCAGGCAATCCCCAGGGCATGAGGGGATCTATAGTTGTGTCCTCATTTCACCTTGGGGAGCCAGGAGGTGATTTGGCTTCCCTGGACTTCAGGATTCTGTCCAGACAGCAGGACTTTGCCCACGTGCCTTTGTGATTCATGAGCCACAACCCCAAGTCATACACAAGGCCATGTGCTCATCCAGAAAGCGTGGCCTCTGACCACCTGCCATGTGACTGCCTGCGCCTGCCCCCTTCTGCAGACCGAGGAAACTGTCTCAGTGACAGTAAGCTTCCAACAGCTTTCACAAAAGGAATACTCTCTAAATGAGGATTTGTTCTGAAGCCCTGTTTTGCTTGTTGGATATTAATTAGCAGGTGCTAGTTAATACTCACAGTCTTCCCCATCTTCTCAGGGAGCCTGGGCCGCCTGCTGAGATCTCATCATGCAGTAGATGGAAATGCTTTGTGCTCTCTTAAAGAGAGCACACACATCCTAATGAGCTGCTGCTTTGTTATTTCATTTGGAATTTATCAGGACAGTTTATGTGATCAAACCACACAAATATAGTTCTGCATGCCAGCACTCCTGAATACTGAAGTTTGAAAGTGATCTTTTTAAGGCAGAGCAGGAGAACATGGAAAAAAGTCTTTCATCTCAAACTTTGAAAAAGGGAGAGAGAGAAAATGGAAAGTATAAGATGGAAATGTGGCACATTTTTATGCTGTAGAGGGTTTTTTTTTCCCCTCAACACAGCAGAATTTTCCTTATTAAAAAGATAGCTGTATGAGAAAAACCAAAACCAGACTTGGGTTGGAAGTGAGACAGGGTGGCGATGGGAGAACAAGGGAGCAGTGAGTCTCTGGGCTTGTGGGAAGCCCTGGTGCCAGCCGTGGGCTTTGGCTTGGGGAGGCTGCAAGCGCCCAGCTTCAAGCAGGCTCTGGGCCATCGAGTATGGGTGTCCCTCAGCTTCAGAGAAGGTGTCTGTTCGGAAGAGCACCTCCTTTGTCAGCCTGGCACTCCCTCCTTGGGGCCGGGTGTCCTGTGGACACCTCTGGTGGGGAGCCTGTATTCACTGTCAAGAAGCAGGTTTGGCCACCTGCCCCTTGTGTTGAGGCCAGCCCAGCTGCGGAGGGCTTCTGGAGCAGAACGAGGTGAGAGCTGCCCACTCTGGCCCTGGGGGTTTGCCTCACCACGGCAGTCTGGTTGGCACTCATGTGGCAGCTACAGCAGTGTCACCAGGCCCTGTGTGGGGCATGGAAGGAGGGAGCAGAGCCCAAGCATGGTCTGGGATCTGTCTCAGAGGAGGTCCAGTCTGCGGGTGGGCATAGCCATGGGGCAGATGCCAGCTGCCAGCAGTGTCCTGGGGATTGGGGGAAGACAGGCCACAGCAGGGGTCCTCACACCCCCAACTCTCTGCCTGGAATCCTCATCCCTGTGCCAGCCAATGACTTCCAGCCCCCAGCCTCCAGCCCCTAGCACTGCTGTCTGTCCCAGATCTTTGGAGTCAGGCAGTCCTGAATTCAAATCCTGATTCTCTCACTTGCAAGCTGTGTGATCTTGGCCAATTGAAACTAAGCTTCAGTTTCCTAATCTGTAAAATGGTGGGGAACAGGAGTGCCTTCTGTACAGGGTCACTGCTAAGGTGCCATGGTAAACACAATACTTCCCTTCCCTAGAGTAGACAGTGGCTGTTACTGTCAGGGTTGTTTCCCCCAACAGGTCTGCACCTCTCAGCCTTGCCTGGTCCCTGGCACTGTCCAGCCCCAAGGCAGCCAGGGCCAATGGCTGATCCAGTTACTGTCCATCTTCATAAGGCCAACATCACAATGTCATCTGCTTTGGTAACTCTGTGTAAATAGGAATAGGAGCTGAGATGTCCAGCTGTGCTGTCCCAGTCCAGGTGACAGCTCCAAGCACTGGTCCAACTGAGGGGTGGCCACCATGCAGTCAGCATCTGGGCGCCATCCACGGTTGTGGCAAACCCAGCTGGGCTCATTCCTCCCATGCTGCTGCTTCAAATAGGGCCAGCCGTAAGGTCAGCTCAGCTTCTTATGCACTTCAATGGTCCAGGCCCTGGACTGGGAGACTCGTGTAAACCACCGTTATTACCCTTATTCACAGTCAAGGAAACTGAGGCCCTGGGAGGTAAAAAGGCTTGCCTAAGGCCACCCAGCTGGTGAGTGGGAGAGCCTGGGTTCCGAGTCTCCTGGATCCGGGCCCCACGTTCTCTCACTTATACCACAGCTGCTTGTCATGTGGCAGAGCTGGAAGGACCCGCAGGACTGGGTGGGACACTGATGATGGGACCTGGGGCTGACCAGACTGACCACAGTGGACATGAGGGAGGTGGAGAGTAGCAGGTGGTAGATGGCACAGGGGAGGCAGCCACAGTAGAGTCATGAGCCCTTTTGGAGAGTGTTGACCCCATAGGGGAAATCAGGCAGGGACAGCCATAGCCTGGGTTCACCTATGCCCCTATCTTGCCTCACTGGCTGCCATACACCAGAGAGTCTGGCTGGAGTAAAAGAAGAACCGCCCATAGACAACCTGGACAGACCTGTGCTCAAATCCTGCTTCTGCCAGTTCCCAGCTGTGTGGCCACAGACAAACGGTATTCCCGGTGCACTCTCAGCTTCAGTTTCTTTCCTTATAAAATCACAATGAAACCTCCCTGACAACAGCATTTTTCTTATGAATCGATAATCTGGGCAAAGCTCTTAGTTTAGGACCTGGCACACAGTATGTGCTCGGTAAGCATTAGCTCTCTTTATCATCACTTGACTGGTGGTGGCTCTCTCTTCAGCTACAAAACGAGGGTAACATGTGCTTCATAAGGTTATTGTATGAGTTAAATAAAATATGCCTTCTCTCATGCATTCCTTTGTCAGCCAGCGTTTACCAAGCAGCTCCTGTGTGCTCAGTTCTAGATGCTGGAGATTGAGCTCCTGGAGCAAGACACACTTCCTGCCCTTGAGGCGTTAGGCCTGATGGGGAGTCAGATTTGAAATACACAAATGATGCAAACAAGTGTCTGTGTGCGGTTGTGGGGTGTGCCAACTACATGTAGAGCTCAGCACTGTGCCTGACATGGTACAAGTGGAAGGTGGTTATTCTTACGATTTCATTATAGTTTAGGCTTATACATATCTCTGTTGTGGACTAATACAGTACTGAAAAGATTTCTGTGGATTTGTGCAGCGTTAACTGTAGGAGACTTGCTGCTTGTGCTGTGGTTTTCATTGTGGGAGTGAAAGGCTGTTTATAGGGAAGTTCTTTCTAGGCATTGCCTAGGCTCAAGGTCTCCCCACATCACTGGAGCCAGGAGGCTTCCTTTTGAGGGGTGCTCTACCCAGTCCGCAGCAGGTATGGCCTTGGCTCACACTCCTGGGTCTTGAGGAGTAGGCAGGTGTGGGCATCTGCACGTTTTGTAGAGGGGAATTATGAACTCTGTGGGCCTCAGTTTGCAGAGCACCACTCAGGGATCCACTTCCAGGAACCCAAGAGGAGGCCCAGTGTCCGGCACCTGTTCTCACAGGGCAGCACAGGGTGCACCTTTCATGTTGAGGGTGTTACTTGAGAAAAGGCAACTCCCTCTGTGTTTCTGATGACCAGTGGATGGGAACATGGGTGCAGCAGCCTGATAGACCTGGGTTCAAATTCCATCACCCTTGCTGTGAGGCCTTGGGCAGGTTTCTTAATCTCTTTGAGCTTTAGTTTTCTCCTCCTACTTTCCAGGGTTGGTGGCAGGATCCCATGAGACAGGAGGGAAGTTTCTGTCTTGGATTTGATACCCAGGGAGCAAGTTGCCTTTCCCCCCATCCTGCTCTCCAGTTTCTCTGCTTCTAGGCTGAGCTTTCACTCTGCCACTCTGAGCCAGCTGGGCCGAAGTCTGCACATTGCGTCTGGAATAAAGCTGCCCTATGTCCCACATCTCTTCACTCCCTGCCATGCACTAGAGGATGCTTTTTGTTGTGGTTGAAGCAGTAATAGCATTTTTCAGGATTGCCGTTGCTGACGCTTCAGGGTGGTAACTGAGTTACATTTTTTTTTAAATTGTGCACATGTACCCTAAAACTGAGTTACATTTTTAAGAGAGGAGAAGAAAAACAAGGTGAAGAGAAAGAATAAATCTGTGGATTCAAACTCACCAAACTTGGAGCTTCTCTACAAGGGAAATTATTTCTAATTATTAAAATTTTGGAAACATGGTACCACCAGGAAGAAAGGAAGTGGAAATGGCTCCTGTGAGAAGTATTAGCATATGTTTCTGTGATTTAACAGTTTCCCGTAACAATGTGCATCTATTTTAAAAGCAGACGAATGACTCATGGTATCTAGCACCAGTGCTCCACTGTAATGGCAGGAAGTGTGTACCCTGGAGGAGGCAGGCTTGGGTTCAACTCCTGTCTCTTTCATTTACCAGCTGCATGACCTTGAGCAAGTTACACATCCTCTCTGAGTTTCCTTTTCCTTCTCTGTAAAATAGCTTGTTAGAAGGATAAATCAGATAATGAACATATAACTCTTAGTGCAGTGCTCATCTATCCATGCACAAACCCTCACAACTTTTATATAATTAACCAAGTTAATTCCAATATTTGTAATAATTCTTAGTTGTTTAATAGTAAATTTTTAAGGCTATAAATTTCCCCCTGATTACCATTTTGGTCAGAACCCATAAGTTTTGATATGTAGTATTCTCCTTGTCATTGTCTTCAAATAGATTCTTCAAACAGATTTTTTATTTTTTCTTTGACCTAAGAGTTATATGAGTGTGTGTGTGCATGCGTGTGTGTTTTCAAATGGTTAGTTTTTTTTCTGTATTTATTGTTAAATCCTAGATGTAGTAAGGTCAATGAAAGTAGATAATATAGCATTTACTTTTTAGGACTTACTGAGGTTTTCTTTATATACAATCAATTTTTGTACTCCATGGGTACCTGAAAAGAACTATATTTTCATTTATAGAAAACCAAGCTTGTTATTATTATTATTATTAGGCAGAGTCCTGCTGTGTTGCCCAGGCTGGAGTGCAGTGGCCCAATCTCAGCTCACTGCAACCTCCGCCTCCTGGGTTCAAGTGATTCTCCTATTTCAGCCTCCCGAGTAGCTGGGATTACAGGCGCCCACCACCACACGTGACTAATTCTGTGTTTTTGGTAGAGATTGGCTTTCACCGTGTTAGCCGAGCTGGTTTTGAACTCCTGACCTCAGGTGATCTGCCTGCCTTGGCCTCCCAAAGTGCTGGGATTACAGGCATGAGCCACCATGCCTGGCCTTTTTTTTTTTTTTTTTTTTTTTGAGACAGAGTCTTGCTCTGTCACCCAGGCTGGAGTGCAATGGCATGATCTCAGCTCACTGCAGCCTCCACCTCCTGGGCTCAAGCAATCCTCCTGCTTCAGCTTTCCAAATAGCTGAGACTACAGGTATGCACCACCATGGCCAGCTAATTTTTGTGTTTTTTGTAGAGACGGGGTTTTGTCATGTTGCCCAGGCTGGTTCCGAGCTCCTAGGCTCGAGCAATCCGCTCACCTCGGCCTCCCAAAGTGGTGGGATTACAGGCGCGAGCCACTATGCTCTGCCCTAAAACTTGTTAACGTTGTTACTGTAATACTGTATCATTGCATTAATATATATATGTGTATATGTATATATATGTGTATGATGTATACATATATGCTTATATAAATTCTGGAAAAGACATACCAAAGCCTCCCTCTATGGTTGTGTTTTTGTTGAACTCACTTTTCATTTCTAACTTTTTTATGCTATGTATTGTTTGATGTGTTGTTTCTTTATGCATAGAAATTTGTAACCATTAGATCTTCTTGATCACCTGGACTTTTGTTTTTTAGAGCAAGCACTCTTCCTTGCTTTGCTTAATGTTTTCTGCCTTGAATTCTGCTTTATGTCACTTCTCCTGCCCAACTCTGCCAGTGTGGTGGGCACAATAGCAGTGCTCCTGGAGGGCAGCTGAAAGGACGTTCCATCCTTGGCCCATGCACATCTCCAGGTGGTCTGAAGCTCGGCCCTGCAGCTAGTCAGCCAGCTGAGAGCTGTGTAGTGGCTGAATAGCCAGCGGCCCTTCCCCTTCCCCAGCCAGGCAGTTTGTCCTCAAATCCCCCCGGCTTATCACTGGCCTGTGATGGATCTTACTAAGATTCTTTTAGACATAGGTTTGATCTTCAAAAGCTTTGCAGACTACATGTTACTATTTCTGTAACATAGCTGTATTTTTATTTCACATCTTATTTTCTTATTAAGCACGATTGGCCAAATTCTCTAGCTTTAGAGGGAATTTTTTGTACTGAGAGCTGTTGCTTTTTTAATTTTTTCTTTTGTTTCTTAGTTAATGTATGGTGAGGTAGGGGTAGGGGAACAGATAGACAAATAGACAGCTGGGCAAATAAAGAAGAAACTGAATTCAGCCCAAATGGGTGTTCTCCTGGACATGGCACCTTAGACCTATTAAACTTCAGCAGTTGGTAAGAAACACAAGTATTCATCCCTTTCATGTCCTGTTATTTTCTAGTTGGGTTACAGGTAAAAGCCTTATTGCTGGAGAGTATTTGAACTAGAAATGCTAAAATCTTGCCAGCATACATTTTGGTTGTTGCTCAGATGTTTGATTTATAGTTGGGCAGTGCTGTGTGAAAAAATTAGTAATCAGGATTGGAATTAAAGTCCAAATATTATCTCAGTTTTCCATAAGTCACCCTTTATATTTTTTAGCAGATCAGTACTATTTTGTGCTATTTTGTTCTGGTTTGTGGTAAGCTCCTTCCATCATGAAATATCTTCTTTAATTTTAGGAATCTATCTTCTGGATTTAATCTACATTGATTCTGCATATCCTGCCTCAGGCAGTATCATGGAAAATGAACAAAGATCCAATCAGATGAACAATATTCTTCGAATAATTGCTGATTTACAAGTTTCCTGCAGCTATGGTTAGTACCCTTGTTGTTAGAATTGTGAAATCTTACGTCATTGAAATTTGGGTCTTACCAGTGAGAAAGCTCTAGAAACCTTTCAAAGAACTACAAAGTTCCTCATTTTAATATATCGAGCATCAAACATGTACTAGATCCTTTTATACATAGGTTTGATCTTCAAAAGCTGTGCAAACTAGGTGTTACTATTTCTGTATTACAGGTGAGGAAATTGAGGCTGAAAACAGTTTAGTCACTTGTCCACAATCACGCGTCTAGTGAGTGGCAGAGCTCAGGTCTTTCTGGCCCCTGGGTCATTCATTCATGAAGAGCTTTCTGGGCAGCTCTCCTCCAAGCAGATTCGGGGACCAGCCTTCATTGTTCTGTGACTCTGCTGTCTCCCATGGCCTCAGAATCCTCCACTGGACTCTGCATCCAGCTGGCAGGTGCAGGATGAGAGAGAACCATATATGGGTGGGTTTTATGGTCCAGGCTTGCAAGCAGTGCAGGCCACTTTTGCTGACAGGGGCTAGGAGATATAATCTAGCTGTGGGCCTGGGAGAAGGGAAATGATGTGGTAAGCGACTGGCCACACTCTGCTGCACGTGGCCAAATCCACAGTGTGCCCATGATGGTGGGGTGTGTAAGAGGGATGGAGAAAATCATTGGAGATGATGTCAGAATGCTGGATGGGCCATCCATGTGGGGATTGATTTCACCCGAGAAGATGGCAGACTTGGGGTGTGGAGCTTGACTATGAGCCAGGTGCTCAAGTCTTCTGGGAATTAGCACTGATGAGCAGGCGGTTAGTCAGCGGAAGTCAGCCGTGAAGGGGGTGTGGTGCATGGGGGGTGGGGCTCTAGGCACCTGCCTCTGGGGAGCAAGGCTTTCACAAGAGGGCAGAGGAGTAAAAGTCCGGAAGCACCAAAGAAGGGTGGTAGGAAGGAGCCTAGCCTCACTTGCTGTGCGTAGGGTGTGAGAAAATCCACAGCCTCCGTTTGGGAATGTCACAGGGAAGCCAGGGTGGGTTCACCAAAGCAAGAGCCCTGCTCACCAGCCCCTCCACAGCATCCCCAGGCAGGGTGGGGGTTCCCACACTTCAGGGCCGCTTTCCTCTGACAGGAGGGGTAGGAGGCACCTGTATTCCCAGTGCAGGTTTCGCCTGGCCTGGGCCATCTCCAGCACAAATACATTGATACTTGTTGTTCCATTGGCCAGCAGAGCAACCACAGACATGGGCTTCAGGGTCAGATGGACTCCGGTTCCTATTCCAGCTTTGTCTCTTGAAAAGTCACTTTCTCCCCTTGAAGGTTTTCTCATGCATGAAAATGGGGATAGGATTCATGCAGAGCCCTTAGCACAGTCCCTGGCATTTCATGAGAGCCCAGCAAATGCTCTCTTACCACTGTTCACCTTCACCTGCGTCATCTCCATCAGTTTTGTAAAACAGGTATCATCCTCACTTCAGAGAGAGGACACTGAGGCTTCAGAGAAACAAAATGATCTGCTCAGAATCTCGCTATGAAAGGCCAGAGCTATCGGGTGCTCATGCTGCACCTGGACGCACCTCTCCAGAAAGCGAGGGTCCTTCCTCGCCCTCTTTTCTGTTCCTCTTCACGACCTCCTCTACTCCCTCCACCTCTCCTCTTGGCTTGTTCTGTCCCACCCAGTGGCCCTCTCAGAAGGAGTGCAGTGACTGTGAAGGTCTGCAGAGAGCAGCTGACACCAGTCCCTCCAGAAACGGGCAACACCGTGTGGCAGAAGCCTTCCATCACCTGAAGTCCCAACCCAGCTCTGCCCTTCTCAGCAATGCGACCTGTGCAGGTTGCCACAGTTTCTTCCTCTGTGCAATGGGGATATTGTTTCTCCCACGTGAGGCAGGTGTGAAGGTTAACAAAGATGACTCCTATAAAATTACCTGCTGCAGAGCCTGGTACAGGCATGTTCAGGTGCCTGGACCCCTCCCTTTCTTCCTAGGGTGCAGCAGCTCCAGTCATAGGCCAGCTTCTGGGTTAGGCCTCCACACCTGGCTGGACAGGGTCTGTTCATTCATTCTTGAATTCATGTCACACAGCTGGTGGGTAGATATAGGAGGCTTGCCCAGTTACCCCAATGGAAACCTGTTTTAGGGCACAGACACCTGGCTCTGGTCTGTTTTGGAGGCCAGGGAGCCATCTTTCCCCAGTCCCTGATATCTGAGTGGAGGTGCAGCTCCTCCTTCCTGGCTAAAAAAACATGGTGGCCTCAGAGTGTGGTGACTGAGGCCCGGTCATCTGGGGGGTACTCCTTGAGGGCAGAACCCAGGCCTGATGATCCCTCTGTTCCAGTGGCCAGCACAGGGCCAGTCCCCAAAGAGCATCAGCAACTGCTGGAAGAGTGAATGAGTCTCAGTATCCTGGGAGCATCTAAAATCATGATTTCTATACTTCTCATCTGGGGGCCTAAAGATGGGAGAGCCTAAAGTTTCTGGATGTGGTCCACCTTTTGCAGATCACCTCACCACCCTGCCCCATGTGCAGAAGTACCTGAAGTCCGTACGCTACATTGAAGAGCTCCAGAAGTTTGTGGAAGACGACAACTACAAGTAAGTCCCCACGTATTCCTGTGTCAGGCCTCCCAGCCCCACTTTTGTCCTTAGTGCTCAGGTCCCTGCAAGTGGCCTAGCCCTTGTTGGGACCAGTGAGTAGCCACCTGCAGGGCTTATCAGAGTCCACAGCAGTAGCGCCCAGGCCCCAGCACACACAAGCACACGCGTGCAGTGTGATCTTTGACCTCACAGCCCCGCAGTGGTGATGTCTGAACAGCTCTCATACCCATCTCTGCCCCATCCTCATGGGCCCCCCAGTTCAGAGTAAGGTGTTGTGTTAACTTCTCAGTATGGCTTTCCCACATGGCGTGGATAATATGAACTTGGACCCCACAGCTGTGAATGGCACAGGCGTGGTGCTCTGGTTCTCACAAGTGACTCCCCCACCCACAGTGCTGGGTGGCAAGGCAGCTTCCAGCCATATCTCCAGACTAGCAAACAGAGTTCTCCAAGAGCCTGTTTCATGGATGAGACAGTTCCTTATAACTCTCAGCTCTCTGCAGTATTCAAGGCCCTACCTCCTTCCCCGTAGAGCCCCAGTGGAGTAGACCCAGTTCTCATAACAAACCCATGGGCCCTTTGGCCTCATCTTCCACTAACCCTGCTGAGGCTTTCAGTTCTTTCTTCATTTGTGGCATCTGGGAATTTATCCAGCATTTCTATGTATTTGGAGGGAAAAGAAGGATTTTTTTCGTGTTAACTCTGTCTGCCATACTGCTTGGCAAGTCCTCTTGGCCCATTTTCAGCTTGATTGAGACTAACTAAGAACCTCAGTACTTTTTCATATGACCTGGTATTAAGGCAAGTCCCAGCCATCTTGTAATCAATCATTTACCTCTTAAATGTCAACTTCACATTCACAGATGGTCCCCAACTTAGGATGGTTCAACTTAACGATCTTTCAACTTTACAGTGGTGCGAAAGCAACGCACATTCAGTAGAAACTGTACTTTGAGTACCCATACAGCCATTCTGTGTTTCATTTTCAGCACGGTATTTAATAAATGCCATGAGATATTCAACACTTCCTTATAAAATAGGCTTTGTGTTAGACGATTTTGTAAGCTCTTATAAGTGTTCTGGGCACATTTAAGGTAGGCTAGGCTAAGCTATGGTGTTCGGTAGGTTAAATGTATTAAATGCATTTTTGACTTGTAATATTTTCAACTTATGATGGGTTTATTGGGATGTATCCCCGTCGTAAGTTGAGGAGCATCTGTATTCTTTTAAATCTTATCTTATGATGGCTTCCAATATGCCATGATTCCTTGGAATCTTGTTATTCCAGTATATTTTTTATCTCTTCCAGTTTTGTGTCTGTGAATTTAATTAGCCAGACTGCATGGTCTTCATCTAAGTTCGTGAAAACTGTAGAGAACTGTAGCCACAGAGACAACCCCCACGTTACCCACAGTTCACTCACCAGGAAAGACCCTAAGGGGAACGGATGTTCAAGCAGTGTCCCACCTGGTCAGCTTTACAGGAGTGGTCTGCAGCCGTGGCTGTGAACCAGAGTCACCTGGGAAACTCTAACCATCCAGATGTCTGGGGTGGGGCCTGAAAAATCTGTATTTTTTCAAAGCTCCCTAGGTGGTGCTAATGATCTTTTGCAACATAGACATAATGCTTTTAGTTGTTTTATATAATAATTTGTTAAACTATAATAAGAAATTGTGATCTGTTACCCAATAGTAACAACAATAGATGAAAGCCAGAGATTACCATTAAAATTATGCTTACCACAAATCAAGCTCATTTTATTTATTTACGAAGCATTGGCTCTTCCTGAAAAGAGTGCCCTGGAGTACAAAATTATTCCCACTTAGTTTCTGGGATAATATTTTCCATTTATGCACCAGTATTGTGATAAAGGAGACAATGGTTTTTCATTAACACTAATATGCTTTAGACAGAAAAATGGCCTATAAGTACTTCTGACCATGAGATAATCTTTGGACAAACTGCAAATCATGAGTAATTACTCCTTCTACTTTGAAGGAGTAACGCCTCAGCACCTGATGCTAAACAACAGTCAGCCTAGCTCTTTGTTGTGGTCAAAGTGGACAAACCCAGGGAGGAGGCCTGCATTCTCACCCCCGGCCCTCAGACCATCTAGGGAGTTCCTCCTCAGGGAGGTCCTGGCCCCAAGGGGCAAGAGATGGGCAGAGCCTGTGATTCTGCTTGAGGACCCACACTCCATGGCCCAACTGACATCTGGAGGCTGGCTCCTCACCCACAAGGATGCAATGGCTTAGTTATTACCTTAGTGGCATTGCATTGCTGACATTCTCCCCCATCTGCTTTGGAGATGTTATGCCAAGAGGTCCAACCAGTGCTTTATTCCCCACAGCCTTTATTCTATTTTATTTTATTTAAGAAAAATTACCCAATTTCCCATTACCTAGAAAGCATGACCATTAGCATTAAGTGAACATACTTTTGGACATTTTTCTATGCATAGAAAATGTGTATATATGTAGGGAAGGATGGATAGATGGATGGATAGAAGGATAGAATATTAAAATTGGATTCTACTACACTGGCTATTTTTAATTTAAAATACTAACTTTAATTTCATTTTAATTTAACTAGAAAAAAACTTTCATGTGAAAAAAAAATGCTGCTCTTTAAATATTTATTTACCAAAAGAGAGATTATTTTCCAAAAGAGCCTTCTAAAATTAATAAAAGAGGGCCGGGCACAGTGGCTCATGCCTGTTCACGCCTGTAAGCCCAGCACTTTGGAAGGCCAAGGAGGGCGGATCACCTGAAGTCAGGAGTTCAAGAACAGCCTGACCAACATGGTGAGCCCCGTCTCTACTAAAAATACAAAAATTAGTCTGGCGTGGTGGCGCACGCCTGTAGTCCTACCTACTCGGGAGGCTGAGGCAAGAGAATCACTTGAACCTGGGAGGCAGAGGTTGCAGTGAGCTGAGATTGCGCCACTGCACTCCAGCCTAGGTGACAGTGAGACTCCATCTCAAAAAAAATAATAATAATAAAAGAGATCAGGAAAAACATTAGGAGGCTTGAGTCAATAAGTTTTATTTTAACTAGGTTTCCATTGTGAACAGTGTCAGCCAACTCTGGTTATGAAAGATGAGAATATTAGCCCTCTCCCCTTCCTTAACCTCCACTTCACCAGCTTCCAACTTTTTGTTAGTTGTGTTATTATTACCACATAGTCCAAGTCTATAACATAAGCATGTTCAGGAATCATAATTCTTACTGTTTAGTATTTTTAAACAGATTCAGTTTTTACCACCTGTTGTTTCTCCATAGTTTTTCCATTCCTGGAGTCTTTATTTTAATCAGTCCCTTAATTTAGCTGCGTTTCATCAGGAAGTAGGACCCCCTACCTACTGCTCCACCAGAAAAATAAAAGTGCTCACAGGGCCCGCATGCCCTGCATTCCCTCAGAGAAATGTCTGTGTTGGACTAGACCCGGCCTTGCTGGCTGCCCTCCTTTGTTTCTCTCCCTCAGCACTGCAGGCCGTGTGCCGTTGCCTCTGGGCTTTGGGTGTTGCTGTAGAGAATGAGCCCATCTAATTTTTTTTTTCCTCTTGTTAAGGGTCCTGTCTGCCTGGTAGGTGAAGAATTCCTTAAAGTTCAAAAGCTTCATAAGAGAATGCCTCAGAGTAGAGGGTTCTGTACCAGATTTCCCCAGACCATGGTGTCGTCATCTTTCTTCATGGCAGAAGAATTCCTTTTGTTTATATCTTTGACTACTTCTGTGCCATTTCGTGGCTTCTCTCTTCCAGGGATTCCAGGAATCCGTCCGTGTTGGATGCTCTCTGCCCGTCATAGCCATTCGCTTCTTGCTAACAGCGGCAACCTCCATCTTGTTCATCAGCTGTAACTGGGATTGTCTATTTCTACTTAGGTATTCATTCAGCACTCTCTTATTTCAGTCCTGGATTTGTTCCCCCTAGGTCTTCAATCTCCTTTTTTCTTCTCATTCCTTTGTTTTAGCATCTCATTTTTCGGGTTTTGTTTTACTTGTGTTTGTAATAAGTTGTTCCACTGCTCTAAGCACTTGAGGGGATTTCGTCTGCTCCTGGGGCTGCCTTCTCGGTTGGGCCATTGGGCAATGCTCACCTGTTCTCTTTCCTTCTTTTGCAAGAGGATGTTGGCTGTATTGCCATACCATTTCTTTTCTTCTGGCTCCCATTTGAGAAGCTCTGTCTGGATGTTCCATGGGTGTGATCCGAGGGTGGGAGAGATGTCTGGCCCTCCTCCCATGTGTGTGAGGGGGGAAACCCTTACTGCTAGCTGGGAGGTCCAGGGGTTTTAGTCTTTCTCCTCTTCTGTAGCCTGTGGGAGTAGAAGGCTCAGGCTCTGTGGAGGCAGTAAGCAAGCAGTCTGTTTCACATATGTGTGTTCTGGCAAAAGGCCTATGTTGGAGTTTCCTTCACCTCGTTGGGGAGCTGTATCCCATTCCAGAAAGAGGTACCCTCAGGTTTCACATCATGCCCCGTGGAGCCTTCATTTCCATCAGAGGAGCTGCCGTGCTCTCCACCTAGTTCCTTAGCAGCTGGTGCCATTCAGCAGAGGGAGCGATAAGGACCCCCACTCAGACCCAGTGAGACCCCTCATTGGGCTTGACAGGAGCCATGCCATGATGCAACTCTTGGTCCAGTTTCAGAATCCTCTTTTTCTTTCCTTAACTCTAATTCTTTGAAGTTCATGGCTTTAAATTATGCCCCTTCCCTTGTTTAGTTGCACCTGGTGAGTTCTTTTACTTGTAAGCTTTTATAATTTTTTGTTGGTTTTGGGAGGAGAGGGAGAGTCTGGCATCTAGTCTCACTCTGTCATTTTCACCCAGAAGTTCCTATTCGGTGCTTCAAAAAGATATATTGAAGGGCCAGTCCTCATAGCATGTCCGTTGCCTTGTGCCTCTCTAAGGGCATCTGATCATGGGGAGTGCAGTGTAATCATTAAACACTCCAGTTGAGAGGCCACGTGCGGTGGCTCATGCCTGTAATCCCAGCACTTTGGGAGGCCAAAGCGGGCTGGTCACTTGAGCTCAGGAGTTCGAGACCAACCTGGGCAACACGGTGAAACCCCACCTCTACTAAAAATACAAAAATTAGCCAGGCATGGTGGCACACGCCTGTAATCCCACCTACTTGGGAGGCTGAGGTATGAGAATCGCTTGAACCTGGGAGGCAGAGGGTGCAGTGAGGCGAGATCTTGCCACTGCACTGTAGCTTGGGCGACAGAGCGAGACTCTGTCTCAAAAAAGGGGAGGCCGAGGCGGGCAGATCATAAGGTCAAGAGATTGAGACCATCCTGGCCAACATGGTGGAACCCCGTCTCTACTAAGAATACAAAAATTAGCTGGGGTTGGGGACGCATGCCTGTATTCCCAGCCAGCTACTTGGGAGGCTGAGGCAGGAGAATCACTGCATTCCAGCCTGGCGACAGAGCAAGACTCCATCAAAAGAAAGAAAGAAAGACAGAGAGAGAGAGAGAAAAGAAAGAAAGAAAAAGAGAGAGAGAGAAAGAAAGAAAGAGAAAGAAAGAGAAAGAAAGAAAGAAAAAAAAAGAAAAGAAAGAAAAAACTAACTCTGGTTCAGGGTCACACATTCCTGGGTTTGATCCCCTACTCTGCCACTTGCTAATCCTATGAATTTGGGGAAGCTGCTTAACCTCACCACTCCTCAGTTTCCTCATCTAGAAAATGTACTGGTTCAGAGTGAACACATCTGTGCTCAGTAGAGAGTAGGCCACACTCAACTCCTTTTCACTTTGTCTTTCTTAACCATTGTTTCTTGGCTGTGGAAACCCCCGGAGACCTCAGAGGGAAGTGACTGTGATCTGGAGCAGATCTCACAGTATTCCTGGCTTCTGTGACTATAGTAGCTTTTCCCAGCCCCAAACAGGTTCCTGTGTGGTAAACCAGAGCCCATCTGATCTTATGAAAATCTTTGTTTTCAGACTGTCGCTCAGAATCGAACCAGGAAGCAGCTCTCCAAGACTAGTCTCTTCCAAGGAAGATCTTGCAGGTATCGTAGCTACCTCGAGTGGGAGCAAACCCACTTAATAGCCTAATTGTGGCTGCCAGAGTTGGCCTTGACCGGGGAGGCCAAGGGCAAATCAAGTTTGCAGCTTAGCAGACTCAGCTATCCCTGTTCACAGCCCTCCTGCACCAGCCTGCCCAGGCTCCTGATCATGCGGGACTTCTGTGGTTCCCCTCTGTGCCGGGGCTCCCTGGAAGAGCCTGAGTGTTAGAGCCTGGGCCTGAACAGCCCCAAGAGAGGCAGGATCAGAGCCCCAAGTTGGGAGCACACACAAGGTAGAGAAAGCCCCAGCATCTTCTCCAGGCTCTCCAGACCCTTAGCGGGGCTGCTGCCCAGGCTTGGGTTTATGTGCCCTGGAGGGGTGCGGAGGATGCCCAGGGTATCTGGTGCCACCAGATGCAGGTGGCTCATCAGACTTGTGAAACACACACACATACACTGTCCCCTAGTGATTTGAGCCCAGGCTTTGCAGTCAAGCCCGAGCTCCGCTGTTTCCTGGCTTTGTCACTTTACCTGTAATCTTCAGTGGCCTCATCCACAGAATGAAGATAATATGACGACTTACCTTCTCGGGTTGTTGTGATGCCTGAGTAAGCTCATGCCTGCCTGTAAAGTGCTCTGCTCACACTGACATTGTGAAAGTGTGCTCAGTGTTGGCTGCTTCATCGTTATTATTTAATGGTTACTTTTTACTCATATTCCAACTGACTCTCAACGACAGGAGCTGATCTCCACTGCTGTCCAGGGAGAGGTCGGGGGCGTGGGGGGTCAAGGGGAACCCAACAGCACTTCCTCCCCCTGGTTTGCGCTCTAGGTCATACCACCCTGGGTTCTAGGCCACTGCAGTCTTGGACAAGTGACTTAACCCCTTTGGGCCTCCTTTTTTTTTTTTTTTTTTTTTTTTATCCTATAAAATGGGATGATGAAACCTTCCTCCCAGGAACGTTGGAATGTCAAAAACAAAATACTATTTGGAAGGCACTCGGCTCAGAGTCTGATGTGCCCTGTTTGTAAGGGGGTGGCTGCTACAAGCTGCTACGTGGTGCCACACCTCCCCTAGCCCGTTGACCTGCTCAAGCCACTCTCCCCACTCTCTGGTGCCAGGCCAACCTCTGTAACAGCTCCTGCTGGACACAGGACCACAGAGCCCATAGGGCCAGTGTGGCAGCCTCTCATGAGCCCCACCCAGTAAGGCTCTGCCCTGATTCCCAGGGGGGACTCCGGGCTGCTTGCCTTTTCCAGCCTCTCCTGGCTGCATTGGACAAGCCAGACCCTGCCTCCAGCACCCCTGGGGGCCTCTGATATCTTAGAGAGACATGCTGGTTGATTCTCGGGGTCTCCGGAAATGCTATTGTCTATACCTCAAGACAGTCCTGGCAGAAGCTTGATTTTCACAGGGTTTCCATAAGCCCAGTATTAAAATATCTCTTGCAGTCTTCCAAATCCATTGCCTTCCATATGTGGCAGGTGACCCCCAGCAAAGGTGGCCAGAAGGAAAGCTCCTAGTGCTGGTCTTGTCTCTACTTTGTCATTTCTGCCATTCTAGAACACCTTCCCCCTCGGTCAGCATTGCTCCTTTTAGGTGCGCAGTCACCTACAACTGACCTGTGGGGGACGAGGAGGGAGCAGGGCAGGGTTCCTATCAGAAGACTGTAGGAGACAGCAGTTGTTAAGAGCTACAGAAGGAATGCTAGCAAAGACTAGCCTATTGCATCGGGAGATAGTGCCAGAATTCTGGAGCAAAATGAAAGTGGTGGTCTGTCCTTCCGAGTCCCCTCCAAATTAGTGTGAATAAGAGGCCTGTTTGGCCTTTGCAGCCTCTTCAGTTCAATAGCCTTCACAGGATGAGCCACATCCCTGGACTTCTTTAAATGCCAAGAAGTCTCCATGCCACACTTGCTGTCCTTCAGACAGCTCTGGAATACCCATCTCCCGGTGCCCCTTCCTGCTGCCTGATTCCATGCTGGAGCCACTGAGCAGGGAGAGGTGGGAGAGCCCAGGGTCAGGCACAGGATGGTGTTCGCCTTGGTGTGAGCCAACTCTGCCTTTCCCTAGTGGCTCTGTCCATCCACAGGCCACACCCTAGCCTCACCTCTGCCTGAGAGTAGCAAGGCCTCTGTGAAGTTCTCCTCCCCAGGCCCCTCGCTCAAGCCTTAGACATTCTCCCCCTTGTTTTTGTGGTCTGCTCCTGCTCATCCTGTTGGGCTCAGGGTGGCCTTTATTTCAGCTCTTGGCTTCTTTATGGCACTCACCACAACTTGTCATTATTCTCTGTCTGGTCACTGGGCCCGACTCATTCCTTGTTGGATCTTTAGCACCTGGCATTATGCCTGCCCTTTGTAGATGCTCAATTTTCGTAGGGTTTTTGGAGGAGAGGGATGGATGGGTGAGTGGGTGGGTGGGTGGATAGATGGGTGGATGAAGAGCCAGGCTGCAGCTCTGGGTGGGCCCCTGGTATACACTAGCCCAAGTGTGGAGGAGATCCTGTTGCTGCAGCCTCACGACTGAGCCTCAGAGGGCTCTCCTCCTCCCTGGTGCCTCCACCCTTCACCTCCAGCCCAAGCCCTCATCTGCCAGCCTGGCTCTCCCTGGCACCAGCCATTCAACACGCCTGCATGCTGCTTCCTGCCAGGGCGATGGCGACAGAGGCTTCCTCTTCCCCTCCAGGCATCTATGTGACCCAGCTGGTCCCTGCATTTCACCACCATCTGCCCCACTATCTCCTCCCTGAGGAAGAGCCCAGGGCCCTGCCTCAGCCTCAGCCTCAGCCTCAGCCTCAGCCTCAGCCCTAGCCCCCAGCCCAGGTCTGCGCTGAGCAACACTGGCTCCCGCTGCTAGGGGTAGGGAGAAGAACAGGAGGTTGCAGACCTGGAGCCAGGCTTAGAAAACTAAAAGTGCTAATTGGGGGCCTCAAGAATGGGGTCACTCACTGGTCCCTGGGGCAGGAAAGGAGGCACTGCATTTCCTGGCCTCCTTTGACCCCTGACTGTCCTGGAAGTCAGCTGGGCAGCTAGGAGCCAGCCCTGGCCCAGCCTCCTCAGGTACAGCCTCCTTTCCCACAATCCACCCACACCTCTACTTGGCTCTGTTGTTTATTAGCCATGTGAGACCAGAAACCAGCAAGCCAGCCAACCTCCAGCATCAGAGCCCTGGCAGGGGACAGAATGGACCCCAGATGGTTCACATGAAGAGACTTTAATGAACAGAACCAATAAAGCATGGCGAGGCACCCATGGGCCGGCCCAGGGTCCTGGGGAGGGTGGAGCCCTAGGCTAAAGGGCATGGGGAAGAAGTGTTACCAATCCCAGGGATGGCTGAGTTCTGGAGGATGATTGGCTGTGCAGGGTCTGTGGGCAGGGAGGGGGAAGCAGGAGCGAGCAGAGAAAAATCCCTGGCCTCCCTTTCCTCCAGCCCTCAGTCTGCCACCAGAGCCTTTCATTGGCCAAATCCAATAGAAAGCTGGGGGCAAGGGGTCCAGGAGATGCATCTCAGGGGTCAGCCTCCCCCGAACAGAAGTGGCAAGTGGGCAGGGCAAAAAATGCAGCTGAATTGTGTGAACAGACTACTCAGCATACTGCCAAGCCTCAGTGTCTCTATCTGTAAAGTGGGCATAAAATCTTCCTCCTTCACAGGGTAGTGTTGTTATTAGCACAGTGCGCAACATAGAACACACGTGTTAGGTGGAACTTGATCATGGTGATGTGATTATCATAATTGTCATATTGTGATTCTGCCTCCATCATTGCCTCAGCCTGCAGCTTTTAGCTAAATATCACTGCCTCGGGGAAGCCTTCTCCCCACTATCACCCCCACCCCCAATCAGGTCAGGCCGTCTAACAGCCAGGCTGTGGCAAACTGTGGGACAGATCCACCCTCTGTTTTCATATGGGCACAACCACCCCTCTTTGGTTGACATATCGCCTGTGGCTGTTTTCATGCAGCAGTGGCAGAGTTGAGTGCTTGGGACAAAGACCCTGTGGCCTGCAGAGCGTGAACTATTTACTATCTGGCTTTTACAGGCACATGCTGGCCCTGGCTCCTTCCTGCAACTGGCCCTCATGCTCCTCCGTGGCACTTCCTTCTGCAGTGATGGCACAGTTAGTTGTGGGCTTATTTGCCCATGTCTGTCTGCTCCGCCAGACTGAAAGCTCCTTGAGGAAGGGCCCAGTCTAGAATTCCTAGAGCCCAGGACAGAAATCCCTCCGTCAGCCACAACTCTTCAAGCTCCTTACAGGGTCCTGTAGGCACCTGGTCCTCAGAGGCAGCTCCAGAGTGGGCTGACTGCTGACTCGGCACAGCCTTGGGAGAAGTGCTGATGCTGGCAGTTTTCCACAGCAGAGCAAGCCCCAGCTCATAGGAGTGTTTTCCACCAATTTTCCAAATCCCTGGCTTCAGCCCTGGAAGCAGGATGTGAAGGTTTTCATTGATCACTAGAGGGTCGAGGAGTGCCTGGAAGGTTTCAGACACACTCGGGGGTCCCAGCTTCCCACTAGCAGCCTCAGAAGACAGAGAGTGGGTGCTGCTGCAGCTGTGGGGTGGCCTGGGGTCCTGGGAAGGGTGGGGCCAGAGGGGCAGCTCCAGGGAGGCCTTTCTGGACCTGGCAGCCAGACTGAGCTGCGTGGCAGGAGCCTGACCAGACTCAGGGACAGGAATGTGCCTCTTGCAGTCCCGGGAATGGGAGGAACGCAGGCTTCCCTGGCTCCTCAGGAGGGGGTTTAGGCTTCAGCTCGGTGCCCTTTCCAGTAGGCACATCCCCCACACCTGCAAAGGAGAGGCCCTAAGACATGTTCATTCATTCATTCACCCAAGACTTCCAGGCCAAGGACTTGCTGTGAGCCAGGTGCCCAGCAAGGCAAGAACCTTCCCCACAAAGCTCACATTTTAGTCGGGGAACCAG
Source organism: Homo sapiens (assembly GCF_000001405.40). Lineage (NCBI taxonomy): Eukaryota > Metazoa > Chordata > Mammalia > Primates > Hominidae > Homo > Homo sapiens. The sequence goes on from NC_000009.12 coordinate 127,179,695, forward strand.
GCAGCAAAAGCTGCCAGGGGCAAGGATGGGTACACTGAGGAGCTGAAAGGAGGCAGTGGGAGCAAGACCAATGTGCCGGGCGGTCTCTCTGGCCCTCTTCTAGGCAGCGCCCACGCCTCTACCCCTCTACCCAGCCTACCTGCCCTCACATTGACAGTGGCCCAGGTCTCGCCCTTTGAGGCCTTGATTCAAGTCCGAAGTGGTCTGTGGGCTGAGGCTGCCCTTTGTCTCTGGGATGGTCCCTGTTGCCCACAGAGAGCTGGCCCCCACTTTCCACCCCTGCAGAATGACTTCACAGGCAGTTCCACACCAACAAATAGGCTGTGAGAAAGGAAATGGAGAAACCTTCTCAGTTTCTGTGTCTGTGGAGAAAAAAGGCCAAGAATGCCACGTTTTCCATTTTCCCTCCACATGTAATGTTTAGTTTCTATAAATGAACTAATATTTTCCTGGAGAGAAAAAAATCATAAAGAACGTTGACCCCCAGAGAGGGCAAGTAATGTTTGTGTGTACTTTGGAACTGGTGAAGACATTTCCAGATTTTGTTAGCCCCGCCTCCACGTGGCTTTACCAACTGACAGGTTTTCTCAGAAGATTCCTGGGCAGCACCGCGAGTCCAGGAAAATCTTCAGCCTTGGCCTCTGGTTTCTGTGCTCGCACTGTGAGGACTGCTCTCTGACACACCTGCGTGTCTCCCTGTTGTATTGCCTGGTGGTAGAAACCACCTCTGGAGTCAGGCAGAGCTCAGTTCAGAGCCTGGCTCCAGCAGTTCTTAGCTGTAGGCCCTTGGGTCATTGGTTTGATCCCCCTGTTTTCCTATTGGAGAAATAGGAATAGGAATCTTCATACAGACATACTTCACAGGGTCTCTGGGGAAGTCCCCTTAGTCCAGCCCCTGGCATACACTTACCTCTTGAGAGTGTTAGCTCGTGGCCTCCCAGGCGGGCTCTGGTGCCGTCCAGACATCGGGGAGTTGGTAGGGGGACAGAGGGAGCTCCTGCTGAGGCACTCACCAGCATACCAGTACTGCTGTCACTCACGAGCCACCCCAGAACCTAAGGGCATGAAACAACCATTTTATTACATGCATAGACTCTGTCGGTCAGGAAGCTGAACAGGGCTCCGGCTGGAGCTGGAGTCACCTGGAGCCATCTTCACTCACATGCTCAGTGCTTGCTGCCAGATGGGGCTTGAGCTACAAGCGGGGGGCGCAGAACACTTACCTGTGGCCCCCCACTGTGGCCTGGGCCTCCTGACAGCATGGCAGCCTCAGTATTGCAGCCTCCTGCAGGGCAGCTGGCTTTCACCCAGAGCAAATGGCTAAGGAGAGCAGGGTAGAACCTGCATCACAGAGCCCTTATGAGCCAGCCTCAGAAGTCACGCAGCCTTACTGCTGCCACACTCTGCTGCTCAGGGCAGTCACGAAAGCCTGCAGGTCCAAGGAGAGGGACGTAGACCCTACCACTGAATGGGAGCAGCATCAAAGACTTTGTGGACAGGTTTTAAAGCCAGCACCTCAGCTGTTCCACAGGAGGGAAACAGAGGCTCCAAGAGTTACGTAATACCAGTCATAGCAGCTAAGCTGCTTTGAGCCTGTACTCTCTGCCAAGCACCATCGTAAGTGCTTGTCATGTGCTCACTCAGTGACCCTGACACAGACACTGTGAGGTGGGGCCAATGTCATCCCCATTCTACAGGTGAAGATGCAGGTGCTCGCGCAGCCTCATGCATTGAGGAAGTGGCAGAACCAGTTGCCAAGCCCAAGGCTCTGGACAGCCTCTGAGGCTCTGTCCCCACAGCTCCATATATCCGTATAGTGCAAGTAGGCATTACATTGGCATGTCCTTGACTTTCCTACAGTCACTTTTGAGTCACACATTGTCCCCAGTTGGTCCTCAGAAGGCAACTTCCATGTAAGAATCAGAACTCCAAACCTGATCTAACATTAACTCTAATCTCCTTGTTACAACCTAGTTGGGGTGCTTCAGGCCTGGCTGCTTGTGGCAAGAGAGGAGGAGTGTTTGGCCCTTCTCCCTCCCTAGGCCTTTCTCCATCTCTTTGGCCTGTGGCAACTGGGGGAGAGGATACAGTCGTAATTGGAGCATAGGGTCATATGAGCCACATCCAGGCAAGGAGTTGGCCAGAGGTAGGTTTGAGTCTTGCCTCTTCTGCTTGACCTTGATGTCAAGGCTGCTGAGATGGGAGACTCAAGAACAAAGGAGATGTGAAATCCCAGAATAATGGGCCACAACTGGCCTCCTATCCCTGGAGCTCCTCAAGGAGGGCCCCTCCCGCCCATCCATTCTGAAAATATAAACGGGCAGCGAGAGTATGTTTCCCCTGCAGATCTCATGTTTAAGGGGCCAGGCGTGGTGGTTCATGCCTGTAATCCTGGAACTTTGAGAGGCTGAGGCAGGCAGATGGCTTGAGCCCAGAGTAGAGTTTGAGACCGGCCTGAGCAATATGGCAAAACCCCATCTGTTTAAAAAAAAAAAAAAAAATTAGCAAGGCGTGGTAACTTGTACCTTAGCTTCCTGAGGCCATCACTAGAAGCAGATGCTGGCAGCATAATTCCTTACAGCCTGTAGAACCATGAGCCAGTTAAGCCTACCTACCTACCTTCCTTCCTTCCTTCCTGCCTTCCTTCCTTCCTTCCTCCCTTCCTTCCTTCCTTCCTCCCTCCCTCCCTCCCTCCCTCCCTCCCTTCCTTCCTCCCTTCCTTCCTCCCTTCCTTCCTTCCTTTTTTTTTTTTTTTGACGGAGTCTCGCTCTGTCACCCAGGCTGGAGTGCAGTGATGTGATCTCGGCTCACTGCAGCCTCTGTCTCCTGACTTCAAGTGATTCTCCTGCCTCAGCCTCCCGAGTAGCTGGGATTACAGTCGCCCGCCACCATGCCCAGCAAATTTTTGTATTTTTAGTAGAGATGGGTTTCACTATGTTGGCCAGGCTGCTCTTGAACTCCTGACCTCAGGTGATCTGCCCACCTTGGCCTCCCAAAGTCCTGGGATTACAGGCGTGAGTCACCATGCCCAGCCTAAACATCTTTTCTTTATAAATTATCCAGCCTCAGGTATCCCTTTATAGTAATGCAAATGTACTAATACAGAAAATACCCCACTCCTAGTACCTATTTTCTGTGTTAGGCCATTCTTGCATCACCATAAATAAATACCTGAGGCTGAGTAATTTATTTTAAAAAGAGGTTTAATTGGCTCCCAGTTCTGCAAGCTTTACAAGCATGGCACCAACATCTGCTTGGCTTCTGGTGAGGGCCTCAAGAAGCTTACAGAAGGTGAAGGATGAACAAGCATGTCACATGGTGAGAGCAGAAGCAAGAGATTCAGGGGTGAGGAGAGGCAAGTTCCCAGACTTTTAAACAACCAGACCTCCCGTGAACTGAGTGAGAACTCACTCATCACCAGGGGGATGGTGCTAAGCCATTCATGAAGGATCCGCCCCCGACCCAGTCACCCCACCAGGCCTCGCCTCCAACACTGGGAATCACATTTCAACATGACATTTGGAGGGGCAAACCATTTCACAGGGCCTTCTAGCTGGCAGCCGATATCGCTGATGCTTCTTCTCCCAGGCACTTCCGTGGGTATTTCAGAGATTCCACAAGTCCCTTGACCCAGGCAGATGCAAACCTATTTTGGGGACCCCTGCAGCCCCTTCCATGCCCCCCCGCAAAGTCTGGTGCCCACTGCCAGCTTCCTGATGTTTGGGTCCCCTCCAGCCCTCAACTCTGCCAGCTTTCCTCACATGGGCCACCTCGGTCCACAGGAGGCCGTACCTGTCCTCATTCTAACAGACCTGTGAGCACAACAGACCTGCCTGTGGCCACCGCTGTCTTCTGGCACAGCCGTTTGGCCTCATCAGGCCTGAGTAAGGCACAGTAGCTCCCCTGGGTCTCCTGACTGCTAGAGACATAGTTCAACCTCCGCAGGGGGTCTGTGGAGACTCCGCCTGACTATGTGTGAGTAGAAAAAGAGAACAGCCAGGGGCAAGCTGTAGGCCCTCTCTCCATGTGCTCCTCTCTCTGGAAACATACTCTCTCTGCCCGTTTATATTTTCGGAATGGATGGGTGGGAGGGGCCCTCCATGAGGACCTCAGGGATAGGAGGCCAGTTGTGGCCCATTACTCTGGGATTTCACATCTCCTTTGTTCTTGAGTCTCCCATCTCAGCAGCCTGTCACATCAAGGTCAAGCAGAAGAGGCAAGACTCAAACCCACCTCTGGCCAACACCCTGCCTGGATGTGGCCCAGCTCCTCACGAGTACCAGCGGCTCCCCCAGCATCTGCTGCTCCGCGCTCCCCGTGGCCTAGGAATCTAAGAAATGATCAAGGTCAACCAGGTGCAGTGGCTCTCACCTGTAATCCCAGCACTTTGGGAAGCCGAAGCAGGAGGATCACTTGAGCCCAGGAGTTCAAGACCAGCCTGGGCAACATGGCAAAACCCCATCTCTACAAAAGTATATAAATGATCTGGGCATGGTGGTGCGTGCCTACAGCCCCAGCTCCTCAGGGCTTAGGCGAGATCGCTTGATCCCAGGAGGGGGAGGCTACAGTGAGCCGTGATCGCGCCACCGCGCTCCAGCTTGGGTGACAGAGCAAGACCTTGTCTCAGGAAAAAAAAAAAAAAGGAAATGAACCAGGCCCTCTAAATGATGTGTGAGACAGCTCTTGGCTGACAGCGAGAACTCGTGAGAGCTGCATGTATGAGAAACAATGTGTGTGAATGTGAAAGTGACCAGCTCCCAGGCTCCACTGTGAAACCTGGCCAGAGAAGGGTTTCAACACAGACTTTCTGTGCAGAGGGGCCCCAGTGTCCTGGAGAGCCACAGGGTCTGGCAGACCTGGAGAGGGCCTGAGTCCTTGGGAACCGGATTCTCAGCCTGGGCAGGAGAAACACTGAGGACACTGAGCCCCCTTCACATTAGGTGAAAGTCACCGTGTGCACCAGAGGCTCAGAGTGGTACCTGCAAGAGCACCCGGTTGCACAGTTGTCAAGCCCCCTCCTCCAGTGAGAAAACGCAGGCTCCAAAGAATGAGACTGGACTGTGAGCTCCCAGCTCAGCGTGGGGCAGAGGCTGGACTGGAACCCAAGTCTTGTGACTCCAAGCTGAGTAGTTTCCCCTCTGCCACAGCTGCCTCCCATTAATTTCTGATGTGCGATACTTGGAAAGTGCCCCTGTGAGCGGCAGCAGGGCTGCCAGGCTGCTTAAATAGGGCAGTGCTGTCCCAGGCAGGCCACTTGGATGCTGCCGGAAATCCGTGGGAACGAGGCTTCCCATCCCAAACACATGTCTTCCTCCGCAGCCATGAGCACTATGCCCATCTACCCAGTGGCCTCCAGATATCAATCCCAAAATGAACTTCTCATCGTGTCCCCAGAACCTGACAGTACCAGGGATACCACTCCACCGACGGTCACCCCAAGTCCCCCTCCCTCCATACCCCCAGCCTGTGGTGTCAAGTCTTGGCCACATCTGGTTGCTCTCCAACCAAAGCAAACTTTCTAGGGTACACATCTGAATGCATCAGTGCCCCTTCCTAAAAATCTCTACACCTTCCCCTCGTTGAACTCCAGGCTTCTTCAAAGGCCTTGCTCTCTGTCAACCCGAGTCTGTGCACATGCTGTTCTGTCTGCATCCATCACTGCTCCTGCTGGAGCTCTTGCACCCACCTGGACATCAGGCCCTCCAGGGGTCCCCTCTGTGTTCTCACGTGCACCGTGCTCAGGGCTGTCCCGTTCACTGGCTGCTCAACTGGGCAAGTTCCTGAACTCTTCCCTTGTCAGGTTCTACATCCTAAAAGTGAGATAGCAACAGTATTTGCATGGCAGTGTTAATGTGAGGCTTAAATAAGATCAGGTGTACAAAGCATTTATCACAGTTCCTGGCACCTTGTAGATGCTCAGTAAATGTTAGCTGCTGTCATTATTACCATCATTATTGTTGTAGTTATACTACTGGTGTAGTTGTTGCCTTTACCGTATTTATTATTATTATTCTCATGTAAAAGTAGATGTCTCTCCTGGTGTAATTACCTGGCTACTTCTCTCTCCCACACTTGACTGGAAACTCATCTTTCTAATCCAGTGTAGTATCTCCAGCTCCTGCCCCCGAGGTCAGGACTCAGGAAAAGTTTGTCACGTGAAGGAGGGAGGGATGCTGTATGGCTTACTCCTCACAGGGAGGCTGTCAGTCAGGGTCATCATTCCTGTTTTGCAGATGTAGAATTCAGGTTCAGAGGTGTGAGGTGACCTACTCAAGGTCACTCATCCTGCAAATGGCAGACACAGGTGGTGGACCAGGCCTGTCTGCCTTCAGATCCTGAGTCTTTGGCATCACTGTTCATCATCCTGTCCACTCCAAGGCTGTTGTTAGGAGGCTCTGGGCTCATTTCTCTTCCAATCAATGAGAGGTCTGTTGGGCAGCCTGTTGCTTTCTTGAAAGAAGTGTAATGAAAACCAGATTTTTTTTCAACATGATATCTCGTTCCCCACAGAGACTGTCAGTTCTCATATGTTCCAATAAAACTGCTAAAGAAACAGCCACTTAAAGAGCTTTAAAGATTATTCATGGAAAAATTATGCTGAGGAAAAATGGAGCAATCCTCTGAGATAGTCAAGCCACATGGTCAGTTTTTCCAGCTGTCCGTGCCATATCGGGGCTGGCAGCAGGAACTGCACTCTGCTCAGCCCGCCCAGAGCCCTGGTGCATTATGACCACCCACACCCTTGCCCCTGCTGCGGGACATGGAGAAACAAACTTGCCAGCCACCCAGCTCACAAGCGGTCCCAGAAGACACGTGTCCCTGGTGCTGTCACGTGGTGGCCACCCCAGGCTTGGCAGGGCAGGAACATGAGGCCTTTCAGTAGCAGAGGGTGTCACTTACTGGCAGAGAGGCCCCCCATCCCTGGGGCCCAGTTGAATGGGAATTCTTCTGCTTCCGCGTCAGACCCAGGCTGTTGGTCAACAATGCAGAAGAGGGGAGGAGCTGAGACCCAGAGCAGGGAGAGCAGCATCAGCTTTGAAACGGTGCCCAGGGAGGCTGCAGGCTTTTCTGCTGGGCCCCCCACCCTTCCTCCAGTTGGGTCAAGGGGCATCTGAGGCCAGGCGTGTCTCCCAGGGCCATCCACAGCCGAAAGAAGAGGTGGCAGATCCAGGCCTAGTCCTGGAGGGAGAGTCAAGAATTGAATGGAAGAGACCAAGGGCAAGTCCAGTGGGTTTGGGAGAGACTGGGCATGGGAATCGGAGCTAGAGGCAGGAAGCACATGGAGACAGACAGGAAAAGGAGTCAGGCAGGAGTGAGCAGGAAGGGCCGAAGAAGTTACCAGAAGAGACTTGGAGCCTCCGCGTCTCACTGCACCCCTCCAGCTGTGTGACTGCAGAGTGCCTCTGAGCCTTCCTTTAAAATGGCGATGATAAAAGTTACTAACCTCATAGGAGTCAAGGAACAGGACTTGGAAGTGTTTACTCAAGTCTGGCACACAGTGCATAATAGATGCTAGTTCCCATCACCTTCCTTTCCTCAAGGGTAGTAACTGGGTCTTACCCACTACAGACTTCCTGGAGGAAATGTCTCCTGTTTACTAGATCACTTCAGATATGGCCACCGTGTTCCTCCTTCCTCATGTTCTGACCAGCGCCTGACCTCTGAACAGCTAGCCTTCCTCCCCAGCCACCACAAGAGTGCGGCACACCTGGGATCAAGTCCTGCCTCCAGCGTGCAGTAGCTCTGTAAGCCCCACTTTCTGATCTGTAAAATGGGGCTACTAAGAGTTTCCACCTCAAGTCTTGTGGCACAGGTACAGAGCATAGCGCTGGGCGCATTACATTAGATTATAATTATCATCATTATTATTACTACCACAACACCAGGTAGCCTTGGGTTCCACTCCAAACCGCAAGGGAGGAGCAATGCAATTTGACCTTTAGAAAACACTTTTCTGAGTCAGGGTGGGAGCCAGAGTGACTCAGGCAGTGAGACTGTAATCCCTCGCGCATGGCTGCTGATAAACAAGGCAAGATCCACCCTCTACATGGATTTGTTTCTTGAGCAATATGTGCAAAACCAAAACAAAGCAGGATGGTTTTCATTCTTCGTTTTCCTTTCTGGAACAACTGCACGAGATGTTTCCTTTGGAACGGAGCCTGCCTGTGTTGCAGCGCTTTGAGCAGAGTTTCTTCCCCCGGGGTGCACAGCAGAATCACCTGGAGAGCTTTGGCTCCAGGTCTGCAATGCCCAGACCCACCTGTGGCCCACAGAATCAACCTCCAGGGGTGGCCCAAGAAACTCCGTTTTTAACACTCTCTCCAGATGGTTCTGATATATTCTTTGGTTAAGAATTAGAGCCTTTTTTTTTTTTTTTTTTTTTTTTAGACGGAGTCTCACTCTGTTGCTCAGGCTGGAGTGCAGTGGCGCGATCTAGGCTCACTGCAACCTCTGCCTCCTGGGTTCAAGTGATTCTCCTGCCTCAGCCTCCTGAGTAGCTGGGACTATAGGTGCCTGCTACCACACCCGGCTAATTTTTTGTGTTTTTTAGTAGAGACAGGGTTTCACCATATTGGCCAGGCTGGTCTCAAACTCCTGACCTCGTGATCCGCCCGAGCCTCAAAGAAGCTGATGACCACATGGAACCCCTTGCGGGGAAAATGCACAGATACAAAAGCTTAGCTGCACTTTCAGTCCTCTATACACCTCTCCTGGGTTTGTGAAGTCTAAGCCACAAACCTTTCCTTTAGAGTCATGCCTCTCCAGTTCCATTACGGTGGATTGGTCTGTCAGATCCTGTTCTTGAGATGCCATCTGAAAGCAGGAACTGGGGCCTCAGAGAGCCTCTCCTCTCTCCTGCCACCAGGCTGGTTTATCTAGGCAGCTGTGCCAAGAGGCAGTGTCGGGTGGTGGGGTCTCTTTGTTAAGGTTCTTTGAACTGTAGCAACAAAGACAGACTGGCTGACTTCAACCAAAAGAGGATCCATTGGGCTGGTTGCAGTGGCTCATGCCTGCAATTCCAGCACTTTGGGAGCCTGAGATCGGTGGATCACTTGAGGCCAGGAGCTTGAGACCAGCCTGGCCAACATGGTCGCAAAACCCCATCTGTACTAAAGACTAAGAAACCCCATCTCTACTAAAAAAAAAAAAAAAAATGTAGCCAGGCATTGTGGCGTACGCCTATAATCCCAGCTGCTTGGGAGGTTAAGGCATGAGAATCACCTGAATGCAGGAGGTGAAGGTTGCAGTGAGCCAAGATGGCACCACTGCACTCCAGCCTGGGCGACAGAGCAAGACTGTCTCAAAAAAAAAAAAAAAAAAAAAAAAAAAAAACCCCATTGGCTCACAGAATCCAGGGAGGGCTGAACAGCCAGGCCAGGGACACACTGGGTGTCAGGAACAGCTGAAACAGAACTCTCTTCCACCTTGCTTTGTGGCCTCACTCAGTGAGGTTACTTTCTTTTTCTGTCACCACAGATCAGATTCCCTCACCACAAGCAGGGAAACATGGCCATCCTTAGTATCTAGGTTTTATTTCTCATTCATCAAACAGAGATTGTCCTCAAATGCTTTCTAGGCTCAAATCCAACAGTCCTGGGGAGTGTATCCACTCGTAGACCCATCAGCTGGGGCCAGAGGCGAGGCCGCTTTGGACTGGCATTGCCTCCCCTGTCTCCATCAGTGGGAGGAGAACGTGCTTCCTGAGAAGGTGCTGGGCAGGTGATCCCAGGTGTCTGCTCCATGCACCCACAAGGCCTAGACTTGAACCTAACCCCGTCGCCAGCCAGGTTCTGGACGCATGCTTGGTGCCTACCCACTGAGCTTCTACTACTCTACTTGCAAGTTGAAGCTAATAATACAGACCTCAGAGGAGTGCTGTGTGGATTAAATGTGAAGGCACTACAGGGTCAAGGCAGACACAAATGATACAAGTTGGGTGGTTGGAGGAGAGTTTCAGAATGGGGCTATTTACAAAGATGTGGGCAGAGTGTGGGGACCCCAAAGGACAGCTCAGTACCCCAGGGTTAGAAATAGACTGCCACCTCTCAGGAGGGACCCCACAGGCAGAGAGCCAAAGGAGGCAGCTCCCCGTCAGCCTAACCCAGCGAGGGGCCAGAGCGGGCCAGGGAGCCTACTGACCTAGCCCCATATGCAGCCCCCTGGTCCGTGGCACAGGGTGGAGAAGGGTGGAGGACAAATCTGGAGGGGCAGGTGGAGATTCCAGCACAGCACCTGGCACAGAGTAGGTGGCCACTATTTTTAAAGTAGTCTCACTTTAAATAATGAAATAGTTAATGCATAGAGAATACCTATTGTCCTCACTATCCGTATTTAATAGCAGTTAACATTTTGCCAGGTTCACCACATATTTCTTTAAGTATTAATACTACACACAGAGGGAAGGCCTCTCACCCCCATCCTGCCTCATTTCCCTTTCCTCCCTACAGTTACTGCTGTGCTGATTTACATTATTCTTGTGCAGGTTTTGCGTTTTACTGCATATGTACTTGTGTGTAAACATATATACTGTTGTTTTGTGTGTTTGTAAAAATTTGACCTAAGTGGCATAATGCCATAAACATTCTTTTGCAACTTACTCTCTCCACTTAACATAAGTTTTGGGTTTTGTTTGTTTGTTTGTTTGTTTTTTGAGACAGGGTCTCAGTTGCCCAGGCTGGAGTGCAGTGGCATGATATCAGCTTACTGCAGCCTCCACCTCCTGGGTTCGAGCAGTCCTCCCACCTCAGCCTCCTGAGTAGCTGGGACTGCAGGTGCACACCACCGTACTGGACTAGGTTTTGTATTTTTTTTTAGAGACGGGGTTTCACTGTGTTGCCCAGGCTGAAACATAAGTTTTTACGATTTATCTGTATTGATACCTGTAGATGCAGTTTCTTCTCTTTGTAGAATTTGTTGTAAATAAACCACAGCTCATTTATCTATTTCCCTACTGATTGGCATGTAGCTTGTTTCTGCTTTTTTGCAATGACGCACAATGCTACCTTGAGCATCCTTGTGTATGTGGCTCCTCGTGTATATATGCAGGAGTTTCTCTAGAGTAAAAACCTCAATTAGAATCACCAGGTATAAAAGGCAGGGCATCTTCCTTTATTCAGCACTGCTCATTGCTTTCCAAATATTTCACCTTCATATAAGCCCCAAACTAGAGTTCCTGTTCCTCCCCTTCTGCCAATGCAATACATTGTCAGGCTAAATTTTTTATTTTTTTACCATCTGTTGTAATAAAAAGATATCTCCTTTTACTCTCATTTGCATTTCCATTATTACCAGTGGGGTTAAGCGTCTTTCCTTATTGTTACTGGCCATTTGGAGACTCTGTTCCTTGAATTTGCCTTTCATATCTTTTGCTTGTTCTCTCTGTGTGGTTTGTCCTTTCTTACAGATATTTGAAGTTCTCTGTGTATCTGAAAGCTAATCCTGTGTTGGTTTAGGGGTGACACATACCTTCTCCCAGACTGTGATTCGCCTTTTAACACTGATTTTGATGTCGTTTTTGGTCGGTTGTTTTGGTACAGACATTTAAATGTTGTCAAATTTATTCATCTCTTCCTTTAGGATTTGTGTTTTTTCTTTCTTCCCTTTCCCCAAGATTATAATGATTGTCTCCTATTTTTTTCCCAGTAGTTTTGCTTTTCACATTTGTGACATTAATCCACTTGCTTAACATAAGGCAGGACTCTAATTTTGTCTTTTTCCACATGGAACCCAGTGGTTTTGCCCCTCATCCTGAAAAGTTCCTCCTTTCCCCACTGACTGGTAATGCCGCCACCATCAGGAAGCATGTCGGGCTCTCACTTTGTATTCACTGAACTGTGTCTGCATCCATGCCCAATACCACACTCTTTGAATACTACTGCTTTAGGTTTTGTTCTGCCATCCAGTAGGGCAAGTCTTGCACTGTTTTTCTTCAGAATAGTCTTGGCTACTCTGTCTTTTTTCTTTTCCATCAGGTTTTTTTGTTTTTGTTTTTTGGGTTTTTTTTTGTTTTTTTTTTTTTTTGAGATGGAGTCTCACTCTGTCACCCAGGCTGGAGTGCAGTGGCACGATCTCGGCTCACTGCAAGCTCTGCCTCCCAGGTTCACGCCATTCTCCTGCCTCAGCCTCCCGAGTAGCTGGGACTACAGGCACCTGCCACCACGCCCGGCTAATTTTTTGTATTTTTAGTAGAGACGGGGTTTCACCGTGTCAGCCAGGATGGTCTTGATCTCCTGACCTTGTGATCTGCCCGCCTCGGCCTCTCAAAGTGCTGGGATTAGAGGCGTGAGCCACGGCGCCCGGCCTCCACTGGGATTTTAAGAGTGGCTTAAATGGCCAGGTCAGGAAGAACTTTGAACACCATGTCATGGATGATTTCAAGCAAGGCGGTGACATGGTTAGCTTCACGTTTTTCAAATACTTATGAAGCTGTGCTTGGGTTAGATTTTAGAAGATCAGACTGGAGGCAGGAAGACAATAAAATGTGGGGGCCCAGACCAGTCAGTGACAAGAGAGGTGGGCAGGGAGGGGCTGTGCAGAGTCTGGAGGCCATGATGACTGTGCAGCAAGTGAGGAGGGAAAGGGAGGAGAGAAGAGGCAAGTTGCCGTGTGGCAGGAGCCGAGGGTGGGCTCCCATTCCAGGCCAGGCGACTGGGCAACCCACAGTGCCTCCAGCCAAGGCTGGAAACAGGAGAAGGAGTTGCAGGCTTAGCCTTAGCTGTGCTGCACTTGATGCATCTTAGGAAAGGGCAGATGGAGGGATGGTGCCAAGAGGTGGATGTATGGGTCTCAGGCTCAGAAAAGAGGTCTGGGCCAGGCCTGGTGGCACCCTCCTGTGATCCCAGCTACTCAGGAGGCTGAGCTGACAGGGTTGCTTGAGCTGGTGAGCCGGGGAGGTCGAGGCTGCAGCGAGCCATCATAGCATCACTGCGCTCCATCCTGGGTGACAGGGCCAGACCCTGTGTCAAAAAAAAAGAAAAGAAAAGAGGACTGTAGTCAAGATTTAAGAGTCATCAGCTATCCAATCAAAGAAAAAACAGGAGCCAAAGAGGGAGTCCTGTGTGGACAACTCCAGCATGAGGGGTGTTAGAGGAAGAGAAGGATCTCACGGAAGAGGTGGTGACAGTGATTGAAGAGGCACAGGGAGAAGCAGGAGAGTGTGGCATAGTGCCTGCCAAGGAAGGAGGGCATTTTGAGAAGGAGTGACCCCGAGCACCAGGTGCCAAGGGCTCTGGGAGGAGGCTGACGAGCCTTCATTGATTTGGCAAGAAGGAGGTCAGTGGATGTGTCATTAGGTACAGAAGTCAGAGCTGAGTGACTGGAGGAGCACAGACCTCCATTTGCTGGGAAAAGATCCAGTGAAGGACCTTGGCTTACAGGGAAAGAGAGACTAGAGCTTGCCTGTAGGCTGGGGGAAGGAGCCAGAGAGAGAAGGGGAAAGTGAGGCAGGGAATTATCAGAGGAGACGGGTAGGACCTGAGAGAAGAGAAGGGCCCCGGCCTGGTGGGAAGGCCAGTGTGAATGGAGGTGTGCATGGCCACTGCAAGGGTGGCTGTGAGAGAGATCCCACCTGACATCCAGTGTTGTCACTGAAGTAAAGAGTGGCAGCATTTGAAAGGGGTGGGGTCTTGGAGTTGCCCGGGGGCACTGAGGAAAGAAGTGACATTTTGGAATGTTATTGAGAATAAGAAAGTTGGCTAAGGCTTAATAAAGGGATTGGTGGGGGCGGATGAAGGAGAAGGTGCCTGTGCAGAGTGGGGTTGGGAAGGAGGGGGGACAGCAGAGAAGACAACTCATGGGAAGTGAGCACTCAGCCAGCACAGGAGCTCAGAACTGGAGGTGATGCAAGTGCCCTTGCCTCCTGAATCTGCCAAAATGCCAGATGGGCCAGCCTTCCCACAGTATACGGGCTGGGGGTGTGGGTCATTATTTTGGACATTAAGATGACCCAAGCAGGCTGGAGGACATGGGAACCTGTAGGCCACTGGTGGGTCTGTAGGGCCTTGTGTTGGAGGACCTGGAGGTCTGGGTGGGCTTGGGCCTTATGGGTCCCCCCAAGAAAGTTCTCCAGCCATGGCCAGGCAGCCACCCCCTTGATCTGCTCTGCATTTGGTGTTCTCTGCAGGAAGCAGCTGAGCCCCTTTGTAGAGTCACTCTTTCCCACCCCCAGGGCCTGACCCAGATAGCCAGAGCTAGGCGAGCCTCTGGAGTCACCTCCCTTAAAGACCTCCCTTCCCAAGCCACAGAAACTAAAGAGTGCCACAGTGGCCAGGGTCACATTCCTCCAGACATGGCTGAAGACATGGCCAGCATGAAGGATTTGGCCTCAGTGTCTGTGTATTGTGCACAGTGAGGTTTGCGCCCCTAACTCCCTGGCTCTGGTGACCTGTTAGCCCCATGACTGGGTTGAGAAGGACATGGTAATAATTACCATAATAAATTAAGTATGAGGGCTAACTATGAAAGTCTGCGTACATTACCTCATGGACTTCTGACCACCTGCAAGGTGAGTTGAATTATTCCCACTTTTCAGATGAGGAAACTGCAGCTCAAGGGATATGTTCAGTAACCTATCCATGGTCCCAGGTAGCAAATGAAAGACCTAAGATCTGAACCCTATCTGTCTAGCTGTGCTCTTGCCCCTTTTTGTTTAATGAGTACATAGAGACCAGAAAGTGGCTGTGTAAGAGCTCAGGGGTAAGGGAATGGACTTGGTGTTAGAAGACACACTTTTTTTTGGGGACGGAGTCTCACTCTGTTGCCCAGGCTGGAGTGCAGTGGCACAATCTTGGCTCACTGCAACTTCCACCTCCCGGGTTCAAGCGATTCTTCTGCCTCAGCCTCCCGAGTAGCTGGGATTACAGGCATGCGCCACCACACCCGGTGGATTTTTGTATTTTTAGTAGAGATGGGGTTTCACCATGTTGGCCAGGCTGGTTTCGAACACCTGACCTCAGGTGATCCACCTGCCTCGGCCTCCCAAATTGCTGGGATTACAGGCGTGAGCCACCACACCCGGCCTAGAAGACATACTTTGAAGTCTCACCTCTGTCATTCACCAGCTGGATGTCCTTAGATAAGTCATGCCATGGTGAAGCAGGGCCAAGACTATCCCCATGTCCATCCATGGTGCCCTCCCTTTGGCCAGGACAGCAGGACATTGACCATCCTGAGAGTTGGTTGTCAGCCTTGGGAGTCAAGTACTATATGGAGAGTGAAGGATCAATATCTAATGAGTAGGAAGCTACAGAGCTCATATGAACCTTGCCCCACCTGTGACAGCTGGGCCAGTTGCTGTACTTCAAACCCGGGGCCCACCTCCACACCTCAACCCAGCCTGTGCAGCCCCTCACCCTCCCATCATAACCCCCGTTGTTGCTCTCTCTGCTCTGTTTGCAGGTCCCTCTGCTGGCTCCGGTTCTGCGAGGTTCAGCCGGAGGCCCACCTGTCCTGACACATCTGTTGCTGGCAGCCTCCCCACACCTCCAGTCCCCAGACACAGGAAGAGCCACAGCCTAGGCAACAAGTGGGTGACTGAGCAAGCCCTCCCGCCGGGCTTCAGACCGTCCTGCACATGGGCCTGGGCACAGTGCAGGGAATCACTTGCTGGCTGGGTCCCTCCCCTGCCCTGTTCTGGGAGTTGCTGATGAGAGCTCTTGGAATCCTGGCCAGTGCGCTTTCCTGAGGCTGGTGTGAGCTTGGGAGGAGCTGAGGGGCACTGTGGCAGCACTGACTCCACACCACCGACAGGTGTCTCAGGCTCAGCAGCTGATGGAGGAAGGGTGCAGGGAAGGGCAGGGAAGTAGCAGTGGCATTCCAGAGAATTTGCCCAAGCCCAGTTAATGACTCATGGAAAACCCCAAAGTCCAGTAGACACCAGTGACTGTCATCCAGGGCAGTGTTCAGTTTCTCATGGCATCTGCCTACAGAGCAGTGAACCTGCTGGCTCATCAGTCCTGTGAGGCCCATAGCTGGGGGACATGCGTGAGCCCTCGGCATGGCTAGGGCAACTGTGCCTGTGTCTCCAGGGCATTAGGCACAGGCTTCCGAACAGATGAGTCCCTTCCTTCCTTCCTTCCTTCCCTCCCTTCCTTTTCTCCCTTCTTCCTTCCCTCCCTCCCTCCCTTCCTCCTTCCTTCTTTCCTACCTACCTACCTACCTACCACTTCCAAGGCACAAGCTCAGCCCAGCCTAGGCAGGCCCTGGAGGAGCTCCAAGGCTGGAGGAGAAAGAGTTGCTCTTTGAGTGTTAAGCAGCCCTCTGTGCTAGACACTCTGCATATGCCTGTCAAGCATGATCTCCCTGAGTCCCCATGCAGGCCTCTGAGGTGGGTGCTATTATTACATATTTTGAGAACGAGTCTAATGAGGTTCAACAAGGTGAAGTTCGTTGCAATGGTGGAAAAACATCAGAGCAAGGGTCTGGACCCGGTGCATGTGACTCCAGGAGCAGACATCCTGGCCACAGGCCCACTGCTGCTCACCTGTGCAGCCTCATCACTCACGAGCACATCTGCTCACTCGAGCCTCATAGCCACCAGGGGGATGGGCAGGGCAAGTATCGTTATCCCCATTGGATGGATGGAGAAACTGAGGCTCAGAGAAAGGATGTGACTTGCCCAAGGTCATGGCATGAGAGAGGACAGAGCCTGGGCTGTACCGTGGCTCTGGGTGGAGGCCTTTTTCCTGCAGCTGCACCATCTGCTCCGGCCCCAGGCAGGTGTAACCACTGTCACTCCATAGATAAGGAGCTTTGCCTTCTTTCTTCCTTTCCATTTTCCAGTATGATGTGTCAGTTGAGTGTAGTTGAGAGTAAAAGTGCGACATTCCCATCGGAGAAAGCAAGGCACCTACTGGACGACAGTGTCCTAGAGTCCCGCAGCCCCCGAAGGGGCCTGGCTCTGACCTCCTCCTCTGCTGTCACCAATGGACTCTCCCTAGGTAAGCGTCTCCGGCCTGCACATGATAGGCTGGTGGGCTGTAGGCCCAGCGTGTGCTCCGTGTCTGTCTCTGTGTCACTGTGCCATGCCCAGTGGCGCTATCATTCTTGGGGACCCAGTGGCCCCTCACCTCCCTGCAGAGGTGGCTGCCTGCAGGAATCGCCCAGACCCAGGGAAACCCTTGTCTCCTAGCCTCGTGGGCTTCATGAAGAGCCCTGGATCTGTCGTCATCCTGCTGGTGGCATGGCAGGCAGGTAGAAAAAGCAGCCAAACACATGCCTGAGACCAGCTGCCATTGGCTGGCAGCTCCCCAGACCAGACTGGACCACAGTCAGGCTTCTGTCCCTGGGGGATCATGACCCACAGGGCCCTGCAGGGCAAAGCAGGAGAGGCAGCCAGGGAGGGTAGCTGGGTGGCCACTGGGTTCTCACTGCGTACTTGTCTTCACAATGGGAAGCTAGAAGGAGGGAGGATGAAAAATTGATATTCAGGGATGAAATTGCATCACTGAGTGTCAGCCAGACGTGGTGCTTATGGCAACAGAAGAGACAGAAATTGTGCTGCTGAGGCTGGGATAAGAAGAACTTGACATTAGGACTCAGGCTGGTGTTGAGCTCTGGTTGTAGGTCCGTACCCCTGCAGTGTCCAGGTCAGCTGAGGACAGGTGGGCACCGCCCTGTTATTACTGCCGTCAGGCCAGTGTGCTCTGATGCCTGTTGCCTTTCGGTGTGCCTGTGCCTCTGTGGTCTGTGTGTCTGTGTGTCTGTCGGCTTCCCTTAGCAGGGAGTCCTCCCATGGCTGGTGGTTAGACCAGTTGCCGAGCTGGGAGTTGATCTTGTGAGGACTGCAGAGCAGAGGGCCCAGAGCATGGGGGTGGGGGGCGGGAGGGGACAGGAGAAACAGGCAGGAATCACTCCCATGTCTCTGTGAAAGCAAGTCAGTCTCAGAGGGCATGGGCAATATCAGTCCAGGGGTCGCTGTCTCCCACGCCCTGGAAGTCTGACAAGCATGTTCTGTGTCTGCCTCTGTCCTCAGAGGAGGTCATCCTGTTTGGAGCCAGTCAGGGTTATACAACAGCTCAGGACGATGTGTCCGGGGTTACGAGGTGTGCCTTGGGAGAAGAGTTCCAGGTCATGCATGGGGAAAGGCTGGGTTGAGCAAAGGTGTGCAGGTTTCTTCCCAGAGACGCAGCTGTGCTGGTGGGTGGGAGTCCTCTAAGAAGGCATCAGAGTCCACAGTGTCCACATTCTTTGGTCATGGGACCCTCTTCCTTGGAGTGTCCAATGGGACCTGGGTTCTGAGGAATGCCCTCTGGGAAATGCCGGCCCAACAGCACTCAGCTGGGCGGCAAAACAGCTGTTTTATATCCAGAAAACTTTGTGAGCTGCGCCTGAGTCCAGGCCTTGCTATTCCTGAGATAGAAAACGGAGTCAGATGCAGAGCTGTCCAACGTCCAGACAGGAGATCATAAGGTTGTTTGGTTCCCGGCTCCTCAAGTTGGGGAATTGAAACTGTTTTTCTGTTTGAGGCCAAAAGCCCTGATGAAGCGGCCATTTGTGCATGTGCCCTGTTGGGAGCTGGGCTGGTCCTCCCCTCTGTGATGAGGGCTGTTACTCAGACAGATGCCAAGGGGCCTGGGATCTCCTCCCTCCCCCTTTCCCAGTGCTCAGCCTTGGTGCTCTTTCAGGCAAAGAGCACTGAACCTCAGAGCCTCTGAGGTCTGAGAGACAGTCCAGAAGCATTGCGCATGGATGCTTGGGTGAGAGGAGAAAATCTCTCCTCCAAGAGGGCTTAGAGAGCCCGGGAGAAGCAGGGTCGCCCATTCAGCCCAGAGGGACAGGCCTGAAGGAGGAATAGGGAGCAAAGCTGTGGGACCCAGCCCCTCTCTGTGACCCCACTGGCCAGGGGTCTGCAGGGGCTCTCCCTTGAGGCTTCTGTCTAATGCCAGGTAGCTGCACTGTGACCAACGTCTAGTCAAGTCCTGACCCTTGGGGAAGAGGAAGAGGTGCTCATTTGGCCTCACCAGGTGAGGCCTGTTCTAGTCCTGGCTTCACTTGGGCCAGAAGGGAGGCAGTGGTGGAGCCAGGTCAGGCCCAGAAGAAAGCCTGAGGACCCAGACCCCAGCGGGCCAGTGGGCAGTTAGCTGTGGCCCCCGGGGGCAGTGGGAAGGTAGCAGAGGACCTGCCTGGAACAGTGGTTCTTTGACCCTCCCAGAGCAGAGTTAGAACTCACAGCAAAAACTCGAGTACGTTGAGGCTCCCAATGTCAGGAAGCAGTTTCTGTGGCACTTCTGTGAGCTCAGGGGGCCTGGGCTCGGTGACCCAGGAGAACAGGCCCCTCTTCTGTGAAGCCGTTGTGCTCATTGACCTGTGTTCCTTTTCCAGGCAGTAGTGAGAGCTCAGAGTTTAGTGAAGAGATGTCTTCAGGGCTGGAAAGGTGAGTGTGGCCTCAGCATGGCCTCCCTCCCAGGGGCGGTGCTCAGGGCTGAGGGAGCCGAAGACAGGCCCCGGGCAGGGACGGGCCCTGCCCCACCCACCCCATGAGGCTGCTCTGTGGCTCCTTCAGCAGACTGGCTGGGGCAGGGCTGAGTAGGAGGGAGGATGGAAGAGCAGGATGGTTGCTGGGGCCCCAGCCCCCATGCTCTGAGCAGCCCCATGCCTCCCCTGATCCAGGAGGCTCTTCCTCCAGCACAGCTGCAGGAGGCCTGTGAGTAGATTTGGTCCGAAGTGTGGGTTCTTGAAACCAAAAGCCTAAGAAGTGGCCTGTTCTTGAGATGGGCATGTGGCTCCGCCTGGTGGGGTCTGAGAATATTGCACCCTAATGGCCTCAGGCCTTCGGTATTTATTGACCCCCACCCTGCTAGGCACTGGTGACAGGGAAGTGGCCATAGCCTCTGCCTCCCTCGAGGATCCCTCTGCCTCCCTCGAGGATCCCTCTGCCTCCCTCGAGGATCCCTCTGCCTCCCTCGAGGATCCCTTGGCCCAGGGTTTGGCTCCCTGGGAGAGCCTGTCTGCCAGGGCCCCAGGCCTCCTGCTCAGGAATTCCCATCGCACAGCTCCACGTACTAGTGTTTTCCTGTGCCAGGCGCCCGGTGATCTCTAGGAAGGCAGGCAATGCTGTGAAGGGGGTACCCCCACAGCCATGGCACCACCAGGGGTGAAGGGCATCGTGGCGACTCAGGGTTTGAGAGGAGGCGGGAAACATCCAGTGACCAGTGACACAGAATGTCCAGGAAAGGCAGGTTTGCACCAGTATCCAGGGCCCTGGGCACACACACACACGTACACATGCACACTCACATATACACACATGCCCTACACACACATATACCCATGCACACACTGTACACTTGAACTCACCTATGCTTGCAGTGTCACGTACACAGGCACACGCTCACACATGTGCTTGTGTATACATTCATATAACCACACTGTCACACGTGGGTGTATACACTCACACGTACATATGCATGCATGCATGTACCCTCTCACACATTTGTGTGCATAAACACTCATATGCATACACGCACACACACACACTCCTCCTCTGGCGCTGAAGCTTCTCTCCTTAGTCTTCATAATCATAAATTGGCCAGAGAGACGATAAGTGCTGCCTAGCAACTCCTCCCAGGGCAGACGGGCTGCCTGCTGGTCAGTGCTCTTGGTTGAGCATGGCCTGTGCCAAGCACTGTCCTGGTGCTTTGCGTGCATGGATGTACCAAATCCTCAGCACTCCTGCACAACAGCCATTCATAGTGTCCCCGTTTTATACATGTGGAAAACAAGGCTCAGAGAGGTAAAGTGACTTACTTGCTCCACACTCTGGTATGGACAGAGCTGAGCCACACCCAACAGCCTCCTGACCACTGAGCCACCTCTTCATCACTGCTCCACAGCTTGGCCAGATACGGGGACTGTCCCATATTGGTCAGTCAGTCTGTCTGCCTGTGAAACCCAAGATGGGGGTTGGTGGGGGAGTGGCGATATGCCAGCCCTCAGAGGCTCTCTCTTTCCCCTCCCCGGCCATCTGGGTTGCTCAGGCAAATGGGCCAATAGCTTTCACCCTGGGAGCCACCCCGGCAGTGGGGAGGAGAACTGGACAGGCACAAGGGCAGACTCTAGAACTCTCAGCATCAGTCAGGGGACTCCTGGGGACACCCTGAGGGAGATAGCTTACAGGCAGGCCAGCACCTCCCCTGGCCTCAGGCCAATGAGAAGACATCAAATGGCAAACAGAGGCACAGATCCTGAATAGCAGCTAGACCTGGACCTGTTGTTCATTGATTGATTCATTCTTTCACTCGCTTATTCCTTCATTCACTCACTTATTCATTCAGTAGCTGTTAAGCAGCTGCTCCCTGCCAGACACCACACGAGTTACTGAAGGTGTAGCAGATATAGTTCCTGCTAAGTACTCATGACTGAGATTAGAGCTTCTAGGAAGGAGGGTGGTGAGAAAGAATTCCTTGTCCCAGGGAGATGATGCTGTTTGCAATGCTGTCATGATCACTGTAGGCCACAGCATTTCATAGCATTTAGATCACTATCCATCTGAATGTCTAGAATAGGTGATTTTGGGATCTCTTCCAAGCACTGGTCTCATGGCTGGCGCAGATGCCCGGCTCTGCCTCCAGCAGTCTTGAAACATCCCTGCAGGGAGGATGTCCTGTTTCTCATCCTCTGAGGATGGCTTTTGGCCCAGCCCCACCTTGCTGAGGGGAGCAGGGGGCCACCTGCTTTGGAGGATGCCAGTGGGCCTGCGATGTCTCCCCCAGTCAAGACCCAGGCCCCGTGCAGTCCTGATGAGCAGATGCCAGTTGCCCCTTGGCCACCGGCCTCCATCTCCATCCTGCACTGCTTCTTACATTCCCTGAAATAATCCACACTCG
The DNA here is from genome assembly GCF_000001405.40 of Homo sapiens. Lineage (NCBI taxonomy): Eukaryota > Metazoa > Chordata > Mammalia > Primates > Hominidae > Homo > Homo sapiens. The sequence goes on from NC_000009.12 coordinate 127,201,519, forward strand.
CAAAAGCAAAGGAGCATTCTGGACCTTCCTGGAGAGTCCACAGGAGAGTCGGAGGGGAAGATTGACCTCTTGCAGCTTGAAAATCTTCATTGCCTGTGGCTCTCTTCTTTCAGTTACTCACCTTCATGCTCTTTCCTGGGTCTTCTCTATTCCTGACCTTCATGGGCCCGATGCTTAGCTCCTCCAGGTCCTCCCTCCACTCCCAGCTCTCACCCAGGCCAAATCCTCCTACTCTAATGGGGAGCAGACTCCCTCTCCCTCAGAAGACTGAGTGTCAGCCTGCCTGGGCCCAGAGGCCAGCACCTGCCCTGAAAGAGCTTCCCCTCCTCGGAGACCCCACGAGCTGTTCCCTGCAGATGCCGTAAGAACACAGCTTTCTCTGCAGGCCGCACCGCTCGAGCAGACAGAGGCCGTGGAGCCAGAGCCAAGGGTGCAGGGGAGGCCTGGGCCACGCAGAGAAGTGAGGTGTGAGAGAGGAGAGGGGGAGGCTTGGCCGTGGTGGGGGAGACAGCATTTCGCCCCACAGCTCTGAAGCGCAGGGGCCACACTCTTCTATTGAAGATTGCCACCAGCCCCCTGCCCCTCAACCCTGGTAATAAGCCTGCCCAGGCTAGGAAGAGAAATAGAGCCAGATGCCAAGACGAAAGCCAGGAAGACCCCAGGCCAGTTCCTCCACACCACACACACCTCTGGTGGGTTGAGGGCACACCTTCATCACTAAGAATGCCACTGTCAGCAGGCAGGCAGGAGTTTCTATTGTCTGGCCAGGGGTGAGACTCTGCATGCCCGTCTGGTGAATTTGCCTTCCCTGAGTTTATGCACATAGATGTCTCCTCTTTGGGTAGTAGCCAGAGTTCAGGCTGCAGATGCCCAGTAGGTCCCCATAGTGTTCGGCCATAAAGAGCTTCCACACGGGAGCTGGAGCCCACTGAGGCCTGCGGAGCTGCTGTACTGCCCTCGGTGGGAATGGGTCTGTTCCTACTGGACTGTGGAACAAGGGTGCAGAGAGCAAAGGGGACCCTCTTCTGCTCTTCATCCTCCTGTCTCCTCACCCATGTCAGCCTTGGCAAGGACACAGGGCCTGTGGGGTCGGGGAGGGGCAGTGAGATGCAGGGAGGTGTTTGTTAGTCACTTCTGAGCCCCCAGGCTGCCTTAAAGACCCTCCCCTACCCTTGGGGCCCAGAATGAGGACAGGGTGGTGATCCTGGGCCAGGGCCCTCAGGAACCAGAGAGCTATGGGCAGGGGTGGGCCTGCTCTTCTCTGTGACTCCACCTAGTGTCCCTGGTCAGCAGTCTTCCTCACCTCATGCCGGGGAGAGTAGGGGCGAGGAGAGAAGGGGGGCCCCCAGCACACTCTGCTCTCCCAGGGAGGTGGGGAGGCGGCCGCAGGGCAGCGGCCGCAGGGCATTCAGTTACCTGGAGAGGAGGGCTGTGGGCTTGTCAGGATGATCTCCAACCAACCTCGGGCCCCTTGGAAACCAACAGGGAAGGGAGCGTTTAGTCAGGAGCAGCAGTAATGGATAACAGATGCCTTTTTCTGCCTGATTTGGAAAGCAAGTGTTGGCACTAAGATGAAAACAAGAATATCAGCCTACGAGTTAAAGGATTTTAAATGAGGTGTTTTTAAAAAGATGAACAAAGTGGATTGTAGCGGCGATCATGTATGTATATATGAAAATAGAGTCTCACTCATCCTGAGTATTTCTGGTCTCCAGGTTTATTGAGTGAGTTTATTTTCCCTGTATTCTTCAGATTTTCCACAGTGTGTAAATGTTTCTTTTCTACCCAGAAAAACAATTAACATTTAACTGTATAAAAGAAAACATAATCAGAAATGATTACTGATCAGTTTTTAACAATTGAAGTATGAAAGTGCCACAAAGTTGATTACGAAACCCTTGGCCACCATCTCCCCTGGTCGGAATCACCTGTCTCTGTGGAAGGGCCTTCTCGTGTGAGGCACAGGCTGTAATACAGGTAGTGGGAAGCGTAGGGGATGGGGGGGTCCTTGGAAGGCCCAGGGTGAGAGGAGGCCCCTGTAGTGGGTGAGGGAAGTGAGGCTGGGGCAGGGTTGGGGGGCACAGTGCACAACCCTCTCTGAAGCAAAGCCCATTCCTCTTCCTGCTCTGGGGGAGGTGAGGGAATGGGTCAGAGCTCAGAGTCTTAAATAAGTCCTGTCAGGGAAGCAGTTGTGCAGGATGCAGTGGGAGGATCCAACAGGGCGACCTGCATGAGGCACCAGGCTCAGAGGTGGCTTCTGGAGGAGGGGATGGTTAAGCAGCAGCCCAGGACATTTAGTGAAGAGGACCCTAGAGAGCCCTCGAGGCAGGACCTGGGACCTGAAGAGGCTGTGGCCTGTGAATCATGCACCAGGCTGGGACAGATGGCCCAGGGCTTGGTGTCTGTTAGAGTCTCATACAGGCTGGGCCCCATGGCAGGTCCTCTTCTCTGGAGTTCTCCGTTGACCTCCACAGTGAAAGGCACAGCCAGCCATGCGGGGGGACCTGAAGTTAGGACCACTGATCCTCCCAGGTCCTTGGGCAGCTCTCAGTACCTCTGAGCCTCCATTCCTCAGCCCTGTGATGAGGCTAGGCACAGTGAAGATCTAACACATAGGTGGAGCTACCACATCTGAGGAACTGATTTAGGGACTTTTTTTTTTGTTTTAGACAGAGTCTCACTCTGTTTTCCAGGCTGGAGTGCAGTGGCACTGTCATAGCTCACTGCAGCCTTGATCTCCCAGGCTCAAGTGATCCTGCTGTCTCTGCCTCCCAAGTAGCTGGGTACAGGTACACGCCACCATACCTGGCTAGCTTTTTTATTTTCATTTTTCAGTAGAGATGGGGGCCACCCCCACTTCCAAAGTGCTGGGATGACAGGCAGGAGCCACTATGTCCAGCCTGAGTTGGAGACTTTTATGAATTTCCCTCAATAGGTACTACTTACCACCAAGAAAGCAACCCAGGGGTCTAAGGCTGGGTAGGGGGAAGAAAAGTTTCCTCAAATGCAGTTCAGTCATCATGGGAGGGATGGACTGGAGTGATGGCAAATTTCTACCAGCACCTGCTGGCCTCCAGGATGACACTGGACTGTGGGAGGGCCCCTCTAAGAGGTCGCTGCAGACAGTTGCCCCTCAGAGTGCTGTGGGGTGGTGCTGTAGGGCGTTCAGGGAGTTGGGTGATGCAGTTTCTGCCCATGTGAGGTTTACCTGTTCGTTTTAGCTGGTGGGATCATCCGACATCCTTAGGGAGGCACCAGGGAAATGCAGTCATGGTGACAGAGCACCAAGTCTCCTGCCCCAAAAACTGAGTTTTAAAAGACACTTGTTTCCTTCCTTGAGAAGATCAGAGGACCCTGGTAGATGCCCAGGTCTGCCAGGTCCCAAGGATGCCTCTCAAGCCCCAAACTCTGCAGTATTTTGGGAGAGGCAGGCCAGGCTCTGGAGGCGATCCCGCAGGTGATAGGTCCCCTTGGCTGCAGCAGACATGCCAGTGGCCATTCTCAGGGTGACTACCGCAGAGGACCTCACTGTCCCCCACACCTGTGGCTGAGGCCAGGATCCCAGGCTCTCATTCTTCCCCTGAGTCTGGTGTCCTCGGGTTCATTCTGCTGCCTGGTGCCTGGCTTCAGTGCTCTGGACAGTTGGCCTATCTCTCCTGCATGAGACTCAGAGACACTGAGCCCTGGGCCATCTGTCCCAGCTTGGTGCATGACTCAGAGCCTGCAGCCTCTTCAGGTCCCAGGCCCCCCGTCGAGGGATCACTAGGGTTCTCTTCACCAAATGTCCTCTGGGTGGCAGCCCAGTTAGAAAATTTGCCAGCTTCTGATTTGGGTTTCCCTCCGATATGTGATCTCTTGCCTTACTCCCTTAGCTCCAAACACTAAAGTCTGGCAGTTGAGGCTCCAGCCAGCAGACTGAGAGAAGTCTGCAGAGAGAAGAGTGCACAAAGAACCCCTGGCCTCTAGGTGCCAGGGCTTTTTGCTTGACTCTGTTTTCGAGCCCTGCCAGGCAGCTGTTGCTGCTTCATGGGTAGCTGGGAAATCTCTGCCCACAGCTTCTCTGTCCAATATCTACAATTCCTCCAGAGTCAGCACCTAGAAAGCGGGCAGGACGCTCCTTCCATCTTGTGTCCATCCTTCTCTGTGCATATCTGCTTTACCCCTCCCCACTCTCTCTCAGACAAGATTTCTGAACTTCTCAGTGCACAGAGGGGAAGATGGATGATGCCTCATGGCAACTTGGGATGCCTCCCAGGTTTACATGTGATAGTTTCGCCCAGCCACTGAGCCTCACTTTCAGCCTCTCAGATCTGGTTCCTAATCACCAGGAGAGAAGATCTGGCATACCTGGCTTGGATCACTGGTGTTGCCCTGTCCACTTAGCTGTCAGAAGGATGGGGACATACAGTACAAATGTGGTTCCTAGGGACCCACTTAGTGAATCAGGGACATTGCCCAGAGAAGAGTGGGTGGCCCATAGAAAGCAAATGTCCTTCAAAAATTGCTGCTAGAAGGGACAACCCAGGGCCCAGCAGAATTCAGGGTAGCAGCTTCCTGCCTGAAGATGAGAGTGAAGCATCAGAAAGTGGCCAGCATAGGCCATGGCCTAATTGGATGGCTTCCCATCCAGGGTGCGCAGGCGCAGGTGGACACTGCTGATCAGTAGCATCACCTGGGCCCTTCCACATGTGCACTCCTACCCAGGCTCTGTGGACTTGAGGCTGGGGCTCTGTGTACAGAAGATTAGGGAAAGTATATTAGTCTGTTCTCACGCTGCTAATGAAGACATACCCGAGACTAGGTAATTTATAAAGGAAAGAGGTTTAATTGACTCACAGTTCAGCATGGCTGGAGAGGCCTCAGGAAACTTACAGTCATGGTGGAAGGCGAAGCAAACATGTTCTTCTTCATATGGTGGTAGCAAGGAGAAGTGCTGAGCAAAAGGGGGAAGAGCCCCTTAGAAAACCATCAGATCTTGTGAGAACTCACTCACTATCATGAGAACAGCAGCATGGGGGTAACCACCCCCATGATTCAGTTACCTCGCACTGGGTCCCTCCCATGACACGTGGAGATTATGGGAACTACAATTCAAGATGAGATTTGGGTGGGGACACAGCCAAACCATATCAGGGAGGGATCCTACTTCTACTAAGACCAAGATTACCAAGGCCTCAACATAATTATTTTCTGGGGAGGTTGCTCTCCAACCTCCTAGCCCAGAAACAGGGACTTAGGGCTTTATGAAATGTAAGCCCCAGGATACCTACAACCTAATGTGTACCTAGAAAATGATGGAGTGAAGATGGCCTTTCAGACCTGCTTGACTAGTCTGAATTCTCATGATGCTGTTGGCTCAGGAAGTGCCCTGGCCACTTCCACCTCAATAGCACCACCTACTCTGCCTCTTCCCAGTGTCGTGATCTTGGGCAAGTGACTCTACGTCTCCAAGCATCAGGTTCTTTATCTATAAGGTGGGGATAATAATAGTGCCTACCTCACAGTGTTATATGAATAAATGAGATGCTGAGCGAATCCTGCTTAGCACATTGCCTGGCACCCATTGTCTCATCACCACCACCACCGTTACCACCATCACCATCCTCATTTCATCCTCCCACTTTTACTGTCACCACCACCACCACCATCATCGTTATCCCATCATCTCATTGTCCCATCATTATCATCATCCCATGACCCCATCCTCCTGCTCATCATCACCTTGTACACCCCTTGGGACTGAAGTGTTCTACTTTGTTGCCAGTCGATGTCTTCCCCAGACCCAGGTTCCCACAAGCTCCTGGTCTGGGCAAGCCTCAATTGCCTGTTGCAGTCCTCCTTCTGACTCCACCTAAGATCCCTGAGAGGGATCTTAGTCAAACGGCCTTCCTAGGACACTGTGTTCAGCCACAGGTTCTCAGAATGACACTGGGAAAGGTGTCTGTGGTTCTGGGCTATGAGCCCCTATGTCAGTTACCAAAAAACAAACAAACAAACAAACAAAAACTATGATTTCTGGGGTTCCTCTGATACCACCACCCAATCATTTTGCATTTTCTGGCCCTGAACATTCAAATAACAAATTTTCTCAAAGCAGGGACATTTCCAGACACTTTCGGTTGTCTGGTTCCAGTGGCTGAAGATCCTAGCTCCTCTATGCTGATGCTGGCCTGCCAGGCAGCCAGAGTTGCCCTGCCCAGCACGGTCCTCCTCCAGCTCTGGAGGACTCACCTGGAGGGAAGGCTGGCCACTTCCACCCTAACTCTGTGTTCCTAAAGGCTGGCCTGGAGAAAGGTCACACTGGTGCCGCCCTTCAAGGCCTGGGGTCGCTCCCCGTGGCTCCAGAGAGAGCAGGCTCTGACTTCCATAGCCTGGAGCAGCCACCCCGGCACAGGCCCTCCACCCGCACCAGAAAATGAGCCTCCCTTTGTGAACACTTGAGTCTCTATCTCTAATGACAGGCCAGCAGGGTGGGACAAGTGGCTTCACCTCCTTGAGCCTCAGTTTCCTCATCTAAAACTGTGAGAACCGGGCCCCTCTCACAGAGCTGGGCATGCTCTTGTGTGAAAGCATGTAGTTGGCACGTGGCGTGCAGTTGAGTAGAGGCAGCTGCTCTTCAGTGCCAGGCAGCAACTGCCAGGAGACTGCTCCACTGGGGCCACCAAGGGACCAGGAGACCTGGAGGTGGCCCTATTCTGGGAGATCCCCAAGCCTAAGAATCTTGTGGTCATTCGGTCTCAGACACTGACAAATCCCAGGCAGCGTGAGTGCAGGTGGGGACCCACAAGTAGAGGTGCCTCTGAGAGGATAATGCCAGAAAGGGCCCCCACAGTGGGTCCAGTCCCAATGACAGACCCCACCATGTTTATGCTGCCGCCTCTCCCTTATCCTGAAAGGCTTTATCTCACAGTGTGGTGAGGAACTTGGGCTGCAGAGTCAGACAGTCCTGGGTTCAAGTCCTAGCTTACAAGGCTCATGCCTTGGTCAAGCAGATTCACATCACTGAGCCTCAGTTTCCTCATTGTGGGGACGGTAAGGGTGCTTTACACAAAGCTTCGGTGGCAGCGCGAGTGCACTCGATGAAGTTGCAGGAGCATCAGAGCATGTGAGCACTCACTACCTAGTGACTGCTTGATCTGTCAAGAGCCCACCCAGAGACCCCTGGTGTCCCTGTGCTCCCCGCCAGTCCACTCCTCACTCCTTGAGGGAGGACATGAGGAAAGGCTGCTTACGAGGCTAGCCTGCTTGGAAGATGCTCGTTTCAAGCTCTCCATCAACAGATGTCAGTTCCTTCAAACATCTGTGAAATACAAAGCCACGCACTGTCTCACGCAAAGGGAGAGAATGATGGGAAGAAGGTAGCCACGCTGGCCACCATGCCCTGTCTCAGGTACTGTGGGAATTCCGGACAGTCCACTGGCATCACATTCTCCTCAGGTAGCGGGGAAAAAGACTCACGAGAAGAAAAGTGGCAAAGGGGCCAGAGGGCCCTGCTCTGGGAAGGGGGACTCCATCCTCAACTCCCAACAGTCAGCAGCTCAGAGCTGGAATCCAGCCCAGGTGAGGAGGAAACATCCCTGGATAGCAGACAAAGCCACAAAGGATCTCACTGCAAGAAAGTCCATTGTCAGACCCTGCTCAGAAGAAATCCCCGGTGATTCTCAGAAGAAAGCCCCGGGGCTGGAAGAAGAGCAGCCCCGGAGGTAGCCGTGGCCAGTTCCCCTGAGCAGTGCTGCTTCTGCATGGGCTAGCGACCTGGCCGTGCTAGTGCACTCACTTGCGAGGTGCCCAGCATGTGGTGCCGGTAACAGTGAAGTTGGTGACTGTTTGACTTGTCCAAAATGAGAGAATCATGGTTATCTGCATGAGTCATGTTCACTTGCTGCACTCCACCCCTCTTTCTGAGAGGGAGGTGGCCATTGGGCCAGTGGCCTGGGAGTTGAGCACACCAGGGCCTCTCTTGTCTGTGCTACAGCTCAGTATGGGTGGTGGTGGGGTCAGCCTATTACCACCCTGACACCCGTTAGGTTAGAGGACTGGGGGTCCAAGCACATGCTATGGTATACCATCACCCAGAGAGGAGGAGCCGATGGGCAGGAGGCTCGGGGGCCTGGAGCAGCCGTCCCAGCTAACCATCAGACTCCCACCAGCCCTGAAATTGGGCCCCTGGACAGTGGACCCGAGATGGCCATCAAGAAGAGCTCCTTCCTGGGAGGAGGACAAAGGCCCCTGGGCAGGTACGATGTACCTGCTGCAATGTGTGAGGGCGGCCCCACACTACCCACAGGTACTGATGTCACAGAGCAACGGCTGACCATGGAGGACTGAGGGGATCTTACAAAGGAACTCTGGGCCTCATCTGACTTTATTAAGTTGATTACATTGTTGTCTGGCCAACGGGCAAGAAGAGCTGTGGTCAGAGAATAGGCCATGCCTCAAGGGTGGGGAGAAGGTTGGAACATCAAGTGGATACGGGAAGTGAGTCTTCTAAGACAGAGAGGCTAAAGGAGAAAGAGGGTGCCTCCCCGCGAAGAGGCTGAACAGGAAGCTGCACGTTGCCCTGGAAAGGCTCACTGCTGGGGAGTGCATGTGAGAGGAAAGCCAGAGGGCCGCCCACGGAGCAAGCTTGGAGCATGGACTCTTGGATGCTGCAGCAGGTCACAGAGCGAGTTTGCAGGGGCCTGGCTGGAGCCGCAGAGGAGACTGTCCAGTCGAGAGCAAACAGAAGGCTCCGGTTGTGTCCTGGTGAATGACCCCCAGGCCCAACATGCAAGGTTGCCCACAATTCTGTGTGCACTTTTCACGTGGACTTGCCGTGGACTATCTGGGCTGTACAGTGTTTGCTATGAAACATCTCAGCCCCATGCTGAGGCAAGTGGGCGTGCCTGGATTTTAATCATGCTCTTGACACTGGAAAAAGGGTGAACACTCAATAAAAAGTTGAAAGAATTACGCGGAGACTTGGAGACTCTGAGGGGTGCTGTGTTTACTGGCCTGGCAGCTCCAGGTGTGCTTGTAGTGTGGCCGAGGAGGCTGGGGAGGAGTTGGGGAGGGAGGGAGGTTGCTCTGCGGGACTTCCTGAGCTAATTGACTATGTTGTCGGGGTGCTCTTGCCTCCTTCAGGAGCATCTGGTCTTTCAAAGCTGTTGCTAAAATTTAACCCTTTTCCTCTGAAGCAGGGGACGTCTCTATGCCACCCTGGGGCCCAACTGGCGGGTTCCAGTTAGGAATTCTCCCAGAACCCGGAGCTGTGTCTACAGGTATTCATGTGTTCATGTGTTCATTTGTTTGACACATAGCTTGTTATGTGGCCTTTTGGATGCCAAGCACTGTGCTAGAGGCTGCCGAAAGAAACAGACACAGCCTTTGCCTACATGAGTCTACTGCCAGGTGCACTGGCTGTCCCAGAGGAGGTGAGGGGCACTCAGGAAGAGGAGGGGGAGCTTACTTGGTTCGGGAGATCAGGGAAGGCCTCCCTGAAGAAGAGACTGGAAGAATGATAGGAATTCGCCAAATAATTGGAAGTGGAGGGGCAATGAGAATGTTCCCAGCAAAGGGACAGCATGGGCTATGAGGCAGGAAGAGCTGGGTGATTCGAGTGAAGGGAAGGGAGTGTTGGAAGGAATGAGAGAGGGCAGGGACATGAGATGAGCTGGAGCCACATCCAGCATGCATCATCCAGCAGGGGTGAGAATGGTGGCTCAGATCTTAAAAGCGACAGGAAGCCATGAAAGGGGCTTGCTGTGGGCAGGTGGAGGAGAGGAGAGGGGGAGGGTGGAGGCACTGGCCGGTGTGGACCCAGGAAGGCCCGTGGAGCGCACTGGGCAGTGGCTCGAAGGAAGGTCCAGTGGCCTGAGGTGTAGTGGGATGGCGAAGATGGATGGTCAGACATATTTAGTGCCTGATCCCCAGTGCATCCTTGGGATTGATTAGGTTGCAGGGGCATCCGAGAGGAAGAAAATCCCCGCTTTCTGGCTGAAGCAGCCAGTAGGGGGTGGTGCCATTCCTGAGGCACCGGCAGATCCGGAGCTCAGGAGGGAGGTGTGGGCTGCCATGCCCTTGGACGCCTTCATCTGTAGGTGGTGCTTGAGTCCCCAAGGGAGAGGGTGAGTGAAGAGCCCGGGAAAGATGTGGGGAATGGTGCGTGTGGGCTCGCGTCCCTCCTGTCCCTCCACACCACCTCTTCCCTTCCTCGCTGCTCTCTGAGGCTCCTGCCAACACCAGAAGGAGGGGCTGCTGGAGCTGGGGCTTCACAGGCACCAGCTCCTCAGGTGTGGAGGAGCCCACGCCAGCCCCAGGGAGCGGCCAGGCTGTAGCCGTGACAAAAGCATCCCTTAGGGTGGGGGTGCTGATCAGGGCCTGGGTTATGAGGAACTTGGTCACCAAGCCTGGAGCTTTGCAGCCCCAGAGACAGGTGTGGGAGTCCTTGGCGGTGGGCCCTTCATGTGCGTTATCACCTGGCCCTCCCCTCCGGGCCTTGCTCTGCGCCGTTAAGTCTGGACTGCTGGGATGTCATGGACTTGGTAGTGGGGCACCTGTGGTCCCCAGTGAGTGAGAGGGTGCTTGACCTCAGCTCCTCCAGGGCGATGTCTGACTGGTAGTCTCTCCTCAGCCCCACCGGCCCGTGCATCTGTTCTCTGGGGAACTCCGCAGCTGTGCCCACCATGGAGGGGCCTCTGAGAAGAAAAACCCTGCTCAAGGAAGGGCGGAAGCCTGCGGTAAGTACAGACCCACATCCACCGGGGCAGCAGGGGCTTCCACATCTGTAAATAGTGCCCACTCCTAGAGGTCTCAGCAAAAGTCACATGCATGGCAGAGGCTCTGCTTGCAGTGGGCATGCAGCGAGCTGAACTCTCAGGAATTATACCTGACACTGCCGTAAAATGAACAAAGGGAAGGCTCCTTGAGTAAAGGAGCAAGAGACGGGAGGGAAGACGCCTCCTGTCTTGGTCCTAGGTGGAAGTTGGCATTGCCAGGGGGTGGTGGAGGGCCAGGGAAGAGATGGGGCCTGCACTGGCATTGATGGGATGGCTGGGTCTGTAATCGGCCAGGGATCCTCTACCCCCACGACCCCTGGTGGCATCACTCAGCCTCCCCTTCCTCTGTAGCTGTCCTCGTGGACCAGGTACTGGGTCATACTCTCAGGATCCACCCTCCTGTACTACGGAGCCAAGTCCTTGCGGGGCACAGACAGAAAACACGTAAGTCCCTTGAAAGGACTCTAGTGCTGGGACTTCCTCTAGTGGGGAAGGGACCTCTGTGAACTGTGGAGGATGGGGGTGGGAAAGGGATCTGTGTGAACTGCGGAGGATGCAGGTGGGAAGGCGGCAGGGGAGGGAGGAAGCCTTGCCTGGCCCACGTCGGCCTCCCTTGTGGAGTGGAGGGCTGGGCCCCGGTCTCCGGATGTGTTGTTGCTCTCCTCCAGTATAAATCCACACCTGGCAAAAAGGTTTCCATCGTGGGCTGGATGGTGCAGCTGCCCGATGACCCCGAGCACCCAGATATCTTCCAGCTGAACAACCCTGACAAAGGTAGGCAGCAGGCCAGAGCTGGCGCCTGCAGCTGCTCTCTGCCCATTTCCTCTCTTGCACAGCGTGCATTTTGAAATTATTAGGAGCTTTTGAGGCTGCTGCCTTCCCTTTGCTTTAGATTCTGACGTTCATGGGGTCCATGCTAGTCCACAAAAGCTGCATAGATCATGGTTGGCATGTCCATTGAGAAGGGTATGAGGCACAGGGTGCTGGAATCCTTTTTGCAGCCTTACCTATGGCTGCTGGGGCCCATCACTCCAGGAGCTGTAGTCTTACGGTCTTGGAATAAATAGTAAGGCTGGATGAGGCAGGGCCATGAGGCTGGAAGGGTCTTGGCTCTGGGGAGATTTCAGGGATCCCCTCACATGCCTGTGCCATAAGACTCTGGCAGTGTCCAGTTCCAAGGCCAACTCAGAGAAGAACCCTTTTAACTTCCCAAAGCTCCAGCCTTCTCTAGCTATCTCCCAGTTCCTCCCGGTTCCCACTTCATGATCATGCTGGGAAGGAGGAGAGATTCTGGATGCCATCCTGTCCAGTAGCCCTGTCTTCACTGACATTCAGAACAGACTATGGTGGGTCTCCTCAGTAACCCATGTCACATGACAAAAACCCAAAATTGCCTGGGTCAGTTGGATTCCAACCAGGCAAACTGATTTGGGCTGGAAAATCCCCACGCATTTTCACACCTTAACAGGAATGTTCTACTGTAGGGTTCATGAACACACAAATCACCTGGGGATTGATTAAAATTCAGATTTGGATTCAACAGATCTGGGGGTAGAGACCAAGATTCTGCATTTCCAGCAAGCTCCCGGGCGATGCAGATGGCAGTGCTGGTGGGGAGACCATGCCTTGAGTGTCAGGCTCTAATGTTCTTAGCTGAGAAGCAGAGAAACAAAGGGAGCCTCCAGGAGCCTGGAATGGGGAAGAGATAAATTACCAAGTTCTCTGCTCCGTGTCTGAGTGACTGAAGCCACATTTGTTGCACACATGTGGCAGTGTGTCCTGAGTTTGGATACCATTTGAGTTTCTTCCTCCCTCAACAGTCTGGACCGGATTAGCAGTGGTTTCTTAAGGAAATGTGACACAAGGGGTGGCCAGGGTCCATGGATGGAATTCAAGAGGTCTGTGAACTTGGGTGGAAAAAAAAAATGCATCTTTGTTTTCAGTTACTTGTGACTACTTCAGTTATGAGTATAAGCATCCATCAACAAAAATGTTAGCAATACCTGTGATTTTTATCTCCAAGAGGAATCACATATTGTTACAGACATTTCAAAATGTCACTTATGCTCATCTCTTTTACAGTGCAGTATCGGACCGTACTAGATCTGTTTTTAGTGCTTTAATATAGAAGCACCTATAGAATTATACTGCTGGTTTGTTTTTTAGTTGTTTAATAACTGTATTTGAGTATTATCGATTTCCTTTGTATTTTATACATTTGGAAACATTATTCTGAGGATTGTCCACAGGCTTAACCAGACAGCCAAAGGCACCATGGCCCCAAAATGGTTACAAGCCATGGTCCAAAGAGACCACTGGAGGGAGCCCTGGAGGCTGCTTTCTCTGCATGTTCCAGCTCACCTGGGGCCGACCTTCCCACTTTAGTTACCCGTGTTTACATTTCTCTTTATGCCAGTCACCAGCTGACCCTCCTACGTGGCCCTCTTCTTAACTCATGGTTTCTCTACCCATCAGGCAATGTTTACAAGTTTCAGACTGGTTCCCGATTTCATGCAATACTGTGGCACAAGCATTTGGATGATGCATGTAAAAGCAACAGGCCTCAGGTAAAGTCATCAAAATCCTGCTTGTCACCTGAAATATCCTCTCCCACCCTTGGAACTAAGGGTCTTTAGAAAACAGGGTTCCCTTCTTCTTTCAGAGCCCATTAGCCACACTCTCAGATACCCTCTTCTGATCAGCATCTTCCCTTGAGACAAGGCACCCCCTTGCTCAGCTTAGAACTAAGCCCAGCTCCAGACCAGAACTTTGAATCTGGTTCCTGTGTCTTTCCCACAATAGGAAATGCCACAGAAACACCCACTGGGGGATGATTATGAGCAGCTGTGATATCACCCCAGGATCAGGTTCTAGCATCTATTTAGGTCATCCCTGCCAAGAGCTGACTTCATGGGAATACTCCAGACTCACTAAAGGGCCTCCCTGCCCCACAACCCTTGGGAATAATGCGGCTAGCTAACTTACTGACAGCCAGCCATGGACCACGCAAAGCTGCTGGTGAAAGGGGGTCCCTAGCTTCTCAGTGTGTTTGAGCCAGCAGGATCTGTCTTGACATAGGCCCTCTCTGGCCTGGCTCATGGTATGGCCCCCTCCCCTGGTCGCCCCCAGCCGTCCCACGAAGGGTGTTATGCGAAATGTTTCCCATGCAGGAATTGGCTGAATTCTCTCAACATCCCTGTGAGGTAGATTCTCTTACTGTCTCCGTTTTATGCTGAGGGTCCTGAGGCTCAGAAAGGGGCAGACACACATTTAAGGTCCCACATTAGTGAGCAGTGGAGCTGGGATTGAACCCAGGTCTGCCTGACTCCCCCGATTGTCTGCTTGTTGCCCCTGAGCCCTCCTGCCTCTCCTGCCTCCACTTCCCTGGTAACCCCTGCAGCTGAGCAAAAGACTGGAAGCACATCCCCAGCTGTCAAGGCTTATGAGAGAAATGGCTACCTGAGCCCTCAGCAGCAGATGGGGGCGGGCTGAAGCCTCCTGCTCCCTGGGGGTCAGGTGGGCAGCACTGATGCTCCTGTCCCTAAGTGTCCATGTGTGTTTTCCCCAGGGATCAGCCAGAGGAGGAGCGGGGGAAGCAGGAGTCCTCTCCTAGCCCATCTTGGGAGGGCTAGGCGCATGGCATAGAGGGTGGCGCTTCAAGGAGGACAGTTAGGCGTAGTGCCTGGGAGTAGACTCAGCAGGCCCCTTGCAGGCAGCAGCTCTGAAGTCTGGGGGACCTCAGCAAAGGCAAGTTCATACCAGGCATTTGGGTCCAGGAGGATGGGGACTTCATGGTGCCACGTGGCACAGTCACAGACTTCCTGGTCCCTCCAAGTGGTTCTGGAAGCTGAAGGGAGGTCTCTAGTGACAGTGACAGGTCCTAGGGCTCTGTGCTCAGCTCGGTCTGTAACACAGATGAGGACAAATACAAGAAGCTGATTGCAATTACAGATGATAAGTTAGAAAGCAGAATTAGCAAGTTCTCAGAATTAGTCCTCGACCAACTAAAACAGGACAAGACCAATACAAGAATAAACATGAGGTGCCACAGGGAGGTTCCAAATAGATTGCACTTGATTCCCTTGACTCACCCATCTGACTTCGGGGAATTTGTCATAGGGATGTGTACACACATGTGCTCAAAGATGTGTTTAAGAATGTTCACTGCAGCATTGTTCTTGATAGGAACCAAAACCCTGGAAGCCTCTGTGACCCTTAGGGGGACCCTATTGTGTGACACTTGATAGTTATTAGAAAGAGGCAGATCAGGGCAAAAACATTTGGAAAGGATGATCTCATCTGTATAAAAGTTCTAAGATGATACACAAGAAATGGTAATTCTGTAGCTTCTAGAGAGCTTTATGTATAGTTTGTACACTGAATAAATGTAATTGGCCATCCGTATGACAGGAAGACAAGGGTTTTGGTCGGCAGCCATCTCAAGGTGATCCATTGAGACAAGGTGCCAAGACCTGAACAAGGCTGCCGCCGCCCCAGCTTGCATTAAGAGAGGAAGAGCATCCTGGCCTCCTCCATACTGGTCACACCATGTGTGTCTGGGGTCCCTCAGTAGCTCTGAGGGCCGCTCTCTTAAGAGCATAGCACACTGAAGCTCCCCTACCACACACAGGAAGCCGGAGCAGCTCCAGGTCCAACAGGAACTGACAGCCACGAGGTGGACCACCTGGAGGGCGGTGCGGGGAAGGAGGCAGGGCCCTGTGCCTGAAGCCTGGGCACCATGGTGGCCCCAGTCAGGAGCAACAGTGGTAGCCCTGAGTAAAACCCATTGTCCCTCTTTGGAGGAGCGGCCAGAGGATGACAGCAGCCCCAGCAGGCAGCAGTGCCTGGGCAGGCTGATCCAGCAGAGCACTAATGGGTCAGTTTCATGTATTGGCAGATGTGGTGTAGCATGGCAAGGCTACAAGTTTTAAGGATTTTTGTCTGATTTTCAGACCTGGAGGAGGGGATTTTTCTTCCTACTTTCCCCCTTTTTTATTTCTAATTTACTTTCAACCAAATATTCCCACTATGTGCTATATGTAATAATAAAAAGTTGACAACAACTGAAATATTCAACAGCAGAGGATGATTTAAGTGAATCACAGTACATCCGTGTGATGGAATGCCAGGAGGGTGTAAGAAAGAGTGTGACAGAAATGCATCTATTCACAAGGAAACATCGCAGTGACTAGAGTGATTTTCTGTTCTGTGGAACTGCATGTCCTAAACTTGTTTTTATTAACACTGAATACACTTAAACCTTATCTATAACATATGTATAGGTATAAACAACAGCAATAAAACACCTTATTGCCACCATGAGCCTAACAGCAGAGCCACCAGGGCCTTGGAATGCTGTCCCTCACCATGGCCTCTTCCTAATTCGGTTTCTCTCCCTCCCACCTGTGCCCCAGCACCACTCTCCTGATTTGTTTGCTGATTATTCCTTTAGAATTGCAGGTCACGTACTTGATTCCTTCATGTGTTGTCTGGGGTGCATTTTTAAACTTTCTTATAAATAGAACCATAAAGATGCATTTTCTTGTGTCTTGCTTTTCTCCTGTAACATGTTCCTAGGATTCATCTGTGTTACCACATGTAGCAGTCATTCATTTATTTTTACTCATTTTGTTTTTATTAGTTCTTCTGTTGGACATCCCAGGACTGATTTTCCGCTTTTTTGCTATAGTGAACAGTACTGCTAATGACCATTCTTATAACTGTCTCCTGGTACATGGAGATGCATTTTTTTCCTAATTCATAGTTTGACCAAACTGACACCAAAATGGATTTTTTTAAATGAAATTATTTCTAATCAAATCCTCCCACAGCAGTGCTGAGGGAGGAGGTCTGGGGCTGAGGACCTGTTGGCAGCTTTTGGGGGTGGCAGAAACACTCTGACCTTGGGGCTAGTGGTCCCGCCAGTAAAGGGGTCTAGGATCTTGTCCTGAGGGCAGAGCTGTGGGAAGGTCTTGGGGTTTCTGATATCCCTGAACTGACTCTTTCTCCCATGCTTCCCTTTGCCAACTCCAGCCACCCACCCTCTGCACACACCTCAGGCCTTCAGGATTTGTCTCTCTGCCCCAAGCGCAGTTTGATTTTCACTGAAGGAGATAGGTTAAGAGCATGGGCTCTGGGTTCTTAGCCCTGCTGCTTACTTGCTGTGTACTGAACCTCCCTAAGCCTCAGTTTCCTGTCTTTGTAATGAGGACGATCCCAGTGCCTGCCCCAGGGGTTGAAGTGAGGACTCAAGAACGCAGTGCATGCGGTGGATTCAGAGCAGTGCCTGGCACGCAGCTGCCACTTCACATGGGGTGGCTATTGTTATTGCCATACCCTCTCCCTACCCAACCTGCTCATTCCCAGACTCACGGGGAAAGGCCTGTCCCTTCCCCTAGGGACCACCACCCCTTGTCCTTCTCTGAGGTCGGAACTTTAACAAGAGGCTGAGCTTTCTCTTCTAGGTACCTGCAAACCTTATGTCATTTGAGTAAGTCTCTGCAGGACGTGGCATGACTTCAGAGGCTTCTGGGAACCCAGGCTGGGCCTGGTGGTGAAGAGCAGTCCTGGGCACAGGCTGTGAGCCAGGGTGCTGGGAAACTCACAGCTGGACTCAGGGGACACGGCCTGTGGCCTCACCATCCCAGAGGGCTTCACCAGTGTGGGATCCACCTGTCAGTCCCCAGCGACTCTCATGACACTCATTCTGCAGCACCGCCTCTTGGGGCAGTGGTCAGACCCCACACGCCCTCTCTGGGCCCACCACCTGCATCTGCGACTAGAGAGCACCCGGCCCACGTTGGGTTCTCAGTGCTTTCTACTGCACAGAGTGGACAGCGCTAACTAACCTGTGAGAGGGGCCCGAGAGAAGGAACAGCTGTGGAACAGGCTTTTTACACCCCAAGTGCATGGGGTTGCTCGCCCACAGGGCTGCCTCAGATTTTGTACAACCCCGAAGCGTCCTCTGCGTGTGCGTGCTGTACGTGTGTGTGTGTGTGTGAGCGAGTGTGAACTCTTCAAGAAACATGCATTTTGGCACAAGACTCGTGACATCACACACTTCATTCGCTTTGAGGCCCTGCTTTAACCTTAAGTTATAGCCCTGTCCACCGAGGAAGGTCAGGGTGAGAGCCTAGATTCCTCCTGTGTCAAGGGTCCCTCGCATTCTTTTACTGTAAACAAACAATGCCTTAAATTGTGTCTTGTTTTCTGTTCCTATGGGTGCTATTCATCTGGAAGGCCTGCTTCCAGGCCTCTTTGCTGTCAGCCCTTCTGAGACAGGACCTGGCTTCAGGACTGTGGACTGGGCTGCTGGCCTGCTTGCTTCCTCCCTTCCCCATTCCTAGCAGGGCCTGAGGCCCTCCTCTTCTCGCCCTTCCCACCATGCCAGAATGGGAAGTTGTGACGTTGCAGCTCCAACCGACGTGCTCATAGTGATCAGCTGTGCAGGAGCCATGAGGCACCAACCTCTCCCCGCAGGGCAAAGCCTGTGCCCCCATCATCTCACTCCTTTGCCTGCACTGCCAGGGTGGGGCCCACCAAGATTCCTGATCATGACGGGAAGCTGAGTGACCCTGAGGCCTTAAGCTTCCCCAGTCTTGGCCCCAAATGCAGTCACCAGCAAGTTTTCCATTTTCCAAGTCCAAGGGCACAATTGTTGATGACCGTGTGACAATAGAGCGAAGCCCCGGGGAGTGAACGGTCCAACCTCTGCATTCAGTTAGGAGCTCTTCACATGAATCACATCCTTATCTGTCACCTTGTGTCACATTTTAAAGTGACTTTTATTTTGCACAAATAATTTTTATTCAGAATAATAAATCACTCTTTATCATAGTATCTTCTCTTCCCTCTTCCCCTTTAGTTTGGATAGCCTAACTCTGAGAAGTTAACCCTTAAACAGTTTTCTGGAAGAGACTGAATTTCTGGGTCCTTGCAGCTGTGATGGTTTCAGAGCTCAGACTGATCAGGCATCAAGCTACCCTCAAGAGTTTCTGGGCTGGATGTTTCAGAACAACATCTACACCAGTAAAGTGTAATAGGTCAGTTTCAAAACGACCAAAAGACCCACCACTGTATTTTGACCAAATAATGACAACTTCTTTAGAAATTTGAATGGCTTGGTGAGGAAAGTAGTTGTCACCAGGGCCTCATTTTGTAGTTGAGCCTTACAATGCTTAGTAGTTCATCTTCTTTTTGAGCAAAGACTAGAATACTTTCCTCCTAAGAGAAACTCCCAGGTGATAAAAGTTGATGCCATCAAACCTTGACACCGGGTGCTCTGCACACCCACGCGGATGTTGCACCTCATTCTCCCGATGACTATTCAAATCAGCATCTAGAGGCTGAATGACAATGCCAAACACTCCACCTCTGATCAGAACCATGCAGTGTTAACACTTTAACCTACATTGAATCTGATTCTACCTGTTAACTTTTAAAAAGTCGTAAGTTTGGATGAAAGTGCAAGATGTGGAACATCAACTACCTATTTTCCTTGGGTTTTTCCACTCTGCAAACTGTCCTGGTTTTTCACACCAATGAAGTATTATAGATGCCAATCCAAAACCTCAGAATTTCAGGCACCACAAAAACAGGTAATTTTCTATCCCTTATAAGTTTGTCTTTTCTTTCAGAAACATCTCTTAGCCTAATTTGAAATAGCACAATCACAATTCAAAATGTTTAGTCTTCTCACTAATTGAGTCTGCTTCCACGTCCTCTCCCAGGAACATTCTTAGCTCGGACTCTTGAAGAATCTCTTTAGATTTTGTTGGCAAAAGCCTTATAGAAGCAGTAAGAGGCTTGACCACGCCGGAAGAGTCCTGGAGCTAAAGCTGGAAGACACTCAGCTCTCTAAGCAGGGGCTCGGCCAAACATGGGAGTTAAGTGCTGCTTGTCTTCCCAGTGTTGGTTTGAACCCTGTGAGCCTGAGACAGAGAGGGCCAGGCACCAACCACAAGGCGGGAAAGTCCATGGGTAGACCCTCCCCCTGGAGGGAAGCATTTCTAGTTTTTGCTCCTTGACTGTCCAGAGTGTACAAATGTTCATAACGCCATTGAAGGGATTATTTCTTGCATGCATATGCTGAATTTTTTTAAGCAAATGGATCATGGCACCCCAAAATGAAAGTTATAGAAAGCTGTCTACAACTGTGGAGTTGGTAGCTGGTAACATTGTTGTCTCAAGAACAACTCACCTCTCTCCCTAGGACTAATTTTTGTCTCTCTCAGTTGAACATGTTTTGTCATTCAAGATCAGTCAGGTGCATTCTGGCAACTGACATACTTGATGGAGGATTGATTCGGTAGAGAGCAGTAGAAATCTTGTTCTAACTGTGCCTGGTGAGAGACTTTGGCCCCCTCCCTCCCTATAAGGCTGTGGAACCTGAGGAAGTAGATACTTGAAGAGATTCTGTTTAGGAAGAAACTCACTCTCTTTTGCCAGTTGAATTTATAGAGCATTTTTTTTCTTACCAAGATGGCCAGTATCATTTTACCCCCACCTCCCAAGCCCCAAGAGGTGTACCTTTTCAGATGCCATTTTACAGGCGGAAATGCTCCATGAAACAGGAAGCCACTTGCAAGCAACATCTGCTCTGTTCCTCAGGTGGGGCCCAGAGCCCTTCCCCGAGACTGCTGATGTCTGTAACCACTGGGGAGCACTGCCAAAAATACAGCTTTCTGGTTTGTGAGCCCATAAATGACTTAAATCAGCTTTACATCATTTTTACATATCAAGTGGTTTCATGTTAAAAAACAAACTCCTAGTCCTTTAGAAATAACAGATTCTCTGCACAAAACCACCCATTCATTCATTTATTCATTCACAGCACTAGCAAGTGCTGCCTATGCTGAGAACAAGTCAGATCTGATCCCTGCCCTCATGGACCTGACCACTCAACAAACAGTCCCCACCACACCTATCTCCTTAGGCAAGACTTTGCCTCTCTCCTAGTCCTGAGTATAAATCCTGTGCATAGATTCCTCTAGAAAGGCATCAAAAGGCTCAACAGACTGAATGGCCTCTTGGTCTGCGAAAATTCAGTTGCAATGAGGATGAAGTCACTATCCTAGAGGCTGCTTGGCCCAGAAGAGCCAGGCACAGAGCTGCAGTTGGGCACGCCAAGGATTCCAAAGGTGGAATGAGAGAGTAGGGTCAAACTGTCACAGTATCTGCTCCATAGGTTTCTGTTTTTAATTTCAATGTTAAATACAACTACAATATGAGCGAGAACTGCATTTTCTTGGGTGTTGAGAACTTGTACCATGGACTTCAGACCGCCTTGCAGCCGTATGCTGCACAAGCGTGTACACCCCCTGGGCAGCCTCAAAACCCCGCTTACAGCAGCAACACAGGAGATCATCTGTCCATTTTAGAACCATTAATCTCTTTATCCATTGCTGAACGACTGTGACTATTCAGTAACGAAGTAATAGTAATTAATTAGTATGGTATAATCTTTAATAAATTTCGTGCCAAAATGCATGGTTTTCCACTTAGCATTCAAAATGTTGCATAGAGAGTAGTTTTCAATTTCTTATGTACTCTTCGAAGTAAGTTGAAAATCAGTTTCTACATTTTAATTCGTTTCCTGTTAAATCTGTTGCACTCTCCTGGGCTGTCTTTTTCTCCAGCAGACCCCTGCATGCAGTTGTGTAAGGACTTTCTCTAATTCTTGTGAATCGTCTCACCCGCAGTAACCACTGAACGTCAATCAGCCCTCCATGGGGTTCTTTCGATTTTTGGTGAAGTATTTTGTTACCTCAGTCTTGTATCAAGTTGCTGTATTTTTCAGCTTGTTACATTGATAATAATTATTTCACTAATTAAATACTTTAATGTACAAACATCTTTGTTTACTTTGAAATTAAATGTGTTTTCCAATGAATGTTGCTCAGTTTATTAAAGTCACACACATTCACTTAGCAAACAGTTGCTGTTTCAGATAGACACAAAGGAGGCATGGGGTGCCCAAAACTCAGCTAGGACGTAACCAGAACATAAAAACCCTGCAGGAGCAGCATCCTCAGGAAGGGACAGGCACTCCAGGGAGAGAGGCAGAAGACCTGGGGATGCTTTAGAGAGCAGTGGGTATTTGGAGATTCAGTTCAGAGGCTGCAGAACACATGAAGGGTGGGGGCAATAGGGAGACAGAAATGAGAAGGAGCAGGATGAGGCTGGGAAAAAGGAGGCAACCTGATCTCACTGAGTACAGGTTTTGCGGGAGTAATGGGATTTAAGTCTGAAAAGATATGTTGGGAGGACTTCATGGTGTTAGGCAAAAATCCAGAACTCCATTATACCTCGCTTGGAGAAAAAGGGCTGTCTTAAACGGGTTATCTCATGGAAACCTGAGGGGAGGACCAGGGGCATCTCTAGAGGGGCTGGAAGGACAAATAGAAACACCTCGTCTACATCTTTCGGTGCTATCTGGGCAGCCCCTTCATTCTCTCACAAAGTTCAGGCCTTACCAAGAAAGAACCTGGAAGTCACTGAGGAAGTGTGCACCAGGGGGTGATGTAATCCAAGTTAACTATAGGATCCCCTGGCCCGGACTGCCTCAGTTTCCCAGCCAGTGCCTTCCAAATCTGCAGTGGCCAGTCCCCCAAGCACAGGTTCCCCCCAACAAGCACACTCCTCGGGCTCTGCTCCACCATCCCAGTTCCAGGCCAGCATGGCCACACCTCCCTAGCTACGACAAAACCCCGCTTGCCGAGGTAGCCCTAGCTTACCTCCTCCTCCTGATTTAGACAGCACGGTGGCCCCAGCTTTACCCAGATGGGGTCGCTGCCCTCAGTCACAGTGCAGTGTTCAAGGTCCCTGAGAAGAATGCATTTGACTTAGCGAAGTGGGGATGGGGTTGGAGGTTGTCACAGTTGGAAACTAACAGTCAAGACTCGAACCCACCACAACTGGTATCCAGCAAAGCTCCAGCCCCTTAGCATCAAGGCGTCAGGCGCCACAAACGGCCACCAGGAGACAGCAATACCTCCCCCTTGATGGGTGGCGGGATCCCGGAGCCAACGCAGACCGGACGTCGGAACGCCGCTTTAGCCCCGGGTGCGGGCATCTACCCAGCGCGGAGCCTGCGGGCAGGCTGGGCGACGGCACGGGAGGAGGGAGTGGCTGGGCGGGGCCACCGAGTTTGGGCGGGGCCTCTCGCGGCTGGGCGGGGCTGTGGCGGGCCCTGTCAGAGCAGAACTGAGCAGGCGGTGGAGCTGGGTCTGGTCCGGGCACGGAGTGGGGGCTTCGAAGGGAAAAGGCGGGGCTCCTGGGGGCGGAGCCATACCTGTGGGCGGGACATGGGAAAGGAGGGCCCGAGGGGCGGAGCTACAATAGAAAGGGCCAGGAGGTGCTGAGGCGAGGAGAGGCCGAACTCCAAGGGACGACGCTCGCGGAAGCAGAGGTTTGGGGTGAGTGCGAGGGCCTTGCGCGAGCTCAGTAGTGCAGGGGTAGGTGAGCGGGGCCTGGGTCTGTGCCGAGGGGCAAGCAGCAGGAGGGGTGGGGTCGTGGACGGGACAGTCGAGGTTAGGGTGGGCGTTTTGGGCCTGTGGGCCTCGCAGAGGTGCAGAAAGCCGGCGGCAAGAACCCCGCGGGGCTGGCGCGGGAGGGGCGTTACCGGAGCGCGGGGCGGGGCGTGGGCGGGGCGTGGGCGGGGCGTGGGCGGGGCCTGCTCCGGGCTGAGGGCGCGGGGGAAGCAGAGCTGGAGTTGGGAGCGGGGCCGGGGCGGGGCCTGTAACAGGCTGAGCGGGCGCGGGGCGGGGCCGGGACCAGGGTGAGTGATCGCGGGGCGGGGCTTGGGCCCAGCGGAGGGTCTGGGCAGGCTGGGGTTCGGGGCGGGGCTGGGGCGGGGCCTGAACCAGGATGAGAGGCGCGAGGCGGGCTGGGCTGTGGTTCGGGGCGGCGCCGGGGCGGGGCCTGGGCCCAGCGAGGGGAGAGGGGCGGGACGTGGGCTGCGGCGCGCGAGCCGAGCGGCCGGCCGAGGCCCGAGCCCACCCGAGTGCGCCCGAGCCCGCGGCCCCCGCCCGGGGCGATGGAACCGGAGCCCGGCGGGGTGGCCGCTGCGCTCCTGCGGCAGAAGAGGGCGGCGCTGCGGCGCAGGGGGTGCAGCTTCGAGAGCCCAAGGTACTGCGGACGGGGAGGGGTGCGGCCGGGCGGGGTGCCGGCCACGTGGGGGGATGGCGATGTGAAGGGACAGCGGGGCGAGGCCGTGGCGTGGGAAGGGTCTGCGGAGGTTCTCAGGAGACCGGGCGCGGAGCCCGGGCTGAACGGCCGTGGGCTGTGGGAGGGGCCGGGCCGTCGCGCGGGAGGTGCAGGGACGGGTGTCGGGCGTCCAGAAGCGTCGGTCCAGTGGCAGGCCCCGCACGCCCGCGGCTTCGGCGGGGCATGGGCTGAGGAGAATGTGCCCTGCCCACCTCTGGTAAACCCTCAAGGGCAAGGTCGGGAGCTCACCCCTCCGTCCACTGGAGGCTTCCTTCCGGCGCCCGCGTGCCCTGGCAGCCGCACACCTGCTGCCTCCGCGGCCCCCGCGCCCCTCGCGCCCCTTGCGCCCCTCGCGCCCCTTGCGCCCCTCTCCCTCGCGACGCCGGCCTCTGCCCGGGCCGCCGGCGCCCCTAGGCTGCTCTTCCCCCGGGGCCTCTCACGGGACTACAGCCGCCCGGGCGCGTGCCCTCCCTCAGCTTCCCTGGCAGTCCCTGAACTTGGAACGGATTCTCCTGCTTCGACGTCGCTCAAGTCGGCCCTACCATTTTCTCAGGTCTTGGAGATGACTCCAACGTCCTCTCAGCCACACTTCCCATCTCTGTTCTGACACCTCTGAAATCCACACCCCAGCCGGCCGCGAAAGAGGTCTTCCTAAAGCCGTGACTGTGCCCTTCGCGGCCAACACCCCTTGAGGAGCTCCCCATCACCCGCAGCAGTGGTAGGGACCAGAGTGGGGGACAGAGAGAGAGAAGGATGTGGACTCCGACCCGCACTGAGGCCAATAAGAGGGTTCCATTGCTAGGATAAAAAGCAAACTAACCAGGATCCTTAAGATGAAGTGCGGGGCCCTTGACTTGGCCTTTTCCCTCCATCCTCAGTTCTTGGCATTCCCTGCCTCACCCTTGGCGCTCCAGCAGTACTGGTGAGCCTGGCATATAAGCATCGCGGGGGCAGAGAACAGAGCTGTCCTGGTCACCCCTGGGTGCCCAGAGCTGGCTCAGGCCTGGCCCATGGGACATCATCTGTGTGTTGTATGAGTCAGTGTCTGACCCGCTGGTGCTTCCTCCCTTGTGCTGCACTGTTTCTCATCTGGGCCCTTATTCATATCACACTCTTCTCTCTACTTAGAATTTTCTTTCCTTTCCTCTCTGTATACGCCCACCCCTCCTCCTTCGGAAGTCTTCCTTGAACCCCAGATTGAGCTCTTTGCTGTATTAATAATCTGTGCACCTGTCTTCAAGTCCACATAACACTGCGTGTAGTTACCCAGGTAGTATGTCTCCCCCACTAGACTTGGAGAACCAGACAGATAACGGTCTCTGTGCTCATGGTGCTTACATGCTTGTTGCTGGAGCATGAAGGATGTGAGAAACTGAACCAAGGGATGAGGCTGAAGAGACAAGCCGGAAGCTGGATCCCTCAGGCCTGAAGTGGAATGCATGGAGCAGCGCTGTCCCGTGGAACTTTCCGCAGTGATGGAAACCTATAATCCATGCTGTCTGTTACGGTAGCCTCTAGGCACCTGTGGCCATGCAGCACTTGTAATGTGGCTAGTTGAGCTAAGGAACTGAATTTTACATTTTATTTAGCTTTAATTAATTTAACCGCCTAGGACTAAAGTCTACCATATTGGGCAGTGCCAGTTTAGAAAATGTTTCCCTTTGAATTCCCACTTTTATTACCCTCTCCTTTGTCTTCATAACCTTACACCTGAAAGACTAATGATTTCCTGGCCTCCAGAGTTTTCTTATTCTCTATTTGATACTCCATGACATTATCTTATCAGCTGTAGGATAATAATGATTATCATTTTTTCTGACTATAAAACTAATTTGTGGGCCAGGCGCAGTGGCTCATGCCTGTAATCCCAGTACTTTGGGAGGCCGAGGCGGATGGATCATTTGAGGTCAGGAGTTTGAGACCAGCTTGGCCAACATGGTGAGACCCCATCTCTACTAAAAATACAAAAATTAGCCGGTTGTGGTGGTAGGCGCCTGTAATCCCAACTACTGAGGAGGCTAAGGTTGGAGAGTTGTTTGAACCCAGGAGGCAGAGGTTGCAGTGAGCTGAGATTGTGCCACTGCACTCCAGCCTGGGCGACAGAGTGAGACTCCGTCTCAAAAAAAACAAAAAACAAAAAAAAAACCTAATTTGTGGCTGGGCATCGCGGCTCACACCTACACTCAATGCATTGGGAGGCTGAGGCACGGGGACCGCTTGAGGCCTCAGGAGTTCAAGACTAGTCTGGGCTACATAGCAAGACCCCATCTCTACAAAAATTAAAAGAAATTAGCCAGGCATGGTGGCACATGCCTGTAGTCTCAGCTACTCCAGAGGCTGAGTCAGGAGGATCACTTGAGCCCAGGAGTTTGAGGTTATAGTGAGCTGTGATTGCACCACTGCACCCCAGCCTGGGCAACAGAGCAAGACCCTATCTCAATAAAATAAAACAAAACTAATTTGTGTTTGTGAGAAGAAATCTGAAAAATCAAGAAAAATATAAAGAGGATAATTAAATGTTTATTTACCCATAATACCACTAGGTATTAACTAGCCTTTTTTCTTAACTATGTATGTGTATATTTATATTAATGTTTTAACTTGCTTTTCCACTTAATATAGTGTAAGGATTTCCACACATCCTTAAACATTTCTGAAATCTCTTTTAAATTGCTGCCTGGTATTCTGTCATATGGATATATTACCATTTATTTATTGGACACATGTAGTTTACTTACAGTTTTTCACTCTTACTAAAGATGCTGTAAATCCATGTGCATTTGTTTAGCTATGAAGAGGTCAACTTTTATAAACAGGTCATCATAAATTTATAGAAGTGATGGGAGTTATTGGATCAAAGAAAATGAACATTTTAAAGCCTTTTGAAGCATAATGCTAAATTGCTCACCAGAGAGTTGCACCAATTTATAGTCCCCCAAGGGCATATGAGTGTGCCTGTTTTTCCCCACTCTCAATACTAGGCATTATCATTTATAAATATTTGCCAAAGTGGTACCTTGTTTTAATTTGAATTTCTTTGTTTCATAGTGAGGTGAAACTTTTCCTTGTATTTATCCATAATTTATACTTATTTTTATGAAATATAGATGCATACACTTTGTCGATTTTCCTTTGGAATGCTTATGCTTTCCTTATTGAATTGAAGCACTTTTTATTTATTTATTAAGGAAATTAATTGTTTAGGTCAAATATATAGCAAATACTTTTTTCAGTTTATTATTTGCCTTTTAATTTTCTTTATGTTTCTGATAAAGCTTTTTTAAATTGTGGTTGTTGTTTTAAAATTTAGTCAGATCTTCCTCCTGTTTATACTTTTTTGTTGTTTGTTTGTTTGTTTTTGAGGCAGAGTCTTGCTCTGTCACCCAGGCTGGAGTACAGTGGCTCAATCTCGGCTCACTGCAACCTCCGCCTCCTGGGTTCAAGCAATTCTTCTGCCTCAGCCTTGAGTAGCTGGGATTACAGGCGCATGCCACCACACTCGGCTAACTTTTGTATTTTTTAGTAGAGACCGGGGTTTCACCATGATGGCCAGGCTGGTCTCAAACTCCTGACCTCAAGTGATCCACCCGTCTCGGCCTCCCAAAGTGCTGGGATTACAGGTGTGAGTAACTGTGCCTGGCTCTGTTTATGCTTAAGTAAAAGTGAATTCCTTAACTTAAAACAGATAAATGTTCATCTATACCTTCTCCCCTTATTTTTGTTGCTTCGAAAAACTACCCCTTAATTCATTAATCCAAATTACCTCACAACCCTGACTGTGTGTCAGAATCACCTGTGGACCGTCTTAGCCATACAGGTGCATATGGGTGCCCCTGCTCCAGGCCTGTTGATTCAGAAAGTTCAGGGTGGCACTGGGCCTGTGGATGTTCAGAAAGCTCTGCAGGTGCTTCAGAGGCAACAGCGCCTGCCTCAATTGTGGGCCTGTTACCAGATTGGCCTCCCTTATCCAAAGTCCTTAATTCTTTCTCATTTCCTGTTATATCCATTTTATGTATTTATTCATTTATTTTTGAGACAAAGTCTCACTCTATTGCCCAGGCTGGAGTGCAGTGGCATAATCATAGCTCACTGCATCCTTGAACTCCTGGACTTAAGCGATTCTCCAACCCCAGCCTCCCGAGTAGCTGAGACTACAGGTGAGTGCCACCATGCCCAGCTAACTTTTAAAATTTTGTGTAGAGACTTGATCTCACTTTGTTTCCCAGGCTGATCTCGAAATCCTGGCCTCAAGCTATCCTACTGCCTTGGCTTCCCAAAGTGCTGGGTTACAGGCTTGAGCCACCATACCCAGCAGTTTAAATGACTCATGTTTAGGGCTTTTCAGAATCTGGTTTAGCCATATTTACCTAAGCATCTTGTTGGCATCAGGAGAAGAAAGTCCTTATTTTCACTTTGGCAACTCTGTTGGCTAAATATCTGATGTCAGCTCTGATAACTAACTAGCCTGCAGACACAGCAAACTGATGAATGTAAAGGCGAAGGGAATAGCCCAGGCATTAGGCCTCCAGGCAGGGGCAGTGAGAGACTAGCTGGGAAACCTGGATGCAGTAGAATAAGACACTTATGCTGTTAAACCACTTGCCCTGGATGTGTTTGCCATCATTTTGTAGGAAGGCACATCAGATAGTGTTAAAGAACAAGGGCTTTGGAGTGAGACAGACTTGGGTTCAAGTTTCTGTCTTTTCACTCACCACTTGTGAACTTGGACAAATTGCGTAACCCCTCTGAACCTTAGTTAACTCCTTTATAAAATGACCTGCCTCAAAGTATTGCTGTCAGCTTTAAATGAACTAATTAATGCAAAGTGCTAAAAACAGTACCTGGCACAAAGCTTTAGTAAATGGTAACTGCTCTGGACAAAAATGACAAACATTCAGCCGGGCATGGTGGCTCATGCCTGTAATCCTAGCACTTTGGGAGGCTGAGGCAGGCAGATCACCTGAGGTCGGGAGTTCGAACCTGACCAACATGCAGAAACCCCGTCTCTACTAAAAATACAAAATTAGCCGACGTGGTGGCACATGACTGTAATCCCAGCTACTCAGGAGGCTGAGGCAGGAGAATCGCATGAACCCAGGAGGCAGAGGTTGCGGTGAGCCAAGATCGCACCATTGCACTCCAGCCTGGGCAACAAGAGTGAAACTCCATCTCACCAAAAAAAAAAAAAAAAGACGTTTACATAAAAATTCTTCTCAACCTTTTCCTCCCCTTGCCTGATTGAAACTTCGGCTTTGTCTATTCAGTTTTTCCTCCTCCCCTGCCCTCAGAATAAGGTTCTGCTTTGCTTTGTTGCATTTTTGAGCTGCAGATTTAGGAAGAGAGGAGGTGAGGAAAAGGACAATAGGTACCTAGGGAAATGGTTAGGATTGGCTGAACAAAACTTTTAGGGGTGTTTAGAGGTGAAACATACAGGAAAACCTACTTTGTGTGAGGGAAGCTAATACAGGCAAACGATATATATGTGTGTGTGTGTGTGTATACACATATATGTATATATACACATATGTGTATATATACATATATGTATATATACATATATATATATATATTTTTTTTTTTTTTTTTTTTTTGAGACAGAGTCTAGCTTTGTCACCCAGGCTGGAGTGCAGTGGCGCTATCTCGGCTCACTGCAAGCTCCGCCTTCTGGGTTCATGCCATTCTCCTGCCTCAGCTTCCCTAGTAGCTGGGACTACAGGCGCCCGCCACCACGCCCAGCTAATTTTTTGTTTTTTTTTTTTTTTTTGTATTTTTAGTAGAGACAGGGTTTCACTGTATTAGCCAGGATGGTCTAGATCTCCTGACCTCATGATCCGCCCGCCTCG
Organism: Homo sapiens; assembly: GCF_000001405.40. Lineage (NCBI taxonomy): Eukaryota > Metazoa > Chordata > Mammalia > Primates > Hominidae > Homo > Homo sapiens. The sequence continues at coordinate 127,231,325 of NC_000009.12, forward strand.
GCCTCCCAACGTGCTGGGATTACAGGCGTGAGCCACTGCGCCCGGCCAGGCAAATGATATTTTAAGACATATATCTGTTGTCTTTTGTCCCTTTGTGGTGATCAAGAAATTGATGAACCAGAGTTATTTTAAAATATTTTCTATTGCTGAGCTGTGTCATTTTGGCTGCAATATTTCATAGAGGCCAAACCACATATGAGCTACCACATTAACAGGGTTATATATTAGTAGGATTGAATTTGTGAGGTAAATCCTGAAGATCAAATAATCTCAACTTTGAATGGAACTTTAGACATCACCTAGGTCAACTGCTCAGACATTGCTTCTCAAAGTGTGGTCCCTGGACCAGCAGCATCTGCATTCCCTAAGAACTTGTTAGAAATCAGATTCTCAAGCCTCACCCCAAATCTACTTAGTCGGAATCTGTGGAATGGGGCTAACGAAACTGAGTCAGATTGCTAATACAGTTCTCAAACAGAGCATAGATAGGAGGAGGGCTTCTTAAAACACAGTTGCCTGAGCCCCACCCCCAGAGATTCTGATTCACAAGGTCATCAGTGGGTTCTATGAATCTGTGTTTTTAACACGCTCATAAATAATGCCATACTGCTGGCCCAGGGACATACAGTACTTCAAAAACCAACCCTCTGAGTAATACCAGAATCTTTCCTGCAACAACCTTTGTAGTTGATCATTTGGCTTCTGTTTCTTACATCTAAGGTCCAGGAGCCCACCACTTCATAAAGCAAGCCTTTTTAATATTGAGCAGCTGCATTAGCTTTCCCTGAGAGTGAAGTCAAAGCTTGCCTCATTATTCTTGCCACCCATCACTCATGATGCTCTCATGGCCACTTGCAGTACCAATGTTCGTAGGCTGATTCCAGGTGTAGCCTTAATTGTCAGGTGGCTCTTACCCACTTGTAATCACCATTGAACCCTTCTCCTTCAGCTACTGAAGCAGGAGTAGTAACTCATCAACATCCCTTCTTTTTGTCTTTTTAAAAGACAGATTCTCACTCTGTTGCCCAGGCTGGAGTACAGTGGCATGATCATAGCCCACTGCAGCCTTGAACTCCTGGGCTCGATGATCCTCCTGCCTCAGCCTCCTGAGTAGCTAGGACTACAGGTATGCACAACTACTCCTGGCTAATTTTTAAATTTTTGTGTAGAGATGAGGTCTTCCTGTGTTGCCCAGGCTGGCCTCGAACTCCTAGGCTCAAGTGATCCTTCCACCTTAGCCTCTCAAGGCACTAGGATTACAGGCATGAGGCACCGTGCCCAGCCTGCATTAGCATCTTTCCTGATTGGCTGATATCAGTGCCTTACCAGTAGTTAAATTTTTTCTTAATATTGTCAAAATCTATGAATGACAAGCAAAGGAGAGTTATTGGTTCCTGCAATTGCAAAATGCTGGGGTAGACCAAGTGTTGGGAAAAGATGGCTCCAGGTGCTTGAATAATGACATTAGTAGTCTTCATCTTCTGGGTTGACTTTATGCTCAAGGCCTTTCCTCATCGAGGCAAAGAAAGTTAACTACTCCAGACTTAATTTCAATGTAGGATCCCAGCAGAAATATAGGACTGCTTTCTCAATAATTCTAGCATATGACTTGGCATGGTGGCTTGTGCCTGTAATCCCAAAATTTTTGAGTCCAGGAGGTCGAGGTTTCAGTGAGTCATGATTATACCACTGCACTCCGGCCTGGGTGACAGAGCAAGACCTTGTCTCAAAAGAAAATAAAAAATAAAAATTAGTTGGGCATGGTATTGCATGCCTGTAGTCCCAGCTACTCAGGGGGCTGAGATGAGAGGATCACTAGAGTAGGAGCTTGAGGCTACAGTGAGCCAGGATCATGCCACTGCACTCCAGCCTGGGTGACAAAGTGAAACCCTGTCTCTTAAAATAACAATAATATTTCTAGCATATGTCCCTGAGTTGACATTCATTGGCTCTCTTGGGTTCCATGGTCATCCTTGAACCAATTGCTTTGGCTAGAAGGGGGTGAAACATGCTGATTGGCTGGGCCTGGTCACGTGCTGAAATCTTCCATTCACAGAGACCAAGAAGTAGTGATTTCTCAAAGGAAAACCACAGTGCTATTACCAGAAGAAGGGAATTGATATTGGGTTGGTAGAAAAAAAAGTCATTATATCTGGGATGCTTTTCCAAAGTATGAATACCCAGATGCCACCCAGGGTCACAGAATTGGGGTTTCTGTATTTTTTTTTAGTTTTTGTTGTAAAAGCCTGCCTTAGTTAAGTGGTTAAATTATGCTTGCTAAGTTTAGCCATTGTGGGTGCAGAGCCCTACCATAGACAGAAGATTTTGAATTACAAATGGAAAACATATTTTCTACTTTCCCAAATATTGCTCTGTGCATGGTGGTTTCCTTATTAGTAATGCATAGAACCCACGCCTTGTGAGAACAAATTCGATGCCAAGACAAATGCTTTCTTGTTCCTGAATGTTGCTTTCCAGGCCAAGATAAGTTCAGAAAAGAGCAGTTATCCATTATGCGTCGGGGTGCCTCCTTTTCTTCTTCCTTATGTTTCTTGGGACTCTTAGAGTTTGTTTTTCTTGTAGTTTTCCAGACTTTCTTTTTTTCAGGTAGTTTTGTGAACAAATATTTTAATGTGAGCTTTTTTCACAGTCTTCATTCCTCTGTGTTCCGTTATTACTTTTTTTGTTTGTATCAGGCCCTTAAGTATTTAATCACAAATAAATCTGCTGCTGTCAGTTTTCTTTTGGAAAAACAGCAGCCTTCTTGGGAAAGACTATTAAAAGCTGTCTAGTATTGGGCTGACATAATGGGCTCTTAGAGCCAGCAGAAGAAAATTAATTTTCATATTATGTCTGTTCTCCTAAGAGCAGAGAAAAAACAACTTTTATTATTCACTAAGATTTTAAATTAATGCAAACCAGCTTCCTTTCTTGGAGGAAGACAATACTCAAATTAGTTTTGCTTTAGAAGGTTAATATGAGAGATTATGCTTGGTTGTCTGGTTTCCAGAGTTAAAGATCTTAAGAGAGATGAAGTCTGACAAACAGTGCTGTAGGAAAATTATAAAAGATTTGTCCTTTACAGTGAGACTCACGGCTGGTTTTCCTGGGAGGAGAAGTTCTACAGCAGCATGCAGAGATATACAGAGGCAGAGAGTGTAGAGATGTGGGAAAATAGAAACCCCACATCTAGTTGTCTCTAGAGCTAGGATCTTAGAGGACAGTAAGCAAGTATGAGTTAGCAATGAGGTGTGACTGCCCAAAGAGATTTACGAAGAAGGCTATTCACTGTAGGATTGCTTGTTGCCCTAGTCCATTTGGGCTGCTAAAACAAAATCCTTTCGACTGAGTAATTTATAAACAGAAATTTATTGTTCACACTTCTGGAGGCTGTAAAGTCCAAGATCCAGGTACCAGCAGATTTGGTGTCTGATGAGGGCCTGCTACAGCACCTTTTGTGTCCTCATGTGGTAGAAAAGGTGAATAAGCTCTCTTGGGATTCTGTTATACAGACACAAAAGGACATATTCATGAGAGCTGAGCCCTCGTGTCCTAATCGCCTCCCAAAGGCCCCATCTCTTAATACTACCACGTTGGGGATTAAGTTTCAACATATGAATTTTGGAGAGACACAGACATTAGATCATAGCACTTATAAAAGTTTTTTTTTTAAGTCCATCAGAAGTATGTCAATATGAATAATCTCTTAGAATTTATATTTCTGCTTGGAAAGATACCTAGCATATACATATGTGTTAAGTGAAGAGAAATAAGCAGCTTCTGGCGATAGCCAGGGTACAGAATTGCATATGTAATTTAAAAATTCTAGTGGCCAAATTATTGAGAAAGTTTCCTTTTTTCCCATACTGTCTTCAAAATCTAGTATGCATTTTACACTTATAGCACATCTCACTTCAGGCTAGCCACATTTTAAGTGCTGAGTAGCCACCTGTGGTTGGTGGCTGCCTTAGGACAGAGCAGATATGGATCCTCAGGTAGGAAACGTTTGAAAGAATGCACCAAGGTTTTTGTTTTGTTTAGCTTTGTTATTTAATGTAACTGTGAATCACAGTGAAATAGGGAAACATAAAAATTTTGTGGAATAAAGGGATATCAGGAGATGTTAGGAAAGAGAATCACTACAGAAACTTTATTAGTCTGAAAGGTAACCTGTGATTTGGTAGACTTTGATTAATTGTTCATATAAATCCCAAGTGAAATGTAGACTTGAGACTTGAATGTGAAATCATTGTGTCATGGATACATAATGTGATTGACATTTTTTATTTGGGGGAAATAAGATTCATATAGTTTTTTTGTTTTTTTGTTTTTTTAAAAAAACAAAGAGGGAATGATTTTCTGTGTCATATGTTGATAGGTCAGACAAAATGAAGAACTAAGAGTTGACCACTGGGTTTAGCATTATTGGTCCATTGGTGGCCTTTGACAAAACTGTTTCTTTGGAACAGTGAGGGTGAAAATCTCACTGGACTGGCTTCAAGAGATAATGAGAGGAGATGATTGGAAACAACGACTACAGTCAACTCTTTGCACAGGTGGAGGGAATGTGAGTTGAAAATTTGTTTTTGTTTGTATGTTTTTGTTTGGGTTTTTTAGCTCTTGTTTTATAAAGATGTTTATATCTGATGGAAGTGATCCAAAAAGGGAAAAAATCAATATGGGAGAGTAGTGTTTTACATGAAAAAGAAAATTCATGGAGGATATGACAGCTGCCTTACCACAGTTGACAGGGTTTCATTTACAAAGAAATTAGGCTCACTCGGCATATGGCCCTTGGCTAGACCTGAAATCACAGTGGGTATGAGGTATATTAAAACTGGTTGGACTCAGTACCTGAAAGTACATTCCTACAGTTAGTTCTGCCCCAAGCTAGGATGGCTTACTGTAAGGAGCAGTAAAAAATGTTATTATCGGAAATGTCAAAGCATCTATAAGTTAGACTAGTATTTCTCAACTATTTTATGTTTTCTGCACACTTTTGAATATAATTTTTGGGAACAAACTTGAAAAGACTCAAAACAATGCTGAGCAGGTCAGCACCAGTGATAGCACAATCACACTCCAGTGTAACAGTGACCTCAGAAGTATTCTCAATTAGTGTGCTGTTAGAAATAGGGTCTCTAGACCTATTGTCTCTAGACCAGACAGTCCGGAGCACAGTGGCGTGATCATAGCTCACTGTAACTTCGAACCTCTGGGCTCAAGTGATGCTCTCACCTGATCCTCCCACCTCAGCCTCCTGAGTAACTAGGACTAAACTTTTTGTAGACAAGGTCTCACTATGTTGCCCTTGCTGGTCTTGAACTCCTGGCCTCAGTTCCCCCTGCTTCGGCCTCTCAAAGTGCTGGGATTACAGGTGTGAGCCTCCACACGACCCTAGTGTGCTATTCTTTTGGTTGCTCCTCAACATTTCTTTGCTGCTTGAGCAGAAATTCCTAGTGCTTTGAGCAGGCTCTCTTTTATTCTAAAAGACAACATTCCTATGTATTCCAGTAAAAATATGCAGTCTCTTTTTGTTGCCCACTGGAGGTTATCCATTACTCCTGCCAGAAGAAGAAATTTGTGCCCTACTCTGCGCTCTGCACAGGGTCATTTAAACTGTTAAGCTCACAATCCAATCTGACAGACACTAAAAAAGGCATATCAGTTAGTAATCTGTTGCAGACAACAGAATCCACTCTACCCAATATAAGCAGTAAGGGATGTTGTACTGATCCAGGGAATTAAGTGTGTACAAGTTTGTTGGAAGGGCTGGAGAGCCGACTGCTGTCTGAGCTCCCAGGACCACTCTGTTCTGCTGTCTTCAGGAAAGGAAAGCTGCCGCATCATGTCAAGAAGCTGATCAATCAAGAAGCAAGGAGATCCTGGCACCTTGACTAACTACAGACCCATGCTGCCGACTCTGCCTGGATCCCCAGAGCCACCACTGCTACTTCAGAAAGCTGGAGAATCAAGAAGCTGCTGACTCTAGAACCATGATACTCTTGTCACTGTCTGTAAAACCAGAACAATGCTTATATCCTCTCTTTTGCACCACTGACTCAGTTCCAAGTCAGAGTCTCTCATGAGTGCATCTGACTTGTGGAATCTAAATCACGTCCAGAACTCTACTACAAAGGAGTTGAGAACATTTAAGTTTTAGCTTTCCAACTTTTGCACAGTGGAAGGGGACTGAAGTGGGTATTGAGCAAGTCATTCCACAGTATCTGCCACAGACAGTATTTTTCTCCAATCATAACAAAAATAAATGAGACATATTGATGGAAAGTTGGTCACATAGTAGCCAAAGGTTCCCTGTACATGGGTGTGCTGTTGCATAGCTGGCATGCCCATGTGGGAACCACCTTATTGGGTGAAGAGGTAAAAATGGGCAATCCAGCCTCAGTTGGGTGCTTGAGGTAGACTTTCCAACCATAAGTGTCAGCGATTGCATAGTTTCAGCACAAATGGAAGTAAGGACATAAATATCTGTCTTGCATTTTATGACCAGAGAAAAAAGTGTCTCTAGAAGCACTGCCAGCCACTAAGTATTCCCCAGTGTCAGTTCCATAGATCAAGCCCGGGTTGATGTTTTGCAGATGGATTGTCTTTGCTCCTGTGCACTTGTCACAGTCCTCACAAAGCAGCTGCCTATCAGAGACTGGTAAAGCAGTGGAGCAGGTTTCCCATCCGCCTGACTAAAGCCAGCAGTGACCTCATTCAAGAAAGGCCAGATCAACCTGACATGTTCTCCCTATGCCAGACGAATACCTGCCTTAGCCTCCTGAGTAGCTGGGATTACAGGAGCATGCCACCATGCCTGGCTAATTTTTTTGTTATCTTTAGTAGAGACGGGGTTTCACCATGTTGGCCAGGCTGATCTCGAACTCCTGACCTCGTGATCCGCCCACCTTGGCCTTCCGAAGTATGGTCTCTTTGAGACCTCTTAATTAGGCCTCATCAGGCCTGGCTGTGGCTGCCACAGCTAGGGGAGCCCAGTCGAGCTCCCAGACAAGTTCTCTGGACTGCTGTTACTTCCTTGTGGCCTTGAGGAGAGGCCTAACTGTGAAGTAGGCTACGTTTCTCTCTACCTCCATCTCTTTGGACTCATAATACTAAGACTCAAGGCACACCTAGGGCTTGGGAGTCACAACACAGGAGGGGAAAACTGTAAACTGTGTGCTTCTCAGGGCTGTCCTCTGTCAAATAGGAAACCACATACATACAAAAACACTTTCCATAGGAGAACTGCTCAGGGATACCCCCATGTCCTCTCCTACAGGTCCACTGCCCCCAGAAAGCACTTCCACACTGAATCATCCTTTCTCCTACCTTATTCTGGGATATTTATCCTAGAGCCTTCTGAAATCTGCCTATTGCAGTATTGGACGTTTTGAGAGAAGCTTTGTTCTCTTGGTGTCTTATTTTTCATCTGCTCCCTGTGGAAACCTGATCTGTACTCCTCATCTGTCCGGTGCTGCGTTTCTCATAGGTCCTGTGCTCGGTAGTCTTGCATGTTCATCTTTGACTAGAAGCAGCTCTCCTGGGTCGTGTACCCACTAATAATGTGGGTGGAACCACCTAGACTCCCTCCCGCTCTATCTGAGCAATGGTTGGATCTTCTCTTTTAGAACCTGAGCTTGAGGTCTGGCCTCAGGAAGTGGGGAGGGTACAGAAGCAGTAGGAATGTGCCATCTCTTCTTACCAGTCCCACATTTTCCCATCAGTCCACCCAATTACCTGTTCCTGTGCTGTATCTGACCCCCCTGGCAGGGCTTCCCTTGAATTTCCAGCCTTCACCCCCACTTCAAGGCAAGACCCTCTGTGGGTCAGTGTGATTTCCCCTGACTTGTAGTCTTTCTTTGGGCAGGTTCACATGTACTTTTGGTTAATATCTTTCAAGAGATCTAAGTGGCTCCTAAGACATACTTATCCCTCTCTTCTTCAGCCTGTCCTCAGAAGGTCACCCTTTCTCATTAGAAAGCTGGGACAGTGAAAAAAACAAAGAGGGAACCCTCTGCCAAGTCCCACCCTTGCTGCCAGTCCTCACCCCTCCAAATCAAGCCTGGCCAGGCCTTCAGGACACGCCAGGTCATTTCCCTCACATTACGGGAGATGTACAGACTCTCAATGATCTCTTTCAGTTTGTCTACACTTAATCATATGTAGCAGATCTCAGAGTTCTAGCATGGAATTTGGCCACTCTCTTGTTTCAATAAGTTGTCTTTATATATTGAGCTATTTTTTGCTTTTTTCCTAGAGTGCCAAGGAGTTATTATGCAAATGAGTACTTACTCCACTTCTTTCCAAGAAGTTCTTCAACTGCTATATATTTTAAATAGTGAGAAGATAAAGGTAAAATATGTCAGAAGGTTAAGAGGAACATATTTTTTAAAATTAGAAAGTTAGGACTAGAAAAGATAAAAGAAATGAGTAAATAGATTAAAATTAACAGTGAGGAGACAAAATCTGAACAGTTTTAGAAGTCAGAGAATTTGATGAAAGTGCAAAAAAAGAACTCTAAGAGTAACGATGCCAAAAAGATAAAATTAAATGAGAGAAAAGGTTTAAAAAGGCTAGCCTTTCAAATTTTTAATAAAATCTTAAAGTTTAAAGGGCTAGAAAAGAACATGGTAAGATAATTAAATCATCTTAGTATTTAAAGATTAAAAAGCTAAAAAGAATGTAAACAATGTATTCTGTAATATTCCAAATTAAGGATGCATGTATATTTACTGATGTAGAAAGATGTGTAAGACCTCTAGTTTAGAAAGAAAAGCAAGTCACAGAACATTGTATAGTCCAAGCGTATATATTGCATAAAGGTTTGCAGATAGAGAAAAGAATGGTAGGAAGCCAAACTACTGAAGTGGTAGGGAGCTACTGAAGAGGAAAGGGAGTGGGGTGGGGGGTGTCATGGACATCGTCAGCCAGTCCCCTTAGGTGCCCTCAGGTCCCTTTACCGTTTCTGTGCTCTTTTTCCCATCCTGAGTGCCATGCACCGCCAGCCCTCACAATGGTAACTCGCAGGTGAACTGCCTTTGCACCCTTGCACCCCACATGTGTAGACAGCTTGAAGGATTCACTTGGGCCTTTACATCACCCCATCCTCACTCCCACCCTGTGGCCCTCAGCCAGTAACTGAGGCTGCAGGAAATGGAAGCCTCGCCCCTTGTCTCAGGTGGGGACAACTCTGAGATGTCAGTTGCCTTGAGCAGCAGTGTCCAAAATATAAAGCAACCTACATATGTGACTTTACATTTTCTAGTAGCCACATTAAAATTCATTTTAATAAGGGGCTAGGCATGGCATTCATGCTTGTAATCCCAACACTTTGGGAAGTCGAGGTGGGAGGATCACTTGAGCTGAGGAGTTTCAGACCACTGTGGGCAACATAGGGAGACCCATGTCTATACAAATAATGTTTTAAAAAATTAGCCAGATGTGATGGTGCACACCTGTGGTCCCAGCTACTCAGGAGGTTGAGGCAGGAGTATCTCCTGAGTCTGGGAAGTCAAAGCTATAGTGAGTTATGATTGTGCCACTGCACTCCATCCTGGGTGGCAGAGTGAGACCCTGTCTCAAAAAAATTTTTTTTAATTAAAATCATTCTAACAGTGTATTTATATCATTCAACATGTAATCAGTGTGAAAAACTATTAATGAGATGTTTTGAATTCATTTTTATTTGTACTAAGTCTTCAAAACCCAGTGTGTAACACACTTCACTTGGGATGTCCCTATTTCAGTTGCTCAGTAGTGGCTAGTGGCTACCCAGTCGGACAGCTCAGCGTCAGTCACATGGAAGCTGTTCCTCCGCAGGGCTCTGCCTGAAACTGAAGTCTCACTGGGTTTCTTCTCGTTCCCTGTCCTGCTTCCTCCACTCCCTCATCGGTATCTTGAGAGCACTGCTTAATAAATCTTTTGCATACAAGTATTATCTTTGTAATTAAAATAAATCTGGGAGGTTCAAAAGAAAAAAAAAAGAAAATGTCTCTCATCCTGAAGCCCTGATTTGTTATTTATTTGTTGGTGTATCACTAAGGTAGCCGTAAACTCTAGTGACACTGGGTTTTAGAAGACTCAGGGCTCCTTTGGGTAAAGAACAACTGATAACAGAACCCTGGTTTCTTGCGCTTTGTCATGAGTGGGTGACTTGAGCCTTTGATGTCTATCTAGTTGCTGCCAAGATAAGTGGCCTGAAGCCAGCCTAGGGTGAGATTACCTAGAAGTCTGGGTCAGGTATGCAGCATGTGGCCTGCTGGGCCCAGGAAAGGCAATGGGGGAAGCCAGGTCATCATTTATAAGAGGAATACCAGAGGGACCTGACAAGAGAGAAGACAAAGGGGACAGGTAGGAGGTTATGTGAGTCTTGAATCCTTCCTGCATTAGGCACAGGTCATTAGAGTGACTTTTTTGAGGTTTTTTGTTTGTTTGTTTGTTTGTTTTGTTTTGTTTTGTTTGAGACAGTCTTGCTCTGTCACCCAGGCTGAAGTGCAGTGGTGCAATCTCGGCTCACTGCAACCTCTACCTCCTGGGTTCAAGTGATTCCTTTGCCTCAGCCTCCCAGATAGCTAGGATTACAGGCGTGAGCCACTATGCCCGGCCTGGTTTGTTGTTGTTGTTGTTGTTGTTGTTGTTGTTGTTTGTTTTTTAATATGCCTGCAGCCTTGGGTCTAACTGGCACCACTATAGAACCTTCAGAGTGGCCAGTGCCTATCTGATTCCAAAGCCCCAACTTGTGTGGAGTCGCTTTTCTTGGTCTCCAGCCTCACAGCACTCCCTTCTCATGCATAAAATCTTTCTGAGCCATTAGGCCTTTTGTCTTTTCTCAGTCTTTCTTTCTTTCTTTTTTAAATTCACTCGCGACTCCAGCCAGAGATGTCACGTTTCTTAAGAAGACATTATAAAGAGTCCCCTTTGACCAAAGTGTTACATAAAATTGCTTTTTATTTTTCCATTTCCAAGTAATTGGATTTTGCTGGCTTGTTTGTCTGTCAGTTGAGGTAGAGGTGAGTGAAGAGCCCTGCTAATTGGCTCAGAAAATAATTCCAGTCAGAAGGAGTGTGATGCCTGCATTTCCTAACAAAGTAGACCCATCATCCCACAACTGCCTTTTCCACCTTCCTTGATGCATCATCGGAGAAAGGAGCAGACACATCTCAGGAATGCATTTCTCAGTTTATTCCCATGAACAAGCCATTTATTAATTCAGCAAGCATTTACTGCTTATATATACTATCTGCTATTACTCTTGAACTGTGGGCTTTAGTCCTTGTCTCCAGTGTTGTTGCCAGTCTAGGCCCTTTTTATGGCTTTTCTTGGATTTTTAAATTAGAAGATAAACCAAGTGCTCCTGGACTACCCCAGTAATGGCCATGAAGTCCTACCACCGGTGATTCTCCAGAAGCATTCTAGACATAGCTTCCCTTACCAAATTCATACTGCCTTTCTCTAAACAAGTTTGTGATTGTTCAAATGCTCACTGGGCCTCCTTTTACTTTATACTCCGCGGACTTAACTGATTGCTGAGGGATGTAACAGGACTTGGATGGTTCCATGGCCCAATGCTTCCTTGATGCAGTAAGGTCATATGCGGTCTTGGTGGGGCCCCTGGGTCTTGAGGGTGCTTCAGTGTCACCCTCCTCCTTGCTTACCAGCGGGGCTGCCTTTGGGAGGAGGGTAAAGCAGGCCAGGGATTGGCCTGCCGTTCTTCTCTGTCTCTTAGTGCCTTTCCCAACTCTTCTGTTTCAGGACAGCTGCCCAGCCTCCAGGCCCACTGATGGACCCGTTAACGAAGGTGCCTTGTGGGAGTCAGATAGCACAAACCATTCTATGGAAAGCAAAGTCGTCTCTCTCCTTCGGCATCCAGCCCCTTCAGACATGGCCAACGAAAGACCCTGAACTAGAGTCCCAGGTCAACCTGTAAGTAAGTAAAAGAAGCATCATCTCAGTTTGGGTTTATGTTCACTATAGCTTGAAATCCCTTAATGTTTAGGAAGAATATACTTTTTACTTCTGGGGGGATAGTGGGGAGGGAGAGAGGAGTGGATGTTTGGTTGGGAGACTGCATTTCTGTTCTTATTTGTGTATTTAGTAATATTCATTGAGCACCTACTCGTCCAGGTCCTGTGTCAGACATTATGAGCAAAATAGATTCAGTTCTTGTCATCAGTGGGCTTGCAGCACATAGGACAGATAGCCATTACTCAAATAATCACACAAATAAATACTAGCAATTTGTAATAAGCTCTATGAAATGTGCTGCCTTGATTCAATAAACATTTACAGAATGCCTTCTCTGTGCCAGCAACCTACTGGGGATATTAGAGAATAATACATTTTACCTACCTTTTGAATATAAATAGTATATGGAAGCAAAAACATTACAATGTAATACAAAATAAATTTTAATAATAACTAGAATAGAATTAATACATCAGTAGACTCTAAGGCCTATAGGGTGGTAACTGTGTTTTTATATTTACTCCTGAATCCCCAGGCCTTTGTTATGGTGTATGATAATACTCGGATGAATGAATAAGTAAATGAATAAAGATGATACAAGAGAGGGGTACTTAGTTTTCCAGGGGGAATCAAAGGCAGCCAGATGCAACAACACGGTTGACTTCAAAACAAATGAGATGCTTCATCAATTCAATGCAACAAATATTTGTATGCTTGTTTACTGTACCCAGTGCTTTTGTGAAGCGAGTTCCTAGATAAGGACATGGATCAGAATCACCAGTGGGACTTTAAAAATCATTTATGCCTGAGACCTGCCCCTTGAGATTCTGACTCAGTGGATCTGAGGTGGGTGAAGGAAGACACTTTGTCTGCCCTCAAGGAACTCCCTACTTATCCAGGGAGACAGACAAGTCACCAGGTCACACCAGTGATGCTGGAGAAGCAGCGTGAATAACGTGCTAAAGGAAGCCATCACCTGCTGGAGGACAGGGAAGAGAAGGGATAACAGTTGAGCTTGGCCTTGTAGGATGAGCATTGATCAGGCAAGAGAGAGGGAAGAAGACCTCTTTAAAACAAGGATGCCACAAAGCAAAGGCTCACATGCATGAGGCTGTGTTGATAGGCAGTAAACCAACAGTTGTTAAACCGGGTTGCACGTGAAAATTACCCAGGGTAGCTTTAAAAACATAGAAGTCTGCCCTGCCCCTCCAAAATTCTGAGATCTAGGGTGGGACATAAGAACTCGTATTTTTACAAAGCTCCCCAGGTGATTCTCACGTGTGGTAGACGTTGAGAAACGCTGCTCTTAAGAAATGTAACCACAAATAAGTGAATAAAAAATAATTATGAAGCACCTTATATGCCTAGCTCAGGGGCCTGAACCTTACATCTTAAGCAATGGGCACCATTGACAGCTCTTATGCACTGAAGAAGTGATGCAGTTTGGAACGTAAACGGGTCACATCGTTTAGATAAAATCGTGATGGTCAGTTGATTCTTAAGGGAAACTAGCGAAGCCAGGAGTCACTGTTGGCTTTTCAGAGCTTCCGCACCTTCCAGAAACTGCCTCTCAGGTGAATAAGATATTGAATGTCTCCTTGATCTGAAATGGGAATTTCAAATTTCAGGCGATACTGAATTATCTGAGCAAGATGGACCCGGTAGTCTCGCGGGTCCTCGGTGACCCCAGCGCACTGCAGAGGACGGGAGGGAACCCAGGGCGTCAGTTCCAAAGGTGGGGCGGGTGGGTAGCCCCGTCTTCCCTCTTTATCACTAATTAGGAAAAGGAATTTGTGTCCGGGGCGGGGGGTTGGAGGTAACCTGAGGACGCTCAGCGCTGGAGCTCCGAGCAGGAGTTAAAGTACCCGCAGTGGAGCTGGCCCGCTGCCTTTCCAGACTGCAAGGCCCGCAGTGCACCGCGCGGGTGACGTGTAACAGGGGCGGGCGGGACCGCTGGAGAGCCTATGAGCACAGCGCAAGCACCCCGAGGGGCCGCCTTCCGGCCCTATTGGTGAATCCGATTAGGGGTGGGACCGAGCCGTGGTGATTGGCGGCCGGAGGGATGGCAAAGCTGCCACGCGCACGGGGGTGCAGGCTGCGGGACTGCGATCGCTGCCGGATAGGACCAGGTAGTGTGCACACCTCCGTCCTTAGGAAGGAACCCAGCGGCAGATTCTGGACTTGCGTGGCCTCACCCGCTGATCTCACCCAGCGGCATGTAGAAATGGGTGGAGTCAGGCCTTGCTCTGGACCCCAGACTTAGGGACCGGACTTGAAACCAAATTGCAAGGCAGCCAGAGATTGGGTTCCCTGGAAAGATGCGTCTTTAAGAACCACTACCATTTTGTGGGCCGCCTATTCATTAACTCCTTCACTGAACAAATATTTATTGATCACCTGTGTACCAGGCACCTTGCCCAAGCATCCTAAATGCATTTTCTCATTTATTCACAAAACCCCAATGAGATAGGTGCTGTTATCTCCACTTTACAGGTAAGGGTGCGGAGGCCCAGCCTTTTCTGGGACGCACCGCTTGGAAGTGACAGAACAGGGATTGGACTTCGGTCTGTCTGGTCCAGTGCCCATCTCTTAACCTCAGCGCACTCAGGAGTGCAATCAGGAGAAAAATATTTATGGGATGGCAGCGTCCACAGGGCTTCTCGGTGCTGTCCAGTGAAGTATATATAACAACAGTCCAGTGCTGAACACCAATGAAGTTGACCAAGCACCAAGTTGGGTCTTACACTAGGTACCACAGTACCTCAAAGACCTACTTTGAAGTTGGTGCTTCTTAGGGAGTGGTGGGCAATGAGCCTGTGAAGGGAGACAAAAATCAACCCATTGGGGAGTGGGAGCCATTGGTCTTGACTCTCTAGAGGAGGGCATAGCATGCTCAGATTTGAAAGTTGGAAAGATAATTGGCGTCAGTAGGCAACTGGATTTCAGTAGGATGAGGCTGGTGGCAGGGAGACCTATCAGAGCAGAAGATGTGAAGGTAGATGTTAAGAGTTCTGATGAGCAACAGGAATGGTGGGATTGATTTGGGAAGTATTTTGAGAAAGATTAGAGTGGATCTGGTAAGCGTATGGGTTGTGGGGTGAGGAAGTGAGACTCAGAGCTTCAACTCAGGGAGCTGAGTAGTTGGTGTTGTCATTAATAAGAGGGCACTGAGATGAGAAAGCACAAAATATAAGATAGAATAAAGCAAAGGTCATGTAGAAAATGATATCGGGGCCAGGAGCGGTGGCTTATGCCCTTAATCCCAGGACTTTGAGAGGCCAAGGTGGGTGGATCACCTGAGGTCAGGAGTTTGAGACCAGCCTGGCCAACAAGGTGAAACCCCGTCTCTACTAAAAATACAAAAAATCAGCCAGGTGGGGTGACATGTGCCTGTAGTCCCAGCTACGTGGGAGGCTGAGGCAGGAGAATCACTTTAGCCCAGGAGGCGGGGATTGCAGTGAGCCGAGATTGCATCACAGCACTCCAGCCTGGGCAACAGAGTGAGACTCTGCCTCAAAAAAAAAATTGCTGTCAGGGCTGAAGAAGGGTACAGTAACATCTTTGGGAACAGGAGGCATTTAGGAAAGTCTTCTTGGAGAGAAGGTGAAATGGACCTTGAGAAAGGAGTTGACCTTCCTTCTTTTTTTTTTTTTTTTTTTTTGCGTCAATGTTAATAGGCAGAGATTGGGGAGGAGAGGATTCTAGATGGCGAGATTGGCATGGCAAAGGCACAAAGCAGGGACACTCTTTCAGCGCATTTTTGAGGAATAACAGCTGTCTTAGTTTGCCTCTTGTGTGGTGAAGTAGTGAAAGTCTGGAAAGTCAAATTGAGGGACATATTGTGCAAGATGTTGTACTGAATCCTGGAGTCATTGGGAGGTGCTGAATGGCTTTTGAGACAGGCAAGTGGTGGTTTGATGTCTGCTTTAGAAAATTAGTTTCACTGTTGTGTACACTGAAGAGCCCAGTTACGGGCTGGACTAGTGAGGCGCTTGTTGGTTGTAAGTGACAGAAACCCAACTCAAATTAGCTTAGGCCAAAAAGAGAATATATGGGTTCATGGAACCCAAACTAAGAAAAGGGACGGATCTGGCTTCAGGGCTGATTAGATCCAGGGCCTCAATGCTGTCAAGTCAGATGGTTGTCTCCTATTCCTTTACCTCCTTTTCTCTCTTTCCCCGTGCTTCTTGATGCTTGCCAGCCTCCCTGTCTCCTACTGTCCATAGTTTAGTTTTTGATCTTTTGAGCAAAGTTGCCATGTGTTTGAGTTTGTCACCAAGGCATTAAACAAATATTAGGCAATTTTGTTATTTATATTTTTTTACCTTTTTTTTATTATTTGTTTTTAGTTTTTGTGGGTACATAGTAGGTGTATATATTTATGGGATACGTGAGATATTTTGATACAGTTATGCAATGTGTTATAATCACATCAGGGTAATTGGGGTATCCCTCGCCTTAAGCATTTATTCTTTGTGTTACAAATAACGCAATTATACTCTTTTAGTTATTTAAAAATGTACAATTCAATTATTTTTTACTATAGTCACCTTGTTGTGCTAGCAAATACTAGGTCTTACTCATCCTTTCTATTTTTTCGTACTCATTAATTAAAGCTTACCACTACCCCCTGTCCCCTACTATCCTTCCCAGCCTCTGGTAGCCCTCCTCCTACTCTCTATCTCCATGAGTTCAATTATTTTAATATTTAGTTCCACAAATAAGTGAAAACATGTGAAGTTTGTATTTTAGACCCTTTTTAATAGCCTTCAGAAGCTTTGAAATACCTAGTTTGCTCCTAAGTGTAGGGCTACTGTATTTTAAAACAAGTGCCAGAAAGTAAGCTTTTAGTTTACTGTTAGGAGGAATTCTATTCCCCTGCCGTTGTGTTTCCATTAAGAAACTTCTGCTTTACTCCCATGGAGAAGAGAGGTTGGAAGGGCGGCTGACTCGTCCCCTGCCCCATTTCCTCTCTCCCTTTTGGGATCTGGTTGCCCACAGAGCTTGTGTATTACTTCGCCTCCTGTTTCTATGTAGGAAAACACACCCAAGTCTTCTAGAGGTAGGCGTGGGGGCCCATCTGTTTCCATTCCCCTGTTGAAATAGTCCTGAGACTATTTCCCTTGCAGCTGACCTGGCAGGTGCCTGCCTGTCTGCAGATCAGACTCTCCCACAGGAGGGTTGCCCCAGGGTGTAAACTTGTGGGAAGTAGTAGGAAGCCCATTTGCTTTTGGACTCAGCTTTGTTTGTCAATGAAACACTGACAGCAAGGAAATTTCTTATTTTCTTCTGCTTTTTTCTTTTCTTTTTTTTTTTTTTTTTTTTTTTTTTGTTGAGACAGGGTCTCACTCCATTGTCCAAGCTGGAGTGCAGTGGTGTGATCTCGGTTCACTGCAGCCTCCATTTCCTGGGCTCAAGTGATCCTCCCACCTCAGCCTCCTGATTAGCTAGGACCACAGGTGTGCGCCACCATGCCCAGTTAATGTTTTTGTATTTTTGGTAGAGACATGGTTTCGCCATGTTGCCCGGGCTGGTCTTGAACTCCTGAACTCAAAGAGATCTGCCTGCCTCAGCCTCCCAAAGTGCTTGGATTACAGGAGTGAGCCACCACGCCTGGCCAGTATTTTGTTTTTCATTTGCCTGACTTCTGTCACTAATTCCCAGCTAATTCCAAAAAGACAAGAAAGGGTTGGTTTATTAATAAGTTCCCAAAGCTCCAAAGACTATGAGACAGGTGAGGATTTTTGGGCTGGGGCTGGGTTTTCTTTTTTATTTCCTTTTTCTTCCCTGTCTTAATAGAGTACCTGGCATGTAAAAAGTGCTTACTATTTGTTGTGTGTAAGTTAAGGTTACTAGAGTAGAGATGCCAGTTAGAAGGCCTCTGTAGCAGTGAAGATCTGAGCTAAAGTAAAGAAAGTAAAAATGGAAAGGGGAAGAAGGGGCAAGAAACTATGACAGGGTGGAATTCTACAAGTATTCTCATGTGCAAAATGGCATATACAAGATTATGGACCAGGTGCAGTGGCTCACACCTGTAATCCCAGCACTTTGGGAGGCTGAGGTGGGTGGATCACTTGAGCCCAGGAGTTCAAGACCAGCCCGGGCAACATGATGAAACCCCTTCTCTACCAAAGATGCAGGAAAATTAGCTGGGCATGGTGGTGTGTGCCTGTGGTCTCAGCTACCTGGGAGGCTGAGGTGGGAGGATCACCTGAGCCCGGGAAGTTGAGGCTGCAATGAGCCGTGATCGTGTCACTGTACTTCTGCCTGGGTGATAGAGTGAGAACTTGTCTTAAAATAAATAAATAGATAAATAAATAAAAGATTATGCATTGCAGCATCATTAGTAATAGAAAATATTGAAAACCATTTAGCTAGGGGCTTGGTTAAGTAAAATATGGTATGTCTACTCAATATAAGAAAGAATACAAGAGGCCCAGGTGTGGTGGCTCATGCCTGTAATCCCAGCACTTTGCGAGGCCGAGGCGGGTGGATCACCTGAGGTCAGGAGTTTGAGACCAGCCTGGCCAACATGGTGAAACCCCGTCTCTACTAAAAATACAAAAAATTAGCCAGATGTGGTGGTGGACGCCTGTAATCCCAGCTACTCGGGAGGCTGAGGCAGAAGAATCACTTGAACCCAAGAGGCAGAGGTTGCAGGGAGCCGAGATTGCACCACTGGGCTCTAGCCTGGGCAACGAGTGAAACTCCGTGTGAAAAAAAAGAAAGAATACAAGAGCTTTTTTGTTACTGATGGAAGGATTGCTGAGATACATTAAATGAAAAGAACAAGGAGTGGGATTGTGTGTAGTGTGCTACCATTTGTGTAAAAAAAGGGGAAAGGGGAAGATGTATTTCTTTTCCTTTTAAATACATACAATACCTCTGGGAGTTATGCAAGAAAAAATAAAGGTTGCCTGTGGGGAGAGGAAATGGGGGCTGGGAGGCAGAAGATGGGGAGACTTTTTCCTGTACAGCCTTGTATACTCTGAGTTTTGAACCAACTGAATGTGTTATCTCTTCAAATAATAAAATACAAATACATAGATACAGTCATACACGTTTCAAAAGCAACATGGTGGTGGGAGCAGTAGCAGGCCTGGTGACTGAGTAGATGTGGGATGTGAGAGAAGACATGGGAGATGACTCTGAACTTTGTAGCTTGAGTGACTGGCAAGAGGGCAGCCCCTCTGCTAACAGAGACAGGAATGCAGGAGTGGCAGTAAGTCTGATTAGGGGCACATGATATTTTGGGGGCTGCTGGGGTATCCATGGAACCATGTTCAGTATTTTGAAGTCTGAGTTTGCAGTTGGGGAGAAAGATTCGAGTTGGAGGTTTGGTTTGGAGAGTCATTAGAACAGAGCTAATATGTGAAGACTCAGGCACAGTCGAGATTTTCAGGGAGGGAGGTGGACTGAATTGAAGGGAGAGGGATGTGGATCTTCATCATTCAAGGTGACACAGAGTTAAGGATGCTGCTCATAGACTGCAAGCACAGAACAGAACTTGTTTATTGCTGCTTCTTGTGCCCTAAGAACAGGGAGGAGGATGGTCTCGCTCCCTGCCAGGACGTCCTGGCCCTTTTCTGAATGCCCTGCTCACTGTTGAGCTCAGCATCCCCTGCAGGAATAACTGCTAAAAGTAATCATTTTTCCTCAAGGAGGTTATGCCATTACTAAGAATTCTATTCCTTTGACTATTACAGTTTTCGGGTCTTTCAACTTTCATATTCCTCAAGGACCAGTAACCCATTTTTGGTGCTAACCTCATCTCAAAGTACAGTACAGCACACCATAAGGGCACACTATAAATAGGGATTAGATAGTATTACTATTTTAATCAGTGCTTTTAAGAGGCAAAAGGCAATTGTTTGGGCTGCCCTGCCCTAAATTCACCTTAGTCAGCACTCATTTTTGTAAATCTAATTTTGTCCTTAGAAACAGCCTGGTTGTTTTCTTGTCGTCTCCTATAGTAAATGTTCTTAGTTCAAATACTTTTGCTTCCTATATTTCCGTGAGTTTGGCTTATCTATTATTTTGCTTTCTTTGAAGAACATCCCCCCTTCCCTCATCACTCTCAATCACCATTGATTTCATAGTTTTTTTTGTTTTGTTTTGTTTTTTTCAGGAGAGCATCTCAGAATCAGAGCAGGTTAGTGAAGTAAACATTTTAGAAAATCTTTCAAAAATATAGTTTGACCTTAAAAGCACAGAGTAAGCTGCTTTTCTTCCACTACGTGGTCTGAATGTGTCTGAAGAAAAACAGAGCACAGATAACATGGAGTGGACCTAAATTGGTCCAGAAATTTGGAATACAATATAGAGACCACTTGAAAAGCAGCTCTGTGCCTCCCGATCCATTAAGGCAAAATTCATGTCAGTTCCACAGCATTTATTTTTATGTTTGAGACTAAGAATTTCTCACATATTGGTATTGGCAATGAAAGGGATCAGAATATGCCACCCCAAGATACACCACTTTGGCAAAAGGATTATTTTGAGCAGAAGGCAGTTGAAAAAAAGCAGACACAGGAAGAACTCTCTGCCCTTTTTCTATCTGCCTAAAAGCAGGGCATAAATTTCCCCTTGTGAGGATGCCCCCTCCCCTTAACTGCACCAAGAGGAGAACAACACTTATCATCAGAGATGGAGATAGAGATGAGACAAACCCTACTAAATAACCTTTAACTACCGTTAGTTTCCCCCACATATACCTTCCAATAAGTTACCAGCTCTAGAAACCCCAAACCCTTTTTCCTTTGTCTAGTCATTTCTCCACAAATTATCGCCCTTTGTCAAAATAGTATATAAGCCCCCCAGTGTAAGTGCCTTTTTGGATTTTTATTTGTTTTCTGTGGAACCTCCCTGCATGTAAAATTAAACATAACACTTGTATACTTTTTCTCTTGTCAATTTGTCTTTTTCCAGTTAAATTTGCAGGCCTCAGGGAAAGAACTAAGAGGGTAGAGGAAAAGTTTTTCTTCCCTCATGGTTATGTTCCTAAAGCAACAAAATTGTAGACTACAGCAAATTCTGGCTTGCCCCTAGCCATCTACAGAGACCTTTTTTCTTCTCTGTTGTTGATGAGAAGCATGGATACACAGCCTGTTTATTCAAATATTTATTGTGTAAGCTGGACACCACAATAAGTGCTTCATACGTCTTTTTTCATTAAATCCAATGGGAAGGCACTATGATGATAAATATTTGTTGAGTTAATTTATTAATCAAACCATCAAACCCCATTATATAGTTGTAGGAACTGAGGTCCATGAAGGCGATGTTTATTGCCTAAGATCAAGCAGTGAGTTAGTGGTGACTCAGACACGGCTAAGTAGATACCAAGCAACATTTATGCACATATAATTTCTCTACACATGTAGATATTTATTTAAGTTTAAGTTCAAGTTCTATATTTTCTGTATGTGATCTTTGTTTTGGAATTTTTTGTTAAGCTATAATTTACATGCAATAAAATGCAGATATCTTAAATATACAGTGGGATGAATTTTGACAGTTGTAGCTGATTGATTTTTTAATGTTATGGTGTCAGTCAGTTCCACTTAATTGCATTATCTATGTATTGAGAAACATCAATCTCTAGACATGGGGAATGTCATCGTGAACTGACAGCTAGTGAGCCATGTCACAATCTATTCATTATGATTGCTCCCATAGTATTTTCTTTGTTCACTTATATTAGTGGCATTGTATTAACCTCTGAAATGAATTTTTTGAGATGAACCTGAGGCAACATTTATAGCATTTTTATGTCTGACTCAAAAACAAATTTCATGAATATGCTGTATAAGGCAGTTCACTTCAGCTGTTAGTGGAATTGTGAGCTGAGGGATTGACTCATGGGCTTGACCCTACAGAAAGTTATGAACTGGTCTGTGTGTTTGCCCTGTCCCTTCTTTAGACACTACCCCAATATAGCTGGCCTCACCCTCCCCTGTTACTCCCAGCCTCCTTTACAGAAGGAAAAAAAACAAGGGGGCATGATGGCTCTCCTCAGATATTTGAGATATTTGAAGGGCTTTCCTATACAAGTGATTTTAACTTGTTTTATATGGCCCCAAAGGACTGGCTGGCTTGCTTGCATTCATTCACACTTTCATTTAACAAAACCCTACTAAGAACTAAGTCTGTACCAGATAGTATGTTAGGTGCTTAGGCTTAGTACTGAAAACAGGGAACCCATTGTGAAGCTTAAATTGTAGGTGGGGAGGCGGTTGTTAATCAGATTCCCTCTTTGTAATTCCTAGTTTGGGAGGGAGAGTCAGGAAGAAGGAGGAGTTTGGAGGGAGCATTCTAGGTGCTAAGGGCAGCTCAGCAAATGAAAGGGAATAGGAGAAAGGCAGTATGGCTGGAGTGCTGAGCGGGGAGTGGTGCCAGACTAGGCAGGTGGTTGGGGGTGTGGGAGTGATGGTGAGGAAGTTAAGAAAAGATGAAGGGTGTAGGTGTAGGACCAGCTGGTGGAGATAAAGGTGTGATGGATTTCAATTCAATATAGAAAAATCTGTTTAACAGGAAGAAGGGAGGACCTGGGTTGTGGGGGTGTTTCTTATCACTGAGAGTGTGCAAGTAGAGACTGGATGGCTATTTTTCAAGTATCTGGTAAAGGATACACAATTGCAGATAAAAGATTAGACACTAGAAGGTCCTTAAGTCTCTGGACCTGGAAGTCTCTGAAGTCTCTTCTAACCCAGTGAAAGAGACAGAGATGAGATGGCTTCATGGGATTTTGTAGAAAAGATACCTTTCATTGGCATCTGGTGGGTGGGAAATGAGTTGGTCAGCGTCTCTCAGGGTAACTGTAACAAAATCACCTATTAAATGTATTTTAGTTTAAAATTTAGGTGCTTGGATCCCATTCCCGAAGATTCTAATTGAGGAGGTCTAGGGTAGGAACTGGACATTTACTGATTTAGATGAAAAAAATTATAAAGCAAACTTTGAAACTTTTGCATGGAACAATAGAGACTCTTTAGGAAATCATGATGGTGAAGGATTTCTTAAGTCAGAAAAACAAAGACCATAAAGGAAAAGATTGAAAATGTCTGCATTAGAATTTGAAAACTTATGCATGATCAAAGATATCAGAAACAAAATTTAAAAAGAAAAACAACTATCTGGAAGAAGACATCTGTAATTTGTTAACAAAAAATGGGTTGGTATTCAGAATATACAAATAATATCTACCAATTCTCACGCCTGTAATCCCAGCACTTTGGGAGGCCGAGGCAGGCGGATCACTTGAGATCAGGAGTTTGAGACCAGCCTGGCCAACATGGTGAAACCCCGTCTCTACTAAAAATACAAAAATTAACCAGATGTGGTGGCACGTGCCTGTAATCCCAGCCACTCGGGAGACTGAGGCAGGAAAATCGTTTGAACCTGGGAGGTGGAGGTTACAATGAGCCAAGATCGTGCCACTGCACTCCAGCCTGGGTGACAGAGCGAGATTCTGTCTCAAAAAAAAAAAAAAACTACCAATTAATTGGAAAAAGACCAATAACATACAAAAAAGGAGGGGGACAAAAGATTTGGAATAGGCAAATCATGGAACAGGTAGCCCAAAAGGCCAATAAGGAAAGAAAAAGATGTTCAAGCTCTTGAGCTATCAGAGGAATGCAAATTAAAGCCGTACCTCAGTGAGACACCATTTCATACTCTTCAGACTGGCAAAAACTAATGCCTGACAATCCCAAGTGTTAGCTAGACTGTGGAGCAACTAGAATGCATATGCTGCTCATGAGAGGGTAAATTGGCGTACTCACTTCGGAAAGCAAATGTGACACTATGTAGAAAAAATAAGAGTGCACACATCATGACCTTGCAGCTTCACTCCTGGGTATGGAATCTAGGGATATGATTGCACTGGTATTCAAGGTGGCATGTAAAAGGATGTTCATTACAGCATTGTTTAAACATTGGAAACAACCAAAATGTCCATCAATAGGAGAATGGAGGATATTGATGCAGCAGGATATCATATAGCAGCTAAAGTGGGTGGGTTAGAGCTACAGGCATCACCATGAACAAATCTCAAGAGCAAATTGTTCAGCCAGATGAGCTAGTTGCAGGAAGATATGCATGGTATAGTATTTACTTGTGTAAATTTTTAAAACATGCTAAACAATGCAGTATATTGGAAATGAGTAAGTACATAGTATAAATATAAAACTATAAGCAGGCAGTATAAGTCCAATTAGTGATTGTTTCAGGGGAGGGAGAGATGTAAATGGGGTCAGGGAGAGGTACACAAGGGTTTTAAGTATATCTGTAATGTTCATTATATTATTCTTCATTATTCTGTATCTTGAAATATTTGATAATAAAACAAGTTAGAGACAAAATTCCAGGTGGTTCTGATACACAGGTAGGTTTGAGAACCAAGATCTAGAATCAGTGCTTCTCAGATTTCAATGTGCATATGAATCCCAGGGAAATCTTGTTAAAATGCTGATTCAGTTTCTTAGGTCTGGGGTGGGTCCTGGGACATTGCATTTCTCACCAGCTCATATCAAAAGACCACACTGAGCAGCAGAATCACAATGACCTTGGTGTTCTCTAGGAATCTCACTTCCTAGGGATTGCAGAAACACCTGTTCCAAATAGTAGGCATCCCTTCAAGGTCTGGGCACAGCTGGGGGCAGATCTTGTGAATCCCAGCAGGGAAACCTTATGAACCTGGAGAGATAGACTTTCAAGGGATTTCCCCAAAGAAGTAGATCTGCAGGTGGTTAAGGGAGGTATGCCACAACATATGTTGCCTACTGAATTATTTTCCTTATATTAAGTTTCCGTTTAATACAATTTGGTCATGCATTTATAGATCCCACATGGAGTGATGTTTCCCATACCAAATTATACTCTGGGCTGGAAAACCCTCAAGTGTTGACCTTACAGGAAAAGAGAAGCCAAGGTTGCTGTCACTGAAGAATTAAGAAAGGAGGGAGCAGGTGTGCAAAACATCATACTTCATAGGAACCACTTAGTTAGTAATGTTTCCCAGGTTTCTGGATGATGGGTCTTGAGCTGAGAAGAGTGTGACAGACCTCCCCGGCTTCTGCTGTGGGCACCCACACCCGAAGACTGCATATGCTACTGACGAAGGGGATAAAAAGAGGCTGTTTTACAGTTTGCCAGATTTGCTATATACATATTGTGCTTTGCTTGCACAATATTTTTGTTCCTGTGAAGTCCTGTGTACTTTGTGTCTTTCTTTCCCACTGCACTGTAAGCTGTATGAGAGCAGGGACCGCATATCTCAGGTTCAGCACCTGGCACAGTGCCTGGTACCTTGTAGGTACTCAGTAACCGTTTATTAAGTGAGTGAAAGAATTTTCACTCAGATACAGTATTTTAAATTAAACTTTTTATTTTGAGATAATTATAGATTCATGTGCAGTGGTAAGAAATAACACAGAGACATCTCATGTACCCTTTACCAGGTTTCCCCCAGGGGCAGCATCTTGTGTAACTATAGTAACTATAGTACTGTATTGCAAGCAGGAAATTGATGTTGATACAATCCACTGATGTTTAGATTTGCCCAGTTTTACATGCAGTTTTATTACATGTGTAGGTTCCTGTATTTACCTGTATTCACAGACAAGATACAGAACAGTTCCATCCCCAAAGGCTCTCTCATGTTGCCCTTTTATAACCACACCTCCCTCCATCCTCCCTCTATAATTTGGTCATTTCAAGAATGAATCATACAATTTGTAACCTTTTGGGATGGACATTTTCCATTCAGCATAGTTCCCTGGAGATTAATCCAAGTTGTTGGATACATTAGTAGTTTGTTCCTTTTAATTGCTCAATAGTATTCTGTGGTGTGGATGTACCACAGTTTGTTTGAGTATTTGCCCTTTGAAGGACATCTAAGTGGTTTCCAGTTTTTGGCTGTTATCAATAAAGCTGTTTTGAACATTTTTGTGCAGGGTGTTGACCATACATTTTCATTTTTCTGGGATAAATGCTCAAGAGTGCAGTTGCTGGGTCACATGATAACTACATATTTCACTTATAAGAAACTGCCAAACTGTTTTCTGAAGAGGCTTAGCTTAAAATTTTATAGTCCCACTTGCAATGGATGACTGGTCCAGCTTCTCCACTTCCTTGCCAGCATTTGGTATGGTTACTATTTTTTATTTTAGAGATACGATAGTAAAGGCACTGATAGAGATCGTTATTGAAAGGAGTCTTGCAGTGGATTGCCACAAGTCTTTATTAATGCTAGTGAACCACATAAATTTCAGGGGCATATGTCTGCATCAGAAACTTAGTGGACACACCGATTCTGTAGGAGGTGTGCTTTCCAGAATTAGAGAAAAGAGAAGTAGAATGAGAAAGATGACTGAAAAATGGTAAACAATAACTTACAAATGTACTTGAAAGTATGTCTGAGAATGTATACTGGCAGTTGTTGGGGGGTGCAGGGAGAAGAGAAAGGGAAAGGAACCCACCTGTGTTCAAGTAGAGCAAATGTAGTAATTTATTCACAATTAATTTATTCAATAAATATTTATGAAGTGGCCTGTTATGAACCAGGAGCTCTATAAGGTACATCAGGGCATGGCGATGGCCAAGACAGGTAAGATCCATGACAGTTAGAATAACTAGCATTTATTTAGTGGCTACTGTGTGCCATATGATCTCTTTCAGTCCTCCCATGGAGACAGATATTGTTTTAACCCCCTGTTGCAATGAGGAAACAGGCTCAGAGAGGATAAGTAACTTGTTTGAGGTCACGGTGGTCATGTGTGATGGAGCCGAAATTCAAATCCAGGAGTATCTAACCACTTTATGGTTGGTGGATCTTGCTAAGGGATGGTAAACTTAAGATCCTGGTACAAGGAACACATGGTATTGTACCCCCAGAAACAAAACAGGGGAGCAGGGAGCTGTCTGGAGAGTTAGAAGAATCAAAGTGCCCTGATTTCCTGGGTCCCCTTTTGTTTTGGAAATCTTTCTGCTTATTTCCTACTTCGTATGTCTCAAAGGTCTTCAAGAGGACAGAATTGTTCCATTTCATTATTAGAAGTTAATGTGGGCCAGGTGCAGTGGCTCACGCCTGTAATCCCAACACTTTGGGAGGCCGAAGCAGATGGATTGCTTGAGCCCAGGAGTTTGAGACCAACCAGGACAGCATGGCAAAATCCTATCTCTACAAAAATATGAAAATTAGCCGGGTGTGGTGGTGTGTGCCTGTAGTCCCAGCTATTTGAGAGGCTAAGGTGGGAGGATTGCTTGAACCTGGGAGTTTGAGGCTGCAGTGAGCTGTGATGCTGCCACTGCACTCCATCCTGGGCCAAAGAGTGAGACCCTGTCTCAAAAGAAAAAAAGAAAAGAAATTAATGTCATCGCATCCCTGCTTTTCTGTGGCACTTTACTTATCTTCAGGAGGAGAGACAGCTGGTCCCTTCTGTGCAAGAAGCTATTCTAGCACCTGTTGTTAGGAGGCCTTGGGCTCCCTACAAGCCTAAAACTACAGTCTGGCACATGGTTTAGCTTCTCTGTCCCTCAATAAGGAGAATCCCTTCCATCTGTTTCTTACTGTCTGCCTATCGTGGAGCAGGGGCTGAGGCCTTTTCCTAGAGCTCCTGACTGTTGGTAGGCTTCTGAACAACTGCCTGTTACTTCTCACAAATTCTCTCTACTGGTCTAGGAAGAGTCTCCCTTGTCGCTGTTGCCCTTAACTCTTCTACCAGGCCTAGCCACTGCTGAGTCCTGGCCTTGTGGGGTCTGTTGTGAGGTCAGCACTAATCTCAGTGTCAGTTGAGTGATGACCTGGATCTCTGCGTTTGGCTTCCCCTTGGGGGCTGGCTGACTCCTTTTCTTTCCTTATCAGTTTTAACAACTCTTGACTCTTTGGAGGAGGTTGTCCTGCTTTCCAGGAATGTGACTTACATCATGGAAATCTGTCTAGCTTCTACATGGAGCTGGAAATCTTTGCTCTCATCCCAGGCCATATTTAGAGATTTAACATGGAGGTCCTCAGCTCTGTTCATGCCTGCGAAGTGTGATTCAGCATCCTCACATGTTAAATTGCCGAAGCAGAAGGGTTTATATTTAGAGCCTGGACCACGTTGCCTGTGGGAAACTTGAAGTTCTTTTTGGTACTTGCCTTGTTCAGGTCACTTTCTCTAGCCAGGTTTCAAAGTCTCTTCCCCTTGTCATGGCAACAGGGGGTCCCAGGTATTTTCTAGGTGAGGTCAAACTGCTAGGCCAACGCTTTTAGGGAGGAGATGTAGTGCTGAAGCATGATGCCATCCTCAGCGCTGCCCTGGGAAGCCTGCTGCTTGGCCCTGGGTCTCCCTTACTGCTACCTGGGGATAAAAGGCAAAGCATTTTATTTAAAATTATTTTAAAATTTAGTAATCATTTATGCCAACTTTCCAGGTCCCTTTCTAAAAACCTGAGAGGGATTCATATTACTAATAAGAGCTGGCTGGATGTGGTGGCTCATACCTGTAATCCCAGCACTTTGGAAACTGAGGTGGGAGGATCACTTGAGGCCAGAGTTCGAGACCAGCCATGGACACATTGTGAGACCCCCCCGCCCATCTCTACAAAAAAAAATTTTTTTAAATTAACCAGGCATGTAGTCCCATCTACTCAAGGGGCTAAGGTAGGAGGATCGCTTAAACCCAGGAGTTCAAGCCTGCAGTGAGCTATGATTACACCACTGCACTCTAGCGTGGGCAACAGACATTGTGCTTAGAACCTTGTCTGCTTTTTCTTGTTTATTCTTTATAACCCTGCTAAGTAGATGATATTTTCAATTGCATTGTACAGATGAAGGAACTAATTCCCAGAGAGGCTGAGAACCCATATCTGTGACTGAAGTGCGTGCTCTGAGGGACTACATTGCATCTCCTCCCATGGATAGAAACCTGGATTAAGTTAGCCTTGTCCTTCCTTATAAAGAGTGCTACAGAATGGTTAACAGGTTTCCCAGGATTCCTGAGTCATCTGGAAAAGGAATATGTTTCAAAGCATTGTTTGTGGACCGCCTGCATCAGAATTCCCCTGGCTGTTGGTTAAAATCACAGATTAACTGACTTACAACCTCTCGGAATAGGGCCAGGGAATCTGCATTTTTGCAAAGCTCAGACTCTAAAGTCTGAGGAACATGTCCTCTGACATGGTGTCAGAATTTTCTTCACTGACACACTAATCAGTTTCTGGGTAGGCCTAAAACCAACAGTAGGGATTTGGGAGACTATACTACAGGGATTGACAAACTTTTTCTTTAAAGGGTCAGTTCGTAAATAGTTTGGGCTTTGTGGGCCATATGGGTCTCTGTTGGAGCAATTCAACTCTGCTGTTGTAATCCAAAAGCAGCCATAGACAGTTCATAACCACTGGGCATGGCTATGCTCCAATAAAACTTTGCTTTCAAAAACAAGCGCTGGGCTGAATTGGGCTGTAGTTTGCCAACCCCTGATCTAGAGTCATCCTGGCCCACCAGCCCTCTGACAACCCCTGTTTGTGGAACTTATTCTTACACTACTTTCTATTACCTATGGAGAGCTGTATCAACTAAGATAAAATTGCCTGATGTAACAGATAAACCCTGAATCCTAGTGACTTAAGGCAATAAAAGTTATTGCTCACTCATATCAGAGCCCAGTGAGGCTACTCCTGGTTAGAATCTTCTATGTGGGCCGGGTGCAGTGGCTCACGCCCGTAATTCCAGCACTTTGGGAGGTTGAGGCAGGCAGATCACCTGAGGTCAGGAGTTCGAGACCAGCCTGGCCAACATGGTGAAACCCCATCTCTACTAAAAATACAAAAATTAGCTGGGCATGGTGGCGGGCACCTGTAATCCCAGCTACTTGGGAGGCTGAGGCATGAGAATTGCTTGAACCCAGGAGGTGGAGGTTGCAGTGAGCTGAGACTGTGCCATTGCACTCCAGCCTGGGCAACAAGAGCGAAACTCTGTCTCAAAAAAAAGAATCTTCTATGTGGTCATTTAAGACCCAGGCCCCTTCATATTGTGGCTGTATCCCTCTTGGGCCCCAGAGTCCTCTCCATTGCAGCTGGCAGATAAGGAAAGAGACCAAGGATTATTCATGGGAAGGTGTTTTTTTTGTTGGTTTTTTTTTTTTTTTTTTTTGAGATAGAGTTTTGCTCTTGTTGCCCAGGCTGGAGTGCAATGGCACAATCTCAGCTTACCGCAACCTCTGCCTCCCAGGTTCAAGTGATTCTCCTGCCTCAACCTCCCAAGTAGGTGGGATTACAGGCATGCACCACCATGCCTGGCTAATTTTGTATTTTTTTTAGTAGAGACAGGGTTTCTCCATGTTGGTCATGCTGGTCTCGAACTCCCGACCTCAGGTGATCCGCCCCCTTCGGCCTCCCAAAGTGCTGGGATTACAGGCGTGAGCCACCGCGCCCGGCCTTCATGGGAAGTTTTTAAGGGCTGGGTCTGGTAGAGGTGCCCCTCATTTCTACCCATATTTCTTTGGCCAGAGCTGTTATTGTTCGGGATCCAGAAACTGATTTCTCAAGTCCATGAGGCCCTTGGTCTCTAGATTCATTCTGTTTTTGTCTGTCTTTGCTTGAAACGCCTCCAATTCTTTCCTGGGATTGTCTCTTCATTGTGAAGAACCTCGCTAAGTTCAGCCAAGAGGAGACAGTGCTCAACTTCACTCTGATTGTTTCTAGCCACTTTCCCTAGATCTGCAGGCTTGCTGAGTACATGGTCCACCTTCTGAATGACTGCAGGTGTAAGTTTTACCAAATATTTTGCTACCATCTAATATAGATTTCTATCTTTCCAGCCTCTGAGATCCATTTCCTCACTGGCTGCTGCCTGCCTACTACTTTAGGGTGTTGCTATTGCGGCACCCCACTGCAAGATACCTACTTCTGTATTAGTTCAGGTAAAACAGCAGCTTTAACTGGTAGACTCAAATTCTACCTGATTAACACAACTAAATGTTTACATTTTGCTCACATCATATTCTAGTACAGATGTTTTTTGTGGTGTAGCCTTCCATACAGATGTTCTTCATGGTGTGGCCTTCCATGTGGTCAATCAGAGACCCATGTTTTTCCATCTTGAAGCTCTGCCCTCCTGCAGGTCTCTACAGCCTCTCTGTCCAGCTGGCCAAAGGCTAGAAGATCAGGCACATTTCAGAGGATGTGCTGGAAGTGATGCATATCCATCACTTTGGCCTATATTGTCTTGGCCAGAGCTCAGTCTCATGGCCACACATCCTGCAAGAGGGGCTAGGAAAGGTAGTCCAAGTCCAAGACAAAAGGAGAACAGGTTTTGGCATGCACATAGCAGTGGCTGCCTTATAGGCCAGGACTCTGGACTGAGGGAATAATGGCCAGCAGAGAATTATAATGGCTCATTAGTGGGGGTGGCAGTGGGCAGCCTGCCCTGGTAGAAGAGGTGCTGTCAGGCATTAGCTAGTATGATTCAAAAGATATACAAATACCTTCATTAATGCAGTAAGCATTTACTGCATGTCCACTATGTGCCAGGCAGTAGGCCAGACACTGGGGCCTTGGGAGGAGAACAAAGCTCCCCTTGGAGCTCTGGGTGAGCCATTCTACTCCTAACCCTTGTGCTGGAGGCCTAGAGGCCAGAGAGCCTGGGAAAGGAAGAGGGAAGTGGCTAGGTCTTTTTAACTTGGCTGGTTTGAATGCCTCCTACAACCCAAGAAATGCAGCCCATATAGGTCAGCCTGGTTCCCACTATTAGCAAGCATCCCTCTGCGGTATATTGAATGAAATGTAATATGGGGGAAGAGAAGGCAACACATAGTGGACATTCTCTTTATAGCTTGCTCCCTGGTTGTTTTCATAGGACGTTGTTTTCCTTCTGTGAGGCATCTAAGGAAGGTGGTGGGTCTAGGATATAGGGTTATGTGTTTGTGTCTGGCTGCTGGTAAAGTTAGGGAATTGGCACCGTGTCTCAGAACCCCCTCAGCAGAGCTGATGGCAGCACAGGGAGGACCCAGTGCTCTACATCCTTGCTTTTTTCGTATTATTGGCTATTCATGTTAGAAGCTGTTGCTGTTGTTAATTTCCTAGTGGGCCTGGCTGAAATTGAAGCGGCGGGTTGAGCTCTGGGCAGACACAGCATTTAGTCAACAGCCATTGGGCATCCGCTCTCTGCCCGATCTCTGTCCAAGTCCACCGGCACTCCTCTCACTGGAGCGGCCAGTGATGCGGGCTTGGTAACTGATATGTAGGGGAATGGCAGTAGCCTCCAGGAAGGTCTTCAAAATGAGCTAAGAAAATAGGCGTAGAGGACATATTTAATACAGATTGGAATAGACCATGGAGGGAAGGTTTTTATTCTTTTTTGGAGATTTTTGGGTAGAAAATCATATCACTAGAAGCAAGAATGTAGCCTGGGTAATATCTGGAACACTTTCAAACTGCATGCATTGATGTGTTGCCCATTTTCAGCTAAGAGAGGGAGGACTACAAAAGGTTAAATTTCTCATATAAGATTAATTCAGCCATCTCTGTGAAATGGTGGAAGCAGAATGCCATTAGACTCTCTAATCTCATTTCTCTCATGCTGTCTTTCTTGGAGCCTGTCAAACAGTGTCCTGGCAGAGAGTCAGTTCTCTGGTTGCTAAACATCAGAGTCAGTCTCTTTCTGCATGTGCCAAGAGGGCTGTAATTTAGAAAATGCAACCTACCTTTTAAGGAAGGATGAAAAGGTACTAAATGCACCTTTCTTTGCATGTTAGATCCCAAATGTTTTGAATATAGTAAACATGTTATTCCTATATAATTTTATTTTCTATGTTATCGTAGAGTTATTTGCATGACATATTAGAATCAAACTTATTAAAACTGTTTATATTTTGTGGATCTCATGTGGTTTCATGAGTATTGCTTGAGTGCTAAATATACTAACTAATAAGATTTGTGCCTTTTGAGTGTGCAACTGTGCATTCAGGATGAAAACGTAGTAACAATTTTGCCCTTGTTTTAATTACTCTTCAACAACATGTGATTTTTGAAATCTGATTTAAGCCTTTTTGGGGGGTGGGTAGCTGCTGCTATGTAAAAAGCTGAATATACTTGGACATTAGATTTTCTGTTAGTTCTGGTCTTTTTTCATATTGCCACATAAAAATCCTAAATTAAAGGGGGACAGAGGGTGGAGCCTACCACGATTGTGAAGTTTCTTTCTCTTACTTAAAATATAGCATTAAATAATGCTGGTTATTTTTATGTTGCATATTTGGGACAAAGAGCTCTCTTAAATGAAAGATAATTGCAAGATCCGGTTCAGCAGCTTTGTCCCTTGCCTCAAGTTTACTGCAGGGCTTCTCTCCTCTCTGGTTATACAGAAATGAAATTATAAACCACCAGTAACCTTGGAAATTTCAATCGATTCCAAATGACTAAATATTTAATTGAATCATTGCCTATACTTCCAGGGATGACTCTGGCGTTTGCTTTTTATTGAGGGCTCCATGAAAGCCAGGCTCTGCAATGGCTGCTGGGGACTGTGTCTGTTGCAAGGAGGCTCCCCTGCAGTGAGGAGCCGGGGCACTGCAAGTCTGTTCCATAGCAGCCCTTTTTGCAAATGGTAGTTGATTTTTGCAGAAGGTTTGTGGCCAGATCGCTATGTATAATACTGATGAAGCATTTTTGTTCCAGCTCTGTCTCGGAAGACCTAGGCTGTAGACGTGGGGATTTCAGTAGGAAACATTATGGATCTGTGGAGCTGGTAAGTTTATGCTGTCTGTTCAGTGGTAGTACATTGATTTAGATTTAGAGACGATTGCCAAGCTCATCAGATCTTTTGTTGTATATTTACTGTTAGACCATGTGGGTACAGTGTAAGGATTGGATTGGAATAAATAACTATACAAAGGCTATGATAATTTGATCTTCTTTATCTATTTGTTTTTATTGTTACATACTTTTTAATCTTGTCTTCCAGTTTGTTAAAAATATGTTACGGCTTGGTATTTTTCTCTGTGTATATAATTAAATAAAACAATTTATGAATTAAGAAAGGTGGCATTTGGCTTATATATGACCTTTTTCCTAAAAGTTTATAAATCTAGTTTTCAAGGTTTAAATATTATTGAAATACGTATTCTGATTTTCTGTATGTTTGCTTTCTGGGTGTGTAGTAGGAGTTAGAATATTTATGAGAGCTGTTTTTCCCATTAAAAGCATATTGGTTGGACTAGATAAATGACTATTATGGATGATCAATATTTGGAATGAAAATATTTACATTTTCCTTAATGAGAGGTGTTAGTGTTTGTGCTATGATTTTTAAAATTTGTGTGTTTTCATTTTAAAAGAGCCATAATGAAAGCATATAATAGTCTCAATATTTTTTAAAGATAGAATGTGATTTTTTCCAATTACGTGAAAATCTGAACAAATTTTCAGAAATGTGCTCATAAAATTATATTGATTATTATTTAACACTGTTAATGACATTGCCTACTATTTCTATTTATTAAAAATGAGTTGCTTGTATCTATTTGTGTAGCACCCAATTTTCCCCTATTAATATAAGCTGCATCCTTGCAGAGTTTAAGTAGTAGAAAAATTTATAGCGGAGTTGTGTACCAGTGGCGTTCTACTTGAACTCAAGCATATGTTATGGACCTGACTGTGTACCTAGCCTGGAGCTGGGTATTCTTGAAAATATAAAATGAGTAAAAGATACAGTCCTTGTTCTTAAGGAGCTTACTGTCCTCTGGCTGGGCAGATAAGACACATAAAATATCTGAAGAATGAATTTAGCCACATAAAAGATACCTCAGTTGATTCAGTCAACACCTGTTCTGTCTGTCACTGGTGACACCACACCACTTAGACCACCACCTCCCCTGAAGGAGCAGGTGCATAGCTATAAGTCAGAGTAGGAATTGGTACTGTGAAAGAGATGCATGTAGAGCACCACGGGGGTTCAGAGAAGGAAGGGATCACCCATTCTGGCCAGGGGTCTCAGAGACACACCATGGAAGACCTTGCAGAGAGCTGTGGGATGTGGATTGGTGGCAGAGAGGATAGACAGTAGGTATGAGCTAACAGTATGATTCCTGGCAATGCCGTGTCCCAAGGCAATGAGCAAATGGTCCTGCCTAGCAAAGAGCTTTGTAATTACAAAGCAAGCAAGCTTTGGAATCAGGTAGGCCTGGGTTCCCATACCAGGTCTATTACTTATCTTTGTGACCAGTCAGGTTACTTCTCTGAACCTCAGTAATGCTGAAGAACATGTGATCTGAAGTCATTCTTGTTTCATCATTCACTAATTGTATGATCTTGGACTTCCTTTAGCATCAGTTTTCTCATCTATAAAATGGGGATATTTCTGTTATCTACCTTAGAGGGTTGTTATGAGGATTAAATGAGATCATGTACATAAAGTACTTAGCACATAAGCACAGTTTATGTTAACCAGCTGCAGTCATAAAGACAAAATTCAGTAGCAAAAGTAGAGCCTTGACTGTCAGGTGAACACTTTGGACTTGGCCTAGCAAGTAATATGGAGCGCTTTTAAACAGTGACAACATTACTTGGGGGAGATAACATGGGTGTGAAAGATGGACTCTTTAAAGATGTGGGGAAATCACAGAATATCAGAATGGAAAAGTACTTGAGAGCAGTGGTTCTCAAACTTGAGCAGACATCAGAACTCTCTGGAAGGCTGATTAAAACATAGATTGCTGGGCCCTAGTCCCAGAGTTTCAAATTCAGTAGATCCAAGGTTAACCTACAATTTGCAATTCTAACAAGTTCCCAGATTGATATTGATATTGCTGGTCCCAGGATCATACTTTAAGAAGCTCTGCCTTAGAGGACCTCAGCTAGGTCATCAGTTATCCTTGGCCTGATGAGGCATCCAGTTGACCAAACGTTCTTCAATCCATTTGTTCACATTTTTCCTCTGGGGCCATGACTGTGTGTATGTGTATTTGTAGTTGACTTTTTAGAATATTATAAAATACATTTTAAATATATTTAAAAATTCCACGTATAATCTTACCTTGCAGCAACTGTTTTCATCTCCTTGTGGTACCTTCCAGTCCTTATAGCTACAAACCTCATTTTTATATTGTTATAATGAAATTATGTATTTAATTTAATTTCGCATTCTTCTTTTTCCATTTATACTGTATTTTCTAAATGTCTTCTTATATAGTCTTCAGAGTCATATTTTAATGGGTACATGATAGGCCAACATAGTGATAAATGATTATCTGTGTAAATTTTGTAAAATTAGGTTGTTTCTCATTTTCCCGTATTAAAAATGACATGTGTGCTGGTGGTCAGGAAGGTTGGGAAAAGTGAAATGAGCAGAGCTCCGTTCTTATTATCTGAGGATCTCTTGAAATTCTGACTGCAGTGTTTTAAGAGGAGCGTGATGTTTCCTCTCACTTCTGAACAACAGAGTATTATTAAATTACAAACCATTATGTGTTGCAGGGACTTATGAAAAAGTGAGTTTGACTTTTCTTATGCCTGCTGTGATGAAAATTGTTGGGAACCCAATAAGTGTTGGGCATCTTGGAACTCAAACTTTCCAGAAAGGCGTCTAAGATTATATAAAATTGAAATTTTAGCATGAACTTCTCCTGACCTTGAACAAGTCACAAGTCTTGTGAAGAATGAAGCTCGGCCATTCATATCAGTAATGAGAGAAGACTTAGGGCTTAGTTCTCTAGGTTTCCATCCTGCATTAGTTTGGTGATGAGAAGATGGAAACCCAGATCTTGACAGACTCATGGGAGAACTACTTAGCATTCTTTCAACACATATTTATTGAGGGTCATCCATGTGTCAGGCTCTGTGCAAGTGACTGAGAGTCAGGGGAGAGAAGCAAAACCATTTTTCTGCTCTCATGGAGCCTTCACTTTAGAAACTAGCAGCCTCACACCGTGTCCCCAGGCTGTGTTGTATCTGGATCTCAGCTGTTTCCCTGCCTTAACCAGGGATTGTTTTCTTATGAAGAACAGAGATCTGTTCTGTCTAGGTCAAGTATAAAGCAATTCACTGAAAGGATATGGGTGAATCTCACGGGAGGGAAGTGCAGCTGCGCCTCATGTGATGGAAAACCAGCAAGCCACTATTTTCTCTTTCTCTCTGGTCCATATGCTTTCTTGTCTTCACATTTCTCTGTGTCTGTATCACTCTCCTCTCTGCAGAACAGCTTCTGATGGCACAGTTGCCTCTCTCCAGCTCATTTTTCCCAGCAGCCAGAGTGGTGTTTTCTTTTTTAGTTTATTTTTTATTGTGGTAAAACAGACAGAACATAAACTTTGCCATTTTAACTATTTTTAAGTGTACAGTTCAAGGAGCATTAAATACATTCATATTGGTGTACAACCATCACTGCTATACACTTTCAGAATGTTTTCCGTCATCCCAAAATGAAACTCTTTATCAATTAAACACTGGATTCCTATTTGGCAGTTCCTCAAAAAGCTAAAAACAGAGCTTCCCAGCCCCAGGTAACCTCTATTCTACTTTCTGTCTCTATGAATTTGCCTATTCTAGATACCTCCTATAAGTGAAATCATACAATATTTGTCCTTTTGTATCTGGTTTTATTTCTCTTAGCATGTTTTCAGGGTTCATCCATGTGATAGTGTATATCAGAATTTCATTCCTTTTTATGGCTGAATAATATTCCGTTGTATTGATACACCACATTTTGTTTATCCATTTATCTGTTTTGTTTGTTTGTCTGTTTGTGAGGCAGGATCTCACCTTGTCACCCAGGCTGGGGTGCAGTGGCACAGTCATGGCTCACTGCAGCCTTGACCTCCTGGGCTCAAGTAATCCTCCTACCTCAGCCTCCCAAGTAGCTGGTATTACAGATGCATGCCACCACACCGGGCTAATTTTTTTGACTTTTAGTAGAGACAAGGTCTCTCTATGTTGTCCAGGCTGGTCTCGAAATCTTGGGCTCAAGCAGTCCTCCTGCCTTGACCTCCCAAAGTGCTGGGATTACAGGCATGAGCCACCGCACCCAGCGTGTTTATTGATTCATCTGTTGATGAACACTTGCGTTGTTTCTACATTTTAGCTATTAAAATTAATGCTGCTATGAACACTGGTGTACAGATACCTGTTGGAGTCCTGCTTTTGATTGTTTGGAGTTTATTAACTAGGAGTGGAATTGCCGGATCATAAGGTGATTCTGTTTTTAGCTTTTTGAGAAACTGCCAAACTTGTTTCCACCATGGCTATACTGTTTTACATTTCCACCAGCAATGCACAAAGTTTCTATTTCTCCACAATCTTGACAACACCTGTTATTTTCCATTTTTAAAATAATAGTCATTGTAATAGTATGAAGTGGTATCTCATTGTGGCTTTGATTTGCATTTCCCTAGTGATTAGTGATGTTGAGCATCTTTTCATGTGCTTATTGGCCATTTGTGTATCTTCTTTGGAGTAATGACTATTCGAATTCTTTGTTCATTCTTGAATTGGGTTTTTGTTTTGTTTTGTTTTTTGTGTTTTTTTTTTTTTTTGCTGTCAAGTTGTAGGAGTTCTTTTTATATTCTGGTTATTTGTCCCTTATCAGATGATTTCCAAATATTTTCTTCCATTCTGTGGCTTATTTACTCTGTTGACAGTGCCTTTAATGCACAGAAGTTTTTAATTTTGATGAAGTAAAATTTATCTATTATTTATTTTGTTGTCTATGCTTTTGGTGTCATATCCAAGAAATTATTGCTAAATTCAATGTCCAGAAGATTCTCTTGTATGTTTTCTTCTAAGGCTTTTATGGTTTTAGCTGTCTTTGAGCCATTTTGAGTTCATTTTTTCTATATGGTGTGAGGTAAGAGTCCAGCTGCATTCTCTTGCTTGTGGACATCCAGTTTTCCCAGCACCAGTGGTTGAAAAGACTGTCCTTTCCCTATTGAATGGCCTGGTACCCTTGTCAGAAATCAATTGACTATAGATGTGAGGGTTAGTTTCTGGGCTTCCCTTCTGTCTCATTGGTCCATATGTCTGTCCTTATGACAGAATGATGTTTTAAAATGTTGTCAATACAATGTCTTTTCCTTCTTAAAATGTTTCTTCAGCTGTTCATTGTACTTCAAGGCCAGACCATGTACCAAGCCCTACAAGAACCTATGTGATCCTTACCCTGTCTTTCTCTTTCACCTTCTTTCATGCCGCTTCCTCACTGTGGCTCAAATGTCTGGCCTTTATCCTGGTCTCTGGAACACACTGAGCTCTTCCCTGTCCCAGGACCCCTGCGCTTACTAGTCATTCTTACTGATGGATTCTTGGGGCTTCTCACGGCTGATCTCAGCTTAAATACCATCTTCTCAGAGGGGCCTCCCCTGACCATCCCATCAACATTAGTTCCTTCCTCTGCTATTCTGTAACTCAACATCCTATTTGTTTTCTTAGCAGTGCTTATCACAATCTATATTCATTTCATTTACCACTTACTTACTACTCTGTATTGTTCATTGTTTTATTTCTAGAACATGGCACAGGGCCTGGCACATACTAAGTTTCTTATAAATGTTTTTTTATTACTGAATTGATTTCTGGCCCCCCAGTCCCCATGGTTTACATGGGTTACAGCTCTGTTGGCCACCGTGGTCTCTTCATTCTTGGATCCTAATTTCAAATTCCAAATAGAATACTATGGATTGTTTCCTCTTTGTTCAGGTATCTATCCCTGATTCAAACACTTGTGCTCAGGGTAGTGGGGTCATAGACTATAAACCTGGCTTTTGAGGCCCATCCCCTCAGCAATGCTTGTGGACAGGGCAGATTTTCTCTGGAGATGATATAGACAAGTCAGTTTCAAAGAAGGGCATGAGCTGAGCTGGAACTCCCAAATGTGTCCATTAACATTCCTTCATATAGCGAGAATTTAAAAGCTCAAACTAAAAGCACTTAGTGAAAATGTCTTCCTCTGCTGATGGACTCCCTTATCTCTGTACTTTTTTAAATACCATAAATAAAGATATAGATTATGAACTCCCTAAAAATAGGAATAATGTTTATTTGCCACTGTATCTCTAGAACCAAGCACAATGCTTAGCATTAGTTACTTAGTAACTATTGATTGAATGAATGAATGATCCCATTTGGTTGAAATTAGAGAGTGGCCTAACCCATCAAAAATAAATAAAGGAAAGAGAAAACAAGCCTCTTTGATTCCCCCCTCAACCAATATACTTAGGCTCATTAGCTGGCAGTGCATTTCATCAAAAGCATATGCCATTTTTCTTCTTGATG
Source organism: Homo sapiens (assembly GCF_000001405.40). Classification (NCBI taxonomy): domain Eukaryota; kingdom Metazoa; phylum Chordata; class Mammalia; order Primates; family Hominidae; genus Homo; species Homo sapiens. The sequence continues at coordinate 127,271,537 of NC_000009.12, forward strand.
AATTGCAAGTCTTGTCTCTCATGGCAGCATTCTAGGCAAGACACAGCTATCACACCATCAACCATTCTTCATCACTTTGTGTTGAAATCTGTCAGAAAAAGCACAAGATTGTTTGTAGCTTTTATTGATCTTTTTTTGGCCTTTAAACTGGATGGCTAGGAAATTGATACAGTATCAGTGATAAATGGTATGGGCACAATATAGACCTCTCCCCTCCCCAGCCCAGCTGCTGACTCTCATAAAACCCCGTATCTTGATACTTCTGGGTAAGTAATGATCTACTGGTGATTTCAAGTCAGGATAAAACAAGGTAGTATATTGTCCATTCCTTTTTAAGCTTGTTTCTTAATGACTCAAACCTGCATTTAGATGAGCCACGTGCATGCTCCCCTGCTATATAGGAAATAAATATATCAGTGCTTCTCTATACAGATAGCATGATTTCGTTGTCATGAACTCAGGGTAGCCTCAAAGGGTATCTGGCTGTACCGTCTAATAACTATCAAAAGAACGGTTGATGATGAACTTGCTTGGCATCTGCAGATTTTAGCATTTGAGGTTTTGACTGTTTGAGGACTCTTGAAGTCTTGATATGTAGTAATTTGTATTTTTGTTCAGGCACAGATTGGATTTATACCTGTGGGACTGTTGTGAAGAAAGATGATGCTTTGCTAATGAGTGATTTAACTGCCTGTCCAGCACCCCTAACACAACTCAGTTTTGTGCTCTACTCAGGGTTAAGTAGGGTTTTTACTTTCAAAGGCACTTTATGGGAGAAATTATATTCTATCTAGTATTACCAAACTGAGAGATTAGTGAGGGTACCAGCATATTTCCCTCAGGAACATCAAAACATCAAGACTTCAGCGTTGTACAGCTAAAATCATAATTTTGACAGATGTTCTTTAAAATTTATCTGGCTTATATCTGTGTCTCACATAGCAGGCCAACTCTTTTTTTTTTTTGAGGAGGAGGAGTCTCACTCTGTTCCCCAGGCTGGTGGCTCGATCTCGGCTCACTGCAACCTCTGCCTCCCAGGTTCAAGCGATTCTCCTGCCTCAGCCTCCTGAGTAGCTGGGACTACAGGTGCACACCATCACGCCCAGCTAATTTTTGTATTTTTAGTAGAGACAGGTTTCACCATGTTGGCCAGGATGGTCTTGATCTCCTGACCTCGTGATCCACCTGCCTCAGCCTCCCAGTCAACTCTTGTGGATACCTCCAGGTACAAAGTATATCAGAACATTCACCAACAAGTTAACATGTTTTGAAACTATGGATGGTGCTTTTTTGATATTTTTACTGCCTCTGTTGGTGATTGATAGTGCTCACTTTTAAGCTTTTTCAGGCCAAAATTATTGTAACCATTTTCTGTGATGTAGAATTTTGAGACTTTAATAATTACTTTTTATACATTAGAATGGAATCAGAAATCTTTTATTATGGTTATTATTTTATTATTTTTATTATTAGTTTTAACATTTTATTGAATGCTTACCACGTACCAGTCTCTGTTGAATACTGTAGATGTATTTACTTATTTAATCCCCACAAAAAACCATATGAGGTAGGCATTATTTGATTAGGCCACACACTGTAGATGCTCAGAAGACATTTGTGAATATTAAATGGATTCCCATTTAACTGATGATACCAGAGCGGTCCCACAGCTAGGAAGAAGCAGGAGTGACATTTAAACCCAGGTCTATCTGCCTCCGAGAGCCCCTGCGCTTAATCTCTTCGCCTGCAAGCCCATGCTCTTAAAGCCCTGCTGTGTATAGAGTGTTTCCTGAGAAAATTAGGTTGATTGTTAGAACAAATACCGCTGTCCTTAATCAAAAGCATAAAGTAGCTCTGCTTTAGGTTTCCATTCCAACATATAATTTCAAACTATTTTTCGTCCAAATCTTAACAAAAGCTTGCTATTAAGAATGTCCATAAGGAGTTATCCAAAGACATGCCCATGCCTTAAATGGTTTAAATTTAATTCCTAGATCAAGCCCAACCATAAGTTAGCTACAAACACTTGGCCTGCCTTTGTTGGCCCCTCTCAGACTTGCTTTTCTTGACTTGTACCATGGCATTATGCCTTTAACCTGCATTGATGGACAGAGTGGAAAGCAGCCAGATAGATCTTGGTGGTGTGTTGCTTGTAGGATGCTGCTAAGAATTTTATGTTCGTCATATACAGAGTCTCATTTAAAAAGACCTATGAGAAAAAATTTTTCTCAGGACCAAAAAGTGCCATGCTTCTCCTGAGAAGCTGGTTTGTTGTTAACCTTATAAGCAGTGGGAATCCTGTAAATGAAAGGGCTTTTCCTCTTTGCATTGGCTCCTAGGAAGCTCCGAACTCCATTTGTGGCTTATCTCTAACAGTCTTAAAGGACTTTATAACATGCATCCTCATCTTATTCTCTTGTTTTCAGTTTATTTACCTACACTTGATTTTTCCTTGTTCTGAGTGTGCTCAGTATCTCATTTTATCCTTTAAGTAAGATATATTTAAGTAAGCTGCTTTTAAATCCTTTCTAAAAAATAAGATAGAGCATAAATATAAAAGTATTTCTGTATCTAGCCGTTAACAGCATAATCCTTCTGTCCTCCATTGACAGGTAGAATAACTTTGATGCTTGTCTCCTCCCTACCCTACTTTTTGATACAGTATGATTTTATGACCTATTTTTCTAGGATCAACAAAACTTGGGGAGAATTAACACCACCTGACCAGCCATTTGGTGACCATCTTGAGCTCCGAGTGCTGTGTTAATGACATGCATAGGCGGGTCACAAACTGTAACAAATCCACCAGCTGAACACATGCTGTAATAAGAATACCAGACAACTTCTCCAAATTTTCCCAGACAAAATCAACCTTGGGAACCTTGATACCAGACATCAGCATGCTCTCTAGTTTCAAAACCAGAGTTACAGGCACCCCACTCCCTCCTTTCTGAGTCCTGGCTTCCTCATGCTCTCCCTAGAGGCCACAGGAGTCTCCCATTCCTGTGACACTCAAGGCTCTCCTCCTCAGGGCAAGCCTCTCTGCGCCTCTGTGCTGCTCTCTTGCAGCCACCTTGGCTTGGCTCACAATCTCAGGCTCCTCAACCTTATGCTGGTATCCTGGGAGTCTCTGTTGTTTGACTCCAGTAGTCTTCAACTGATGGGATATGGTCCCCTGATGTATATAAAAACACTTCCAAATTTTGATCAATGTATAATAGTTTATTTTTCATATAACCAGAAATACAAACTGAACACGCCACTTACCTGGTTAACTCTTCAGCAAAGGAAATTGAGTACAGCAGTTTTCTACCTTGATTGTGGTTTCATACACTCAGGAGGCAAAATGCACATAAGTCTCTAAACACACAGACTTTCTTGGTGTCTGTTTGGTAACAGCCGTTGCCTTTCACACCTTACTTGTACCAGATCATTCTCTGCCCTGCATCATGGCTTGTCGTGTGCCCGCCTCAACTTTCAGATAAGCAAGACCAGGCTCAGCAGTGTGCATCATCTGTTGTAGCAGGAATAAATTTTAAACTTGATTAAAATATATAATGTAATATACCTTTATGTACTGCTCTTAGCAATAGAATATATTTTGTTTTCTCAAAGTTGCTTTTTTCAGTACCTATGTTTTCTTCTGAACTCATGCAGGCCTTCCCTCAAAACTGTGGTATTCACATGCCATGAACATGCATAGAGTTTGAAAACCACTCTTTTACCTCTTTGGGGCTGTTAAAGATGAAGAGGAATTTGGTGTTTTTGCCAATCTTTCCCCACATGGGCTGTGGACTTTAAGAGCTCTTTTTTTAGGCCCTCAGAGGAAAGTCTAGCCTATTTTAACTTATTAACTGCCCCTTGGCAGGCAACTTAGAACAAGTTTCCCTGGGGTTCAGGATCCAAGAGAATTTGAGGCTTCATCAAAGTCTCTCTTGGTGCCTTAAGATGAAACCCTTGTCTTTCAGCTTTCTCCTGTCTCAGGGCAAGTTTCTGTTTTCGTAGGGCACATATCCATTCCATGGGTTAGAAGAGCTTTTGGCCCTGTTTGTTAAGGAGGGGAACATCTGTGGGTTCTGAAATTTGCTTCCCTTTTATATCACTAATCAAATTTAGGGAGTCATGCAAAAAAATCCAGTGTAGCTTGCCGTGATTGGCTTACCATAAATGGCTGGCTCATGGTGTCACACTGCCACTGTTAGTTGAGCTATAAGTAATATTTTTATATTGAACTATTTTACACATGTAATTAAAGCAGTTACTTTGGGTTCTTTTATGTGCAAGAAAAGGATTGTATGCTTTTTGGCCTCAACTTTTTAATTGGTCTATTGCAGTTATCGTTGTGTTGCAGTCTTTTAAAATATAATCTCAAACTGTGCGTGCATAATAGATGTGAAGGCTCTTTGATTACTTTGGGAGTACATTTCAGCTATTCTCTAAGTTCTCTTTTTGCTCCTTGTAATGGTTCCACAGTTTCCCTTCTTACTTTCTCCTTTTGATGCTTCCCTTCCTTGTACTCCACTGAAACTGCTCTTGCCAAGGTCACCAAAGATTTCCTTGCTACCAAATCCAGTTGGCATTCCTCAACTCTGCCTTTTTTTTTTTTTAACATTTTGAATTGATTGATTGATTGTATAGATGGGGTCTCATTATGTTATCCAGGCTGATCTCGGACTCCTGGTCTCAAGTTATCCTCCCACCTTAGCCTCCCAAGGCAAGGCTGGGATTACAGGTCAGTCTTCATGTTACATGACAACTCTGTAGCCCTGTTAAAATTTTCTCCTCTCTTGACATCTCCATACTATCAGCTTTTCCTCTTGCCTCCCTGCTTCACCTTCTCAGCATTTTTTTTTTTTTGATTCCTTCTTGTCTGGCTGGCCCTTAAATTTTGGTGCTCTTCTAGATTCTGCCTCCAGCATTGTTCTTACTATATATGCTCTTTCTGGGTAATCTTTCCCTGTCTTAAAATTGGTGACTCCCAGATCCATATATTGAGTCCAGATTTCTATCCACAGATTTCTGTGCATGGGCGCATTTGCCTAAATGCCCACTGGCAGTCTCTCCTGGGATGACCCATAGGCAACTAAACTGCAATATGCCCCAAGCTGAACTCACCCTGTCTCTCTTGTGCCAAACCACTGAGTGAATGACACCATCTTCCTTTCAGTTGCTAATTCCAGAAACCAAGAAATCACACATAGCCATGTCCCAGTCTCTTACCAAATCCCATTGGTTCTATTATATATTCTCAATGGATTTCATGGCCAGTTGCTCTTTATTCATATCACTGTGTACAGCCAGTGTCAGACAGCCTTTTGAGTGCTTTGTATGTGTAAACTACTTTTCACAATGACCTAATGAGGTGGGAGTACTGTTATCATCCCCATCTTACAGATGAGTTAACTGAGATTCAGAGAGGTAAATTAACTTGTCCAAGGTCACACAACTGGTAAGTTGTAGGGGGTGTCCCCCAACTCCCATCCACAATAGGTTATATTTACTTGAAAGATCCATGATCTTGCTGCTGTTACAGGCTGCTCCAGTGCCCCTCAAACTTGATTATGCATAAAAATCACTTGAGCAGTTTGTTTAAAACCCGTGTTCTGATTTGGCATATCTGGAGTGGGCTGAGTAGTGTGCATTTTTTACAAGCTTACATTTTGAAAGTGACTTTTAATTCCTTATGTGTTTCTTATTTAGACTCTTGAAGAAATACAAGTAAGAAAAGAACAGGATGTTTGCTTCTATGTAGTCCTTCTTTTGTGTGACATTGGTATCATTTCCTCTTTCCTTGAGCTTCTGGCACTTTCTCTTGCTCTCCCTGACTTCTCAAAAATTCCATTTAACAAATTCTTGATAAGATTACATCTAGTGTGTCCGTGTCCTCAGATGTAATTAACCTAATCCTGGGAGCTTTGATTTCCTTAATGCTGTAAAGAGTACTTTCCCTAATGTACAGCTCTGGCAACATCATCTTTATGCATTCAAGCAAACAAATTCCTGCTGTAATAACAACAGCAAACCTTCAGCATCTCTTTTTTGCTTATGAAATAAAGTAGGTAGTCTTCAGCTTGACAGTTAAGGCTTTCTGCAGTCTTGCTCCAACCTATCTCTGAGCCTTACTTAGCTCATGTGGCCCATGATCCAGCAAACGGACCTTTACCCACCATTGCCCAGGCCTGAGACTTCCTTATACTTTTTCATCGTTCTAGAATGCCCTCTTGAAATATGCCTCTGTTGAGTGTCATTTTTTCCATGCAGCCTTACCTGATTCCCCTATGGGAAAGTCATCTTTCACTATCTAGAACCCCACAATTGTTTGCATTTCTCTATGGTACCTGTCATATTTTACATTGTCATTATTTGTGGGCATTTTTTACCTGTCCTAGTAGGCAGAGATTATGGTGCTTTTGTTATTGTATCCCCAGCAGTACTTGGCTCAGTGCCAGACATCCACAAATCAGCTAGAAGATGAGTTTTGCCAAAAATCTCTCTAATAAATTCTTTTTTCTTAAATTTTTTATATTACTTCATAGTATTTTTGTGTGTATGTGCATGTGATGCTGATATACTTTTTAATATATTTTTCCGATTATGAAAGGAATACATAGTCATTATAGAAAATTTGAAATATACTGAAAAGCACAGAGAAGAAAATTAAATTCATGTGTAATCCTACAAATAATCACTATTACGATTTAGTACACATCGATTTAGTAATTAAATTTGTATACAAAATGGGTTTATGTATTTTATTGGGCTTCTTTACTTAAAAACAAAGTATAGTCTTTTTAGGCATAAAGTTGTCTTCCATAAATGACTTCATCTCCTTATATGCAAATCTCTTTTTTCGTCTTCATGTGTAATTGCATTGGCTATGACCTCCAAAGCAACCATAAATAGCAATAGTTGCAGGTGTCCTTGTCCTGGAGTTTCAGGTAAGTTTTTAAGGCTGTACATGAGGGTATCTTTTCTTAATCATTACATATCTGAGCATGTCTCTGATTCATAGCTTTCACAAGAACAACTTTACCTGCTTTTAAGTGTCTGAGTCATCACCTTTTTCCTTTAAAACTTCACAAATGTTGATCTGTTATCGTGTTAGTTTCCTAGGCCTGCTGTAAGAGTTTATCACAAACTGGGTGGCTGGGTCACTTAAAACAACAGAATTCTATTCTCTTACAGTTCTGGAGGCTAACAGTTCAAAATCAAGATGTAGCAGGGCCATCCTCCCTCTGAGGGCCGTGGGGAAGAATCCTTCCTTGCCTCTTCTAGTTTCTGGGGTTGCGGCGGCAATCCTTAACCCCCTTTGGCTTGTAGCTGCGTCACTCCAGTCTCTGCCTCTGTTATCACATCGCCTTCTCTCTGTGTCTCTGTATCTGAATCACCCTCTCTTTTTCTCTTATAAAGACATCAGTCATGGGATTTAAGTCCTACCTGAATCCAGTAGGACCTTATATCAACAAATTACATCTGCAAAGACCCCATTTGCAAATAAGATTATATTCTCAGGTTCCAGGTGGACCTGAATTTGGGGGGGGACACTATTCAACCAGTACAGTTACCTTTTGCCCTTTAGTGTTCTGAAGAGAAATCTGAGCCAGTTCCAATTCAGTTTCTTTCTTGGTGACCTTTCCTGGCTGGGTTTTTCTTACATTTTTTTTTTCTTTTCATCTTTCATTTTTTACATGTTTTCCATAATTTATCTGCACCTTTGTATTTTCATTAATTTTCCTTAAAACATTGCACCTCTGGGATTCTTAGATCCAGTCCTTTAATCAAGGATGAATATTTTCTTCTGTTATATCTTTGATTATTGCTTGTTTTTTCCCCTAAAATGGTAAAGACCATTTTCTCTGTCCTCCATGACTGTCTTTTCTTTCTTTTTATTTTCATTTTGTTTTGTTCCTTTCCATTCTATAATCAGCATCTAAAATGATGGAGATATTACTGTTTTAGTTCCCTAAAATTAACATTTTGTTTTCCTCCTCCAGTGAAGATTTTAATCCTACATTTGCATTTTTTCATCCTTTTTTATCTCACCCACTTGCACAAGGTTTCTACACTATTGCAAAGAGCTCATGTCTTCTGTCTCCCTGAGGACAGCAATGGCTATTCTGAAATTTTATTTTGGTTTCATAGTAAAGATGGTTAAAGGTATGCTTCCCTCTTTTAGTTTTCAGGATTATGTGTAGCATTTTTTCATAGCCCCCATTTTTTTTTGTTTTGTTTTCATTTTTGTTTTACTTCAAACAAAAACAAAGAGCTATTCAGACCTTTTTTTCAACATTCAGAATGTATAACTGGCTCTCAGCTATCATTGTTCATTTGGGACTGTAGCTTCTCTGAGTTAAACAACTGGCTGGCTGGAGATTATACAAAGCTCCTTGATCAATTTCCAGGGTCTAGTTGGTGTTTATCTTATAAAGCTCTGCTGGAGTGAGATAGGATATTCTCCTGTGCTTGGCTTTTTGCTGCTCTGTACCAGCGGCTCTAGAATTTATACATAACAGGGGCTTAGGAACTACCAGTAGCAGTCTGGTTGAAAGAGGCGTATTGAAGTAATGTTTGCTTAGCTCTTTACATAAGCCTGAGAAAATGCCAGCTGTCTAGATCAAAAAACAGGATGCAGATTGTGAAGAGGTTAAATCTCCCCCAGCCCCTTGGCATGTTGGGGAAACTAAACTCCCTGGGATGCTCTGCCCTCAGGACTCTCCATGTCTCGCTCCCTACCTGGGGCACTTGGTTTATGAGGACCACATTCTCTAAGATGGACTCACTCTCCCTCCCTACTTCTTGCCCAGTGTTTTCTTGTCATGAAAAAGAGGTGCTTGTACGAGTGAGGCTACCTCAAAATGCAGTGTCCATGCAGTAAAAAGATGATTCCTAGTGTTTTATTCTTACTCTTCTGAAAGACCCAATGTCTCTTAGCTAAAATTAGATGGTGTGGGGAAGATTAAAGTGCCTTCCAACCTTCCATAATTACCACAGATTTGTTCTGTTCCAAGCAACAAAGCCAGACACCAAATACGTTTCTCGATTCTTCTCCATTGGCCGTATAGTAAGTAGAAAATGTCTTGATATTTTGGACGTAGAATTGCCAATCATTCCTTCTTAATATTCAAAGGAGTTGTCATCATTTGTGGTGAATTTTCACAAGTCTTTTACTGGGAAATGGAGTATCAGGGACTACTGTTCAGATATGATTTTAATTAGAAAGCCAAGACAGGTATATTTTGAGCTGGAAAGCTACATGACAGTGCTTATCCTGAATTGCCTCATGTTTCTCAGTAAAATAGCAGAAAGGTCATCTGTTAGGAGAAAGGGTGTTTCTGTAGTGGTAACATGTGACAGATAAGGTGGAGGATGTGATGGGAAGTACAAAAATAATGGCTCAGAAGATTGGATGGTGGTGAGGATCTAGCCATAATCAAATAGCATGAGCATGTTGTAGGCCTGGTCAGATGGAAACTCTTCTTTGAACACAGAAAAAGAGTGAGAGTTCAGTTGGCAGGGTGTGAGCGAGTGACTTGACTTGGTGGCACGAGGAGGAGTGAGCAGCATGCCAGATATGTGGGGTGGTAAGTGCAGCCTGATTAACCACAGATCCCCAGATAGAACCCATGCCAAAAAGAGCCCGAGTGGGTTATGAGGTAAGGTAGGTCCCATGATGCCACAGCTGTGCCAATGAGAAGGAGAGGATGCTGTTGGAGTTAGGAATGGATGGCAGAGCCATGGAGTTGGGAGGTATTCGATTTGAAAAGACAGAAGAATATGAGCTCAGGCTGTCAGATCAATCATAGCGATGGGTGTTGAGTTTGCTGAGGACAGGGGCCAGGGACAAGGATGATAAGAAAAGTCTGAGTCCAGATCCAGGGCCTTGGTGGCTCTCCTCCAGCCAACATTTATCCTCTTGGCTGGGGAATCTGCCTGCCACCTGGTTGGTTCTATATGCGCCATGGTGCTCTCAGCACCCAGCTGCCCAGCTGCCCAGTCACCCGGATCTCCCTGTCCCCCGGCACAGGCAGAATAGGATCAAGGTGAGGAGTGGGAGGAGGAGAAAAAAACCTACCCCTTCCCCCTACTCTGGTCCTCACACTGGCTCCTTCTCCCTTGCCTTTCCCTGCAGGCACAGAAGTGGACTAAAAGAGACCAGGAGACAGGCCCCAGGGCAGCACTCAGCAGTGAGGGGATGGCTCATTCTACCCATGTTTATGCCTTTTCTCACCCCCTCTTTTTGATGCAGACATTTAAACTTTTCTTTCTTCCTTTCTGAATAGTAGTACTTTCTAAGTCAGGGATGTGTCTGTGTCTGTGTCTGTCTGTAATTTGCATGTGCAGGGTCAAATGGATCTGCTTTCTTGACCAGTATTTGCAGTTTAAATAAACCAGCTTATGTTGGAAATCATTTCTCAAAGATCCTATACATCTTCCAGAATAAATTGCATTATAGCAATGCAACCTTCCCCAGTTCCCCCAGGCAGAGTTGGTCTCTCCAGTGTCTGTCCCCTGTTCTTTTGTCTGTTGTTATGGCATTTAACCAGGTTGTGTTGTGATTTATCTGATTATATGTATGTGTGTCTCTTACTCCCTCTAGGATTTGCAGTCCTCTAGGGCAGGGATCATGTTGGATTTATCTTTGTCCAGCAGTTAGTACAGGCCCTGAAAAAAATGGTTTCAGTAATGTTTGCTAAATGGACAAATATTTAAACAGATCTTCCAAGAGTTTAAATGTAGCATAAAGTGGCTTAATCATGCTAATCAGAGCATTTTATATTAATCACTATCATATTACTACAATATATATTATAGCATTATAACATTTATTGAGCACTTATTATGTCCAGGTACTATTCTAGGCTCGTTATACATTTTACATTATTAAATCCTCACCACAAGCCTAGAAGTAGGTACAGTCATTGTCCCCATTTTAGACATAAGGAAACTAAAATTTAGAGAGGAAAAATTCAGTGATTTTCCCAAGGTCACATGGCTAACAAGTATGGAAGTGAGATTTGAACCTGGTCAGTTGAGCCCCAAAACCCATACTCATAAGCCCTCATTTTAAAGAAAGGGGATCTAGGAGAAAATATTACATATTATGCTTAAGGATGTACTTTACATAATCTTTTTGAGTTTTTTTTCTAAGTAAAAATATTGTTCCTGTGATTTATATACCTGAATGCCAAGTACACAGTGCATGCTGAACAGAGATCATAGGGAATACCAGCACTGATTTAGAATGGAAACAAGCACCAACCCAGTGAAACAAAGCAGTAAAATAAATGAGGAAGTGCTTTTTGTTTTTGAAAAATTACATATTTGTATTAATCTAAGAAAGATCCTCATTTAATAATTGCCTACAATTTGAAACTAATAATGTTTTTATTTATAGTTAATAACATTTTATGCTTTCTATTTAAAAAAATTAATTTGTTAAGTTCTACAAACAAGTATTCTTGCTTGGATCTTATTTTTTTTCCTGAGATAAAACATCTAATATATTGAACACTGTTCAGTGTTAAATGAAACAGTTAGTTTTGCTGAGATTAGACCAAGGCCTCCACTCAGGATGTTAAATCACATGAATTTTCACTACTTAACTAACTGAATGGGAAACCAATTTGATTTGGGTCACCCAGAGCTGCATGAATGTCCAGCATGTCATTATACATAAAAATATGTATAATTGGACAGGGTTGTGGCCCTGTCCAATAGAACTTTCTACAATTATGGAAATATTTTTATCTGTGCTGTCCAGTGTAGTAGTCACACATAGCCACTGAGCACTTGAAATGTGACTAGTGCACTCAGGAACTGAATGTTTTTTATGTTAATTAAAATTAAATCTAGGCTGGGCACAGTGGCTCACGCCTGTAATCCCAGCACTTTGGAAGACCTTAGCAGGAGGATCACTTGAGACTAAGAGTTCGAGACCAGTCTGGGCAACATAGTGAGACCCTGTCTTTACAAAAAATAAAAAAGTAGCCAAGCGTGGTGGCATGTGCCTGTGGTCCCAGCTACTTGGGAGGCTGAAGCAGGAAGATTGCTTGAGCCCAGGAGGTCAAAGCTGCAGTGAGCCATAATTGTGCCACTACACCCCAGCTTGGGAGACAGAGCAAGACCCTGTCTCAAAAAATAAAAAATAAAATTTAATTTAATTTAAACAAGGCTGGTGGCCACAGTATTGGACAGTGCAAGAACTCAGAAGTAATCACTCACAGTGCCTGGCAGATCCTAGCCAAATGATCACTTAAGTCGTTTTGTTGTTGTTGTTGTTTGTTTGTTTGTTTCCTTTTTCTCCCTCCTGGACACGGTCTTCCTCAGAATCTGAGTATTTGGTGTATGACCATAGCAGAGATATAAGACCAAATAAAGTTTAAAAAATCCTGTCCTCTTTTCTTAGCATTAGTGATGTTACACATACATGTTAATACCCTTTTCCTAAACATATCCATCAAAATGAATGCAAAAGATCTGGTGTCTCTTCTCAAAGGAAACTGCCCCACTTTTCTGTGAGTGTGTGGCTCTTATGTGGCTCTCATGTGGCTCTCGTGTAGCTCCGGTGTGGAGCATCAGATCCTTCACCTCCTCAGAAGATGCTCTGGGCCAGGGCTGCCTTTGTGGGGCAGTGTTGTGACAAGATCTTCAGTTTTGCAACTAGCTTTTGGTCTACTCAGATTTCTTTCTTAAAATATTTTTCATTGTGTATGTTTTCCTAGAAAATTTGCCATTTCATTGAACTTTTTGATGATATTGGCATAATTTCATATAGAATGAATGAATATAATTTCATTCTCTTAATCTTTTAGAAATCTCTTTCTTCTTAGTGGTTCTATTTTCTTTATTATCACTATATGTATTTGTCTTTGTTCTTTGCTTTTTAAAATCAGACTTGCCTTGGAGTATCTTGGATATGTTAATCAATTATACTATCTTTCTAGTTTTATAATTTCTGCTCTGATCTTTTATTGATTCCTTTCCCCTGCTTTCCTTGGGTTTATTTCATTGTTCTTTTTTTATCTTCTAGTGGTTAATGCTTAGTTCATTGTTTTTATCCTTTTTTGTTTGATAATAAAAGCATTGAAAATGTGAATTTTTCTGTAAATATAGCACCTATCACATTATGTGTTTTCATATGTACTGTTCTTATTGTTGTTCACATCTGAATAGTATCTAATTTTACTATTCCTATTTGACTCAAGAATTTATATAAATATATGCATATAAATAAATTTATACATGCATATATACATATATAAATTCTTGAGTCAAATAGGAATAGTAAAATAAATTTATATATGCATATATTTAAAGAGATGGGATATCACTGTGTTGCCGAGGCTGGAGTGCAGTGGCTATTGATAGGTGTGATCATGGCACACTATATCACTGAACTCCTGGTCTCAAGCGATCCTCCTGTTTCAGCCTCCCAAGTAGCTGGGACAATAGGCACAATAGGCTGAGATGCATATTTTCTGATTTTCAGTTTTTAAAATCCTTTTGATACTAATTTCTTATTCAGTTGCATTATGCTAAAAATGACCTGTACAATTTTATAGAATATTTTAGAAGTTTTTTATTTTATATTGTTCTGTAGAACTTTTTCTTCCTTTTCTGGGCCAGACATGGTGGCTCATGCCTCGGCACTTTGGGAGGCCGAGGTGGGCGGATCACCTGAGGTCGGGAGTTTGAGACCAGCCTGACCAACATGGAGAAACCCCGTCTCTACTAAAAATACAAAATTAGCTGGGCATGATGGTGCATGCCTGTAATCGCAGGAGACTGAGGCAGGAGAATCGCTCGAACTCGGGAGGCAGAGGTTGCAGTGAGTTGAGATCACGCCATTGCACTCCAGCCTGGGCAACAAGAGTGAAACTCGCTTTTCTTTCTTTTCAATATTAGGTCGGTTTTTTTAAAGTTTACTAGATATTTTTAAAGGTGTGTATTCTCTGTACCTTGATACAGTCCATATATGTCTATTAAATCATGTTTATTAAATTTATGATTTGATTCCGCTATAAATCCATACTCATTTTTGCCTTGACCTATCAGAGAGAAATGTACTAAAATTTCCCATTACAATTATAATTTTATAAACTCTTCTTTCTAGTTATAATAGTTTTTGTTTTATAGTGATATGTTGTTACTCATTACATAAATGTTTATAGTTATATTTTGGAGATGGGTGGTTCTAATTATCCATATAAAATAACATTTTTTATTTGATGTCTTTTTCTCCTAAGTTCTACTTTGTGATTTCATTATTCCCTTACTTTCTTTTTGTCCCAATTTGCCTAGAATATTTTTTACTTTGCCTTTCTTTTTCATGATTGCTTTATTGTATTTAATATATTTCATTTATGTTACCGATCAAGTCTTTTTTGTTTTAGTAGGGAAATGTAACCAATTCATATTTATTAAAACATCTGTGCTGTTCTGTTTACCTTTAGGAGAAGTTCCAGGCTCCTCTTTATCCACTTTCTCATTTTATCCCTCCCTCTCACTCCATCCTTCAGGAGTGCAGATCTGGATTGATCAGATTAGATAACATCTTACTAAGTACTAAACTCCTGGATAGACAGAGCTATATTTGCAAAGGTCAGAGCACACATGCAAACATGCAAAAGTCTCTTTTCTGGACTCTTCTCCCAGAAGAATAACAAAGGGCTGGATGCATTCCAGTGTGAGAGGAGACCTAACCAACTCCCTCCTCTTTGCTGGCTTTGGAGGGGTAAGATCTCAGACTGCCTTCCTGTCTTCTTTCTTTCTACACCATGTAGGCTGATCTACCTTCACTAGTAGTTCTCCTTTAGTCTTGGTCTCACTCATTAGTAGAGAACCTTGCTAGAGAGGGTGGTTAGTGTAGGAGATGATTTGTTTATTCCTGTGTTCTGTTCTCTGCCCAAGGACCACTTTCGTAACACCCCAGTCCATTCTTTACAGTTTTTCCCAGATATGTTCTCTGTTTTTCATAATCATTTTCCTCTATTTGTCTCAAACTGATATTCTGATTTACTCTTTACGGGCATTTTCTTCTCAGTTCTAGTTTTTGGTTCACCATGGTCACTACATTTTGAAATTCAGTAATTACACTTTTCATCTGAAAGCTGATTATAGATTGTCCCATTTTCATAGATTCAATATGCTCCCAAATTATTACCATAATTGGAAATTTTCAAAAAATTCCTTGGACTTTTTGTAGTAAATCTGTCTTGTAGAACATTTTCTCTGATATTTCAGATTTTACATTTTATACTATCAACTTATCATAGGATCAATGATTATTCTCTTGATTCTTCCTTATTGGGTGTATTAGTTGGCTTAGAACGTCACAGTGCGGTAAAAAACAACAAGTTTATTTCTCTCTCATATGCAGCCAGGAACTCTAAGTGGGTGGTGGGTCTGCACCACACATTCAGGCTCAAGAAAATCTGCTGTCTTCAACATGAATTTCCAGATCCCTCTGGTCATTGGGGTTCTAGCCAGTGGAGAAGGAAAAAGTGCATGGAAGAGGTACCTCCCCTCTCCTAAAGGGCCTGGGTCCATATATGTACCCAGGTGAGCTTTGGCCCACCTTCAAGTGGAATTAATTCAGTCAAATGGCCACCTCTAGGGAAATGGGGTCTAGCTTTGTGTCCAGCTATGATTCTGCACTGTGACAAATGGCGAGAGTGGATTTTGGTGGCAGCTGGAGCTCTGTACCATCTTAATGAATTGAGGGAGAGGGCTTCTAGGTTGTGCAGTTTTGACATTTAGATGGGTTCTGATAGAGATTGTGTCATTCCTGAGCCAAATCTTCTCCCAAAAAAAGAAAGTGTAGATTTTTTATAGTTGTAATTGGCCAGATCAAAGGTTTGTGAGGACAATAGAAAGAAAATGGACAGAGACAGCTACCTGATAATCAGCTTCTGTACTGCGTTAAAAAGATTTTCTTCCTGAAGTGTTAGTTTTTTCATTCCCCAGTTTGCTGGGGCACTTTCTCCTTTCACAGCAGCTGACGTACTGGTCTTCATCAGGCCCCAGCCACCACAGCCCCCTCTGCTTTAGTTAGCAAGCTGTGTGAGCCAGCCGGGCTTGGGGGACACTGAGACTGCCACTCTGTGCTGGCCCTGAGTGTGACCAGTAGGATCTCCTGCCCACCTACTGCCCTCCCACCCATGCTCTCCTCAGGCAGGTCCTGCCAGCATGAGCTCAGGGTGTTGGTGTGAACCTGCATGGTTTGATTAAGTTACTGCCCAACCGACTTTCCCCAGCCTGTGGTGCTTCCGGTTATCTGGCCTGCCCTTCACTTTGGCCTTTCCTTCATGATAGAGCTGGTAGAATTTCTTTGACATTTCTTGCATGATTAATGAACCTTCTCTGCTTTCCAGGGCCAGTATAGGTCTTACCCCTGTTTTTATATCCCTTTGGCCATTTGCAATAGAAATTTGGCATTCATCTATTCCCATATTTCTTGTTTATGAATATTTAATGAGACCGATACTGTGTCAGGTGTTATGCTTAGCTCTGGAGATGCAGTGGTGAGAACAAGTAAATGTAGTTGCTGTCTTTTGAAGTTTGCTGGAGAGCGGAGAGAGCGCCTGAGGAAAGACAGGTGGGAACCAAATAATCATGCAGAGAAATGTAAATCACAACTCTGCAGAGTGCCCCAAGAACTGACAACAGGGTCATCTTCCCAGGCAGTGGGTCAGGGAAGGTATACAGAAGGAGGGGGACTTTGGTAGAACTGAAGGATGAGTAGTAGGGTTTTTTAGGGGAAGGTGAGAAAGGAGGGCCTTCCAAGCCAGGAAGTCCCAAGCATGTGTCCTTCGGTGAGAAGAAGTGGGGATGCTGGAATAGAGGTGGGATTGTGGCACAGTCATATTTGCAGTTTGCATAATCACCCAGGCTGCAGGCTTCGTTGTGAGGAGCCGCTTGGAGAGGAGCAGTGGTAGATGGGTGTATAGACTCAGTAGGAGGTGGTTGTGGTCATCAAGGTGACAGATGATGGTGACTTGAATGAAGATGGGGATGGTGAAATGGTAACGGTGATAGTCAAACCCATTAGCATGAGCTCTGTCTTTATGGATTTCATGAGTTCAAAGGGAGCTGAATTTCTTTTTACCATCAAATCGTTAAATTTGTTCTTCCTTTTTTTCTTGAACTTTTTAAGCAAGACAAGCAATATGCTTCCTGTTCTAAACTCAACAAATGAAAAGAGCATTATTACGTATGCCTGTGTCTAAAATATAGTGTTTTATGATGTTTAATTTATATTTTTATATGAATGAATGACTATCAGCTCTTCTCCCAAGCCTTCGACTCCTAGATGAGACTAGTTATAGTCAGGACTGTCTCTAGCAACCTCTATTTTAAGGGTAACAAGTAAGGGGAGGGTGTGTCCCACGTCTTTATAGACCTATGTCAGACATTATTAATTGATCATAGTGCTCTTTTCTTGCCAAGTCCAGATGTCATCTCAGAATGCTTCTCCCAAAGCCCTTGAGGCAGCCTATACCAGTAACACTCTACCTGAAATCTACTTGCTTTTCCCTCTATTTTAACAGTGAGTAGAAACCCACAAAGAAGCTGTTGATGCTGAATCCTCTATACTTCCCCTGTGAAAACGGCAGTGACCCTATGATATCTAAATTTATCTTTCTCTTGTACTTTAAAATTGGCCTCTGTAAAGTTAGAGACAGTCCACCAGATTACCCTCACTTCTGACACCAACTACTACAGCGTTCAGGAGTCCCCAAGACCACTCTCAGGTTTGATAGTTTGCTAGAAGGACTCACAGAATTCACTAAAAGCTTCTAAGCTCACTTATGATTTATTACAACAAAAGGATACACATTAAGATTAGCCAAGGGAAGAGGTGCATGGGACAGAGTTCGGGAGAGTTCCATTGCAGAGCTTCCCATTGTCCTCTCCTGATGGAGTTGTAGACAGCATTAACTCCTCCTGGCGATGATGTGTGACAACATCAGCACCGAGTGGAATGTTGCTCATCAAAGAAGCTCACCTGAATTGCGGTATCCAGAGTTTTTAGCAGGGCTTGATCCCATAGATGTGGTTGACCACCCACGTGGCTGACCTGAGCCTTCACCCCTCAGAGGTAGAGCTGATACTGTGTGACCCAAAGCCCTCACTATAAATCAGTGTGGCTCAGAGCCCCTAAGTAATCAGACACTAACACAGGTCATTCCCAGGTCTTAGAGATCACCTCCCAGAAGCTGAGGGCAAAGGCTAGACCTCTGTTTGGACAAGTTGAAATTCATGACTACACAGCCTCTTGGGCTCATCCTCAGTTTAGCGAATAGTGTAATGATCTGATGTCATCAAAAAAACATTTGCTTTTAGAAATTATTTTGCAGGAGAAAGATGAAATATAAAAACTGAACCTAATCACGGACATTCTCTGGAAGATGGTTAGGGAGGGTGGTGGTTAGATGAGGACAATGGGTTTCTGGGGTCTGGCTACCTCTGTTCACATCCCAGCTCTACCTGTACTAACTAGTTAAGTGACTGTAGCCCGTTATTTTACCCTTCTCTGCCTCAGTTTCCTCGTTCATAAATGAGAATAATAATAATACCTACCTTGTGTTATTATGAGAATTAAACGAGATAATACATATTAAGAGCAAAAGAATGCATGGCATTCAACAAATACCAGATACTGTTTCTATATTTATCGTAGGAAAAATTTATCAATCTCTTTTAAGTAATTTTCCTTGAGAAAATTCATTGCAGTTTTTCCCTAAATTTTTTCTATTAATTTTTATACCATCGTATCTCTTAAGCACTAGTGAAAACGTGAGGTAACCATCTTTCCTGAGAAATCACATTTCTGTTTTGCTGAGTGAGCTCTGAGTTAGAGAGGTGAGAAGTGCCCCTCAGGGCAGATGCGTTCTGATGAGTCTGCTGCAGATCTTTGTTGCAAATTGTGGGTAGATTTAAAGGCTAAAAAAAGATGTGTTGCTTTCCCAAGTCACTACTGAGAAAATCTAGAAGGAGAAAATAAGTTAAATCTTGAGTCAGTAATTTTGGACTCAAGTGCCAAGCCCTGGTGTGTTCACTCACCTCTTTCGAACATTGGGCCCCTTGGAGACTGTCTATTTGCAAGCATCACCTTGCCAGAGCTAAAACACAGTCTGCCTGCCTGGGGAGGGACTAATTGGCCTTTTGGAAACTGTTTAAAACTGAATGAAGCACAGGCGCTTTCTCCGATGGTAGTAGAGCCTTGAGTTCTTGCCAGCCACTAATTGTTCTTTAGGCTTTCCTGTGAAGGAGGCTGAACTTGAGAGTTGGCTTTTGGTCTTGCCATCTGTGAACTGCCACTTGTCCACATGTGGTGTGTATTAAGATTGTTTTTGCTGGGAGCATCAGTATTGGAATGTGTTCCAATTAAAATGTGATGCTCTTGTTTTTCCACTCTTGCAGGTTAGGCATTCCTTACTCTTGGGTTCCCAAGGACAGTGGGAGCCAACTGTATGAGTACCTGCCTGATAGAGCTTTAAAAAAACTGTTAGCTTCTAGGCTGGGCACTCCAGCCTGTGTCCTTAGATGTGGCTTACTTATAGGATAATTACATACAGATAGAAGAGACATTGTAAATGCTTCCTAATTGAATGCTTTTTCCCCCCTAGCTTATTTCCAGTGATGCTGATGGAGCCATCCAAAGGGCTGGAAGATTCAGAGTGGAAAATGGCTCTTCAGATGAGGTAAGGAAGCCTCCCCACTTCCTGTAATGCCACCAAGCACATGATTATAGTGCCTGGGATATAGCAGTGAAAGAGTTCTGGAAGAGGTAAATAGAGCTTTTCAGAGCTTTGCTTGAAGCAAATGGAAGGGAAATGTCAGTATTCTGGCATGGAAGGTGCTATTCATAGGGTGACACATACCCTTTAAAAGATCTATGTTAAAACCAGGTAGACACAGGAAGTTGTTCTGCCAGCAGTGGGACCAAAGACAATTCTGCCACCCTCTGTGAATGGTCCCGAGTCCCAGTACTTCCTCTGCCAGGCTGATCAGCTTGGCACAGCCATCCGAGCAGTGCCAGGGTCCAGGAGGGAGATGCCAAAAATTACTGCAATGACAAAATGTCACCAGGAAAAGAGGCTGGTACTGCCTACTGCTCCTTGGGCCACGCCTACTTTCTGGGCTCTCTGGGTCTTCCTTGCTGCAGGCCACAGGGACTCACCTTGCTTTTTTTTTTTTTTTTTTTTTTTTGCCACTACCCTCTCTATCCCACGGGGTCTACCCTTTAAACTGCAGAGTATGGCAAAAACTCGCCAGCCTTTTTCTTCTTTGCTGCCTTTTTACACGGTAGCTCATCATAGCTCTAGTTCCCTGACCCTGACCCTGGGCAAGGACCCCAGCCACCCTGAGCCTCATTTTTTTTTCATCTGTAAATTAGAAACTGTCTCAAGATTATTGCAAGAATTCAGTGAGCTATGTTTGTGAAACTCCTAGCACTATGCCTGGCACATAGTAAGCTTCAGAAGTGCTAGTTATGATGCTATTGATGGTTATTGTTATTGTCATCACTGCCACATTGCCGGTTTTCTCCTGACCACCTCCTAATGCAAATTCTCGGTAAAGAGCTATGAATTTAACTTGAAAGCCCATGACATTTGGGAAGTGATTGCATGTTTTCACTCTTGGCCTTAGCCATGTACATTTACCTGACCCTTGCCATTGACATGTTAGCCAAATGGAGGCTGAATACCCCTGAATAGGTACCCACATACTTCTTGTTCAGAATGATGTTAGCTGACCCACATAGAAGAAGGAACTCATGGAGAATTTTGCTTCTGAACCTTAGAAACATCCCTCTCCAAATGGCCTGGCCCCTGGGACTAGATAGCCTCACCACCACAAGCTCAGGCAGCCAAGGGTTCTCAGGAGCTAAGCCAGGCACAGAGG
This sequence comes from Homo sapiens, assembly GCF_000001405.40. Lineage (NCBI taxonomy): Eukaryota > Metazoa > Chordata > Mammalia > Primates > Hominidae > Homo > Homo sapiens. The sequence goes on from NC_000009.12 coordinate 127,292,447, forward strand.
CATTGAGTTATTGCTCTCCAGTGCTTGGAAAGCTAGCGGCCACCATGCCGAGTTTCTACTTTGAGAGCCCATGGAGGCTGTATACCTTGAGACATCTTTCTGCTACCAAAATTTTGCAGAACTTCAGCCCAGCCTGAAATGGACAAACCAAACTGGACTTTGCCACCCTACGTAAGCACAACTCTGGCCCCTGCCGCATCCAGTGTCTGGAGGAAATACACACCTCCCAGGAAAGACATCAATGGGGCCTTCATGTGATCCTTAATCACCATACACTTGGCAGTCAAACACTGCTCACCTGGCCCTGCCATACACCAGAGGATAGGTTCTGGGACCCAGTCAGGGGTTAGAAATAACCTGTGCTTGGGTCATGATCAGGAGTGGCTTAAGAGTCAGACTTCCCAGGGTTCAAATCATGGCCCTACAACTCACCAGCAATGTGGCCTTGGGCAGTTCAGTTGACATCTTGGGAACAATTTGGGGGAGTTACTGATTTCACAAGTCATTGCAGTCTGTTGTGTTCAAAACACAGTCCGTCTCAAATTGCTTCTCTGGAAATATAATATCAAGGATCGAATACTGTTTTAGGTTTTATTTCCACCGAAACTACTGAGCATGATGCTCCATTGGAGCACCTTGGCTGTTTTGTATTGGTGGTCTTCAGTTAAAAGTTTCTGGCCAATGGTACTTTCTAGCCTGATAAAAGACCTTGTGGGCACTTGACTTCCAGAGGGAAAAAACAGCTGGCTTTCTCTGAATTAGGTAAAGCAGTTAGTGCAGTAAAGGACTCACTATATATAGTTGCTTAAAAATTCTCAAACCTCTGAACAAACAAATTGCAAATTTTGTTTTTGGGTTATTTGTGCTTTTATTATTCAATTGTAAGAGTTTTTTATATAGTCTGGATAATTAGACACTTATCAGATATATGATTGGGAAAAGTTTTCTCCTATTCTGTGGGTTATCTTTTCACTTTCTTGGTTGTGTCCTTTGAAGCACAAAAGCTTTAAGATTAGATCATGTCTAGTTTGTCTGTTTTTTTTCTTTCATTGCTGGCACGTCCGTTGTCATGTCCGAGAAACCATTGCCTAATCCAAGGTTGCTTGGTCACTTTTTATAGTTTACTGTTCCCTTGAGATAATGTCAAATTTGTCTTTTATTTCTTTAAACATAGTGTAATGGTTTTATCATCTGCGACCGAGAATTCCAATATGTGAAGTTTTTGTGGCTGTTGTTTCATTGTTTTCCTCTGGCCTATGCTCCTCATGTAATGTGCTTCTGCGTGTGCTAGGCTGCCTGATTGTGTGCTACTTATTGTTCCTGAAAATTTTTAGGAATAATATAAAGCCTAAGATGAGTTGCTTTTTGGTAGGGAGGACTTATGTTTGCTTTTGCCAGATAGATACCTTTAAACCAAATACCCATCTTGAGACCTTTTAAACTACCAAAGTGCTGCAGATTACAACTACAGATTTATGTGAAAGCTGGCTTGTGGTCACCACACCTCAGAGACACTCCCCTGCTCAGCTCTGCTCGGTGCTGTGACAACTTCCTTGTAGTTTTTGGTGGTGGAGGTGGTTTCTTCTGATTCCCTCTTCCTTCAGTGTGCAGCCCTTTGGGATCCTAGCATAATGTGGGGCAGGGCTCCTATTGGACTTGCCTACCCCAGTGGGTCTTGGGATTTGACTCTTTGTCCCCAACAAGGTCACCAAAATCCAAATTCAATTTTGCTGGGATTGACAAACATCCTCAAGCCAAAAAGGACTTTCATGCTGCATTTACCTCTGTGCGTTCCCACTTGCCTTTCAGTTTTAATTGGCAATTCCTACAATCTGGTAAGCACTCCAGTGCTTTTTTCCCACCCCTCCCCCCGGCCAAGACAGAGTCTTGCTGTGTCACCCAGGCTGGAGTGCAGTGACACTATCTCGGCTCACTGCACCTCCGCCTCCTGGGTTCAAGCAATTCTTCTGCCTCAGCCTCCCAAGTAGCTGGGATTACAGGTGTGAGCCACCATGCCTAGCTAATTTTTGTATTTTTAGTAGAGATGGGATTTCACCATGTTGGCTAGGCTGGTCTCGAACTCCTGACCTCATGATCTGCCAGCCTTGGCCTCCCAACATGCTGGGATTACAGGCATGAGCCGCTGCGCCCGGCCTCCAGTGCTTTTAAGGAGATGATTTTAATATTTTTCTAGTACTTTTAGTTTTTTCAGTGGGAGGGTTGATCTGAATAACCTAGCCTGCCATTACCAAAAACATAAGTTATATCGGGAGTGCTTTTCATATAATGTGACAAAACATTCATTCAACTGGCATTCATAGGGTCATTTCCTAGTGCCAGACAGGCTGAGCCCTGGATGTAGGATTGAATAAGCCTGCTGAAGTCCCTGCTCCTAGGGGCCTGCAGATGGCAGGGAGAGCCATCAGTAACCAATACAAACACATAGAAGGATTGCAAATTTTGGTAACTACTGTGGCAAAAACAGAGGACCATGGTGCAAAGAAACAGGAAGAGCCCTATTTAAGATGGGGTCGTCAGAAAGCCCTTATCAGCGACAGCCAGTGAGGCCAAGCCTCTGAACAGTGCTTCTCAGACTGTCCATCTTTTCAATTTCCGGTCAGTTGCAGGAAATTAAATATGTGATCCTACTCTGCATAACTAGTACACAGAACCCACCTTATGCAACTCATCAAGGAATTGGATATCATCCAGATTGGTCTGGACAGTTTCATGAGATGAATCCACTGAACATGTACTTACATGCCACAGGCATGTCAGAACACTGTAAAGGTTTCTTGTACACCTTGTCATGGACTAGTAAACAGTTTGCAGATTGGCATCCATCAGAATGGACCATACTTTCCTGCCTTAGAGTTCATCTGGGCCAATCCCCTTCCCAATGCATGAGTTCCTGCATCAGCTTTGCCAGCAGTTAGCTGATCTGTTCCTGCTTGAGTGTATCTCCAGTAATGGGAAACTTGATACCTCCTTTATAGGACTTTTTTCCTCCTGACACCAATCAATTCTGACACCAACTGAGTGTCCTACAATTCAATTCTCACACCGACTACCTGGAGTTAGCGTCAGACTCCACAGGTTTAAGGGCTCAGTCCCACAAGACTGTCCTCATTTCAGAAGCCAGTCACAAGCATTGGGTCCCCAGATTACCTACATTCCACATTTCTTACCAACTTGGCTACAAAGTCAGGTAGCCGTTACCACAGCCTCCTCCTCAGCTTCCATAACTCCCTAAAATCACTCACAGAATTAATGAAAGCACTTTTTTTTTTTTACTATTACTGATATATTATAAAGCATCAGTCCCCAACCTTTTTAGCACCAGGGACCAGTTTTGTGGAAGACAAGTTTTTCCACGGACCAGGCAGTGGGAGATGGTTTCAGGATGATTCAAGCACATTACACTTATTGTGCCCTTTACTTCTATTATTATTACATTGTAATATATAATGAAATAATTATACTACTCATCATAAGGTAGAATCAGTGGGAGCCCTGAGCTTGTTTTCCTGCAAATAGACGGTTCCATCTGGGAGTTATAGGAGACAGTGACAAATCATCAGGCATTGGATTCTCATGAGGAGCACACAACCTAGATCCCTCGCATGTGCATTTCACAATAGGGTTCATGCTCCTGCGAGGATCTAATGCTGCTGCTGATCTGACAGGAGACGGAGCTCAGGTGGTAATATAAGTGATGGGAGTGGCTGCAAATATAGATGAAGCTTTGCTCACCCACCACTCACCTCCTGCTGTGTAGCCCAGTTCCTAAGAGGCTATGGACCAATACCAGGGGTTGGTCTGTTATAAAGAGTACAACTCAGGAAGAACCAAAGGGAAGAGATGCATAGGGCAAGGTATGGGGGTGGTGGCATGGAGCTTCAATACCTTCTCCAGTTGTATCCATATTTTCAGTACCTCAATATGTTCCCCAACATGGAAGCTCCCTAAGCCCCATGATTTAGGGGTTTATATAGAGGTTTCATCAGGTAGGCATGACTTTTTTTTTTTTTTTTTTTTTTTTGAGACGGAGTTTTGCTCTTGTTGCCCAGGCTGGAGTGCAATGGCGCGATCTTGGCTCACTGTAACCTCCACCTCCTGGGTTGAAACAATTCTCCTGCCTCAGCCTCCCAAGTAGCTGAGATTACAGGCACCCACCATTGTATCCAGCAAATTTTTATATTTTTAGTAGAGACAGGGTTTCACATGTTGGCCAGGCTGGTCTCGAACTCCTGACCTCAGGTGATCTGCCCACCTCGGCCTCCCAAAGTGCTGGGATTACAGGCATGAACCACCACGCCTGGCCAGGTAGGCATGATTAATTAAATCATTGGCCATGGATGACTGCCTCAATCTTCAAACCCTCTCTCACCCTGGAGGTTGGGGTATGGAGCTGAAAGTTCCAAGTTTCCAATCAAGGCTTAGTCTTTCTGGCAGCCACCCCCGATCCTGCAGCTATCTAGGAGCCCCCTGTGAGTCCCCTCCTTAGAACAAAAGATGTTCCTGTCACCCTTATCACTCAGGAGCTCTGTGCTAGGAACCACTAACAAAGACCAAATACGTATTCCCATTATACCACACCCCTAAAGCAGTTAATTCCATTTTTCAGAATCTCTTAATTTCTAGAAAGGTCTTTTTATTGAACATAATTCACCTGTCTACTGTATTTTCTTTTTCTTTTCTTTTTTGAGACACGGTCTCCCTCCCTCTGTCACCTAGGCTGGAGTGCAGTGGTGCAGTGATGGCTCAATGAAGCCTCGACCTCCATGGCTCAGGTGATCCTCCAACCTCAGCCTTCTGTGCAGCTGGGCCTACAGGCGCAGGCCACCACGTCTGGCTAATATTTGTATTTTTTGTAGAGATGGGGTTTTGCCATGTTGCCCAGGCTGATCTTAAACTCCTGGGCTCAAGTAATTCGCCCACCTCAGCCTCCCAAAGTTTTGGGATTTCAGCTGTGAGCCACTGAGCCCAGCCTATATTTTCTTTTTTCTTTTTTTTCTTTTTTAACACAAGGACAATTTTAATCCTACATTTTCCTATAGTATAACAGCATCCATTGCTAGCTATCTATGAATTGAAACTGCATTTGCTAAGAACTGTGAACATTAAGAAGCTTTACATGAAGTCACATGTGTTGATATAGGCACATAGACATCTTCTAGCACCAACAGAATACATACGTAACACATACCGAATGATCTTGATGGATAAATTTGCTCCACCAGGTAATTCTATTTAGTAAAATTCAGTTAATGCAGAATCCCATTTTTAAAATTTACATCTTTATTACACATTTTTTTATTTTTAAAAAGTCATTCCAGATTGTAATTTGCATGGCAATAAACAGTGGCTTCATGGATTCTTAGTTTCTTAAAGCTGTCTATAGCAATTTAAAACACAAGTCTTCTTTTCAATTTGCAGCACCTGACTTAAAGTTTAAATTCATCGAATGTACTCATTAAAACTGTTCAGTTTCTCTTATGAGAAAGACATGTTTCAATTGCTATTTCCCAAACTATCTGTTGAGCATGGGTGTGTATTGTTTTTATTTGGTTAATAGAATTACTCACACAATTTATAGCCGGAACAAAAACCTCTAGCCTCTCTGAATGGCCTTCCACTCAAAACAGCGATGAAAATAAATGTCTAAAATGTATCTGGGGTCTGCCCCAACTTGATATCACCAAACGTGTTTCCAAGTTTTTGTTTTTGGTTTTTTGGGGTTTTTTTGAGACGAAGTCTTGGCTCTTATTGCCCAGGCTGGAGTGCAATGGCGTAATCTCAGCTCATTGCAACCTCTGCCTTCTGGGTTCAAGCGAGTCTCCTGCCTCAGCCTCCCAAATAGCTGGGATTACAGGCACCTGCCACCATGCCCGGCTAATTTTTGTATTTTTAGTAGAGACGGGGTTTCACCATGTTGGCCAAGCTGGTCTCAAACTCCTGACATCAGGTGATCCATCCACTTCAGCCTCCCAAAGCACTAGGATTACAGGCATGAGCCACCACGCCCGGCCTGCTTCCAGGTTTTCTTAGAAAATATGGTTTTTAACTCTATGCATAATACTCTACCACGTGATACACCATCACTTCTTTATTTCCCAGTTGTTCATTTCTACCATTTTATACTTGTAATTTTTTATATTATAAATAATATTGTAATGAACACCTTCATCCATAAGTTTTATGCGAGACTGGTTATTTCTTTAGAATAATATCAAAGAAGTGGCTTACTGGTTCAAACAGTACATGTGGTTTTAAGGCTTTTAATATAATTTACTGAATAATCTCCAGAGTAGCTCAAAAAAGTCCTACCGACAGTATGTTATTATGCCTCCAGAGTCGACTTGCTAACAGTGAAGCAAATTCAACCACAAATTTATTAGATTCTCACCTATCTCAAGATTATCACATCAAAGAAGCAAGAAGATGTATTACTGGTGAGGAAGCCAAATTCAAATTCTTTCAGAAAATTCACTCAACTTTAGATCTGTAAAATAGTCAACAGAAATGCTTCCCACAAAAAGTCTACAGGGCTTTTCCAAAAATAAAAAGAGAGAAAGAGAAAAGTCAGGCCAGGCACGGTGGCTCACGCCTATAATCCCAGCACTTTAGGAGGCTGAGGCGGGTGGATCACGAGGCCAGGAGACTGAGACCATCCTGGCTAACATGGTGAAACCCCGTCTCTACTAAAAATACAAAAAAAGTAGCCGGGTGTGCTGGCGGGTGCCTGTAGATCCAGCTACTCGGGAAGCTGAGGCAGGAGAATGGCATGAACCCGGGAGGTGGAGCTTGCAGTCAGCACCACTGCACTCCAGCCTGGGCAACAGTGCGAGACTCCGTCTCAAAAAAAAAAAAAAAAAAAAAAGAAAGAGAAAAGTTAGTACCAAATGACCAGAATTTTTTATTTGACTAAATTCTATTCCATGCATAAGCGTGACAGTCTCCTGTGTTTATCTGACTTTGGCAATAAAAAAACAAGCAGCCTTGTGCAATGGTGCCATCTTGGCTCACTGCAAACTCTGCCTCCCAGGTTCAAGCGATTCTCCCACCTCAGCTTCCTGAGTAACTGGGATTACAGGCGCCTGGCTAATTTTTTTGTTTTTGTTTTTGTTTTTGTTTTTTTTGAGATGGAGTCTCGCTCTGTCACCCAGGCTGGAGTGCAATGGCGTGATCTCAGCTCACTGCAAGCTCCGCCTCCCGGGTTCATGCCATTCTCCTGCCTCAGCCTCCCAAGTAGCTGGGACTACAGGCACCAGCCACCACACCTGGCTAATTTTTGTATTCTTAGTAGAGACCGGTTTCACCATAGCCAGAATGGTCTCGATCTCCTGACCTTGTGATCCGCCCACCTCGGCCTCCCAAAGTGCTGGGATTACAGGTGTGAGCCACCGTGCCCAGCCAATTTTTTTTTGTATTTTTAGTAGAGATGGGGTTTCACCATATTGGCCAGGCTGGTATTGAACTCCTGACCTCAGGTGATCCACCTGCATCGGCCTCCCAAAGTGCTGGGATTACAGGCATGAGCCACCATGTCCGGCCATATATACATTTTTTTTAAAGGCCTGTCTCCCTTTGGCCATATCGAGATTAAGCTCAGGTCATTAAAAACAGACAGATTTTCAAAATCACTTCTTTACTTCTCCAAGATCTTCAGTGCTGTCATCATTTACCTCTGGCCAGTTTTCCTGAATAACATCAATTATGTCATCTGTAAAGTCTTCCTGAATGATAATTTCTTCCTCTTCTGTTACTGAGGCACCACACAATTTTTGAGCAAAAAATCTTTGTGCTTTTTTAAGATCAATTTCAAAAGTTAGAGGCCACACATTCATGTTACATGTTTCTTCTCTGTTGTGGGAATTTTGGCTGTGTAACCTTTTCTGGTATGGCCTTCTTTTCTTTGTTTTATTTGACCCCTTTCACCTCTCTTTTGTATTTTATTCTTCTCTTCTGCCCCTGCTGTTCCTTGACCCTCATTAATTCCAGCTTCTTGTTTGGGTGAATTTTCTTTTTTTTGTTGTTTTTTGAGACGTAGGCTGGAGTGCAGTGGTGGGATCTTGGCTCACTGCAACCTCCACCTCCCAGGTTCAAGCGATTCTCCTGCCTCAGCCTCCAGAGTAGCTGGGACTACAGGCATGCGCCACCACGCTTGGCTAATTTTTGTATTGTTAGTAGAGATAGGGTTTCACCATGTTGGCCAGGCTGGTCTTGAACTCCTGACCTCAAGTGATCTGTCCCCCTCGGCCTCCCAAAGTGCTGGGATTACAGGCGCGAGCCACCGCGCCTGGCCCTATTTGGGTAAATTTTCTACAGTAAGTTTTGCAGATTCATTTGGAAAATTCTTCTCTAACCATTATCTACATTTAGCAACATTAGGCATGTATTTACAGTAGCCTGTTGGTAATGAACAGACTCCACAATAAAGGACTCACAGTGGGTAATCAGCATCTAACTCGGCCCTGTTCCTTAGGTCTCCTTTGCACTTGGCCCCATAGGATTCAGAAATGTCTGCAGCCATTTCACAAACCCAGGTGGTTCCCTCTGCTATTGCCAGTTGAAGCGACACATGGAACTATCATCTGTATTTTCCACTCAGTGTTTCTATTTATATTCTCCATAGCCCCAGACTGTAAGTCTGAGCCCTCTTCAATGTGACATCTGTTGTTTTCCTCCTAAGACACAGGATCAGTTCCATCATTGTCATCCTTATTGCTGTTCCTTGGACACATGTGAGGTTGTTATTGAACCTTTTGGACCAAAGTGCTCAGAACCGAACACAGGGCTCTGGGCATGCTCCACACAGCCACAGAGTGGAGCAGGCTCATCCCCTTTCTTGCTGTAGACACTCTACCTCTTTTTATGGACCCTAATGACTCATTATGAACCTACAATATGCTACTTTGCCCACCCCCCATCTTTTTCACATGTGCTGGTGTTTAGCTGTGGAGCAGCACTATGATATAATGGAGACTATTTTGGAGTCAAACAAACCTGGGTTCAAACCTCAGCTCTACCACTCTCTAGTTTACAATTCAGTGTCTCTGTGCCTCAATTTCCTAATGGGTAAAAAGGGAGGGGAAATCCTTCCTTATACCATCTGAGCTTGTCCTTCAGTAATTTGTATTTTGTATCTAAGTGAAGGATCTTGCATTGTCTACATTGAATTTAATCTCATTAGTGTGTCTCATAATTCCTAATTGTCAAGACTTTTTGGTGACATCTTGATTCTGTCACCTGTCCTGTTAGCTAACCCACTAAGCAGCTTTATTTTACCTTCAGATGTGCTTGTCTTGCCATGTGTGTGCTTATTCAGATTATTAATTAAAATGAGTGTGACCCCTGGGTGGATCACTGGGGACCTCCCTTACAGCTCACTTGTATGTATCAATTAGTAGATGGTGCAGCAGAGGGGACAATCTTTCAGCTTTTTACAAATCTATCTTCCTTAGCATTGGGAGGACTTTTTTTTTTTTTTTTTTTTTTTTTTTTTTTTTGAGACAGAGTCTCGCTCTGTCGCCCAGGCTGGAGTGTGCAGTGGCGTGATCTCGGCTCACTGCAAGCTCCGCCTCCTGGGTTCACGCCATTCTCCTGCCTCAGCCTCCAGAGTAGCTGGGACTACAGGCGCCTGCCACCACACCTGGCTAGTTTTTTCTATTTTTAGTAGAGACAGGGTTTCCCCGTGTCAGCCAGGATGGTCTCGATCTCCTGACCTCATGATCCACCCGCCTCGGCCTCCCAAAGTGCTTGGATTACAGGCTTGAGCCACCGCGCTCGGCCGGGAGAACTGTTATACACTGTTGGAGGATATGAAAATTACCACAATCTTTTGGGAAGGCAATTAGCAATAATTAAAAATGTGTATACCATTTGGCAAGACCTTCTATTGCTAGGACGTATATTGTAGCATTATTTAAAATAGGAAAAAAACTGGAAACAGCATCAATTTCTTTCAGTAGAGGAATTATCATGTAAACTATGGTCCATTTACACAATGAACTGGTTAGTGGCCATTAGAATGAGGTAGACACATATGTACTACTACACAAAAAATGTTTAAGATACATGTTAGACATAAAGGCAAGTTCCAGAATGACTTGTTTAATATCATGCCATTTTTCTTAAAAACAAAAAAATGGGAAATATGCTCGTCAAGATGCGAGAAAATTTCTGAAAAGATACAGAAGAATATAATAGTAATTGTTTCTGGAGAATGGAAATGGGAGCTCAGGAAAGAAGCTGGAGCTGGAGGACCTTAACTTTCCACTTGATGCCCTCATATACTGTTTACATATTTTACAAGCTTATATTCATTCAACTGAAGAGTTGAATTTTTTAAAAGAAGAATCTATGTAGTTGTTAAAAAGAACAAAATAGATCTATATGTATTGACATAGAAATATTCCCGGGCTGGGCATGGTGGCTCACGCCTGTAATCCCAGCACTTTGGGAGGCCGAGGTGGGTGGATCACGAGGTCAGGAGATCGAGACCATCCTGGCTAACATGGTGAAACCCCGTCTCAACTAAAAATAGAAAAAATTAGCCAGGCGTGGTAGTGGGTGCCTGTAGTCCCAGCTACTCCAGAGACTGAGGCAGGAGAATGGCGTGAACCCGGGAGGCAGAGCTTGCAGTGAGCCAAGATGGCACCACTGTACTCCAGCCTGGGCGACAGAGCAAGACTCCATCTCAAAAAAAATAAAAATAAAAATAAATATTCCCAAGATATTTTCTTTAGCAGAGAAAAATTTTTCAGTGTAATATCTATACTACTGTCCCATTTATGAAAACAAATTATGTATATGTATATATAGGCTTATGTATGTATATATATTTTTGTATGTATATATGTATGTGAATGTGTGATATGTGTGTATGTGTGTATAAAGTAAACACATCTTTGTAAATGCATAAAAAGATCTGGGATTATTCAGACCAATCTAGTAGCATGGTTATTAGAGGGAAAAGAAGTAGGTTGGGTCATGGAGGATGGGGGAAAGAAAAAGATTTTAACCTTTGTGTAGTTTCACATTTTTATAATCAGCTTTCATGCTTACATTTGTAATTTTTTAAAAGTTTTAGTTTGTTTTTTAAAAGAATCCATTTTCCCTACTGCCATGTTATCTCAGCAGTTTAACCTAGGAACTGAAGTAAAATCAGCGTAACTGCATTCATTCATGTATTGAACTCACTCTGGAATAGACTCTATGAAAAATCAAAGGAATTATTTTAAAACTGTGGATACCATTTGTATTCTGAGTTTCTGTATTTTGTGGATTCCCTGCTTAAAGTCAAATATTTGAGAACATTCAAATAAAATCAGGGTGTCATATATGGATTTTGATTACATTATCCTCAAAATATCCTGGCCAGATTCAGTCTTCCTCCGTCACATCCCACAAGTATAAGTAGGGGGTGGGGGAAGATAATGAAGACAGTGAGAAGCTTTGGTGGGCTTTGGATCTGATGCAGAAATGATTCAGGACTTTTGGGTCTCTGTGGGCATGTACAGGCCTGAATGCAGCATGGAGCAACTTGAGTTCATTTCCCTCTGTTGTAGCCTTTCACAAATGTTTACCTAAAGGGCATAAAATAAGCATGAGTGTTTGCAATGTTAAACTTCAGTTATCTGGAAAGTGTACTCATCAGCCTATTTTCTCCTAACTTTCTAGTTGATGTCAAATGAATAATGTGTTCCTGTTTCATTGTCACCTTAAACTCCTATAGACAGAGTTTCTATATCTCCAAGATCTTTTGTAAAATAGGTGACACTTAAATTAGTTAGGATTTATTGTAGGTTAAAACCACAATTAGGTACTACTTCACCAACTCCAGAACTGCAAGGACTGAAAAGCTAAAAGTTTGGTCAGAGAACATGGAACAACTAGAGCTCTCATATATCTTGCTAATAGGAGTTTAAATTGGTGTGTGTATCCTCTTTGGAAAATTTTTTGGCAGTATCTGCTAAAACTGAACACACATACGTCTGTGTCACCGGATGTATACCCAACAGAAATGAGTACTTGTATCCACCAAAAGACAGACTCAAAATGGTCATAGTGGCTTTATTCTTTTTTTTTTTTTTTTTTTTTTTGAGACAGAGTCTCACTCTGTCACCCAGGCTGGAGTGCAGTGGTGTGATCTCAGCTCACTGCAACCTCCGTCTCTTGGATTCTAGTGATTCTTGTGCCTCAGCCTCCCGAGTAGCTGGGACTACAGGCATGCGCCACCACACCTGGCTAATTTTTTGTATTTTTTGTAGAGACAGGGTTTAGCTTTGTTGGCCAGACTGGTCTCGAACTCCTGACCTCAGGTGATCCACCCACCTCGGCTTCCCAAAGTGCTAGGATTACAAGCGTGAGCCACCAAGCCCGGCCAGTGGCTTTATTCTTAATAGCCAAAAACCAGAAACAATCCAAATGTCCATCAATAGAAGAATGAATGCGTAAATTGTGGTATTCTTCCAGTGGACTACTACATGGCCATGAGAAAGAGTGAACCACTGCCACACCAGTAACACAGGTGAATGTTGCAGACCGAATGACAAAGGATAAACGCCTGACTCAAATACACATCATATGATTTCATTTTCGTAACGCTCAAGAGCAGGTAAAACGAATCCATGGTGATAGAAGTTAGGACAGTGGTTCTCTTTTGGCATGTGGTTGAGTAATGACTGGGGAAATGAACAAGGGAGCCTTCTGGAATACTGAAAATATTTTCTATATTGATCTAGGTAATGGTTATGAGGGTGTATAAATGTAAAAAAAAATTATTTGGCTGTACACTTCTTTGTGCCCTTTACTGTCCACTAGTACTACACATCATCGGAACCTGGAGCTTGTGTTCAGAGTTCTTCTTCAGGGTCCTGGGAAAAGTGGGATTTTTTTTGTTGTTGTTTTTTGTTGCCTAGTCTCCATTGCTTTTGTCAGTTCCTGCATGTATTTTTGTCTTTACACCTCATCAAATGTGGTTTTAGCAAGGGATGGGAAGTGTCTTGCTCTGTAAGACTCACAACATTTTTGGAGTTGGGTTATTTCCCCTGTGTTTTGGTTAAGTATTCAGTGAAGAGGAAAGTGAAATAGGTAACTTTTATTTTAATTTTTTTTAATTTTTAATTTTTTTTCTTAAGAAACAGGGTCTTGCTCTGTTGCCCAGGCTGGAGTGCAGTATCACTATCATGGCTCACTGCAGCCTCAGCCTTCTGGGTTCAAGTGATCCTCCCACCTCAGCCTTCCAAGTAGCTGGGACTACAGGCACACACTACCATACCTGGCTACTTTTTATTTTTTAATTTTATTTATTTATTTATTTATTTCTTGTAAAGACAGGATCTAACTATGTTACCCAGGCTAGTCTTGAACTCCTGGCCTCAAATAATCCTCCCAACTCGGCCTCTCAAAATGCTGGGATTATAGGCATGAACCACTATGCCCAGCCCAGTAATTTTTTAATCATTAAAGAAAACTCCTCATATTGACAGTTGGTATTCAGCATGCCAGTGCCTCTGGAGTCCCATCTCTCCCTCTGCGATGCTGAGCAGCACCTTGCGCCTCCCTGTGGTGTTCCATTCTACACTTGGCAGTGTTCAAATCTCTGGGAGGCAGACAGTTGCAAGTGCTTCAGAAGCCTAGGGCATGCAGGTCATTTTCCATGCCTTTGAATCCCCTTGGAAATCTGCTAAAACCCCTAGACCCCTTCTCAGAATAATGTTTTTAAATACATGAAATTAAATACTAGGATTACGAAGGAAAACAGTTGTATTGAAATAATTATCAACATGATTTTTGAAACCTAATTTATGATACAGTAATATATATGATTTTAAAATACATTAAATAGGCCAGATGTAGTGGCTCACGCCTGTAATCCCAGCACTTTGGGAGGCTGAGGTGTGTGGATGACTCGAGGTCAGGAGTTCGAGACCAGCCTGGCCAACGTGACGAAACCCCGTCTGTACTAAAAATACAAAATGCAGTCAAGTGTGGCCGGGCGCGGTGGCTCACGCCTGTAATCCCAACACTTTGGGAGGCCGAGGCGGGCGGATCACGAGGTCAGGAGATCAAGACCATCCTGGCTAACACGGTGAAACCCCGTCTCTACTAAAAATACAAAAAATTAGCCGGGCGTGGTGGCAGGCGCCTGTAGTCCCAGCTACTCAGGAGGCTGAGGCAGGAGAATGGCGTGAACCCGGGAGGTGGAGCTTTCAGTGAGTCTAGATCGCGCCACTCTACTCCAGCCTGGATGACAGAGGGAAATTCTGTCTCAAAAAAAAAAAAAAAGCTGGTGTGGTGGCACACACCTGTAATCCTATCTACTCGGGAGGCTGAGGTAGTAGAATTGTTTGAACCTCAGAAACAGGTTGCAGTGAGCCAAGATCACGCCGCTGCACTCCAGCATGGGCAACAGAGCAAGACTCCGTCTCAACAAAAAATAAATACATTAATTAATTAATTATAATACATTAAATAATGAATCTAGCAGCAGGCCTCATAAATACTGTAATTTTGAAAAGTGAAGAGTGTAAACAGTATTTTAAGATATCAGCAATCACTATAATGAATTCTGAAAATATCTTTGATTTTTTTTTTGTCGGCATGGTTACCAGAACTGTCCATTCTATAGTTTTTTTGCATATATTCATAACTGAATGAAACACTAAATTTTAGTTAGAACTTAGGGAAAATAAAGTTATATTTGTTTTGCCCCATCCAAGTTTATGCCCCGCTCTCTGTGCTGAATTCTTTTAGAACTGGCATAGAGCATTGTTTCTCAAAGTTCAGTTTTCATCAGAACCACTTGTAAAACAGTTGCTGGTTCCCCACTCATAGAGATCTTAAGGAAGAAGTTTACGATGGGCCCAAGAGTGCACATTTTAACAAATTTGAGAAGCACAGAACTAAGATCTGTTGCTGCTACCTGAAAGAAGCTTGTCTGTGCCATCCACGCATCTCTTGGAGGCCCCAGAAGTTTAAACGTCCTGATGACAGCTTAGGAGTTTACTCTCTAGGCGAGAGAGAAAGACGTTCATGACAGTGTTGCTTTTAGTAGAACAAAGAAAAATAACTGTGATAGGCAACTGATCAAGCACAATAATGTGCAATTATGCAGTGAATACATGGAGTTGTTATGATGTAAATACATATTTATTAATAGTCATAGTGGGAAAATGTGATACCAAATAGTATGCCTATTGTGATCTCTGTATATGCAAATGAAAAATTGTGGAACAATACACGAAAATGTTAATTTGAAAATTCAGGTGATTTTTGTTTAACCTTTGTTTTCTAATAGGGCTAACAAGTTTTTTTTAATGTGTCAAGTAAATAAAAGTTTTAGAAATACTAAAAAATAAAAAAATAAAAAGATAAAAAGTTTACTCTCTAGGCTCTGCTCTAGCTTTGTAGGATCCAAGGCCTTGGGACCATGACACCAACCACTGTGGAGTCTGGCTGAGGCCAGCTTCCTTGGCTGGACTCCCCCTATGTCTGGTCAGCTGATGCCTGAGGCTGGCTGGTGGGTCATGCCATCGCTGCATGCCCTGCAGTGTCATAGTGGAAAGACCTGGAGACCAGGAGTACTGCCAGTAGTTCATGGTTATAAAGTAAATAACTGTTGATAATGAATCATGCGAAAGTCCTACAAGGAACAAAATCCAATGATATGCTTTCACCAAAAGGTAAAAACTAAGAGGTAATATCTTGAATAGGTAATCAAAATTAACATCACCACTGAGGAACAGATGGGTATTTTGAAATATGATAAGCTGAGGACAAACCTCACTTACATGGTATTCCAGCCAAGTCTGCATACCCTGAATCTAACTGGGGAAATATCAGACAAACCCAAAATGAGGAGGGAAGATGCTGCATTCTTCAAAAATGTCAAAATCAGACACAAAGAAGGGAACTATAGACACTGGGGCCTACTTGGGGGTGGAAGGTAAGGAATGAAAAATTACCTATTGGGTATTATGCTGATTACCTGAGTGACAAAGTTATCTGTTTACCAAACCCCTGCAACACACAATTTGCCCATGTAACAAGCCTGCACATGTACCCCTTCAACCTAAAATACAAAATGGAAACAAAAAAAAAAATAGTGACAGTCAAAAAATGTCAATGTCATAAAGACAAAGAGTCAGTGGAAATGTTGCAGATGAAGGGAGTCTAAAGAAACACAATGAAATGATCCTGTACTGAAGAGAGAAAATGCTTAAAATGACATTGTTGACTCAACTGACAACATTAGAATACAGATGGCATCAATGTTAGACTTAGAAAAGTTGATAAAGCTCTACTGTGGTTACGTAAGAACATAGCCCTACTCTTGCGAAATACACACTGAAGTATTTAGGGATGAAGCCTATTATTTTACATCTGAGTCTTAAATGGTTCAGAAAAAATATTGTATATGTGTGTATGTTTGTGTGTGTGTTGGGGGTTGTGAACAAATGAGCCAGTGGGGTAAAACATTAACAGTAGGTAAATCTGGTAAGTAAAAGGTAAACATGCTTTTTTACACTGCTCTTATTCTTGCAGCTTTTATATAAATTTAAAATTATTTCCAAATAAAAATTCATATGTATGTAGCAATAGCTAGTTTTTTAAAATTCCAGAAAATCTGATAAAAGCAAAATAATACTAAAATTTTCACCTACGTTTTTACTCCTTAATAGGCTTAAAAGGCAGGACATAAAAAAGGACACAGAAGATGATGTAATGGTTAAGATAAAAAAAGAAAAAAGAAGAAACCTCTGGAATTGGAACTGGTTTCAGTTCCAGCTCCACTACTTATTATCTCTGTAGCCTTGGGCAACATGTTTAAACTCTCTCAGTCTCAATTTCCTCATCTGAAAGTAGGGGGATAAAATAGAATCTATCTCATAAGGTTGATGGGTGGTTCTGGAGATAATGCATATAAAATGCTTAGCCTAATACTTGGCATTTAGCACTCTCTCAATGCATGTCAGTATTTCCAGAGCAATGACAAGGACAGAGAGCTTCCCGTTTCATTTTATAAGGTAACATAACCCTGAAAGCATGACAGAAATACAAATAGAAAGGAAGCCTATAGATCTATCACACAAATATGATACATAAATCATTTGTTAAAGTCAAGCAGTATATTAAAAGAATACTATACCATGACCTAGTAGGGTGGATTCCAGAAATGTAAGAACCTTTCAATGCCAGAAGAGCTATTACTATATTCATTATTCATTCATTACATTACATACTGTGATTCCCCCCATTTAACCTGTTCTCTCAACAGTTGCCCCCCAAAAAAAGCTTTTGGTAAATTTAATTTTCATTCCTGAGAAAAGCCTCTTTGTAAACTTCCAATTGAAGGAAACATCTTTAGCATGATAAAGAAACTGACCACAGACATCTAGTAAATCGCTAGAGGCATGTCAAAGTCAGAGAGTATGTTCCAGTAGTCTGTCTTACATACGTGGCACGATGGAGATATCAACAAAGCTGCAATAGAGTGACATCAGTCATGCGGGAAAACTGACATCTAACACAGTCTCAGCCCAGACCATGCAAGATTCAGACATTTACTGTAAACAGTAATTTAATGCCTTATAAGGATTGAGAATGATAGAGTGTTCAATAAGTAGAACTGAGTTAATTGATAAATGATTTGGGGAAAATTGATCCTTCAGAGCATACATCAAAATAAATGATAAGGAATGAACTATAAAAATGAAGCATCTAAAAGAATATAGAGGTAAACAGTTTCGTTAATGCTGGGATGGGGGAATTTTTTATAGTAATTAAGCAAAAGCCATAAAGGGAAAAAAATGAAAAATTTGCTTATGTAAACATTTTGAAACATCTATGTGGCCAAAAATACCATAGAACAAGTTTAAAAGCAAAAATTTGATCAGAAGAAATTATTTGCAATCTATTTCAAAGATTTCACAAAAGAATACAATAATCAGAAAACTGGCAAAGGACATAAACAGGTAACCCAAAAAATAATTGTAAATGACCAATAAAAATATGAAGAAAAGCTTCAATCTAAATGTTATACAGGCCAGGCGTAGTGGCTCACACCTGTAATCCCAGCACTTTGGGAGACCAATAATCACTTGAGGCCAGGAGTTCGAGACCAGCCTGGCCAACATGGTAAACCGCATCTCTACTAAAAATACAAAAATTAGCCGGGCAAGGGGGCATGTGCCTGTGATCCCTGCTACTCAGGAGGCTGAGACAGGCAAATCACTTGAGCCCAGGAGGTGGAGGTTGCAGTGAGCCAAGATGGCACCACTGCACTCCAGCCTGTGCAACAGAGTAAGACTCTGTCTCAAAAAAAAAAAAAAAAAAAATACATTTTGCCATTAAATTGTAAGGAGGCAATGTTGACAGTATAGGGAAGATGGTACCCTCAGCCATTGCTGGTGGAACTATAATTTTGTATCAGTCCTCCTAGATGTCAGATTGGCATTGTGTTGCAGATCCTCGACAACATGCATACCCTTTGACAAAGAAATTTAACTTCTAAGAATTATCCTAAAGAAATAATTGAATAAGTAAGTATGCAAACGTGGAATTAGAAGATGATAAATTTTATTTACAATAACAAAAATTGGAAGCAGCCTAATTGTCCAGTATTATTAGTTGTATCTATATAATAAAAGAGTATAGAGCCAATAACACAGGATTATATTTATTGACATGTAAAATAGTTATTGGCAAAGCAAGCCACAAAACTGTATATTCAATATAATTTCATCTTATTAAGAAAAATACGTATGTATATGCATGGGGAAAAAAAAAAACAGAAAAAACCTACCAAAACATGGATTAATTCTAGATGAATTGTGCCTGTTACAGGGGTAACAAAAAGAAGGGGGTTCCTCTAGGGGGCACCAACTCCCAAATACTGTGGAAGTTTCAGCCCAGAAAGGAGAGGTACTTGGTACCCATTTTAGGAATAGCTGAACTCACCGGTTCACTGGTTATTTTTCCTACACCCCAAAGGCCTCCTGGATGCTTCCACGATGTGAATTTAGACTGGGTGTCTTTTCTAATGAGAACATGCAGCCACAGCCCTTGGGTGTATGCTTTTAACAATGATTTTTCTGGTTCTTTGGCCGCTGGTTCATTGCCAGGTTCATGTTTACTTTCTGAATAAGCCTCTTAATGTCACAACTTTGTTCCATTACAGAATGCAACTGCCCTGCCTGGTACTTGGCGAAGAACAGACGTGCACTTAGAGAACCCAGAATACCACACCAGATGGTATTTCAAATATTTTTTAGGACAAGGTAATTATGCTATTGTGGTGGTAGGGAAGAAAGGGTATTCAAAATGGAAGTTAGTGTTCATATAACTTCTGGTATCCTATATGAGTGAAACTAGCCATTTTAGGAACACTAACATCAGGGCATTTCACTTCAAGGTCAGTAGTAAGCTTTGTAGGCTAAAAGATTCAGAGTCTCAGCCCTAAGAGTTTTTGCTCATAGTTTCCTTTTTTTATGGACAGTCATTTTTATCCCTGGAGAGCTAAAGATTAGATCATCTGAAAAAGTGATTTGAGAGATAAGACGAATTTTCCAGGGTGGAAAAACAACTTTAGACCTAACAAGGCAATTGCCCTGTCTATATTGGGTTTTGAATACTTAGTTCAAGGCAATGAGGGAAATAATTGGTTCCCTGAGCTCCAGGGCCTGTATAGAACTAGAGAGACATTAGACTGTAGACTCTGGCATCATTCATACATTCAACCATGACAAGTATTTATCACCTACTACATGCCAGGCAATGTGCAGAGCAATGGGGATACAGGGGCAAAGACACTCATGATATGGGTTTGGATCCTGATCCTGCCATTATTAATCAAAGGACCTTACACTAGCTACTCTCCATTTCTCTGAGACGCAGTTTTCCTTTCTGTAAAGTGGAGATATTACGAGTGCATATCTAGTAGGTTTGAATGGAAGTTTCAATGAGATATGCAGGAATAATACTAAGCCCAGTGCCTGGCACATACCAACAGCTCAGTCATTAATAGCTATGTACATTTAAAGTGAAGGGCTCAAGTGAAAATATACAGAAAGGTGGAAAACAGGAGTGTGGTTAATGACAAAAGATTTGGAGAATGGAAGAATAATCACTATTTTGAGA
The DNA here is from genome assembly GCF_000001405.40 of Homo sapiens. Taxonomy (NCBI): domain Eukaryota; kingdom Metazoa; phylum Chordata; class Mammalia; order Primates; family Hominidae; genus Homo; species Homo sapiens. The sequence continues at coordinate 127,312,595 of NC_000009.12, forward strand.
TTCAAAATGAGTTAGAGAAATTGCTTCTCAGGCTAATGTATTCATTTGTAGATATGATGCTTGAATGATGAAATGAGAGTGAGCAGACCTAAATGATGCCTTTAAAGAAACCTGACTGTGTATTATTGTAAGAAGTTCCTTTATTTGGCCAGGCAAAGTTTATTGGTGTGTGGGGGATACAGAAGCAGTTATTTTAAAAAAGGAAATCAGCAGGAAAACCGTCATCTTCCCAAACGCTTGCAAGTAGTGCTCAGAGCAGTGAGGACTTTAGAGAAAAATGGCGCCATGAGTTTGGATGCCTTCAGGTGCAGTAACAGAAAACCTGACTCAAACTGGCACAAACAGTAAAGGATATAACAAAAAACCCAGAGGCAGGGCAAGCCCCAGGCTTGGGGGATTCAGAGGCCCAGTAATGTCAAGGACCCAGGCCTTTTCCGTTTTTCTGCTTCCCCATCCTTAGTGTGGCAGCTTGGCCCTTGGGCTGGCCCTGTTCAGGGTCACAAGATGGATTCAGGAATTCCAGGCATCACTTCTAGACTCCACCAGGTCCAGAGGAAGAAGAAGACGGTATTTAGGAGTGAGGAAGCCTCTCTAGAAGCCCCTTGGCAGATTTCTCCAGTCTCATTGGCCAGAATTTGGTCACATGTTCATTCCTGAACCAGTCACTAGCAAGGGGCAGAGGAATACATGATCCCCCGAGAGAGATCAGGGTCCATCCCAAGCTGGCTTTGGGATTATTGTTCCCTGAGCATGTGGGAAGGGCTGGACACCACCTGCAGTGTCCTCTACCATCTGTGGCTGGCAGGATCAGTTGCATTCTCACTGTTCTAAACCTTTCTTTTCCAGTCCATCAGAACTACATTGGAAACGATGCCGAGAAGAGCCCTTTCTTCTTGTCCGTGACCCTTTCTGACCAAAACAATCAACGTGTCCCTCAATACCGTGCAATTCTTTGGAGAAAAACAGTAAGTATATGGCTCACACTTGAAGCAAAATTTATGCATCAGTTTCAGGAGATAACCCCTGTGCTGTGGAACTGTGTGCCAGTTTCTTCCAGGGCATGCCTCATAGTCTTCTCGTGATTCACCTCTGAGAAGTTGACAGTGCCTTTGCCCAAAGCACCTTATTTTCTGCACCAGGAGACTGTTTTCTGGCCTTTTGAAAAAAAAAAACTTATTTATTTTATGTTTGCTAATTACCGCATTCTAGTCTCTTCTGGTTTAAATATTTTCTTTGGGATGACTTTGTCTCTTTTGGGCAAAGAATCAAGCCTTTACAATTTTTTTGCCTCCTCCTGCTCCTCTTGTGGTTGGTATTTGTGCACATGGGGAGAGGGCTTATGAGACCTAATGGTCACAGAAGAGAACTGTGGATCCACATGGGCCCTCTGTCTGACTTCCGTTGTGGAGTGACTGATCCAACCTCTGAACTCGTGACCACGGAAGTATAGTTGATTCCTCTGGCTCTTTTGGGTCATTGGAAAGCATTTGCCCCTGAAACCCACAGTGCCAGCTATTTGCCTTTTGTTGTAAAGTCACTCCTTGTCCTGATCCCAGGTCTCCGCTAGTCTCTGAATCTCTTAGAAGCTCTCCATCCCTTCCTGGGGCACATCCGCTATGAGCTATAGGTCAGATGTGAGGAGGCAGGACCATTGCCATAGGCCTGTGTGTGTCATACTTCTGGTCATTAACATTTGCAGCCACTGAGTTGCTACCCTTCTCCAAGTTCAAACCAGGTGCTGCCTGGACTTAAGATTCCCGTGCAAGGCCATGCCCGGGAAGGGGCCTCTGGTTCAAATGCTCTGAGGTGCCTCCAGGTCTTCCCTTGACAGATTTACAGCATCCCACAATGCCTTCAAAGCCTGTCCTTGGCATGGGGGCATCAAGAGCCCTGGCATCCACCTCTTGGCTGGCCTTTCTTCCTTCACCCCTTCCTTCCTCCCTCCCTCCCCCTCCTTCACCCTCCCCCTCCCTCCCTCCCTCCAAGGCAGGAGAGGGTGGGTTTCCCCCTTCTTCTACTTTTCTGGAATGGACTTTCTCAATGTCCATATCTTCTTCCTCCAGGAAGTAGCAATCACATCCTCACTGAGATGGCTGCCATGTATGAGGAGAGACAGAGTGGGACAAATGCAGGGGGAACATTTGCTTATTTTAATTTCCAAAGATACTGTCTATATGACATTATAAGTTGTGATAAGCACTCTGAAGACAGAGAATGACAGAGCATGCTACAGGAGCCCCACTTAGATGAGACAGTTTAGGGAAAGCCTCCTGAGGCGGCGCCCAGGAAACAGAGGCCTGAAGATGGAAGGGAGCCAGTCATTTGACGAGTAGAAGGGGAATCAGAGAGTGTTCCAGGTAGAAGGAGCAACAAATGTGAGACAAACAAGGGTTACTCATACCTGGTATTAGAGAAGCCAAGGAGGTGGAATTTAAATCCCAGGACTGCTGTGAAGGCAGCATAGGGGCAGGGCATGATGAGAAGTGCCAGTGCCTTCACCCAACACCTCTTCCCTTGGCCTTCAGTTATGTGCCAAGGACAATGAGAGGGTTCTCAGCTGTTGATGGAAGTGCTGAAGGGAGGGAGGAACTGAGAAATCAAAACTGAGCATTGGCACAAGGGGTCAGTTATTAAGCCCCTCTTGGCCTGAAACTAGTGCTAGAGGCTATGGGAAGTCCACAGAAATATGTGATTCAACCCTCGCTCTCCCAACTGCCAGCACACATCTTCTAGGTTATAAAGCAGTTAGAAAACTAGCTAGGCCCAGCACAGTGGCTCATGCCTGTAATCCCAACATTTTGGGAGGTCGAGGTGGGAGGAGCACTTGAGCGCAGGAGTTCAAGACCAGCCTGGGCAACATAGCGAAACCTTGTCTCTATGAAAAATAAAATAAAAACTTAGCCATGCATGGTGGCTTACACCTGTAATCCCAGCTCTTTGGGAGGGTAAGGCAGGAGGATGGCTTGAGTCCAGGAGTTCAAGGCTGCAGTGAGCTATGATTGTACCACTGCACTCCAGCCTGAGCAACAGAGCAAGACCCTGTCTCTACAAAATCAAAGTAAGAAAGATAAAAAAAAAAAAACTAGCTAAACATATAACTCTACTCTACACAGTCTTGCATATCTCTACTGTGTTTCTTCTAAATACACAGAAATGGCTCACACAAATAAAATATGAAAAATGATTTGTACTTATTTTGAAAATTATATCCAAACAATACAGCAAGTGAAAAGAATCCAACTACTCAGAGATAATCACTGCAACAGGCTTCTAGACATCCGTCCCTGTAGACACACACCTGCACACACACACCTGTTACACAGGGTAATCTTCGATGTGCACTTCTGCATCCTTGCTGTGCTCACTGGGTGTAGCCTGATACATACATGCACTTGACTCTACCTGTGCATTTGATGCTTCCCCTGAACACAGAACCATTTTACTTAAACATTGACTCTGGAAGCTACAAAAGGGAGGAGATGAGGAAGAGCTTTACCAGTTTGTGGTGAAGAAAAACACAAATCCACAATCCCAGGAGCCCTGAGTTTCGCACCCACATAGGCAGCTCATGAAGGTGTCACTGTCACCCAGTGCAGCACTGGAGCCCTCTGCTGTGCCACACATTCCCCCGAGCTGCCCTTGGCTTCTCTTTAAAACTGCCTTTGGGCTGGGCAGGGTGGCTCATGCCTGTAATCCCAGCACTTTGGGAGGTCAAGGCAGAAGGATTGCATGGGACCAGGAGTTTGAGACCAGCCTGGGCAACATAGTGAGACCCTGCCTGCTACAAAAAAAAAATAAAAATAAAACTGCCTTTGGAGTGTTGGGTAAGAAGAAAAGGTAGTCAAGGTAGGATCTAAGCTAGAGGGGCAGATTCAAGACCATCTCTTAGACAGGGAATGCAGTGTAGGCTGGAGCCAGTTAAAAAGCAAAGCCACAGAAGAACTCGGGTTTCAATGGGAAGGACCTGTAGAATCAGAAAACGTGTATTTCTATCGTAATATTCATCTATAATTGGAAAAAAATTTAATCTCTGTAGCACAAACTACAAAAAGAAAAGCTCAGCCCAGTTTCCTTGGCTAATGGAGAACCCATAAGAAGGGCTCTCTCTAGTGCAACTTCTCATCCTCAGCTCCAAAGACATCCTCCTCCCTGGGCTGGAGAGGGGTGAGAGTAGCAGGTCTCCAAGGATGTAGTTATGAAAGTTTTGTTTATGCAACGAGACCATGGGCTTGGAAAGCTCAAAGAACTCCTCTCCCTTGCCATTGTTCAGAGCTTGGACAGATGAATTGGCAGATGTGTCCCAATAGCACAAGAAAAATCATATTTCTTTGCCCATTCCCTAAAAGAAATGTTCTTACCCTCCTCTAGCCGTTTGTGATGACAATTTTATTACTAATCAAAGTCAGGAAGAAAGTTTTAAATGTGTGGTATATGATAATCCCTTTTGCTAACTGTGTAGTGTGAACCTTTGTGGATCCTAAATCTATGTCACCTCTTCTTAGACGATTAGGAAGAGAATAGCACTCATCTGTTCCTGGGTGGTGTGGACGGGAGACTGAATCACTTAGGCAATTCTTCATTTCCTTTTTAGTCAAAATATATTCATTGAGTATTCCTATAATGAGTCACAGTTGGTACTCATTTAGGAGAAAGGAGACTTTAAATAAGAAAACACAGATAAATGTAAAAGTGTGCATTATGAAAATGTCTCTGAAAGATTCAGGGGATTTCTAGTTCAAAAAGTTTTTGACTGGGAGACATTATTTTTGGGTCCCATTGAACATGTGGAGACTGTTGTCTTATGGTCTTTGAGGCTTATTTGATGCTTGGCTCAGAGACCAAATTCCCAGCCGGGCGTGGTGGCTCATGCCTGTAATCCCAGCACTTTGGGAGGCTGAGACAGGCAGATCACTTGAGGTCAGGAGTTTGAGACCAGCCTGGCCAACATGGCAAAACCCCATCTCTACTAAAAATTAGCCAGGCATGGTGGTGCATGCCTGTAATCCCAGCTACTCGGGAGGCTGAGGCAGGAGAATCGCTTGAACCCAGGAGGCAGAGGTTGCATGAGCCGAGATCACACCACTGCGCTCCAGCCTAAGCAACAGAGCCAGACTCTGTCTCAAAAACAAAACAAAACAAAACAACAACAACAACAACAACGAAAAAACAAATTCCCTTCTCATCTGGTTCAGATGGCTCAAGTGCTCTCCATAATACCTAAGACACTGAAGACCTGTATGTTGAAGGCCATGCTGAAATCCACACATGTTGGGGTGGAGAGATCCTGGAAGTTGCTATCAAACCTGAGCAAGATTGTTTTCAGTCATAGAATGTGTTTATTCATATACATTCCCCTTGAGGAGAAAGAAGAAAGACTGGGCATGGCTTTCTTTTGAATGACCCGAGAGGCTCTTTTGGAGAAGGAAGTTGTAGAACTTGTCACTGATTTGATGTTTGGACTTTTCCAGGGTACCCAGAAAATATGCCTTCCCTACAGTCCCACAAAAACTCTTTCTGTGAAGTCCATCTTAAGGTGAGTTCTAATGGGTAGAAACCCCACACATGGATTTGGAGCCCTTTATACACTGTTTTTGCCTGTGATCATTCTGATGTTACCTTTCCATTGTCTTGAGCCTTGACTGTGTGTAAGATGTTTTGCTAAGCACTTGACATGACGTGCATCACCTCGTGTCATCATCACAGCAACCCTGTAGGGCAGGTGCTGTGACTGTGCCATTTTATAGATGAAATGGAGGTTCAGAGAGAGAAAGCCAAGATCATATAGCAAGTGTGTAGTGGAACCAAGGCCTGAGTCCAGGTCCAACTGATTTTGAGCATTGCTCTTAGGCATCTCTCCTTACTGCATTAGTTGCCAGCTTCTTTTTTCTTGCATGCACTCAGATACTTTAGTTTTATAAAGATAATCAAGAAATATTTTTCCTTCCATTTTTCTACCTTGAAATAGAAACCCAGATGTCAGCAAAGAATGTACTTATTCTTCGCCAGACAGAACGTTAAATGGATGGAACATCTGGCTGCTTCCTGCTCAGCCACCTCTCGTGCCCCCACCCTCCCACCTCCCTCTCATCTCTCTCCCATGCTTAGGTGGCAGCCTCCCCTAGGGAATGCCGCCACTTGGATCCAGCCTGTTGCTTTGTTACCAGCTAAGATGTTACATCATAGCTATGGTAGCTTCTGTTTGTCAGGCACTGTGCTGAATGCTTTATGAGTGTTCTCTGAGTCAATCTTTAGCTCCATGAAGTAGATCTATTATTATCTCCACTCCACTTATCAGGAATTGGAGCCTCAGAGAAGTGAAGGGATCTGACAAAGATCTCACAGCTGGTAAATCACGGAGCTGGAGTCCATGTGACTCCAGAGCTTGGGCTGTTTAACCACTAATGCCCTATCGTATGAAGGGCAAAGCTTATCTCAGAGCCCTAGTGATTTCCTCTCTATTCGTCTGCAGCTACATGGTGGTAGATGTGTTTCCAGTGTTCCCAGGTGACACCTAATAGCTACAACTCATCCTTACCAAAATGGCTCTTACAGTGACAAACTTGACTCTATCTGTTGGGGACTGCATCTGGCTGACTGAAAGGCACCAAGGCCGGGCGCAATGGTGCACGCCTGTAATCTCAGCACTTTGGGAGGCCAAGTCAGGCAGATCATGAGGTCAGGAGTTCGAGACCAGCCTGGCCAATATAGTGAAACCCCGTCTCTACTAAAATACAAAAATTAGCCAGGTGTGGTGGCACACACCTGTAGTCTCAGCTACTCGGGAGGCTGAGGTGGGAGAATTGCTTGAACCTGGGAGGTGGAGGGTGCAGTGAGCTGAGACCATGCTATTGCACTCTAACCTGGGTGACAGAGTGAGACTGTGTCTCAAAAAAATAAAAAAAAAAGGAACCAAGATTAAGAAGTGAAAAATGTTATATCCCACTTTCAAGCTTAGTTTGGTCTCCAGATTGCAGACCTTTTCCTGTCTGCTCTGTATCTTCTGATTTTTCTTCTGAGCAGTTCTAAAGCCTGAGTTAAGCCTCTCCACCAAGAGGCTAACATTTTTGCTGAGCACAGAAATATCCTGCTGCTTTCAAGGAACTATAAATCTTAATTTGCTTGGAGAGTAATACCTTAAATTATACTGGTTTAAGATTTCTGTGAATTCTTTTTTCTAAAAAGAAGTTTACTCTAGCTCCTTTCTTCTTTAAGAACGTTTAAAAACTAGGCATTTCATTTGTTATAATTTCATTTAGTTTATGAGCAAGTCTTAGCTTTTCAGTATACCCTCATAGCTGGAGCAAGGTACAGCAAGATTTTAAAGATATGACAAACTACACATTCTACAGTTGCTGCCAGCAGAGAAAAGATTTTATCTTCTTTTGTTACAAGAATGAACTTGAAAACTTAAAAGGAAATTAAAATATAAATACTACAGAGTCACATAAGCCTAGATTCAAGTCCTGGCTCTGCTTTTTACCAGATCTTTTTCCTGTTATTTAACTTCTGAGCTTCAATTTCCTGGGGCTAAAATAGTACTTGCCTCATAAGGACTAAATGAGAAAATTCATGAAAAGCATTTATTACAGTGTCTGGTGTATTGTAAGTAGTCTAGAAGTTCGTTATTATTTTTAACTTTCACTTATAAATATTGGAATATTAGCTGAAAGGAACTCTAGAGATCTATTTCAATCTCCTTGTTTTACCTCTATAGGAACTTAGGTTCAAGGGAATTTACGTTGCTTGTCCAAAGTAAAACATTTTAAAAAGTCTTGTTAAGGATGGTCTTTTGCCCTATGTGGCATAGAAATTTCAGTTAAATCTTAATTACATTCATTACTTTTAGTAAATAAAAATAAGAATCTAGAAGAATAGCCAAGGTTACCTGAAACAGATGTTCCTGATTTCTCTCTCCCTCTCTTATGAGTATCACTAGGAGCCAGTTATATAAGTCAAGTACATGTGGTGTTGGTTACTTTCATCTGTTTGTTCATTGATAACTCATTTGTTGATTTGTATCTTCTGAGTGTCAGGCCCTTTAGGGAAAACAGCTGTGATTTTCTAGAAGCTCCTTTTTAGCTTCTCTGATGCTGCAGCTCATCCTGTCCATTCTATTTCAGTGCCATGAATCTGGACAAATTTGAGAAAGGCCCCAGGGAAATTTTTCATCCTGAAATACAAAAGGTAACAGAAAATTTTATGCTTCATAATTGTACAAAATTGATTACAGTGTTAGGATAGAACTGACAGGTCATCATAATCCTTATCCTGGGATGCAAAGCCAAATCACCTATGCAACTTTAAAAAAATCATCATGGGAGAACCTCACACCTAAGGTTCTGATTTGATGGGTCTATGGTAGGGCCTGGGTATCTGAGTTTTTCAGAAGTTCCTCAAGTGATTCTAATGCGTAGCCACTCCTGAGAACCGCAGAACTGTCCTCAATCCACGAACCAATAGGGTGTACATTCAGAAAAATCTTATTGGCTTAAAAGCTACCCTTTTTACTGAGTAATATAGAATTGTGTGGAACATTAAAGAATTTTTTTTTTAATCGAAATGGAGTTTCACTCTTGTGGCCCAGGCTAGAGTGCAATGGTGCGATCTCAGCTCACTGCAACCTCTGCCTCCTGGGTTCAAGCGATTCTCCTGCCTCAGCCTCTAGTAGCTGGGATTACAGGTACCTGCCACCGTGCCCAGCTAATTTAGTAGAGATGGGGTTTCACCATGTTAGCTGGTCTCAAACTCCTGACCTCAGGTGATCCACCTGCCTCAGGCTCCCAAAGGTGCTGAGATTACAGGCGTGAGCCACCACGCCCAGCCTGGAATGTTAAAGAGATTTTTAAAAAGTTAATAAATACAAAACGTGGTCGATTGAGCTCTTACTCATGTAGTAGACTGCGCTGGCTACCATCGAGGATAAAAGGTATCCAGAAAGCCATTCCTGTTTTCTTAGGTCTTACTGTTAAGGGAAAACAATCTGCCTTAGGAGAGAAAAAAATTTAGTCATAATTTAGGTGACGGTTTATCAGAAAAATGTCAACCAAACTTTTGTCTTGTAGTTATAACCAATTTAGCTTTGAAACTTACAAACACAGCCATCACTAGTAGAGTGCCTGTCATGTGTGAAGCTGAGATTGAAGTAGTTGGGTACGCCAGGGATGGGTGACAAGAGAGGAGGCTGGAGAGGCAGGCTAGAATTCTATCCAGGAGGCAGCAGGGAGCCAGTAGAACCTTTAAGCAGGGAGCATCGTGCTCAAATTTGCTTTTAGGTAAATAGCAAGAGGAGGACTGATTGGAACATGAACAATCTTTGCTTGTATATCTTTAAAATACGGTTAGCTTTTAAAATAAGGTTATCAACTCTTGGCTTACCCCAAATATAGAGAGTTGTGAATTCTCATATCTTTTGTTTTGATGTAATTTTTAAAATAGTATTTACATCCAGCCTCAACCCCAGACGGAACTCAGGCAAAAATGGGTATGTTAGTTTAAACTGTAAGCGACTTTAAGCCATCCAGGCTTATTACAAGTGATACTTTATAGCAAATTTTAAAACAAACTAGAATTATAAATATGTCAGTACCCATGTGTCCTTATTACTTCACTCACACAGGTTATTATTCCTAATCCTTCTTTAAGCCTTGGTCTGATCCCCCACACCAACTCTGCTTCCCAGACACGGAGCCCCAAAACCCACAGAGCCAGAGCTCTGTGATGCTTCTTTCTGCCTCTTGCTACTGAGCCAGTTCCCTCGGCAGAGCTCACCTCTGCTCAGTCATCCCTGTCTGATTTTTCTAGGAGAGGAAAAGAAAAAAAAAAAAGATATAGCAGCATTCTGCCTATTTATATCACAACTCTGTGCCTGTTTTTACCAAACAAAAGGTACTTTTATGCTTTCCTACATTTGTATTTTGGCTTTTTTCCCCTTAACAAAAGGAACCATTTGTGAACTTTCCCCTTGTCCTCTGTGTGTGTGAGTGTGCATGTGTGTGTGAATTTGCACATGTGTATGAGGCTCAGAGATGCAGGGTGAAGGCTGTCATCACATTTCTGTAGATTTCCCTTAGGAAGAGTTGAGCAACAGGCTTTAGGTAGAGAGGAAAGAGTTCTTAAAAATGGTAGGAGCCAGAGAGTAAACAGAAAGTAAACCAACTGTGTTATAAAGAAGGCATCTTTCCACAAAGAGGGAAGGTGGCTGGTGCTGTTTTTAAATGTTATTTGTCTGTTTCTGGCTGCTATACTGTAGTAACATTTTCCTTGACCAAAATCCAGAAGCAATGTGTGATTAAGCTAGCTTTAAATGGATAGAGAAAAAAGGGTATCTGTGTGTTTCTTCCCACTCCTACCCATCAAGTTTGTTTCCAGATAGTTGCGATATGTTTCCTAAATGACCAGGTATTTTATAAAAACCGGTAGAGCTAAATTTGATTTTTAAAACACTTCTAGGTTTAAAAAGTGTATGTAAAATCACTCTCCCAAATCTCATATATATGAAAAAAATCAGTGTCAGCCTCAAACTAATGATTAGAATCATGCATACATCAAAAGTAATGCCAGTAGGACTGTATTGAGAAACACCATTACTAGCCAAAATTATACTTTCTGGGCTAAAATTACACACTAGAAAGCAGCAAAAAAGAGGACTTCCGATGCTCACAAATTCAGGAACAAGAATATTTTAAAAATCTGAATTATGTTAAGTGGGACATTGGCAAACCAGGGCAAATTGCAGGACTATTCGCTTCTGAACAAATGTAATCCAAAATAAAGAAACTGCAACATAAATGTAACCTGACAGCCTATGACATCCCTCCTGCCTCTACAGCTGAGTGTTGAGACTCTAGCCCTGAGCTCAGCCGGGACTCCTGTTGCAAGGCTCTGATTCCTTCAGCCTAGCCCACTGAGGAGCAGCCTCTATTACCAGGCCAGGGACTGGTTGCAAAACATCCCAGTCCTAATGCTTGCAGGGCTAGTGGCAATTGAGAAGCTGAGAGGTGCGATCCTTTTCTTATTCACCACAGTTAGCAAGGAAGGAGCACTGGCGTGGGTGTTAAAAGGACTGGGCGTGAGATTCAGAGCTGACACTTACAGGCCACGTGACCTTAACTGGGGATCCAATTCCTCCACCTGTGATTCAGGAACAATTAAACTGCACCCCCCCATAAATATATATATATACACCTACTGATGTACCCATAAAAATTAAAAATAAAAAAATTAATAAAAACCACAAGGTGTTGAGGAAGATCAAAGTAAACCATGGAAAGAGAGAATTTTGTAATGACATACACAGTGACATGCAAACATAATGTCCCAATGTAAAAAATGTGTAACATAATTTTATTTTTTCCCAGAATTCAGAAATAATACAGCCAGGCGTGGTGGCTCACGCTTGTAATCCCAGCACTTTGGGAGGCTGAAGCAGGAGGATTGCTTGAGCCCAGGAATTGGAGACCAGTCTGGGCAATATAGTGGAACCCCATCTCTACAAATAATACAAAAAAATAGCTGGGTATGATGGTACACACCCATAGTCCCAGCTACTTGGGAAGCTGAGGTGGGAGGATTGCTTGAGCTCATGAGGTCGAGGCTGCAATGAGCCAAGGTCGCACCACTGTGCTCCAGCCTGGGGGACAGAGCCAGACCCTGTCTCTTTAAAAAAACAAAAAAAGAAAGAATAAAATAATAAAGATGGCTGAGTTCTGAATGAAAGAGGCTTTCTGTTAAATAAAATGGAGGTTTGTATGCCTCTTACAGTTCTTTCAGAATTGCCATGTCTCCAGTTGACACAGCTCTTCCCCAGAGAGTCTTGGGCCAGAAGGAGGATGAGGGTCCCTCCAGCCTCCGTGCCTCCATCCTGACCCTCGTCGCCTCTGCACTGTCCCCATGGCTCACCTGGGCCATTCCTTCCCACTCCGTTCAGCCACAGGGTCCCTGTCAGAGCCTTGGCTTTGGTGTCCGCTTATCAACCAGAATCTACTTTTTTAGAAGTTCTGGAAAAGATGGGACTTCCTTGTAATAAGTTTACAAACTTTTATATGGGGTGACTAAGAATGAAAAGGAAAGTAATTTAAGTTGATTAAATCTCCGTTGTGTACCAGGTCTTCCACACACGCTGACAGTGATCTTCACAGGGGTTAAGACAGAAGGAAGGAGAGACCCAAATAGATTAAATGACTTATGCCCAAACACAGTTAAGAATGCGACAGCAGGGATTCAAAGGATTGTTTAGGTTTGCTGCTCCATGCTGCTCTTACGAGATGGTCTTATAGGGGAAAAAGATCCAAGACTCGTGGCACCCACCTTTGTCATAGTTGGGTTTTTTTCCCCCAAACAAAGCTCCTATAACCAACTTTTAAAATTATTTTCAAAATGTCAGTGTGAGCAAACCAAAGCTTGGCTTTCACAGCAAGTCAAAATGAAATAATTACTGTTATGCCTGGATGTAACTTTTAAAACTTTATTTGACAGGACTTGCTGGTTCTTGAAGAACAAGAGGTGAGTAATTCTATGGAGATATTTGCACCTGCTCTGCCTCCATGTTTGTAAATATATTTCTCCTTTCACTGTGAACCCAGCCTTTGCTTTCAGCCAAATCTCCATGTAGATTTGCACAGTGGGACACATTGCGCGGAAAGAACTTACTGGCATGTATTTTTAAGGTATATTTTAGAATTTTCTATGCATCTAGCTATAAAGCTATGAAAACAATCAAACTACTTAAATCTGCTTGGAAACATTTAATGTGTTAAGCTTATGATCAGGGTGAGTAATGAGGTTTTAATTTTCATTAAAGTAGGGTGTGTGTGCTTTATTAGGATGCTCTTAATATACAAAATGCTGAATTTATTTGCATGTTGCCATTCCCTGTTGCCCCCATTAAAAATATAAATATATTGGATTTTCTAAGTATATAACTAACATAGGGAAATATCTAAAATATTATCAATAGGCAATGGAGTAAATAAATTATGGTTTATGTATCTTATCCCTCTCAGTAAATAGCAGTATCTTTTGTCTTGTTGCTCAGGCCAAACTTGGAAAAATCCTTAATCCATGTCTTTCTCTCTCATCCTATATCTAACCTATCAGCACATCCTGGTGACACCTCTTCATAAAATATCCCTAATCCAAACACTTCTCAACACTTCTACCACAACCACTCTGGTGTGGGGATGCCACCCCATCCTCTCTTGCCTGGGCTCTGCAGACTCTCCTAACTCTTTTCCTGGCTTCCACTCTCACCCTCTCTTCTGGTTTCCAGATAGTAGCCAGTTGTCCTTTTGAAACATGTGGAATCGGGTCATCTCTCTGCTCAAAACTCTAAAGGTTTCCTGTCCTGTTCAAAGGGAAGCCCCAGATCCTGACCCTGGCCTGCTGGAGCCTGCATGATCTGGCCCCTCTACCTCTCCAATCGTCAGCTCCACACTCAACATACTGAATTCCTTATTCTTCCATCTCCTCAGAAAGAGCCTATAGTTCCCACTGCTGGGGATGCTTGTCCCCCAGATGTCCTCACTTAATCAGGACCTCTGCTCAGAGAGACCTTCCCTGACCACTCTGTCTAGAATAGTACACCCTGCCTGTCACCCTTAGCCTCTTTGATTTTTCTTAATGCTGGTATTTTCATTTGTGTGCTTATTATCTGTCTCCCCCATGAGAATAAAAGCACCATGAGAGCGGAGACTATAAGCACCATGAGAACAGAGACTTCTTTAATTTTGTGTTCCCAGATCCTAGAACAGTAAAAATAGAAGGTATAGAGTAAGTATTTGTTGGTTGAACAAGTGATTGATTGATTGATGATTGATTGATTGAATGAATATATTATGAAATGCTATGATGCCATTAGAAAAAATAAGGTAGTAACACAAAGGATAAATGCTTGAGAGGATGGATACCCCGTTCCCCATGATGTGATTATTACACATTGCATGCCTGTATCAAAACATCTCATGTACCCCATAAATATAACTACTAATATATAATACACCTAATATATAATACTAATGTATAATACACCTACTATGCACCCATAGTGCAAGAGTGAGATAGAGTACTATGGTCTGAATGCTTGTGTCCCCCCAAAATTCATATGTTAAAGCCTGCCTACCAATGTGGTGGTATTAGGAGGTGGGGCCTTGGGAAGTAATTAGGTCATGAGGGGGGAGCCCTTGTGAATGGGATTAGTGCCCTTATAAACAAGGGAGCTTGTTTGCCCCTTTCACCACATGGGCATGTAGCAAGAAGCCACCATCTATTAACCCAGAATATGCCCCGCCCCAGACACCGAATCTTCCACTGCCTTGATATTGGACCTCCCAGCCTCCAGAACTGTGAGAAATAAATTTCTGTTATTTTTAAGCCACCCAGTCTATGGTATTTTGTTATAGCAGCCCAAATAGACCAAGACATAGACCTTTACTTATTGGCATGGAAAGATTGCCATCACATAGTATTTACTGAAAAAAGCAACTCACAGGACATTATTTACGTATAATCCCAATTATGTTTTTATAAACAAATATTTTTATGTATATTCATTCATTCATTGATTCAACACATACTTATTGAGCTCCTACCGTGCATGTACCATGTACTGTTTGAGGCGTTGCGGATACATCAGTGAGCAAGAAAGGTCCCTTCTTCACGGAGCTTACAGTCTGGTGGGGTAAGACAAGCTAAACAAGTAAACAAACAAACAGAAACATGGTAAGACCAGTAACCCCAAGAGCTGTGAAGAAAGTAATGCACAGAGGTGGGGTGTGTGGTGAGGGGGTAGGTTTTTTACATTGAACAGAGAAGGTTTCTCTGAGGCAGGGACACCTCAGTTGATTCTTGAACATGTGGATGTAAATACAAAGAAGGGGCTGAAAGGATGCACCCCAAATTGTTGGCGGGAGTTGCTTTTGGGCAGGACAGTGGAACTGGGGTGGGATGCAGCAGAGAGCAGGCAAAGGGAGATGCTTGCTTTTTTTATTTTTTAAGAGAGGGTCTCGCTATATTGCCCACGCTGACTTCCAACTCCTGGGTTCAAGTGATCCTCCCGGCTCAGCCTCCTGAGTAGCTGGAACTTCAGGCTCATACCACCATGCCTGACTACATTTTTATCCGTATTTTGTCCATCTTAGATTCATGCTTGTTGCAGGAGAATTTATGGACTTCACATGTAATTTGTAAAAGGCAAAAAGTAAAAAAATCACATTTCTGGTAAAAATTTGAAAAAGAAATACACAAAAGATAAAAGGAAAAAATCACCTGCAGTCACAAAGACAACTGCTATTAACATTTTGGTATATATGTTTGTTACGTTTTATATAAAATTAGGATTATATATAGCTTTTGTATCTCAAAATTACTCTGTTCATTAATCCACAGATATTTATTGAGCACCCACTGAGTGCATGCACATGCCTGTTGTAACAAACAAACAATAGAGAGAATGCACTGATGGGAAATGTGAACACTTACTTCCCCTGCCCCGACTTCACCACTTTTTCAGGGGCTGGACCCTGAAAGAACGCCTGTTCACTGTTCATTGCATCCTCCTCTGCTTTTTTTGAAACTCCCAAGTTGTGAAAAATAAGTTGCTGATCTCTTTATTTTTCAATTTTATTTCCTTATTAGGGGGATATTAGCTTGAGACAACACTAGTCACTTGTCATGACATCTTGGAGTGTGAACAATGGCCATGATCCTCCAGAGCTTCTCTGAGAGCTGTGTGGCGAGGCACTCTATTTAATCCTGCTGCTTCTCAACTGGGATAAATTGGGAGCATTTATCCCAATTCCAGCCTATTCTAGTGGTAAACTATTAGCTGCAAAGATGGGCAGGTAATCCAATAAAGAATACTAGTGAGGCTCCCGAAAGGTTAGCACTTTGGTAAAATGATGTCAGTGTCCTGAAACCCATGTTTTGTTTGCTGCATAGAGAGGCACCCCCACAAGAGAACATGGCATCCCAAGCTGTACTACACATGGAGAGAGGAAAGATGTGTAGGAACTTGTGGAACCCTAGAAATATGGAGGTGTTGCCTAAACAAGAGTAACAAGGAACCAGGGGTGTCTCATTTTGAATAAGGCCATCATTTCTCAGGTCCAAAAAATTCTTCTGGAATCATTGGGACTTTAGTTTCCCCCCATAGTTTGTTTTTCTCAGAAGAACTATAATTCATAGCATACTACTGATTTCCAAGAATGTGACTGCCTGTTGGTTTGTAATCAGGTTGAGTTTTGTCTTGTAAAATTTAGAACTTAGAAAATTTAAATTCCATCCAAGCAGGAATGACAGATGTGACCTTATCTGTATGTTGAATGTCTGAGCAAGACTTACATCCTGAGAAAACCAGTACCTGTGAATTCCCTCCAGCAGCACCTCCCTCCAGGGACCCAGGTCTGGCCTTGAGACCTTGAGAGCTCTGAATGGCTGGTTAAAATATTATCTGCGACAGTCCACTTGCACCAGATCAAACTATCCCCTCCTAAAATATGAAATACCTCATTATAATGAGCCATACCTTGATTTCTGGAGATAGGTGAAAACTGTTAGTCATGGACATAATTTGGGAAGTCCTGGACACCATATTACCTAAATGAGGCTGTATAAGTAGGTTCAAGTACTTAACAAGTACTTCCAGTCTTTCTGGAATCTCCACCTGAAACAGGAGGATTTCATATAATTTATCATTTAAACTGGGACCCTTTGAGAGTAATTACTAATAACATCAGGACAACAGATAAAACAGATATAAGCTAGGGCTGTCTTGGCAAACTTGGACACATGATCTCCCTACCTTGAAGATCCTACACCCTTGGGTGCACAGGTACTTAAAAGACCCCCATCATGCAACCCTTGCTGCTTTACAGACTTTGCTCTTGTCTGACCCTAATAACTTGTGATGAAGACTTGACAAGACCTTGCAAAACCAGTCTTTCTGGAGTCTCCACCTGAAGCAGAAGAGGTCCTCAGCAGGGGTATGGTAGCATGGTGCCAGTCTCAGAGCAATCCTATAAAACCTTTTAAAAGCATTGGCCAGTGATCAGGTGGTAGTAGGCCCCATCTCTGCTTGTACATCTCAGTTTCACTTGAAACTTTTCAGAGAAGATTATGCCATGATACTGGAAAGAATGCTGGATCAAAAGTCAGAAGACCCAAGTTCCAGCTCCGGTCCTACCGTTCACTTAGTTCCAGCCATGCGCAAGTCCCTGTCTTCCCTGAGCTTCCCTGTCCTGTCTTAAAATAAAAGCATGGACTCAGTGGACTATAGGGTCCTTTCTGGTTTTAGCAGGCTGTCAGTTTATGGCTCAGAGTTATGGTCATTGACCTAGTCCTTCTTGCTAGCTGTCAGCTCAGCTGGACCTGATCCTGGGCCTCCTGACAGCCTCTTGGTTTTTTCTTTAGTCTAGTGGTTCTCAAAGTGGGGGCCCTAGGCCAGCAGTATCAGCATCACCTCGGAACTTGTTAGAAATGCAAATTATCAGGCCCTATCCCAAACCTGCTGAATTGAAAACTCCTGGGGTGGAACCCAGCAATCTTCAGTTTAACAAGCCCTTCAGGTGATTCTGATGCCTAGTCAAGTTTGAGAACCACTACTGTAGTTCCTGCACTATTATTCTAAGAGGATCATATGTCAGACCCCAAATTACTGTAGGTGCTTTTTAAGGGACCCTTGAGACATGTGCTTACTGTCATCACTTCGAAAACAGAGAAAGAAAAGTTATAAACCATAAAACCCTAAAGTGAATAGAGGTCCCTGGAAACATTCTAAGAAATTTATCAAATGCTAGTTTGTAAGGAAGCAGTGATCATTTGGAGACATCGTATGAAAAATAAGTTGTTTCTGACAAAGTTTCTTTTCTCATTTATTATGCATACAGTCACTTATGTCATGAATATTTATTAATCTTTTCCAATGTACTATGGTCAACACTGGGGATTCAATGGAAAGAAAACAGTGTATGATTTCTCCTGCACAGGACTCAGGTTCTAGTGGTAGAAACAGATACGCAAGTTCAATAAAAGATTTACAGAGTGTAAATAGTGCTTCGAGGAGAATAAACAAGGTTCTCCGATGGAGAATAACAGCAGGAAGGAGGGTGGCTTTATATGGGGAGATCAGGAAAGGCCACTCTGGAAATTGACACTTGAGCTGAAACCTACGTGATGGGAGAGAGCCAGTCATCCCCGGAACTGTGGAAGAGTTCCAGGTGGAGGGGTCAGTTTGGGAGTGTCCTCTCTCTTCCTGTATAGAAAACCACTGTTAGTGATGAGTGTGCATCTCAGGTGTGTTGGGGACAGAAAAATGTTCGGATGCACAGCCTTAGAACTTGGATTTTCGGATTTTTAATACTCTCAGATCCAGCTATCCTGAATCCTGGCAATCGCCTTGACTTCCTGCCTCTGACCCATTGGCCAGTGTGCTTTAAATATCTTTGTCCCTTGTCTACCCTTAATTGACCACCAAGAATTTCTTCATCTAGTGGTGGGTCAACCAACCTTGTAGAGGTCGATTCTCTTCCAACATTTGATTTTGTGTTTATTATGAAATACTTCAGGTATACAAAAAAAAGTATAGGGAATAACATAATGAAGACCTACAAAACCACTACTGGCCGGGCATGGTGGCTCACACCTGTAATCCCAGCACTTTGGGAGGCTGAGGCAGGTGGATTGCCTGAGGTCAGGAGTTCAAGACCAGTCTGGCCAACATGGTGAAACCCCATCTCTACTAAAAATACAAAAAAAAATTAGCCAGGCATGGTGGCATATGCTTGTAATCCCAGCTACTCAGGAGGCTGAGGCAGGGGAATTGCTTGAACCAGGGAGGTGGAGGTTGCAGTGAGCTGAGATCACGCCACTGCACTCCAGCCTGGGTGACAGAGTAAGACTCTGTCTCAAAAAAAGAAAGAAAAAAAAAAACCACTACCCAATTTAAGGAAGAAAAGCATTAAAAATATGATTGAGTCCCTGTTTACGCCTCCCTGCCCCTGTTCCTCTGTCTTCCTCCCTTCCCTGTGGAAGCTGCTATCTATCATTTCCACCAGATCAGAATTAATTCGGTTTAAAGTTGGAGATGGTAGATTGCACATTTGTACCAGCTACTGCTTGCTTGGCTTGGGCTTGCTTTTTTTTTTTTTTTCACATCTGTTTTGTGACTTCTTCAGATTGAATATCTTTAGGAATTGGGGAAAATGAGCTTTTAGTATAAATTGCCTATAATTTTCATTTCTGTGTCTAAAAGAGTCCACAATATATCAGCCTGAGATTATGTTAAGCTTTGAATTACAACGAACTCTTCTTCGCTGACTGGGATTTGGACGGTTGCTCATGGGTTGATTGGAAGATGGTGCCAGGCCTGTGAGTTCCTGTGGCCATTTGTTGGAACCCTGTTTTGCCACAGAACAGAACTGGTATCCTAGAGATGCCATTAGTAATGAAATTACAAATGAACGAATTCATAAAAGCATACAGTCTCATCTGTAAGCTATAAATACCTATCAAAATGAAGGAATGATTGTTGTTAACATTGGTCAATAACCCAGATGGATGGGAGGAAGGGATCCCCTGACTGTCCATCCTGGTGACTGCCATTGTGCTAAGTCACGAACAGCCCATCTCAAAACTATATACGCTGTGATGATAAAATTAACTGTAACACCTTTTGTTATTATCCTAAGGGCTCTGTGAATTTCAAGTTTGGGGTTCTTTTTGCCAAAGATGGGCAGCTCACTGATGATGAGATGTTCAGCAATGGTGAGTGATCTCCTCCCGCTCTCTGCTGCCAGAGACCCTGTCCTGCCTTGTTGCATTCTTGCCAGTTGGAGCTTAACTTGTCTGTTGAGTTGGAGTCTTTAATACGAGGAGATAGTTTTACACAATTTCAGCGTGAATTTTGTAGGGCAGTTGTTGCCCAGTTTCATTCATTTGGCAAATATTTATTGATCACCTCGTTTGTACCCAGTCACTGTTCCGGGCACTGGAGAGACAGAAGAGCACATGGGATTTGGAGAATTTGGTTCTACACAGTCCCAAGAGCAGTGGAAGATTTTTCTGTGATTTTTATGAGAGGAAGAATTATAAGATGGCGTCATCTTCCTAATATTTAGCACTTTTCGTGTTAAATACCTGCTTATTCTGAACGCAAGCAGTAATAACATTTTTGTTTTGCGATAGTAAACACCTGTGGTCCCAGGCTGGCAGTAGTAAGCTGGGTTCATCTGATTCTGCAGTTTTCCTTTCCTTGGAGTCCTGGGAATTGTGGGGCTTCCTCATGGTGCTCAAGAAGAAGGAAATGTGACTTACCCATGCTGTTTACCATGCATGAATCGGCAGAGCCCAGTTAATTTTCCAGCGATTCCGGTCCATAGTTAGAAAATGAGGACTTGTTGATGCCCATACTTTCCTCATACTCTACTTCTTCCTGCAGAAATTGGAAGCGAGCCTTTTCAAAAATTTTTAAATCTTCTGGGTGACACAATCACTCTAAAGGGCTGGACGGGCTACCGTGGCGGTCTGGATACCAAAAGTAAGCCTGCCTCTTGATCTATTCTGTTGTAATTTGTATAACTTTTGTAAGTCAGCCTGACCCGTGTCTGAACTTATACCAGAGAAGGGGGAAGGGATGGATGAGAGAAGACTGGAGGGAGGTGAGCTCCACACCCTGTTCAACATAGAGTCATGGACCTGTTTGGCATTTCCATTGAGCTTCGTAAAACTAAATCAGCCCTCACAGCCCTGGACAGTGTCAGAAGTCCTGGTCTGCCCATGAATATTACTGCTCAGCACCATCTGTGTGCCAGGACTCTGGGGATATAGAAGTGGATAAACCAACATGGGGTCCTCCTTTCTAGGAGCCTGCAGTCCAGGGGACATCCAGCAGATGTTATGCAGATAATCATCAAATGGTTTAGCACTAAGTACAGAAGGCAACTGAGAAGAAAAAGTACAGAGTGCTATGGGGCATTTTGCCTAATCTGGGGGATTAAGGAAGGCTTCTCTGAGCTTTTTTGAGGCCAGAGGGAGGGGCGAGTCGGAATAATTGGAGGGTCTCGAGGGGAGAAGAGAATTCCAAGCAGAGAGAACATCCATGAAGACCTTGTGGCAGAAAAGAACATGTTGTGTTCTAGAAACTAAGAGAATTTGTTTATGGCTGGAGGGAACGAGGCACTGAGAATGATGCAATGTGGCCTGGAGTAGGAGAGGGGGCATGACCCTGAAGGGAGTTTTGAGGTTATATTAATAAGTCTGCATTTTATTCTCTGTCATTAAGGGGTTTCAAGTAGGGGAGTGGTGAGATTAGATCTGTACCTTTGAGCAGACAGGGGAGGCAGAGGAGAAGCCTGCTCTCAGAGGCTGTGGCAACAGTCCAAACAAGAGACAGGGTTGCCTTGGGAGAGGGCCATAGGTCAGAAGGGAGACAGGGGAACTAATTCAAGAGCCATTTTCATGGTAGAATTGGCAAGTGGAGGTTGAAAGAGGAGACAGTACTTGAAGACACTTCAGGGTTTCTGCCCTGGGTAGCTGGGTGGGGTTGGCACCAGCGGTGAGATTGGAAACACCTGAAAGGAAGCATTTTGAGGATGGGGGCCTGAGTGGGGAAGGTAGGTAAGATTACAAGCTTAGGGTTGGAAGTTCTTTCACCATCTCATTTTTGTGTAGCATTGCTAGCTTTTCCCTTTGTTTCTGTTTTTTTGCTTTATTTGATCTTCACAGTCAGTCCTTGAGGTAAGTCAGGCAGCGGGTGTGAGGCCCTTTTGGCCTAATAGTGATAGGCTTCGAGTGCAGGTCTCCTTACCCTCTGGGAGCCTCATCTTCCCACCAGCCTGCCATGGCATCACGGATTCTGAATTCGGGAGAGCTAAGTGTGCCCTAACTGACAGATGCAGGGATAGGGGATTGGGCCCCAGTTGTCAGGTTCCAGCTTCACTCGAACACACATAGAGTGCACAAGGTGAATTCTTCAATGCCTGCCTCTCATACCCCCGCTGCCAACCCTCAGCGTCTCCAATATGGTCATAACAACCATCCACTGAGCCCTTGATACAGCCAGGCATTCTGCTAAGCACTTTGCAAATATAATCTCATTGAGTCTCCCCAATATCCCTAGGAGTTAGATACGACTTTTATCCTCATTTTCAAATTAAGGAACTGAGGCTCAGAGAGAAGTGAGGTAACTTGTCAAAAGCCACATAGCCAATGACAAATTGAATCCAAGTCGGCCTCATTGTAAAGCCTTTGCTTTTAATCACAAACAATTCTGTCACAAATACCACTTCCTTTTGGCTTATGGACATAATTGTTTGTGTCATCTTGTGTTAATTTCATCCCGTACCTCCCACAGCAACTGCAAGGCAAGGAAGCTCAATACTCTCCTCTTTAGCCTGGACTTCTTATGACCTTCTCCATTCTGAGGCAAGGCATGAATTGGACAGCAAGTGAGCTTAGGGAGAGAGGAAGAGGCCTTTCCATGTGGGGGGTTGCATCAAGTGGAGGGTTGTTGCTTCCATGCAGGTGGATAATCCAAATATCTTGGAGAATGTCCTGTATACAGTATTTCCCTAGTCTGCAAATGAAAATGCTTTCCTTTTGGCTCGAATTCTCTGTGCTCACTGAATGCATATTTATATTTTGCAGATGATACCACAGGGATACATTCAGTTTATACTGTGTACCAAGGGCATGAGATCATGTTTCATGTTTCCACCATGTTGCCATATTCCAAAGAGAACAAACAGCAGGTACATGTGAACATACAAACCATCAAATAGTGATGTGAATGTGGAGAGGGCACCATTATGATTCCATAGAATTAGGGGCTATGCCGGTTAACATATGAGCTGAGCTGTGGCCACCAATTTAGGGATGCTTTTGGCGGTCTGTATTGGAACTTTCTACAAATCTTAGGAAGAGCTATTCTCACTGGTGCTGTCACCTTAGAGAAATAAGGGGTCAGAGATAATAATGTGCATGCGTGTGTATGTGTAAACATGTATAGGTATTTGTATGTGTGTGAGTGTGGTTTCATAGACTCTTTTTTGTCTCTCTCTTTTTTTTTAATATATTTGATTCAAACATTCTTCTATCCAACATGGACTCTTGAGAGACTATTTTGTATAGGTGTTACCTTTTCTCTGTGCCTTCTCTCAGTGTGCCTTGTGTCTTGTCAAAATGAGACTCTCCAGGACATATCATAAGTGGTCCTGTGTGATGGTTGACAAGTATTGTTATCAGGTCACTGCAGGAAGTTAACACTGAGTATCTACATGGGATGTACCAGGCTGGGAAAAAACCTCTATCTAAGATACTCCTCACCCACCCCAGAGCTTGGCCACTGAGACAGGAGCAGAGGAGATGGGTTGGTGAGCAAGGGCCTAGGCTGGCAAAACATGGGAAGCCTGAAGTCAAAGATGTCTGAAGTTCAGGGCTCTGTCATAGTGGCTGTGGTTTGTTATATTGGGTTATGTTTTTTTAACTCTGTGAATGTGCCATGTTTGAGAGTCTTTCTCAGTGATGTTATTTATGCTCACTACAGGTGGAAAGGAAACGCCACATTGGAAACGATATCGTCACCATTGTGTTCCAAGAAGGAGAGGAATCTTCTCCTGCCTTTAAGCCTTCCATGATCCGCTCCCACTTTACACGTATCCTGGGCCTTTGTAAATGCTCCAGTGTGGCAAGCTGTGGTTCAGCCTCACTGGACTTCCATGACCCTTAAACCAAATCTTGTCATGGACTTGTTTTGTAATGCTAGCTTTAGACTCACTTTTGGGGAATTTTTCCTAAGCATTGTGTATAGTTCCCCCTTCCTCTCTCCTTCCATTTCAGTAGTAGATGGATTAATTCTCAGAGAATTCTTGACTCCTGAAATATGGTCTCTTTTCTCAGGTAGTCTACAAAATGAGGAAAACTTCCTGCTATCCTTCAGTCATAAATGATTTAGAAGAATTATAGGTGCTGAATTCTCTGAGAAATTTGCTTTAGGCATAAAAACTTGCAAGTTAAGATAAAAGGCCAAAATAATTTTTCTTGTTGATTTAAGCCCTGGTAATCGCTGTTGTATTACCATCTCTTGAAATTTGAGAAATGATAGAATTAATAGTATTTTTATCTGATTCCCCTAATCCCTGTTCAGCTCATATTGCTGGCAAAGTCCAGCAATGGGGCTGAAGCTTCTGCAGTGTCTGAGCTCAGCTCTGCCAGACAGGCATGGGGCATGAGCTTGACCTGCCCAGCAGACACTCAGTTGTGGCCCTGTTGCTCTGGGTCCCAGACCATGACAGCAAAACCCAAAGTTGGTGGCTCTACTGGTTATACATAATAAGCAAAAGGCAACAAATCAGCATTTTCAGAATAAATTCTAGTCGAGTTACTCATTTCCCTGGAGGCTCCAAGTAAACATGTTTGGAGACAGGCCCACGGTGACTCATGGCATCTGGAGACTTGGACTTGTTCCTTGTGACATAAAAATAGAGGATGGAAGTAAGTGTTTAAAAGTTAACAGTTTCCAAACTTTCTTCCATGAGGGTAGGGAAGCAAACAATATGCACTTGCACCTTCATTAGAATTTTCTTCCCTTTTCATCCCTGCTTTCTGAGTAATATCTGCCCCTGTCCCCTGGGATTTAGGACTAATATTTCCCCTTTCTAGAGGTGGTTCTTCTTGTATAACAGAAAACTTCTCCAAATTCACAGTAGAAGCAGTGGTGAGGTGACTGTTCAGGTGATTGAGAGGTAGTCATTATTTTTTAGAATTTCCCTGAGTTATACGTTTTAGATTTGGGGCTTGGCACATTTGTTCCTGAAAAGGGGCAAGCAGATCATTAAGGCAGATTCATTCCAGGGAGCCTAGAAATGGAGACACTAAGGAATTGATGGCTCCATAGCCCTAGCCAAGGAAAGCAGGGGTTGGGAGATGGTGGGTGGAGGTGGAAGGGGAGGAAGAAGAGTGGGAGAAAGGAAGAAGCTGGATGGATTCTTTCCTACTATTTTAGACTCTGCAAACCCCAGCACAAGCTAAGTAGATTCTGCTCAGAATCTGCCACCAGCTACAACAGGCTTGTTTTGTTTTGTCTACCAAACCCAAAAGGAGAGAAAGGGAAGGTATACAGCGGAAACATTTAAATTGCTTTCCCTTTCCAAATGTGTGAGATGAAATGTATTACTAATTTCCTATTGGGATCTTGTTTGTACTTCCAGGCAAGGGAACTGCTCTTTTTGCTTTGCTGACTGCTTAGTTGTTTAATAGCTATATTTCTATTGCTTTTCTGACAGCTTTGGAGATTTAAACCTTTTCCCCAAAGGATGCACATACAAACATTGAACCTACTCATGGTGCCCTCACATAAGTCTCCCTGGGCTGTCTCTTGGAAAGAAGTATGGGTTCTGTCCCAACCTAAGAGTGATAGGTGCCCTAAGCACAGAAGCGCTGGTCGAGAATGACTCTGCACAAGGGATTTTCAGAGCGCAAGCTGTCAGTCGTGAGCATCAGTGTTGTGATTAGTTCCCTTAACCATCACCACAGATATTTTTGCCTTAGTGAGATACAATCAACAAAATGACAATTACAGGTAGGTAATGACTTTGTCTCGATTGCTTGTCCTAATTCTCATGCTTGTTAATTTAGCATTGATTTTTACAAGACTCTTGATATACATATTTCTTGATTGATTTAATATGAGTGCCTGCACCTTACAAAACTTTCTTCAAGGCCACCATCTCTTCAGGAAACATTTACTCCATCCAGTGTTGTTCCATGAAGGAGACCTAGGGGTCAGGGTTAGTTTGATATTTTATTGTACTTTACCATGGGAACAGGTTTGATATATTTGATCTTCATCCTTTCCTAGTCTACATTCTTGCCTGCTTATCTTTCTGTTCTCAAATATTAATCTGTTAAAAGGTATTATGTTGTAAAAAGAACCTGAACTTTGAGCCAAATAGATTTGAGTTCGAATCCCAGTTCTATCATTTATTTGAGGCTTTGAAAAAAATGTTTTATCTTCTTGAAGCCTCAGGCCTTCTGTGTAGAGTGAAGGTAATGACACTACCCCGGCAGGTGTAGTGACAATCAGAGGCAATACTGTATCTTAAAATACCAAGTATGCTGCCTGGTATGCAGCAGGTGCTCAGTGATGGCCATTGCTCTTCTTCCTGGGTACCTGGCTTGATGGGTTGGACCATGAAGGATTCAGGAAGACCTGGTCTCTATCCTCAAAGCACATTGACTAAGCTGGAGGGGAAAGCGAGGTAGTGGCCTCGGCCCTGGCAGACCAGAGAAGGCACTCCTGGCATGGAGCAAATATTCCTGACACATCCCATATGCAGCTGGATAAATGGAAGGACAGAATAGTGGTGTATTACTTCATTTTCATACTGCTAATAAAGACATACCCAAGACTGGGAAGAAAAAGAGGTTTAATTGGGCCTGGCGTGGTGGCTCATGCCTGTAATCCCAGCACTTTGGAAGGCTGAGGCGGGCGGATCACGAGGTCAGGAGATCGAGACCATCCTGGCTAACACGATGAAACCCCGTCTGTACTAAAAATACAAAAAATTAGCCGGGCGTGGTGGCAGGTGCCTGTAGTCCCAGCTACTTGGGAGGCTGAGGCAGGAGAATGGTGTGAACCCGGGAGGCGGAGCTTGCAGTGAGCCCAGATCGCACCACTGCACTCTAGCCCGGGTGACAGAGCGAGACTCCGTCTCAAAAAAAAAAAAAAAGAGGTTTAATTGTACTTACGGTTCCACATGGCTGGGGAGGCCTCAGAATTATGGTGGGAGGCAAAAGTCATGTCTTACATGGTGGCGGCAAGAGAAAATGAGGAGGAAACAAAAGCAGAAACCCCTGATAGGCCTATCAGATCTCATGAGACTTATTCACTATCACGAGAATAGCACGGGAAAGACTGGCCCCCATGATTCAGTTACCTCTCCCTGGGTCCCACCCATGGCATGTGGGAATTCTGGGAGATACAATTCAAGTGGCGATTTGGGTGGGGACACAGCCAAACCATATCAAGTGCTAATATTAATTCTGCAATATTCTCTACTTAGGCTGAAAATATTTTCAGAAGAGAGCGTACCACTCTTTGGCCCTCCCTTGCCAACTCCACCAGTGTTTACAGACCACCAGGAATTCAGGGACTTTTTGCTAGTGAAATGTAAGTTTCTGTTTTGAAACAATTTTGCAACTTGTTCTATGTCAGAATACATTTCTTCAGATTCTCCCAGAATGCTGTTTAAGGAAATGTCATTGTTTAAGCATTCCATGTTCCGTTAATTCTTTGCACAACATGTGTTTAGTATTCTGGTCATGTTGTGCACGTTTTCTCCTATGTTTTCATCCCCACCTTCCATCCTGTCACCTGCCTTGAAGCTTCTCTACACTCACCCACTAAGGACCCTCGGGCCTCAAATTTGCCTTTCTGCCCTGTGTTCTGATAGAGCCATTGCTGAATCTCTGCTTGTATATGTATCTGTATCTGTCAGAGAGTGGGATGTAGGTGGGGGAAAGAGTGGTTGTGGGTATATGCTTAGGGATAGGGAGAGTTGTTGGGGAATGTGTGTGCACACTTGCGTGAGTGTATATGTGCACCCATGCACATGTGTGGGAAAGAGAAAGACAGAATGAGAACATAATGTGTGTAGACCATGACTGCCAGGCATCACTTGCTGGTGAGCACATATTTTCACTCTACTGGTAATACCCAAATACCCGACTCTGAGGCCACATCTCTTAAAGCACAAGAGCTCTGCGCATCCCTCCTCAGGGCACCCCTGGGAATTATTTCTGGTAGTCCCATGGTGGGACTGTGTCATTGATCAGAAACAAGTTACTCGGGTTCATCTGCTGCAGCTTGCTAGCCGCACGCCCTGGCAGGGCTGCTTGGTCTATGCCCTCCATGAAGATACTGCTTTCCAGCCTCCTGCCAGGTATGCTGGGCATTGCAGCTGCTTTGCTGGCTGCCTCCTGTCCCCACCTGCAACTCCTCCCCACTACAGTCTTTGCCTAAGTCTGTCACTGTTGCCGTGCAGCTCTGAGACATCTAGAATGCCCCTCTCTTCACTCTGTCCGTCCTGGTCACCTGGCCTCAAGGAAGCATTGACTGAGCCCAAAGCCTCACTGAGTCCTACGTGGACAAGTGTTACCCAACCTCCAATCTTAATCCTACTCCAGTACTGGCCCAAGCCAGTCCCTCAGGCCAGGGCAAGGGACAGGCACATGTTGTTTCTCCTCTGTCTTCCTGTCTCCCCAGTCACTCCTTCACAGTCCCAAACATGACTTCTCCTGCACAGAAACAGTGCCAAGCATGAGTGTCAGTTCTAGTCACCAGAAACATCCAAGTCCTGGCCAGGCTGTTTGGTAGCCTCTCTTCCATAGGAAACCCCTCCCTTCCCTTTCAGAGACCTTGGCATGATTCCACAACTTTGTCCTGGAGAACAGAGACATGAAAGACACCTTTGCTGAGGCTCCCTCTGCTTTCCAGCTGGGCTGCCTCTCTTCCCAGCTGGACCACCAGCGTTGTTACCTCCCATACTCCAACCTATACCAGGGTCCATGGGTGATGTCTCCCTCGACACATTAGAGGCAGCAGACACTGCAAACCATGTGCAACAGATGATGATTTTGTCTCTCCCTTTCCAGTATTTATACTCATTATTTCAAATGCTACAACAAGGTCCCAAACTCAGATGCCTGGAGAGCCAGGCAGGGAGCATGAGCAAGTGAGGCGGGCTGAGTGGAGGACAGTCAGGAGTGCTGGGAGCTGTGACACACTTGAGAGCATGTGCTCACTCCATCCAGCTGAGGCCTTTCAGAGCATGCACCATGGCCAGGGTTGCCAGATACTCTGAGTTTTCAAATCAAGCCAGAAAGCTGAAATTGTATGTGAAATTGTCCGAGTCTCATGTGTTCAAGTCCAGAGGATCAGACAGAGAGCAAGAAACAGATCTGAAACAGAGTCAGCAACAGAGTGGGTGTAGCTACTGGAAGCTGAAAGGGTGTTGGCAGCATGGGGCTCAGGAAGACAGCATTCACTGTAGGGGGCCTGTGGCAAGGAAGGGGCCGCTAAAGACCTGTAACCACCAATTGGAGATCACTCAGCAGCACTAGGGACCCGGCTTATAAGTGGAGCCAGTCAACAGATGGACTTTCATCAGCGTTGTCAAAGACTTGAGGTGAAATGAAACGAAGGGCTGGGTTGATTTGACATTGAAGATTTGAAAGTAGAAACAGCAGAAGAATGCAGGCTCAAGGTGATGGAGAGGGTGTGTTGAGGAGATGGAGTGTGGGGCCAGGAAGGACCAGGAGGGGTTGGTGCGCTGAGAGGACAGGTAGCAGCCGGCGGATCATAGAGTCTCGGAATTCCAAAGTGGATTGAGCAGCGAGGTTGAAAACTCTGAGATTACAGGAGATGGCATTTCAACAAAAATCTTGACCTTTTCCTTTTCAGCCGAAGCGAGGCTTTAAAATGGATTGTTCCAAGGTACTAAGCAGAAAAAAAACCTCAAACAAAAAAATTCCTAGATTCACAGAACTAAAGAAAAGAACAGACAAGCATAGTTTCAATTCTTGTGTGTGTGTCAAGAGATATCTTGTAATTCCCTTTTTAACTTGATTTATTTTAGTAATTAATGGTGAAAAAGCCACTTTGGAAACCCCAACATTTGCCCAGAAACGTCGGCGTACCCTGGATATGTTGATTAGATCTTTACACCAGGATTTGATGCCAGATTTGCATAAGGTAATTCTGGGTCCATGGTCTTCTTTCCTTCTTATGGGGTCTGAGTTGAGAACACAAGTCCTCAACTCAGCGATGAGGCCCTGGTGAGAAAAGCGTAGGAGGCGCCTTGATCCTTGCTGTCAGGACTGTGCTGTGGCCACCATGGGCTGACAGTCTCTCATTGTGACACAAGAAGGAAGGACATTGGGTTTCCATACACAGGAATGCGATTTCCAGAAAGCCAGGGCCTGTGGAAATCAAGGTGCAAACCAGGGACAGGGAGGTTGGGTATCAATCAGCAATCTCTGGAGCATTGAAGAGTGCTTTTTTTGGGGTGGCTGTTCTTGGTAATACTACTCAGCATTGCCAGTCACATGAGCTGATGGGCAGGCAAAGGTGGGATTTTTAGAAAGACATAGGGTGCTTTTTTTTGGAGATTTATTGGCCAGCCCCATATTCAGGCACTGAAACAAGCATTCCCATTTACTGAAGACCCAGACACTTCGTAGGCCTGAGACATAGCCACACTGATGAGACCCAACACCTTTCTATCACTTCAGGTGCACATGTGCTCTTTTCTTTTTTTTTTTTTTTTTTTTTGGAGACAGAGCTTCTCTCTTGTTGCCCAGGCTGGAGTGCCATGGCATGATCTCGGCTCACTGCAACCTCCACCTCCTGGGTTCAAGCAATTCTCCTACCTCAGCCTCCCAAGTAGCTGGGGTTATAGGCATACACCACTGCACCTGGCTAATTTTTTGTATTTTTAGTAGGGACGGGGTTTCTCCATGGTAGTCAGGCTGGTCTCAAACTCCCAACTTCAGGTGATCCACCTGCCTTGGCCTCCCAAAGTGCTGGGATTACTGTCATGAGTCACTGCGCCCGGCCGACCAGCACCATTTTATAGGCACTCCTTGACTCTTGTCTGGTCGGTGTACCCCAACCACTCGCAGGGATTGGGCCAGGCTAACCCCAGGACCCTAAAGAGCAAACCTCAATTGGTAATCTCTCAATTCCGTAAGGTCAGGGAAGACACAGAGAGGGTACCAAGATGAGCAATGATGTCCTTCAAGATAAGTAATCATATCCCAGCTGAAGCATCACTGCCTGAGCCAGGCTTCCCTAGCCCCCCAGTTGAAGCCAGGTCCCCTGTTAAATGTTTTCATGTACTTGCCACACTTCCCCTTCATAGCAGTGATCACATGTGCTAAACATGTCGTTGCTTAATCTGTCTTCCCAGTAGACTCTGTGCTCCACAAGGATAGAGACTATGTCTATCACATTCCCAAAATCTGGCAGAAGACTAGGTGCTCAGTCGGTACTTGCTGATTGAATGAGCATACCCCATTCAGTGACTACAGTTTTAAAGAGAACTAACATTACTAAGTATGCACTAGGCACTGTGCGAAGTACCTTACATGCATTGCCTCATTTAAACCTCATAACACACCTAGGAGACAGGTATTAACCACACAAAGACACTGAGATTCGGAAATTAACTAATTTGCTCAAGGCGACCCACAAGGCTGCAGATTTGCACAGCTCTAGGGGTACTGTTCTCATAGAATTCAGTTTGTTGTGTTCCAGGGGGTGCTGCTGTGTAAGATTGGCATCCCAGAGCTGTGCAATGTGGTGGCCCAGGTCACACTGTTAGTAAGTTAGTAAGTGATACAGCTGCAGGTCTGCTGATTTCAAAGCCGTGTCCTCAGCCCCCATGCAATGCTGGCTCTCCACCTAGTGACTCTGAATCTAGTATCTACCATGGACCTGGTACACAGCAGGTGCTCCATCAATGCTTATTGAGTGAATGAAACAGAAGGTAGAAATAGGACCATTTGGATAAATAGTTTTGTGCACTATGAGAAGCCAAAAGATGAGACTTAACAACTGTTTGTGGAATTCATAACTTGTTTTTCTTTTTTAGAACATGCTTAATAGACGATCTTTTAGTGATGTCTTACCAGAGTCACCCAAGTCAGCGCGGAAGAAAGAGGAGGCCCGCCAGGCGGAGTTTGTTAGAATAGGGCAGGTGGGTTTTCTTCTGAAACCTTTTCTGCGAGACATGTAGTTTTGAGTTCCATCCTAACCAGATGGCCCATGTGCAAAGACTTTGTTTGCCTGCTGCTGTAGGAGCTCTGTAATTTCTGTTAGGATTGTTGTGGCAACCACGAGTGAGATTTTTGAGAACCGAGTAGGTGCAGTTCTCTGCAGGCATCACTGAGAGAGCAACACTCTGCAGAGGTAGGAATGCTACTGCCTCAAGGCAAGTAGCCACAGGGCCCAGCTCTGGGCCCCCCTCTTCCAGAGAACACAGATCTCTTGCCTGCCTCCTAGGAATTTTCTGAAGAGTGAGGAGCCGATTTGGGAAATGCCCCTTAAACCCATGACTGGCAGGAGGAAGCACAGAGTGGCAGTGGCACTCACAGAAGACTTGAATTACCACCCTATGACTTGGAAACAATCCAAGTCACCACCAAGTTAGGTGGTGCCCAGTCATCCCCTTATTCCAGGCATTGGAGAAAATCACTCCCTTTGCCCCGCTCGCATGTGACACTGGTATTTCTCAGTTCCGGGAGGCGACACAGCTGTCTGCCTTGATCACACATCACAGCATGGAGAAGGAGGAGTGCCCTCAGCTGCAAATAAGGTTCTGGCCCAGAAGTAGAAAGCTAGACAAGGCAGGTGGAGAGAGGAAAGCCATGTAATCAAGGGAAGCTTAGTTACAAGGTTCTCAAACATTGGTTCTTGTTTAAAGATACCCAGACTTTATTCCCAGAGATTCTGATTCATCAAGTTTGAGGAGGGACCTGAGAATCTGCATTTTTTCAAGCTCATGGTTTATAAATCACAGTAATGATATATTGATTCATTGAAATGATAAAATGCATTTGGATAATTTGGGTTGCGACATTGTCATTAAGGCTTCACTGTGTCCAGCTAACTTCAATTCTTGATTAACAAGTCAGTAGAGGAACCCGAAATGTTAGCCTGCAATTACTCCTGTTTTATTAAATTTTTGTCAAATCACAATTGTTTATCCTGCTGTACTTTTGCCGCCTAGTAAACTTTAATAGAGATCTCTGTTCTGTAAGGCACTAAAACTGAAATCCATTGTGAGAGGGGATGCTCCATCAAGCTTGGCAGCTTCAGGGATCTGTAAAAAAGAGGTGAGTTCATGATACTTTCAATTTGAACTTTGAATTCCCCTTTTCCTTAATGAAAATGATTGAGATTATTGGAAAAAGGTTTGAGAGCAGAAGGAAGAAGAGCATGTCTACTGCAGAGTCCTCAGGGAAAGCCCTAGATAAAACTGAGTGGCCATTTAGTGAGAGCCTCTGTGTTGCCATGGTATGCACATGCCTTCACCTGCTTCAATGGAGCAGAGCTGCTGGAGGACCGACCTGGTCAGGCAGGCCAGGCCCCACAGGGCCTCTCAAGCTTTATGTGCATACACATCACTTGGACACCTTGACCAAATGCGTGTTCTGATCCAGTAGGTCTGGAGTGGGGCTGAGAGTCTGTGTTTCCAACAAACTTGCACGTGGTTCCTGTGCTGCTGACCACAGACATGCTTTAAACAGCAAGGCTCCTGGGCAGTGCTGCTCAAGCTTCAGTGTGTATTGAATTCACCCCCAGAGTTTCTGATTGAACAGGTCTGGGGTGGGACCTGAAAGTTTGCATCTCTAATGGCTTCCCAGGTGATCTTGATGCTGTTGGTTAGAGGACCACAGTTGAAAAACCAATGCTTAATCTACAGTTCACTCAGCCAGCCAAAAAATTCTTTGGCTATTTATCTACATCCTGTTCCACTTTCCATGGGGGTAAAAACTAGGTGATCATCAAAAATAAAACAGACAAAAATACACAAATTATATTATGAATATGATTTTGTATTGTAGAACAGTACCCCATGTACTTAATTATATCTCCATTCAGAATACATAAAAGTTAAATGGGACAGATTTACAGCACATCACCAGAGAAGTGTCCATTATAAAAGCAAAATAATTATGAATACATTTACCTTACTGATAAAGGTATAGATGATGTGAGCCTACGTGCTTTAAAGTCTGGTTTCAGGAAAATGATGAGCTCAAAATATAATTAACCCTAAAAACCACAACCAACTTCAGACAAGACTACTGGAAAAGCATCCTTCCCAAAGGCTGCAGCAGTTCCAGTGTCTGCTTGTTCCCATGCACAGTAGGAATTTACTGTTTCCAAGTACGTTATAGATACCAGATTCCAGTAAGATTTAATAATGATAAGAAGTTTTTAGGCTTATATTAAAAACAGAAGTCTGTGGAACCATAACTTGTTCACCAGGTAATAACAGAGCGAGCGTCCATTGTTGAGGTCAGTACTTATAACCCACCCGCAGGCCGTAGACCACCTCAGAGAAACTCAGCTCCAGAGGGCCCCATGGGCTGCTGCTGTGCAGTTGGCTCTGCAGAGGCCAGAGCCCCCTGCTGTTCCCAAGTGTTCTGTGCCCAGAGAACCCGGCTTTGCCCACCTCTTCAGCACTCATCGTTTCATGAGCTGTGGTCATGTTCTTAGAGAGTGCCCAGGAACAGTCTGCACTTAGACATGAAAGCCTGGAGACCACATTCTCACCTGGTGGAATCCACATGAAGGCTCCCCCATGGAAGGGAGTCCAGGGCAATGGCAAACACTGTCTGTCGTCAGACCAGAGCAACTGTGGGACCAGATCTGAGTTTGCTGCTGACACTGCACGCCCCAATATTCAACAGTTCCTCAGACCTCACATGGTCACTGGCACCCGTGTAAAGCAATGGACACCCTGCGTGCACCTGCCCATTAAAATGGGGCCGGGTGCAGTGGTTCATGCCTATAATCCCAGCACTTTGGGAGGTTGAGGCCGGAGGACTACTTGAGCCCAGGATTGGAGACCACCCTGGGCAACATGGTGAGACCCTGTCTCCACAAAAAAAATTAAAAAAATTAGCCGGGCATGGTGGCTCATGCCTATGGTCCCAACTACTCAGGAGGCTGAGGCAGGAGGATCACTTGAGCCCAGGAGGTCAAGGCTGCAGTGAGCCATGTTCACACCACTGCACTCCAGCCTGGGTGACAGAGCAAGACCTCGTCTCAAAATAAAATTTAAAAAAAGGTAAAATGGCATATATATGCAGCATTTGAGTACAATTTTGGGGGTTTCACAGACCTCCTTGAGACCTCTGTGGATCCTGTAGGGCCCTTGAATCTTATGGGGGAAGAACTTCTTTCTGCCTTAGTGTTCCAAACTTGTGTCTTCTGGGCAGAAAACATATTGTTACTAAGAACTGGTTGTTCTGTTGGTGTTACCTAATGCTGATGTCTGTGTCTTCTCCCTATTGACATTTATATTAACTTTGCTTTTTTTATGTCCTTTTGGTGTAAGTCACAAACTCAGAATTGCCAGAAATTTTCTTGGGGAAACGTCATTTCAATTAATGACCTGCACTTGTTTAGCCTTTTTTCCATTTACAAAATGTTGTCACATTCTTTAGGGGATCTTTTTAGAACATCACAAGTTCCATCTTAGCAATTGGAATATTCTTTTTGAGACCGTGCATTTCCTAAAGGGAGAGCATCCTTTCCTTTTCTAAGAGAGCAGTAACACACAGCATTTACCCTCAGCCCTAATGCCGTTTTCAAAGGTGGTCCTCAGAGCCCTTTGCTTTACCTTGAGTATGCAAATGCATGTTTGCTTGGGTACTTAAGAACACACCTACATGTGCACATGCAGGCTCTACTACAGCCCCAGGTGGGACACATCAGGCCCTGATGCCTGATTGAGAGTAAAAGTGAAGATGTAAGACTTCAACTTGGGCCTGAGAATCTCCACAAACTGAGGCTTATCCAGTGCTTTGGAGGGAAGCTAAGAATTCTGTTGAAAATGTCCACAATTCTGGTGTGACTAAGATCATGGAACACAATGCCTCCTACTCCACACATCCACGTGTGGCTCTAAGGCTCCCCCTTTATGCCTGAGATGGAAATGAACTAAGAAGAGTTTGCTTGGTATAGATATGTCATGCGGAAACCTGACTAGCTCTGTTTACAGCTCTTGCCAAACAGATGTTATTTTTTCTTTAAGATTTTGTATCTTATGTGGGTCAATAGGCATTTTCACGTGAAAACAATATCAACCTTTTAGTGCATCATGTATGTTTTACTAATTTGCTGAATCAGCAACACAGGAATCTGACTTTTTTATAGAATTATGTGGGACTTCCTTTAATGATGAACTAATATGAATTCTCTAAAACAGAGGCACCATTTGGCCCAACTCCCAGGTGTTAAAGCAAAATGCTTCCTTAGAAACCATTACGAATGCGTCAATTGCCTCTGAAAAACATTATAATACAGAGACAGGTTATGGTGCCAGAAACCTGTGAATTCACTCTTTTCCTATTGCATACGTATTTGAAAGGAGACTTTTCTTCCTAAGAAAGGTAATTGAGTCCAGACCCCAGGGTTTGGAGTGACTCCGCTCCCACGGGGGTATCTGTGTTACTGTTTCAGGTGTGGTACTGTACATTTCCATTTGGTGGGCTGCAGTGTATTTTTTCTGGTGCACTTATCTTCCGATGCTTGTATTGCCTCACAGCCGTGGGAGCCCCAGTGTTTCTGCAGTAATTTCCCTCATGAAGCCGTGTGTGCAGATCCCTGGGGCCAGGCCTTGCTGGTTTCCACTGATGCTGGCGTCTTGCTAGTGGATGGTTAGTGAGTAGCTGCTCCTACAAATGTCTTTTTCATGTAACTTGTAGTACTTCTAAGATGAGTGACCACCAACCAACTCCCTTTGGGCCATAAATGTGTGATCTGCAGAGAGTTTAGCGAAGTTTTATTTCCTTATGAAATTAAACCCTTGTTTCCAGGGCAAGCAGAGGAAATATACTCTGAACCAAGCATGCTGGAGGGTGGGCCATAGGTTCTCTTCCCAAAATATATGATGGGACTGTGGATATCAAATGACCTGCAAAAAGAATCTCCTTTTCAGCCAATACTTATTATCACTCCAACATTTTACTTTAAATCAACAAGGATACATTATTTAGAACCACTGTCTCTGGGACATTCCCTCTCTCGAAGTCTTAAAAAAAAAAAAAAGATTTCTGATTCAAAAAGTACTGATGTCCAAAACAAACAATAAGAATCTTAGATAACCCATTTTTGATGGATATAGAAACAAAAAGATTTTGACAAGGAGACAGATTCCAGCTCAATATAAAATCACACATTCTGACAGCCAGATAGATCAGCCTTCCTGGGGAGTTAGTCAGTTCTCTGTCGCCACAGATCAGCCACCGTCGCCCAGAGAGGGTGCAACTTCAGAGCAGGTGTAGACTCAAGGACAGTGTGGTCCCTTCCATCAGGAGTCCCCTTTAGATTATTCCAGACCCTGAATGAATGACAGAGGAGCTAAACACTAGTAACAGGTTGTCTCCTGGGCTTCAGAGGGAGCCATAGGCACAGAGACAATGTCTCCAAAGGGCATTTCCTCGGACTGCCCAGAAACAGCTGCCCAGTCTCTGGTTACCGTAGTGACATTTTGTGAGAATCCCAAAGCCACCACTGTGAGAATGACATAATGGCCTAAAACTGTGGCATCTTCCCATCCTTCAGTACAACCTATACGTCCTCCCTCCGACGCTTACTGGGCACATTTACCGAACACCTGCTGTGTGCCGGGGCCCCACGCCAGGTGCCTTCTGAAGCATGATAGGAGATGTGGGCCGTGCTTCATAATGGATCTATTTCTGACCTCATCTGTTATTTTTGATATGTGTTTCAATTGTGTGCCCATAGTCATTGTATCTATAACGAACTTAAGGCAGATAATTTAAAATTCATAAATTTATAATTTAAATTCAGTATGTAATTTTTGAAATTACAAAATGATTGGAAACTGTGATCTGAAAGAAAACCTCTATGAGCCTCGAGTTTCTCTAAATTGGAGATAATTTTTTAAGATGCTGAGAATAGTTTATAATGATGAAAATCGGTGAAACAAAATGGGATGATGATCACAACTAGAAGGAGGGGATTGTAGGGGCTAAATAAAGTTATCTGTATTAAGTGTTTACATAGTGGTTGGCACATAGTAGTAACTTATTAAATGGCAGCTATTATCTTTACTATGTCTCTATGAACTTGCTAAGAGGTAATAAAATCCTTCCGGGCGCAGTGGCTCACGCCTGTAATCCCAGGACTTTGGGAGGCTGAGGTGAGCGGATCACAAGATCAGGTGTTCGAGACCAGCTTGGCTAATATGGTGAAACCCTGTCTCTAACTAAAAAAATACAAAAATTAGCCGGATGTGGTGGCGGATGCCTGTAGTCCCAGCTGCTCAGGAGGCTGAAGCAGGAGAATCACTTGAACCCAGGAGGCGGAGGTTGCAGTGAGCCAAGATCGCAGCACTGCACTCCAGCCTGGGCAACGGAGCAAGACTCCATCTCAAAAAAAAAAAAGTAATAAAATCCTTAGATCTTGCCAAAAGTGAAACAACAACAACAACAAACAAGAATGCAAACAACAGACTTTAGAAGTTTAGTGCAGTCTGTTAGTTTTATTGATGAACAAGCTGAGGCCTAAATAAATGATATGAGTTACCCAAGATCACAAAACTGGTTAGTGGCACGTCTGGGACTAGTACCCAGATGTGATTGTTAGTCCAGGGCTCTTTCCACTAAACCAACTACATTATATTAAACTCTACCAATGTCTCTAACACAGATTTCCAAAAATATAGCCCTGGGCAAATAATTATGAAAAATTTTGTGATTTAAAGAATGTTCACTCCTTCCCTTTTGCCCTTTTGGGAAAGAGAAAGCATGCTTCATAATGACTATTCGTAAGCTTGCCTAAAACCAAAAGATTCTATTTGAGTTGCCTCTATTTTTTTAAATGCAAAATCCAAACCAAAATTACCAGGTTCCTTTCTGAAATTTTTATCTTAAGGATCCAAAATTTAATGGAAATGTCAGATGTAAGGAGTATTGTGATTTGCCAGGAAATTCTTTCTTCCAAATTTGAAGGAAGTCGCCTTCAACAGGATGGTGGGTGTAGCTGTTTACACCCACCATTGCTTTGGTTTATGATTTAAACTAGTTTTTTCATGTCCTTATTGTACAATGATGCTTCTGTTTGTTTTTGCTTAAAAAAAAAAGAAGAAGAATCTTCAGGGCCTTCTTTATATTTCTTGTTGTGCTTTTAAGCCACAATTCTCTTATTTCTTTGTTTACCTTTCTCTTGTCTACATTTAATCATATTATGAAATGTTTCCATGAGTGAATCCATCCATTTTGTTTCAGACTGAGTTCCACTCTATCCCATTAGCCTTTGCTTAATTTCATTAGATGTATCCCTTGAGAGTCTACTCCTTTCAAGGTCATTATTAAAAATCAAGACCTTTTGTATCCTAAGTTAGCAAAACCTACTTTGAAAGGAAACTGAATACTGATTAAATATGCTCTCGCCCTGTGTTTTGGTTTTGCAGTAACAGAAAAGCTGGTTCTAAAAGATTGTTCTTCATAAAGAGATTACAGGAAGGAAAGCATTGTCATCAATCAGTCATTAAATCCACCTGTCACTCTGTCAGGTCCTTGCCTCCTCCTCCTTCTTGTGTTGTATACAAACCTGTTCAGCCATCTGAGAAAGACTGGATGGAGATTAAGTGCTAATTCACTCTGTACACAGCTCGGCAGCTGTACAATGTATACCTCTGTTCCTATGTAAAATGAAGGGCCTCTGTCATTTATTAATTCCCTGGAGTGCTGTTGCTGCTGTGGTCGCATCTCTATCCACTGGGATATGGGGCTGCTCCAACATCCCATTTTATGTTCCAACACTGGTGAAGAGAGCATGGCTTTGTCCTTGCACAGGCTTGGGCTCCACATCCTGGAGGTGTGACCTCAGACAAGTATTAACACCAGGCCTCAGGCTCCTCCTTTGTTCAATGGGAGTATTATAAGTTCCTACCTAATAAGGTCATTGGGACATTTAATTTAAACATATGAAACCCTAAGCATTAGGGTCTGGCATATGGAAAGCCCTTAGTATATGTTACCTGTCCTTGCTGTGACTGCTCTTCTCCCACAAATGGAATAATTGTAGTTATTTAGCCAACTATGATGATGGGTATGAGGATGATCGTCCAGTGTTTTGAAAAATTAAGTCTGCCCCAGCGGAAGTACAAAGACCCTGAGAATTAGTTCCATTTTGTGGGAGCCCAGGGTAGAGGAGGAAGAAAAGTGGTTGATGAGCTATCATAAAATTTACATTTGCCCCAGTAATTGAGAGGAACAAGAGACAAGCCCTAGGTGTAATACTAAGCTTAGCTTAGTCTGTGTTCTGACAAATCTGAGCCCTCAGAGGCCTGCAGGAGTGGGAGCTCCTCTCCCCACTGTGGGGGCAGTTATTAATCCTGATGGTGAAAGCTCTGCTCCCTCCTGGACCATCCAGGACGGGATGAACTCCCAACCACACTTAGATTTCTGGAAAAGAAAAGATCCTCAGGGCCCCTTGCTCCTAAATTTTAATTAAACCCAACCCCACAGCAGAGCATTTGCAGAATAAATGCAGGTAAAGAATGAGCCAGCCACTTCTCCTGCCCCAAATGTCTCCACCATCCCGGACACCTCTGCCTTGCCCTGATTCTGCCATCCATCTCAGAACAGACCCTTTTGCTTACAGAACTGAATGGAACAGCCTTAGTAATTATTTTAGCCCCCTGTGTCCTCGGAGCCCTCAGGAGCAAAGTAATTGTTAGCAACTTAGATTCTCAGTAAGTAACCTCAACAACAAATCCTGTGTGGAAGTGCAATGTCTTGAACCATCCATTTATTGGAGATTTCCCTGAGCATTCCCACTTCAGTTCGTTTTTCCTGCTGTTTTGGCAATTTAGTTAATATTTCTCTTTATTTATGTTTTTGTCTAAAAAGGAGATTTCCTATTCCTTTGGGAAAAAATACTGAAAATGTATAGGCAAACTACTACTGCTACAAACACGGGACATATTAGGGTAGAGTGTGTTTATATTTATCTTAAGTCCAAAAGGAAATTTTAATTTTGCTTTCTTGAGGTATGTACAATATGACCTAAGATATAATGCAATTTCAAATATTACATAAAAATGAGAAAATACTTGAGAAAAATGGCTGCTCTTTTTTTTTTTTTTTTAACTTGGTGTTCAGGCCTTTGGTACAACCCTAGTAAAAATTGGTATTGAGAGATGTTGCTTTTTCTTTGATGAACAAAAATAGCGTTTTCATGCCTCTGCTGCTACGCCCCCTATATAGAGTTCGGGATATAGAATTGCCTATGGGAAGAAAGCATCAGTACTTCTTCCTGAGCTAGGAGGAGAATAGTGCTTGAATGTATTTTGTAGAGCTTATGAAAGCCCTAGAAGCTGACTTCCTTCCTTGCCTAGAGATAACTTGGGTTCAAAACTACCCACAGGCACGTTTGGTGGGTTCTGGAAAGCGTGGGCTGGGTTGCAGTGATGGGTAACCAGGTTTCCTTTTCCAGATGACCTTCCATCAGTGCCCGTGTTTGACAGAACTCTGCCAGTGAAGCAAATGCATGTGCTTGAGACCCTGGACCTTCTGGTTCTCAGAGCAGACAAAGGTGGTATTCCCTGCCGGGTGGCATGCTGTGGAGGAAGGAAAACAGTTGCCTTCTGCGGCCCACACCACAGGTCGCCAGGGTCTGACTGCATAAGTTCTGCCAGCTGTTTCCTTTCCTGATGCTCAGTGCTTGGGATCCCTCAGTGGCCCCTTTGTTCTCTGGGGAGGGAAGCCGTTGGGGGAAAGGGGTGC
This sequence comes from Homo sapiens, assembly GCF_000001405.40. NCBI lineage: Eukaryota > Metazoa > Chordata > Mammalia > Primates > Hominidae > Homo > Homo sapiens. Next base: position 127,354,136 of record NC_000009.12, read on the forward strand.
ATACGTAATTGCATTGTCAGGTTAAAGTGGTGTGGGGTGCCTCCTGAATTCCAGAACACCTCCAATCCTAGTTTTTCTACACAGTCTGCCCCTGGAGGCCCTCCAGGTTACCTTACTTTTCCATTTAATCTCCTCCTCTGTCTTTTTTATGTCACCAGGAAAAGATGCTCGCCTCTTTGTCTTCAGGCTAAGTGCTCTGCAAAAGGGCCTTGAGGGGAAGCAGGCTGGGAAGAGCAGGTCTGACTGCAGAGAAAACAAGTTGGAGAAAACAAAAGGTGACTTGATAGATTGGTAGATTCCATTCGATTCGTTTTTTTTTTTCCTCAGGCTGCCCAGGTTTTACTGAAAATAAAAATGAGTAGGAATTTGATCTTATTAGTTTGTTTTTTGTTTGGAAACATCACAAAAATAGCATCACTGTTTCCAGAAGGAGCTTGAAAGCTAGACAAACACATTGAGGACTAGAAGAAATTCTAGGCCTTGCATAACAGGTTCTAGAGATGCATTAAACTCTATTAGCAAATCTATTACTGAAGAAATGTTTAGACTGGTTCCCAGAGCTCTAATTACTTTAATTGATGTCATGTCGTAGGTATGAAGTTAAGTCCACAAACTCTAGAATATAGGAAGTAGGACTTTCTTTCCTTTCCCTTCCTTTTTCCTTTCCTTTCCTTTCGGCAGAGTCTCACTCTTGTTGCCCAGGCTGGAGTGCAGTGGCACAATCTCGGCTCACTACAACCTCCGCCTCCTGGGTTCAAGCGATTCTCCTGCCTCAGCCTCCTAAGTAGCTGGGATTACAGGTGCCCGCCAGCATTCCCAGCTAACTTTTGTATTTTTAGTAGAGATGGGGTTCCCCCAAGTTGGCCAGGCTGGTCTCGAATTCCCGACCTCAGGTTATTCGCCCGCCTCGGCCTCTCTAAGTGCTGGGATTATAGGCGTGAACCACCGCACCCAGCTGGGAATAGGACTTTCTTAATTTTCCTGTAACTCAACCTAATTTTAATATGTAGTCTCCATTTTGCCTAGTGTCGGAAACATTCTCAGTCCATTCACTGAGTTATGCTTAATTTCCAGGGTTCCTAGGTATTGCCAAATTGTCAAGGTCTGGGGGCTTCCACACCCGCATGTCATGTGTAAGGCATCATTTCTTTCTCCTCCCAGGCTGCCACCTGTATGCTATTAACACTCACCACAGCAGAGAGCTGAGGATTGTGGTTGCAATTCGGAATAAACTGCTTCTGATCACAAGAAAACACAACAAGCCAAGCGGGGTCACCAGCACCTCATTGTTATCTCCCCTGTCTGAGTCACCTGTTGAAGAATTCCAGTACATCAGGGTAGGTTTGCTCTTTAAATCATTTATCTCCCAACCAAGTTGTCTTGAAGCAGACTCTGTCCTTCCACCCAGAGTTTGTTACCCACTGAGGTTGTCCCACTGTTTAGTAGCCAACTAGGGAAACCCTCATCTCTGGTGCCCTTGTTTCCCCCAGAAGACTAAAGCTAAAGCTCATTCATTCCAGTGAACATCTACGGGTGCTGTTCTAGGTACGAAGGACACAGCGATGACCAAAACAAAGTCTTCTGATGGGGATTACTTTCCAGTTGACAGTTAACAGAAATAAGCAAATAAAGCTATGATGGCTGGCATAAAGAAATACTAAAATTAAACATAGAGGAGGGCCAGGGAACAAAGGATAATGGAGCAGGGAGTTGGGAGATTCTGTTTAGAAAGAATGTCCCAGGAAGCCCTCTCTGAATAGGTTACCTGTGAGCAGAGATCCAAAAGAAGTATGGGAGTGAGTGATGAGGGTATCTAGGGAAAGGATATTCCAGGCAGAGGGAGCAGCCAGGCAAGGGCCCTGAGGTCCTGTTGAAGGCACAGTCAAGAGCAGAGGGAACAAGGCAGGCAGGTCAGAGAGAACTGGGAAATATACTCTTGAGCCCTCAGGCCATTGCAAAGACTTCGGCCTTGACTCTGAGTGAGATGGGAAACCACTGGAAGGTTTGAAGCAGAGAAGTGGCAGGTTTTGAAAAGATTGTCCTGGCTTCTGGGTAGAGGGGAGCTTAGGAGGCCAAGGGTGGAAATAAGAAGGCCTGCCACGAGACCAGTGCAGCATCCTGGCAAGAAAGGTTGGTGGCTTTGGTAGCAGGAGAGATGGGAAGAAGCCGTGGGCAATGCTTTCCTGCTTGCCTCAGTCAGCGGGATTTGCTGGGAGATTGAAGGGGGAGCTTGTGAGAGAAACCTCCAGGCTCAAGTTCCCTCCCTGACATCACCATCTCTTATCTTTTAAAGACTAGGGTACATTAAGGTATGGAATATATCTAGCATTGGCCACTAAGATGGAGTATTTCTACTGGAGAGCTGAGAAGGTATTTTTTGCTTAGAGTTAAAGCCTTTTGAATTATGCCTATCAATTTCTGCTAATGTTCAACTTCAGGGGACAGAGCAACATGACAGTTAAGTTAAAACACGTTAAAATCTTGCTCTACTTAAGTGTTAGCTTTCTTCCTATAGTGATTTGCTATTTTAATGAAGATTTACATGCAGCATATACATTTATGTAATATGAGCACTGAAATTAAATCTCCTGAGTTTATATCTTAGCTCTACCCTGTGTAAACTTTGTGATGACTTTTAAGCCTCAGTTTCCTCATCTGTAAGACAGAATAGTAGCTGTACCTACCTTATAAGTAGGATTCAATGAGAACAGTGCCTAGCACATGTTAAGTACACAAATAGATTAGTTAGCAATTATTAATACTATTACTGAATCCCAGGACAGGACCAGACGACATAAGGGATAAAGCAGACCATACTGTTGATTGCATTTTGTTTAATTGTTTCCTGGCCTCGACCCTTTCCAGTAGACAGAGGCCTGAGTCTTGAGGACAGGTTATGGGAAGGAGATGTCGGATGTGACCCCTGGCACTCCTCTCTTGTCCCTTCTTCCCTGTAGCACGGGGCTCTGCAGGAGCCTGGAGAGGGTGCCTTCTCTGTAAGGAGGGAATGGGCAGTGGGGCTTGGCATGGAGCTGGCTGCTCTGTTCTCACCCCTGTCTCTTGTATCCTCACCAACCACACAGGAGATCTGTCTGTCTGACTCTCCCATGGTGATGACCTTAGTGGATGGGCCAGCTGAAGAGAGTGACAATCTCATCTGTGTGGCTTATCGACACCAATTTGATGTGGTGAATGAGAGCACAGGAGAAGCCTTCAGGCTGCACCACGTGGAGGCCAACAGGGTAAGCCAGCGGTTGTGGGGACAAGTGAGAATCAGAAAAGAGTAATCATCGTTGTGTATTCTAACCCTGACATGCCATGATTTGGATTTCTTTAAAATTATGTACTATTCATCACATCAGTATTATGTGATTCACTATTTAGACTGAGCCATGTGAAGTTACCATTTTTATAGGTCAGAATGGTTCTATCTATTATCATGTGACTGTCCCATTTGCCCTGTTTAGTTTTCAGATCTTTCCTTGCCATTCCATCCTTCCGAATAAAAGAGATATGAAAAGGCCGGGCACAATGGCTCACGCCTGTAATCCCAGCACTTTGGGAGGCCGAGGCAGGAGGATTGCCTGAGCCCAGGAGTTCGAGACTGGTCTGGGCAACATGGCAAGACCCTGTCTGTATTTAAAATTAAAAAAAAAAAAAGACATGAAGAGTCAAAAGGCTGACTATAATAACTAAATAAATGAGAGCATTTGTTAGATGATTTGTCCTGGGAGGGTCCTTGGAGAATAAGCTTGACCTCTGAGGCACTGCAGACTCTCATCTTGGGGACTGGGTGTTTGGGGTGGGTACTGCACCCTCCCTACCCCCTTAAAAACCCACTAGGAAAGGAAGAAGGGGTGGAAACCCATTAGGAGGGAGTGAGCAGGCAGATTTGCCCTGAGAGTCTACACCCCTGGCCTGATGCACAGAGAACAAGGATGTCCTAGTGTGGCACAAAATCTAGGGCCACCCAAAACTGCTCTCATGTTCTAAAGGTGACTGTGTGGGGTTTGAACCTTGGCGCCCACTGGACAGTGGTGAGCACTCACCACCCTGAGGCCTGGCAGCCTGTCTGTCACTGGAGAGCGTTCAGCACTGACACTGACATTAGCAGATCACAGAGCTTTTCAGCCCACGTATGTATCTCTGTGAGGCAGGACAAGGCCTGCTTGTCAGTGAGCCATTGAGGTTTGCAGCATGCAGTGCAAGCCAGTATTCTGGCCTAGGTACTGAGGAAACCACAGAATGGGGATGTCAGCCCCAGGGAGACTAACTCCTAGTGAGGGCTTCCAGACCCACAGGCTACCTCCAGTCCTGTTCAGCTAAATCAAACAGACTGCAGAATTCTTCCAATTATGCTTTACAACTTGTATTAATTGTAAATATGCTCTGTATAAATATTAAAATTGCTAATTACTATTTTAGGAAGACTTAAGACCTAATTAGAGCAAGATTTTAAGAAACAGAAAAATAAGAAATAGAAAACTGTAGTTGTGATTAGGAGACCTTCTTGTCTTCAGCTATTATTGATCATAGAGTGGTCTGTCATTTCTCTTATCTATATTGGTGGTGGCCAGACTTGTCTGCAATTGGAGTCATCTGAGGAGTTTGAAAATATACCACTGCCTGTGTTCCTCCTCCAGGGATTTCCTGGGTCTGGGGTGTGGCATGGGTTTGGGTATGTTTAAATGGTCCCCAGATAATTGTAATATTTAGCCAAGTTGGGAATCCCTGGTATATTTCATTGCTTTGCAACCCTGGCTGTCATCCCTTGGAGAGCTTTAAAAAGGTCAGTGTCTGACCCCAGGCCAAGCCAATTATATCAGAATCTGGGGGGGTGTGGTACTTGAGAACCAATATTTGTTTAAGTCTGCCCCCAGGTGATACTAATATAGACCTAGGAGAAGGAGTGGGTCCTGAAACTTCCTAATTTAAAGCTGGGAGGAATGCCGCCCACTCCCCCCACCCGCCGCCCCCCACTGCCTGGGCATCCCTGGACCAGCATGTCTTCCTGCCACTGACTTCTGAGGAGCTGGAGCCCTGATTTGTACTTTAAAAGTTCTCACCCTCTTGGCCGGGCACAGTGGCTCACACCTGTAATCCCAGCACTTTGGGCGGCCAAGGCCGGCGGATCACCTGAGGTCAGGAGTTCGAGACCAGCCTGGCCAACATGGCGAAACCCCATCTGTACTAAATATACAAAAATTAGCCGGGTCTGGTGGCACACGCCTGTAATCCCAGCTACTCAGGAAGCTGAGGAAAGAGAATCGCTTGAAGCCAGGAGGCGGAGGTTGCAGTGAGCCAAGATCGTGCCACTGCACTCCAGCCTGGCGACAGAGTGAGACTCCGTCTCCAAAAAAAAAAAAAGTTCTCACCCCCTTCTTCCTTCTCAAAACTGTGTAAGCAGCCAAACAAAGCAGAAATGCCATGGTGCAGCAGGTCCTTGTTCAATCAGTCCTTTTCCTGGCAGCTAGTTTCCTAAGACTTAGCCAGCTTTTGCTAGTGGAAAAGTCCTCACCTCATTTCAGAGAAACTTTCTGACAAGTTCTATTTTAAAATAAATCATGCTTAAGTGGCTGAAAATTATGCAGTTTACTTACTCATCAGGGTAGCTATAGAGAATATCATTTTATTAAATTTCTTTTATATGGTGGTTTTTATTATTTACCTATATTTAATGTCCTATAATTCATTATAGGATTTCTTTTTCCTATGATTTGTAAAGACCCTGGATAAATTGGGTTAAAAACCATTTTCTTTGATGACTTCTGTGCTTTGTTTTTTGGATGGCTGTCAGGAACAACTCTCAAGTTTTCTGTCCTCTCTTCTATGTGCTTCTTAAAAGACAAATATACAAAGTTTTTTCCTAAGAGAAAAAAAAATGTATTTTTGTTGTTGTTGTTGAGACTGAGTCTCGCTCTGTCGCCCAGGCTGGAGTGCAGTGGCGCAATCTCGGCTCACTGCAACCTCTGACTCCCTGGTTCATGCGATTCTCCTGCCTCAGCCTCCTGACGAGTAGCTGGGATTACAGGCACAGCCACCATGCCCAGCTAATTTTTGTATTTTTAGTAGAGACAGGGTTTCACCATGTTGGCCAGGATGGTCTCAATCTCCTGACCTCGTGATCCCGCCCACCTTGGCCTCCCAAAGTGCTAGGATTACAGGTGTGAGCCACCGCACCCGGCCAAGAAAAAAAAGTTTTTAAGGAAAAAAAAACCCTTCCCTATTTCCTGGCTCTGAGAGGATCAGCGTGTACAGCCCTCCCGTGGTAGAATGGCGGCTGCACAGCTCCCAGCAGGCACGGTGCAGTGCACAGCTCCCAGCAGTGCTTAGTCAGATGCACTCACTCATCTTTCAAGGAGGGTACTGTCTGTCTGGGGAGATGAGCCCTAAGAAAATGAAAAAGATAATGAGCTGTATGTTTTCTAATAGCTGGTTAGAAATAGGCCTTGTGGGAACAGGACTAGCTTTTTACCAAGATGTTCCTGCAGCTCAGCACCCAGGGCAGTGGGGACAGGAGAGAGAAGCTGACACAGCGTAGGTCATTGGAATTTCATTTCCATTCCGTCTACATTCGCTGCCTGCCCGCCTCTGTGGGCACCAGTGTTAACTGGGCAGGCCTCGCTTCCTGCTCCCATTCCTCCTCTCTTAGCCAGGACCACTTGATACCTATTTCAGGCTTGTACCCACCCCGGGTTCTGTAACAATCCTAGCTCAAGAGAGGAAATGTTTAAGAAGCACTAAAGCAACATTCTGAAAGTCACTGACAAGTTCACTGTACCAGTGGGCCTGCTGTGACCCACTGCCGCTGCTTTAACCACCAGCACTGACCTCATTCCCAAAACCAAGTGCTCCTCTAGGGGGAACTGCAGGCATAGCCATGGGATCTGGGTCCCTGGTTTATGGGAGGGGCTCAGGTCCTCATCTTGACGTCTGCCCAGAATCCAGTGGTTCTCAGCTGGGGGCTGAGCCCAGAATCACAGGGAAGGCTGAAGGCAGAGCCAGCTAGGAGAGGTACAGTTCCTACTTCACTTGTTACAAGTCTGTGTTTTGAATTTTTACAACCACCATACATTATTTGTTATCATTTTAAAGTACCAATAGAATGAACTACTTATTACTTTTTATTTTTTTTAAGAGAGAGAGAGAGAGAGAGAGACAGGGTCTAGCTCTGTCCCAGGCTGGAGTGCAGTGGTGCAATCATAGTTCAATTCTCCCTCGTTGGCCTACCAAAGCACTAGAATTACAGGCGTGAGCCACCATGCCCAGCCAGAACTACTTATTGTTAATCAAACTTATGAAATAAAGATTTAATGCCTATGTCCTACAACAGACCTGCCATATCAGGGTCTCCAGGAGCAAGAACCCCACCAGGCCCCTGTCCCAAGGTGGAGACAGACACCTATATCAAAGCATAAAATAGATCTCATTGTGCTAAGTGTTAATAAAGGTCTGAATAATAAAGTGCTGTGGCATGCCTGAGGAGGAAGTGGTTAAGGGTTAAGTCCAAGCCTGTTTCTGAATCCTGGCCCTGGGGCTGAAGCCTGCCACCACCTGTCCTGCAGCCCAACTCTCTGAATATTGCCACGTCTGTCTGCCTGTCAGCACAGCGTTGGAGCCCCTTGGTAGACTTACTTGATGCCAAGTACCCCCCTGGTGTCTGTGGTCATTGTGCATAGATCTTGGTCTAAAAGGCTGCCTGAACTTCCTCCATACGTGTCACCACTGCCACCCTCCCTCACCCCACCCCAAACACACACACAGGCCTTATCTCTAAACTAAAAGCCTGTCTAGTTCCACCTTTCCCACTGCAGTCAACCCTCCCATAATTATAATAATTGTGGCCATCACTGAATGGCCACCTCTGTGTACCAGGCCCTGGGTCAGAGCATGTCATAAGCGTTATGTCTTGGAAGGGGCTCTTCATTTCTCCTTTTTTTTTTTTTTTTTTTTGAGACAGAGTTTCGCTCTTGTACCCCAGGCTGGAGTGCAAGGCACGATCTTGGCTCACTGCAACCTCCACCTCCCAGGTTCAAGCGATTCTCCTGCCTCAGCCTCCCAAGTAACTGGGATTAGGTGCCCACCACCACACCCGACTAATTTTTTTTTTTTTTTGTATTTTTAGTAGAGACAGGGTTTTGCCATGCTAGCCAGGCTTGTCCTGAACTCCTGACTTCAGGCCCACCTCGGCCTCCCAAAGTGCTGGGATTACAGGCATGAGCCACCATGCCTGGCACATTTCTCCATTTTTATTGAAAAGGATACTGAAGTCAGAAAGAAGAAGTCACTTACTTACCCCAGAGCACACAGCTAGTAAGTGGCAGAGGCAGGACTTGGACCCCAGCTGGCTGACTCCAGAGACCATGTTCCCACAGCTGGTGGGGATAGCAGGTCCAGCCACAAAGCTGGTAGCACTCGGCCCCTCCCGTGGAGAAGCTCCCAGTCTGGCAGAGCAGACACGGTGCAGCACAAAGCCTCTAGCTGAGATAGTGAAGTAAAACTAACATGTACAGGGACATCTGAGGAGGAAGGGATTTTAAGTCAAAGTGGTGGGGCCAGGAAGGCTCCTTTCTGGGGTCAGAGGAGACTCCAGGACCATCCTTCATGTAATATACCCATTGGTGCTGGTTCCTTATCTAAATAAAGGTATCAGCCAACATTGAGCATTTACCGAGCTCCAGGCCCTGTGCTAGGTGCTTAGATAAGTTACCTCCTGGAGTCCTCAAGCCAGTAGGCCTAGATACTCTTATTTTCTACCATCTTACAAACGAAGAAACTGAAGGTCCGAGAGGGGAAACAACTGGCGTGAGTGCGCATGCCTCTGAAGTGATGGAGCTGGGATTTCATTTACTCACTTGCCCATCCGATGAGTTTATTCTATCCCTGCCACCCGCCAGGCCCTGATCTGGATGATGAGGGGCCAGCAGTGAGCAGCACAGACAGGCCTTTGCGTCATGAGCCTTAGATCTCATGGGGAGGGGAGCCACAGGGAACAAACAGACAAGAGAGCACCAGAGGGTGAGGGACACTCTGCAGAGAGCCTAAAACACAGGGCATGATAGGAGCCATGGGGATTATTTTGGATTTGACAACCCCCGGGTCTGTCCAATGCCAGTGCTGGAGCTCTTGGCCACTGGTCCTCACTGTCACTCCCTGCTGAGCTCCTGCAACTTTTGGTTGAGGCATTTGCCCCATTATACCTTGTTTTATGTACTTATGTGCTTTTCTGGTTTTTTTTCTTAAGGGGTCAACCTCACCTTATTCTTTTCTGTATCCTAGTGGCACTGAATACAGTGCTAGATAATGACAGATGGGAGAGAGCTGGGGATTCCATTGGAAGGGGCACCCAAGCCCAGGCAGTGGCACTGGCTGAGGATGGCCAGTTGGGGCCTTGGCACCATAATGAGACCTTTTAGAGGTGAAGGCTGTGTTCTGGTGACACCAGTGAAGAGAAGGGTCAGCCAGTGCAGGGCCAGTGGGAGGAGCACAGTGTGGACGGAAGGGCTGGGACAGAGGAGCCAGCAGGAGCCCACAACATGGTGCTCCTGTGAGGAGGTCAGGGCTTAGCCTAGAACAGCAGCAGGGGCACAAAAAAACACCTGAGAAACTGTATGAAGAGGCTGCTGCTGGACTTGGGTTGGAGGTGGCCCTGAGACTTTGAGAATAGTTATGCTAACAAAAAGGAGGAGTTTTAGAAGGAAAGCTGGTTGTGTGGGAGATAAAAAGCCAATAGCCTTCACTGAGTGCTCATCATGCATGAGGCCCTGTGCTAAAATCTCTGCCTTGTCTCACTGAATTCCCATTACAATCCAGCAGGGTCAGTGTTCTCATGATGCCTGCTTTACAGACGAAGACCTAAGGCCAGAGGCTAAGCCATTTGCCACACACCACAGAGGCAGTAAGTGGCCTAGACAGGGCTTGATCTCCCATCTGTCTGCCCAGTCTGTGCCCCTCCAACCACCCCACCCCCAATCCACTACCTCCTGCTTTTAATGACTTGGATGTGGAATCAGTTACATCTGAGAACAAACGACATAGTCTAGGGGCTGCAGCCCTGGGGAGAATGTGTGCCTGAGCCCGTGAATTTAGGGTTTTGGGCACAAAGCAAAATTTGGAGCTATAGAAGTGGGGTTTTACTAAGGAGAGAAGAGCCAAGAAATTGAAGAATAATCTGAGGTGGGAGAGAGGGCAGGAGGCAGAAGATGTCACCCATCAGAGGCTGCAGAGGGCAGGATGGATAGATGAGCAGAGGCCAAGGCCTTCGGTTGGGGAGAAGGAGATCTTGGCTGAGCTCAAAGGGTGGTTTTCCTGGAAGCACAGGAGGCCAGGCTCTAAGGGTTGAGAATACAAGTGAGGAAGTGAAAGGAGCAGGAGGCTCTTAGAGGGCTGGAGTTTTGAAAATCAAGAAGGACCAAGGACACCATCAGGTTGAGTGCCCTCCTCTCAAATGCAGAAACTGAGGCCCAGAGAGAGGAGTTTGCCCCAGACCACGGAACTAGGTGTTCTGACACCCTTTTCATTGCACCATGCTGCCTCTCTTGACATGAAGAACAGAGAAAGAATAAAGTGTGAAGACATGCCGTGGCGATTTTAAGGTGCACAGACTTTATCTGTTGGAGGCAGAAGGATGCCTCGCTGGAGGTACGAGAGCGGTAAGGTTGAAAGAGAACCAGAACATTAGTTCAGATGTTGGCTGTGGCGTGTACCAGTCAAGGGACTTAAGTGACTTCACCCTGAGCCTCACTTTCATCTTCTGTAAAATGATAATTATACCATAATGTCAATAATATTAGGTTGATGCAAAAGTAATTGCAGTTTTTGCCATTGGAAATAATGGCATATAAACCTGAGGCATTTCAATAGAGAGAGGAGACATACCAAACACAGAGCTTCTCAACGGCTATGAAAAGATGATGAGAAAGTCCCAGAGAAGAAAGAATGGAGAGACTTTTCTTTCTTTTTTTTCTTTTCTTTTCTTTCTCACTTCCATTGTATTATAATCCCAGCCCCCAATGTGCATTGTGGGTGCTGGTGGGGCAGACATGACCCTATGGCACCTGCATGACAGAGGGCCTCGGCCTCCACAAATGCTCACAACTTGTAAAAGTCTTTTCACAGGGTCAGCATCCAGCCTGCCCACTACCGTTGCCCGTTATCATTGCAGGTTAATTTTGTTGCAGCTATTGATGTGTACGAAGATGGAGAAGCTGGTTTGCTGTTGTGTTACAACTGTAAGTTAAGGATGTGCTTTTATCTTTATTTGCTTAAATGGACTGCTTTTTTTTTTTCTGGGCAATTTAAAAAGATTGTCCTTAGATTTACCCAGTGTATCATTCCTGGGTTTGTAATTGCCTTCCAGGAAGGAACTGAAAAATACCTTCCTCCCTGAGTCTCCCGCTGCGCACCAGGCCTCTTGGTGACACAGTGCAAGAACTGGCACTTGTGATGCTATCTCCAGGATGCGCCAGTGATGACAATGGCTTCCAGTTAGGAGGCCCTTACTGTGTGCCAGGTGCCGTGCTCGGTATGCTGTGGTCATTGTCTCACTTGATTCTCACAATGAATGCCCGCAGCAGGCTCGGTTATTATCCCCAGTTTAGAGATGAGGCAACTGAGGCCTAGAGAGGTGAACTCGTCAAGGTCTTGTGGCTACTAAGCAGCAGGGCCAGGGTTTGCATCGGGTGCTCTCTTGACTCCAGCACCCACAATTTTAACCACTGTCGCTATTCTACATTTTGCTGTTTCTCAGGTATTAATGAAATCAGCCTCAACCCAGGGTATCCAGCCTCAGTTGGCCTAGTTTGGATTAGGTGGCAGGGTAGGTGTTGGGCAGACCAAAGGTATCAAATGGGATCTTTAAGGATTTTCAGCATTTCAAAAGCTAATATTATAATACATTTTCATAAAAATGATGTTTTAAGGGTAAAAGAAAAGAAGTAAGCTATTTTCCTAGATAAAGCTGCCCAGTCTAACAAGACATAAAACATGTTTTTCGGCCTAGGATTTTATCAATTTAGAGTGGTAATGCTGGGTCAGATGTTTTGATTAATTAATCTTTGATTAATAAGTATAAGAAAGCTAATTATTAGAAGAGAAGGTTGTTTTATAAACATCATCTTTCAAAATTCGAGATTTATGGGGAATAAATTAGGAGAAGGTGGTTAAACCTCTTCAACAATAAATTGCTCTTTGGGGACATTTTATGCACAGAACTGTGCACCCTCCTCAGAACAGCAGGTCTTTAATGGCCCATGTGATGAGAAGGGCCCCATCAAGGCAGCAGGAATGGGCCACTCTCCCACACCCCATGGGCCAGGCCACTGCCACTCCTGCTGCCCTGCATCCCCAGGTTTATGGCTGCATGGTAGAAGTCACTTCTGTAAGAAATTCACCTTTCTAAAATAAAGTATGCTCTTTTTTCTGAGACATCTATAGAATAACTTGTGGCAGAGTGTTTTAAAAACTGATTTGGATTTTTTTTATCCTTTAACCGTGTGAAAGGATGGAAGGGATTTTAGGTGGAAGAGAAGTTAAGAACAGAAAGATAGAGCAGGTTTTTAGAGTGGGAGAATTAATCCCAAAGAAAAAGAGGGCATGGAAACAAATGTGGATGCCATGGGCTCTGTGCCAGACTTGCCAGTGCTGACTGGAACAGGCCGGGCTCCTCACTCAGCGGCTCCTGCCTCAGCTGTGGTTCCCGCAGCCTCTGGGTCTCACGGAACCCTTCCTTGGGAGTTCCATTTCTCATGGCTTTGCTCATCTTCCGGCTTCAGGCTCTGACTTCATCTCAGGATGGGATCGGTGTGTGTCTGTTTTCATAGATCCACTACATCAGAAGTATCTTTACATCTCTGTATCTTTACATCCCAAGGTCAAGGCCCTGGCAACCTCAGAGGTTCCCATAGCTTCAGTCTTCCCCAAACCATGCCACTTCCTCCCATTTCTTTGGGTCAGGAATCTGGCTTTTGTTTTCCATATTTCTTTTTCCCAAGACATTGGGAGGCATCTGGTGAACAACACCAATAAAACAGTTCTCTCCCCACGGTCATCCAGGTCACTTCTCTAACTCATTCCTGCACACACAGCACACGTGGAATTTGCCTGTTTAGTCTATGTTCTTGACTTGATCACAGACGCCTGTACAATAAAGCCCCTTTTCAACAAGGTGCTGCAGAATGATAATGCTTTCCCCAAAATCTGAAACTGATTTGTATCATTGAAGTTTTTTTCTGTATTAAAAATAAAGCAAAATTAAAAATAAACTTTATGTGGAGGAATTTTTATCTCAGATATGTTAGAGTTGAAAATATTTTATAATGGAGATTGCAACTTTCAGTTATGTGTTATTTGAAAAAAATATATATTCACTTGGTAACCTTTAGGGGAAAAAATAGTATAAATTGTTCAATATGCTACTAATATTGGGTTTTTTAAATAATTAAACTCTATTTTTATTACCAGAATCTGTCTTTAACTGTTTAAAAAGACAAAGAAAAAGAAAACTTGGCTCTGCCCTTAGCACCCAGTAATCATTCACCTTTAATGCAAGTAATTTCAGTGCTAAGGGCAAACTCTTGTGTTTGCTGATGATGCTTTAAAGATAATCATGCCAGGAAAACTAGAAAAGCTCGCATAAGTGCCCCTTGTTTTTGATGCGATCATATTTAACCTCACTAAGTCTTCACTTTCAGATAAGTAATAGTAAGAATACAAAACCTGCTTCTTAACAACTGTTGTAAGTACTAAGCAGGATGATACATGTAAAGCCCACAACACATTGCCTGACATGACAGGATTTTATTTTCCCACTATTTATTCCAGAATCATCAGAGTATTTATTCAGAACTCAGTTTTTTAACCTTCATAGACTTTCTTTTTTTTTTTTTTTTTTTTTTTTGAGGTGGAGTTTCGCTCTTGTTGCCTAGGCTGGAGTATGGTGGTGTGATCTCAGCTCACTGCAACCTCTGCCTCCCAGGTTCAAGCGATTCTCCTGCCTCAGCCTCCTAAATAACAGAGAGGCGACGGGATCCACAAGGTTGAAGAGGAGCACTCTGGCTGCTGTGGGGCATTCGCCGAAGGGGTAGGGGTAGGGAGACCAGGGAGAAGGTGACTGCGTATGTCTGATGAGAGGACAGCAGTGGGACCAGAACTACAGCAGTGGAGATGCTGAGAAGGTCAGGTCCAAAATACATTTCTTTTTTTTTTTTTTTTTCCAGATAGAGTCTAGCTCTGTAGCCCAGGCTGGAGTGCAGTGGCACAATCTCGGCTCACTGCAACCTCTGCCTCCCAAGTTCAAGCAATTCTCCCGTCTCAGCCTCCTGAGTAGCTGGGATTACAGGCACGTGGCACCACACCCGGCCAATTTTGTATTTTTAGTTAGAGACGGGGTTTCACCATGTTGGTCAGGCTGGTCTCGAACTCCTGACCTCAGGTGATCCACCTGCCTCAGCCTCCCAAAGTGCTGGGATTACAGGCGTGAACCACTGTGCCCACCCCGAAATGCATTTCAAATATAAGGGCCAAGTGCAGTGGCTCACGCCTGTAATCCCAGCACTTTGAGAGGCTGAGGCGGGCAGATCATTTGAGGTCAGGAGTTCAAAACCAGCCTAGCCAACATGGTGAAACCCCGTCTCTACTAAAAATACAAAAATCAGCCAGGAGTGGTGGTGCGCGCCTGTAGTCCTATCTACTGGGGTGACTGAGGCAGGAGAATCGCTTGAGCCCAGAAGGTGGAGGTTGCAGTGAGCTGAGATCACACCACTGCACTCCAGCCTGGGTGACAGAGCAAGACTGTCAAAACAAAACAAAACAAAACAAAAACATTTCAAATGTAAGAACCAAGATCCAGTACTCATCCCTCAAATCTGCTGCTTCCCCTGCCTTCAGCTTCCCAGCAGCAAGCACCAGCCTTCCACGGCAACACGGTATCTTCGTGCAGCTTTCCTGTTTACACTACTGCTTTTTTATTAAATGGTGTTCAGTTAAAAAAAAAAAAAAAAAAGAACCAAGCTAATTTGCTGATTAATCAAATTTGGGATGTGAGAGGAAGAAGAAAAAAAAAGGAAGACTCTGCAGTTTGGAGCCTGAGCAGCTGGGAGAATGGAGAATACGGCTTCCTGAATGAGGAAAGCTCGGCCAAGAGCAAGTTTGAGGAAAAGCTCAAGAGTCCAGCCTGGACCCATCAGTGCCTTCCTGTACCCCCGTGGAGATGCCCAGTGACCTGGATGTGCAAGTCCAAGGCACTCAAGAAAGAGCTGTGCCTGGAACTCTTTCATTAGCATATAAATGATGTTTAAAGTCATGAAACTAAAGAAATTACCAAAGGGAAGGGAGAGACAGAGGCACCAGCAAAGTAGACTGAGGAAGAGTGCCCGGAAAGGCAGGGATTACCAGGAGCCTGCAGGAAGGAGGGCGTCCCCACCTGTGCCCCTGCCAGAGCAGGCGAGGCCTGTCTGAGAGGGACCCTTGGACCCAGCGAGGTGGAGGTCATTTGGAAGACAAGAGCGGGCGTCTCTGGAAAGCAGGGGGAGCACTTTTTCACAGGGGTTGTGAGGCGGTGGGAGAAGAGAAAGCAGACTGGGAGCACAGATGACTCTTCAGAGACTTGCTTTAAGGGAAAAAGAGAGGCGGGATGTAATAGCTACAGGAAGGGTCTTTTTGTTTTTCTGAAGTGTGGGATAAATAGTAAGTTTGTAAGGCCATGGGGGAAGCTCCAATAGGGAAGGGAGGACTAGTGGTGCCAGGGAGAGGGGGAGAATTGCTGGAGCAAGTCCCTGCATCTGTGGAAGCCATCAGGACACAGTGGGAAGAGGAAGGATTGGCCACACCTGAGAGCATCAGAGCCACAGGCAGCCGTGGCAGTGGTGCCCAAGGTGTCCTCTCTGGAGCATTTGTTCTCTCGGGAAGTAAGGGCTCTCTTGACTGTGGTTAGCTTTTTGTCTTAATTCACTCTGTCAGATACACAACTGTAAGACACTAAGATAACTGTTTTACAAGGCACAGTGGTCGCATCAAAGGAGTCCCTAAGCCCGATGGGCCAGGACATTCCAAAAAGATTGGACATGGTGGGAGAGGTACTTGTTTCTGGAGCTTCTGATGGCGCTGTCACCTCCCCTGTTCCTGCCCCGCAGCACAGGCCTTGATCCGAAGCTCTGGCTTTCTACACCTCTCTCTCCCACGGAAGTGGGAAATATCAGGAGTTTAAAAAAAGAACTGTTAAACTGTACAGGATTCCATATGACAGGATGCCGTTGAAAGTGTGCTGCCCAGAGAGAAGGGAACAAGGAAGCAGATGGCATGAAAAGAAGGGGAGAGCCTCCTTCAGTGAACCACAAACACCCAGAAGGCCAGACCATGGCCCAGCTCTCTGGCCCGGACCCCAGGACCCAGCTGGCACAGTGCTTGTGTCCATAAACTTTGCTGGACTGAGCCAAACCTGTGCCCTGTATCAGAGAGCCATATCAGAGGCAGATCTATCCAAGGAGACTTTTCTGTCCCCACCTTTCTGACATTGCTGTCCACTCTCCTTTTCAGACTTCCTTCTCTCCCAGCTTCTGTCCCATCTTCTTGCTTTCTTTCTGCCCCTCTGGCCCTCTTGTCTCAGTACTGTGCCGTTCACAGTCTCTTCTCCAGTCACCCCTTAAACGCTGGCATTCCAGAGGGCCCTGTCCTCGCCTTTCCATCTGGCGTGCTCATTCTCCCCTGCAAGCTTGATTGCCAGTGTGCTGCTGCTGACTCCCAGGTCTCTCCAGTCCAGACCCACTGCTGAACTCTGCACCAATGTGTCACACTCCTTACTGTACAGCCCACTTCAGCAGCTCAAGGGCACCTCGGACTCAACCTGTCCACCCTGAACTCGAGATCTTTCCTCCTCACATGTGCTCCTCCTCTGATGTGCCCCACCCCAGTGCAAGGGCAGCACCTTCCACCCATCACCCAAGCCAGAGACACAGTTGGCACAATGGACTTCTCCCTGCCTTTACTCCCCATCTCCAAGCTGTCTTCCCACACAGCTCAGATTCATTCCAAATGGCCTATCTTTTATGGACCAGTCACTCCTCACCTGGTCGGTGTAGCACGCACGGAATTTCTTGGACTTTGGCTCCGTCTTAGAGCAACCCACCTCTCCCCTCTGCACTGCTGCTGGAGTCAGCTTCCTAGAACCCTGATGCTATCCTCTCACTTTCCCTAGCCAGGACTCCCTTTCCCAAGCCAGCCTCTGCCTTCCTCTGCCTTCCTTCACGTAGGAAATCTCTATGTGATTTCCAGAGATTCCTGGAGACAGGAGAAGGTGTGCCCTGATTCTGTGGGAAGCACGGAAGGAACTGGTGCAGGCTGTGTGTGTCACAGTGTTGGGTGACAACGGGAGCAGCTCACCAGTCTTGTTCTGAGCAAGAGGCTGAAGATTGAGGGATACATTCCCCATCTGTTTACCTGCCAGCTGTGCCTTGGTTCAAGGCAAATTTTATGTAGAATATAAAATGCTATTACAGAAAAAGTGTCATAAGACTTTATTCAAGATTTTCAATGTCATAGTTTTTGGTTTCATAATGACAAATATATTTTAAATGTTTTTTAATCAAGTGAGTCACATAATAACATATCATTAATGTGTTATATATTTTGTTATCACATATAATTACATAAACAAATTGGTCAATTGAACAAAATAAAGAATCCAGAAATAGATTTACACATATTTGGTAAATTGATTTTTGACAAAGGTGCGAAGGCAGTTCAATAGCAAAATAAGAGTCTTTTTTAACAAATGATACCAGAATAATTGGATAGACATGTGCAAAAAAAATTTTTTTTGAGAAGGAGTTTAGCTCTTGTTGCCCAGGCTGAAGTTCAGTGGCGCGATTTTGGCTCACGGAAACCTCCGCCTCCTGGGTCCAAATGATTCTCCTGCGTCAGCCTCCCGAGTAGCTGGGATGACAGGTGCATGCCACCATGCCCGGCTAACCAAAAACTTTGTTCCATACCTCACATTCATTCATTCATTCATTCATTTTTCTTCAAAGCATTCACTCATTTATTCAGAATATATAAATAAGAAGTACAATATGTCAGGTATTGTTTTAGAGGAGGAAGACACTATCCTTGCCCATCCCCATCCCAGGATTCTTGACACATAAACAAATTGGTGCAATGTGCTATAAGAGATGTGTAGGGGAATAAGAGTACCAAGAAAGAAGCCATGAGGTTATGGGTGTTTGTGGGGCTGAGGATACAAGAAGTGTTTCCTGTAGGAGATAATGATAATATGTGTTTAGTCTACTATGTATTCTTAATCTATATTTGTAAAACAATGGTCCACATAATGATATCTGACTTGTACAAAATATCTTTTAGGGACAGTAGTTTTTATGCTGGCAAATTAAAATTATGCAAGAACTCTGGGACCCCTTAAGTTTTCCTGGGTCTTACTTACTTTGTAAATTTTAGCTCTACATAGTGTAATATATGTTTTATCTGAATGTTGAGACACACTAAGGAACAACACACTTCTTTTTGCACAGACTGGTGGCAACAGCTTTGGAATGTGTTTATCAAATTAAGAGACAAAAACACAAAATGCTACAGTTCAAAACTGGCTTTTTATTAGATCTGCTACTTTGCTTCAAACTTTAAACTCTACCCAGATAATGCAAGAAACAGAGAAGTACCAGTTGCAGAAAACCCTCTGTGTTGATTGCCTTTTGGGAATTTTAACATTTGAATATACTTCCCAGTGTGGAAGCTTGGAGTCAGGGGTGGACTCCAGAAGATACAGGGGCCTACCTAGCTGTAACCACATTATTATGAAGAACAAAATTACAGCTGAATTAAATTTTGAAGGCTGTCCTTGAGAATATGCATAGAAAGTTTTGTGTTACCTAATAGATAATTTGTGAGCCTGATGTCATTCAAAAGCCAGAGAAGAAATATTCAGGCTAAAACAAAACTTCCTACTTTCTTAGAACAAAGAGAATGTACTTCTTGTTGGGAAGCTAAATCCTAGGAAAGGGAAAACAAATACTCATAGATTGCAAGTCCCAGAGAATTTTAAAGTGAGTAAGATCGAACCACCAGATGAACCAGGGACCTTCCTAGAGAACTGAAAAGAAGCCTCAAGTATTGCTATTGCTGTAGCGTACAGGCATCAGAGTGGGTGTTTTAGTGAGTTAGGTTGAGATCAGGTGGCCTACATGAGCTCTGGGAACCAAAACAACAACATAGGAATATAGGTTAAATGTGTAGGTGGTGCTATAACTTTAAGTGGCTGAGTTCAAGATAATTTACAGTGATTTGGTCCTAGATGCTGTTATACTGGCACCCACCCAGCCTTTTTAAAAAGATAAAATCAGCCGGGTCCGATGGCTCACGCCTGTTTTCCCAGCACTTTGGGAGGCTGAGGCAGGAGGATCTCTTGAGGCCAGGAGTTCAAAACCAGCCTGAGCAATATAGTGAGACCCTGGTCTCTAAAAAAAAGAACATCAAAGCCTAAAAGTACAAAAGAGGTCTTTCAGGTTGCAGAGATAAGACATGGTCCATCACCCCCTTGGTGGAAGAGTGAATGAAAATATTGGCCACTTTGATTTTGCTGCTGTTTAGAAGGACTCCTGGCTGGGCGCGATGGCTCATGCCTGTAATCCCAACACTTTGGGAGGTTGATGTGGGCAGATCACTTGAGTCTGGCCAACATGGTGAAATGCTGTCTCTACTAAAATTACAAAAAATTAGCTGGGCATGGTAGTGCACACCTGCAATCCCAGCTACTTGGGAGACCGAGGCACAAGAATCACCTGAACCCAAGAGGCGGAGACTGCAGTGAGCCAAGATCAGGCTACTGCACTCCAGCCTGGGTGACAGAGTGAGACTCCGTCTCAAAAAAAAAAAGGAGGCTGGGTGCGGTGCTTCACGCCTGTAATCCAGGCACTTTAGGAGGCCGAGGTGGGTGGATCACCTGAGGTCAGGAGTTCGAGAGCAGCCTGACCAACATGGTAAAACCTCGCCTCTACTAAATACAAAAAATTAGCCAGGCGTGGTGGCTCATGCCTGTAATCCCAGCTAATTGGGAGGCTGAGGCAGGAGAATCACTTGAACCCAGGAGGCGGAGGCTGCAGTGAGCTGAGATTGCGCCATTGCGCTCCAGCCTGGGCAACAAGAGCAAAACTCTGTCTCAAAAAAACAAAAAGAAAAAAAAAAAGGAAAGACTCCTCTCACATCAGATTTAAAAATTCATTCAAAATGGATCATAAAACTACATGAAAAACCTAAAACCTAATAAAAACTTCTACAAGAAAGCATAGAAGATATTTATGAGCTTGGATTGGCAAAAGTTTCTTAGATATTGCATCAAAAGCATAATCCATAAAAGAAAAAATTAATAAATTGAACTTCATCAAAACTAAGAACTTCCTTGAAAAACACAAGCAAATGAAAAGGCAAGGCACAGACAGAGAAAATATTTGCAAATCACCTATCTCATACAGGACTGGTAAAGGGAAAATATAAAGAACTCTCAATGATAAGAAAATAACCCAGTTAAAAAGAGGGCAAAACACTTGATGAGGTAGTCCATCAGAGAAGATTTATGGATGGTAAATAAGCACATGAAAAGGTGTTCAATATCATTAGCTATTAGGGCAATGCAAATCAAAACCACAATGAGGGCTGGACAAAGTGGCTTACACCTGTAATCCCAACACTTTGGGAGGCTGAGATGGGAGGAACACTTGAGGCCAGAGTTCAAGATTAGCCTGGGCAGTATCATGAGACTCCATCTCTACAAAAAAAAAAAAAAAACAACAAAGAAAAACTTTTTTAAAAAACTATAATGAGATACCACCACACAACTATTAAATGGCTAAAATGAAAACGATTGCTCGTAATCAGTGTTGGTAAGGATGTGAAGAAAATGGCTTTCTCATGTGTGGCTGGTGGAAATGTAAATTGGTATAATCACTTTGGAAAACAGTTCTTCAAAAAGTTAAACATTCGCTCACCATATGGCCCAGCCGTTCCACTTCTAGGAATGGATGCAAAAGAAATAAAAGCACAGGCTGGGTGCGGTGGCTCACACCTGTAATCTCAGCACTTTGAGAGGCCAAGGCAGGCAGATCACCTAAGGTTAGGAGTTCAAGACCAGCCTGGTCAACATGGTGAAACCCTGTCTCTACTGAAAATACAAAAAAAATTAGCCAGGCGCGGTGGCAGGCACCTGTAATTCTAGCTACTCAGGAGGCTGAGGCAGGAGAATTGCTGGAACCCGGGAGGCAGAGGTTGCAGTGAGCCAAGATCGCGCCGTTGCACTCCAGCCTGGGTGACAGAGCAAGACTCTGTCTCAGAAAAAAAAAAAAAAAAGAAAAGAAAGAAATGAAAGCATATGTATGTCCCCACAAAGATTTGTATCCAAATATTCATAGCAGCATTATTTGTATTAGCCCAAAACTGAAAACAACACAAATGTCCATTGTGGAGGTTTTAAAATATGTCCACAAGTTCCTTGATACTTCTTCCCTCAAGAGGTGAAGATCATTCCTCTTCCTTTGTAGGCAGGCTGGACTTAGTGATTCCTGTCTACCAAACAGAATATCGTAGAAGTGAAGGTATGCAACTTCTAAGACTAGGTCAAAAAAGGCATTGCGACTGCCTTATGGTTCCTTCTTGTGTCACTCACTCTGGAGAAGCCAGCTGTGATGTCCTGAGGACACTCAAGCAGCCCAGGGGAGAGGTCCTTGTGGTGAGGAACTAAGTCCTCTGCCAAGAAGCATGTGAGTGCACCATCTTGGAAGCAGACCCAAGTCAAGCCTTCTGATGACTGTAACCTCCAATGACATCTTTTTTTGTTTGTTTGTGAGACAGAGTCTTACTCTGTCACCCAGGCTGGAGTATAGTGGCGTGATCTTGGCTCACTGCAACCCCTGCTTCTGGGTTCAAGCGATTCTCATGCCTCAGCCTCCCAAGTAGGCTGGGATTACAGGCACACACCACCACGCCCAGCTAATTTTTGTATTTTTGGTAAAGACAGGGTTTCACCATGTCAGCCAGGCTGGTCTCGAACTCCTGACCTCAAGTGATCCACCTGCCTCGGCCTCCCAAAATGCTGGGATTAGAGGCGTGAGCCACTGCACCCAGCCTCTTAACATTTTTTTTTTGAGACAGTCTCGCTTACTGCAGGCTCCGCACCCCGAGTTCACGCCATTCTCCTGCCTCAGCTTCCCGAGTAGCTGGGACTACAGGCGCCTGCCACCTTGCCCGGCTAATTTTTTGTATTTTTAGTGGAGACGGGGTTTCACCGTGTTAGCCAGGATGGTCTCGATCTCCTGACCTAGTGATCCGCCCGCCTCGGCCTCCCAGAGTGCTGAGATTACAGGCATGAGTCACCGTGCTGGGCCAGCCTCTTAACATTTTAACGTCTCTGAATTTAGCATGCATCTTATAATTATAGTGGACAGCTTTCTTTCTTTCTTTCTTTCTTTCTTTTTTATGGGACGTTTTAAAGGATGTCTTATTACTTTTGCCAGAAAAACAGTACATCTTTTATTCAGTGACATCCTAGATTCAATGAAATATGGTAAGTTTTGAAATCTAGGTAAGAAGAACAATTTTGTAGTTGAAAATAAATTCTTAAAATTGTCCTAAAAAATGGCAGAAAACCTGACTGAGTCAGTAAGTATAGAAGATATTGGAAAGTTTTTTAAAAACTAGCCTCCACAAAAGGGTTCCAACCCTCGTGGAATTTGGGACAAGGACAATCCAACATCACTGTAGAATCTAAGAAAAAGTTTGAACAAATGGACAAATATACTATGCTACTGAATGGGAAGACTTCATCTTGCAAAGATGTATATTTCTCCTCAGATGAAATAAATTAATGTGATTCCAGTCAGAATCCCAATTCTTTTCTCTTTATGCCTGGCATGTAGTAGGCACTCCATAAATATCTGCTAAGTGATTAGATGAGTGATTTGCCAAAAATTTTTTAAAAGATTTGTCATGAAGGATGATTATTTCTTTAACATTATAATTTATTGCAAAGCTACAATAATTAACACAGTATGATGCTGGTGCAAGAATAGACAAGCCACTCAATACAACAGAATAAAGTCCAGAAATAAACTCAAGTATATATAAAATGTATACGATGAAAGTAGCATTTCAAATCTGTAGAGACATGATGAATTTTTTTAAAGATAACGTTAGGACAATTGGACAAACTTTTGGAAAAAGTAAATGTATGCCTCTGTTTTTAGTTCTAAATAAATTAAAAGTGAAATATAAAAAGTCAGTGTCTGAAATTTATAAAAGAAAACATGGACCACTGTGTACCAAGTCTTAGCGGTGGAGAGAGCCTTTATAAGGATGACATTAAAGCAGAAGCCGGCCAGGAGGGGTGGCTCACACCCGTAATCCCAGCACTTTGGGAGGCTAAGGCGGGCAGATCACTTGAGGTCAGGAGTTCGAGACCAGACTGGCCAACATGGTGAGACCCTATCTCTATTAAAAATACAAAAATTAGCCGGGCGTGGTGGCATGTGCCTGTAATCCCAGCTACTTGGGAGGCTGAGGCAGGGGAATCGCTTGAACTCAGTGGGGCAGAGGTTGCAGTAAGCTGAGATCGTGCCATTGCACACCAGTCCAGCCTGGGCAAAAGAACCAGACTCCGTCTCAAAAAAAAAAAAAAAAAAAAATGCAGAATCCATGAACAAAGTTTGAAAGATCTGATTACACAAAACTTAAAATTTCTATGCCAAAAAGAACCATAAAATTAAAAGAGAAACAGCAAACTGGGGAAAATATGTGTGAGTTTCCAAAAGGGCCAATATCATTAGTATAGGCTGGGCACGGTGGCTCACACCAGTAATCCCAGCACTTTGGGAAACCAAGTCGGACAGATCACTTGAGCTCAGGAGTTCGAGACCAGTCTGGCCAACATGGTAAACCCAGTCTCTACTAAAAATACAAAAAATTAGCCAGGCATGGTGGCACATGCTTGTAATCCCAGCTACTCAGGAGGCCAAGGCACAAGAATTGCTTGAACCAGGGAGGCACAGGATGCAATGAGCCAAGATTCTCGTGCCACTGCACTCCAGCCTGGGCAACAAAGCAAGACTCTGTCTCAAAAAAAAAAAAAAAAAAATCATTAACATAAAAAGAGATCTTACATATCAAAAAGATAAAGACGGCTGGGCACCATGGTCACGCCTGTAATCCCAGCACTTTGGGAGGCCAAGAGGGCAGATCACCTGAGGTCGGGAGTTCAAGACCAGCCTGGCCAACTTGGAGAAACCCCGTCTCTACTAAAAATATAAAAATCAACTGGGCTTGGTGGCCCGTGCCTGTAATCCCAGCTATTCGGGAGGCTTAGGCAGGAGAATCGCTTGAACCCAGGAGGCGGAGGTTGTGGTGAGCCGAGATCGTGCCATTGCATTTCAGCCTAGGCAACAAGAGTGAAACTCCGTCACAAAAAAAAAAAAAAAAAACAGATAAAGGCATGAGCACCCATTAAAATATGAGAGAAGGATATGAGCAGATAATTTACAAAAGAAAGAAATCCAGTTACCCAATAAGCATTGTTAAAAGATAAATTTTGACACATTAAAATTTTTAAGAGTTTGAGCAGTGATTTTTATATATATATTTTTTGTTTGTTTGTTTGTTTGTTTGTTTTGAGATGGAGTCTCACTTTATAGCCCAGGCTGGAGTGCAGTGGTGCCATCTCAGCTCACTGCAACCTCCGCCTCCCAAGTCCAAGTGATTCTCCCACCTCAGCCTCCCGAGTAGCTGGGATTACAGGTCCCCACCACTAGGTCCGGCTAATTTTTTTGTATTTTTAGTGGAGATGGGGTTTCACCATGGTGGCCAGGCTGGTCTCAAACTCCTGACCTCAAGTGATCTGCCCGCCTTGGCCTCCCAAAGTGCTGAGATTACAGGTGTGAGCCACTGAGCCCGGACAACAGTGATTTATTAATCAGGCAGCTCCAAACCTGAGGGAACAAAGGGAGGCTTTTATAGGGTGAATGCAGAAGCAAAGCAAAGCAAGTATTTGATTTGCTAAAATGGAGCAGTAGCTTTACTTGGCTCATTCCAATGGAAAGTCCTTGGTTAGAGGTTAGTTGACTGTTTCTGGTTGGCTCCTAGAATATGACCTTTTACACTGAGTTGGGTTTTGGTTTGCTTATGTAGGAACTCACAGCACTGGGACCACCTCGTTCTAATGGCCTTGCAATTATTTTAACATCATGGGAAAAACTGTGCCCCACTGAGAATTTTAATATGCAAATTATCATTGTAATTATTTGGTCACTCAGACTGGCTGAGACTGTCAGAGTCATGGATTCTGGCACCCTCTCTCTGCACTGCTAGAAGTGGTCTAGATGGTACAGCCTTCTGGGGAAGAAGTTGGCAGGATGTGATTTTTAATGGACACAGCCTGTGTACTCACAGGCAATTATTTTAAGACATAATCAGCAAACTGTGAATAATGAGTTCTTGATTGTCTGTTACAACATCATTTATAAAGCAGAAAGCTTTGGAAACTAAATGGAAACAGGAGGAAACTGGTAAAGATGTTTTGTTACATTCAAATACTGAAGTGCCATACAGTGAGTTAAAGTTATGTTCTTGAAAAATGCATAGAAGAAAATATACAATATAGTGAAGAAAGCAAATTATATGTTAAAGTCCAATTCTGTTTTTCTTTATAACATTTATCTTGCTTATTCATTCTGAATAAAAATACTTGAAGGAGAAATACCAAAATGCTATCAGTACTGGCCGGGTGCGGTGGCTCACACTTGTAATCCCAGCGCTTTGGGAGGCCAAAGCGGGTGGATCACTTGTGGTCAGGAGTTCGAGACCAGCCTGGCCAACATGGTGAAACCCCATCTCTACCAAAAATAAAAAAATTAGCCAGGCGTGGTGGGGCACGCCTTAGTCCCAGCTACTCGGGAGGCTGAGGCAGGAGAATTGCTTGAACCCAAGAGGCAGAACCCAAGAGGCATAGGTTGCAGTGAGCCAAAATCGCGCCACCGCACTCCAGCCTGGGTGATAGAGCAAGACTCTGTCTCAAAAAATATGTGTGTGTGTGTGTGTGTGTGTGTGTGTGTGTGTGTGTCAGTATTTCTCCCTGGGACATAAGGTTGCAGATGATTTTTAAAATTTTCTTCTTTATGTTTTTCTTTGTTCCTCAAATATTCTACAACAAAACACAGAAAAAAATAACAAAGCTCATAAAGATGTAGATATAGATACAAAGTATTTAACAGTAAATAACATTCTGAATAAAATAAAATCATGTGACTTACATATAACCCAGCAATCTATACAAGAGAAATGAATATATGTCCATGCAGACTTGTACAGGAATGTTCATAGCATCTTTATTAACAATAGCAAAAAGCAGAAACAACCCAAATGCCCATCAAATGGTAAGTAGATCAACAAAATGTAGGCTATTCATACAGTGGAATATTATTTGGCCATAAAAAGGAATGATGCACTGACACATGGGTGAGCCTCGAAAACATCGAGCTCAGTCAAAGAAGCCAGACACAAAAGGCCACATGTTGCATGATGCAATTTATATGAAATGTCCGGAAAAGGCAAGTCCACAGACACAGAAGCAAATAAGTGGTTGACCAGGGCTAGGGGAAGAAATGGGGAGTGAGGTTTCATTTTAGGATGATGAGAGTTCTAAAATTAGATCATGATGATGTTAGACAACCCTGTAAATATGCTAAAATTCATTGAATTGTACATTTTATTTTATTTTTTTGAGACAGTCTAGCTTTGTCACCAGGCTGGAGTGCAGTGGCGTGATCTTGGCTCACTGCAACCTCTACCCCCCGGGTTCAAGTGATTCTCCTGCCTCAGCCTCCCGAATAGCTGGGATTACAGGCATGCGCCACCACGCCCAGCTGATTTTTGTATTTTTGGTAGAGATAGAGTTTCACCATGTTGGCCAGGATGGCCTCGATCTCCTGACCTCGTGATCCGCCCACCTCGGCTTCCCAAAAGTGCTGGGATTACAGGCGAGAGCCACTACACCTGCCCGAATTGTACCTTTTTAATGGATGAATTTTGTGGTCTATAAATGATCTCAGTAAAGCTGTTATTTTTAATAATTAAAAAATAAAATTGGTTTCATTATTTTTCAAACAGTAAACATACTAATACAGCCAAGACCCAATTGCAACAAAACTCTATATCTACAGACTCATCAAGTTGCTAATTATATCATTTTTTATTCCTTTTTTTTTCAGAAATTAGAAATGTGATTCTAAAATGTAGGTGGGGACATTTTGTGAACTAAAATGCATTAGCAGAATCCAAGATACTGGTCCTACATGTCATTATCTCTTCTCAGAGTAACACTACCATCTTTACCTCTACCCTCTGTAGACAGTTTTAAACATTTAAACGAATGAAATTATACAGTATGTACTCAGATATCTAGCTTCTAGCTTTTCTTTTCTTTTCTTTTCTTTTTTGAGATGGAGTCTCGCTGTGTCACCCAGGCTGGAGTGCAGTGGCGTGATCTCGGCTCACTGCAAGCTCCGCCTCCCGGGTTCACACCATTCTCCTGCCTCAGCCTCCTGAGTAGCTGGGACTACAGGCGCCCGCCACCACGCCCGGCTAATTTTTTTTTTTTTTTGTATTTTTAGTAGAGACGGAGTTTCACCGTGTTAGCCAGGATGGTCTCGATCTCCTGACCTTGTGATCCTCCCGCCTGGGACTCACAAAGTGCCAGGATTACAAGCGTGAGCCACTGCACCTGGCCGCTTTTCTTTTTTTGCTCAATATTATGTCTGTGAGTCATCCCTGTTGTTGTGTGTCAATAATTAACATTCAGATGTTTAGTAACATCCATTCTTTATGATGTTAATAAAAATTCAGGCCAGCTCGGTGGCTCATGCCTGTAATCCCAGCACTGTGGGAGGCTGGGGCGAGTGGATCACTTGAGGTCAGGAGTTCGACACCAGCCTGGCCAAATGGAGAAACCCCACCTCTACTAAAAATGCAAAAACTAGCTGGGCATGGTGGCGGGCGTCTGTAGTCCCAGCTACTTGGGAGGCTGAGGCAGGAGAATCGCTTGAACCTGGGAGGCAGAGGTTGCAATGAGCTGAGATCTCACCATTGCACTCCAGTCCAGGCAACAGAGCAAGACTCCGTCTCAAAAATTAAAAATAATAATAATAATAACTCCATCTTTCATTGAGAAAGAAATGTATGGCTAAAACATGATGGTTTGGGAGGCTGAGACAAGAGGATTGCTTGAGCTCAGGAGTTGGAAACCAGGCTAGGCAACATAGACCTTGTCTCTACTGAAAAAAAAAAATTAGCTGGGTGTGCTGGTGTGCACCTGTAGCCCCAGCTACTGGGGGATTTAAAGTAGGAGGCTCACTTTAGCCTGGGATGGGGAGGCTGCAGTCAGCTGTAATCATGCCACTGCACTCCAGCCTGTGTGACAGAACAAGACTCTGTCTCCAAAAAAAAATTTTTTTAATTTAAATTTTAAAAATGTGATGGACCTCTGTAATAAATGGGGCCTTTGTTTCTCCACTGACTTTCTCACTCTAAGAGGGTCTGAACCACGTGGACTTGTGTTTAGAGCTTGCAGCAGGCCAGGAACAATGTACTTGAATGAACCTTGTGTTAATCTAATACTGGTTGAGGTTCACCAAGAGGATACAAGCGTATGGCTTCAAGTCCTCTTGAATAATAATAAAATGTTAGGGGGTATCTGGCTCCCACCATCCTTGTCCTGAATGAGGCTCAAGGTGTGATCCACCTTGCAGGAGGGCATTCTCCACCCAAGGGCTGCCGTCAGGTGTCCCTTCTTGACCGTTCACAAGTGTGGGAGACAGTAGGGCATAGGCATTCAGCACACGGGCTCTGCAGTCACGCAGACCTGTGTTCAAACCCTGCTTCCCCCACACAGTGCTTGTGAGACTTTGGACAAACTACTTCATCTCTCCTAACCTCAATTTTCTCATCTGTAAAGTGAGTGTAATAATGGTATCTACTTTGTGAAGTTCTACAGATTAAATGGGATAATGGCTTTAAAGCTCAGTGCCTGGCACATAGTAAATTCTCCCAAAACAGCAGCTCTTATTATTTGTAGTAGTAATATTATTCTGGCTCAGAATGCCTTTGACCCTAAGTATCCAGCATCATGGCGGTATTCATACTGGCTATTTATAAAGAACTAGCAGATAGGGTACTATTCTTGTTGCCTGTTTTTCATTTCTTTAATTACAGTCATCTAAGTGTTGTCTCTAACAAAAATGAGTTGCTGTTGTTTTCATTGCAGACAGTTGCATCTATAAAAAGGTTTGCCCCTTTAATGGTGGCTCTTTTTTGGTTCAACCTTCTGCGTCAGATTTCCAGTTCTGTTGGAACCAGGCTCCCTATGCAATTGGTAAGAAAAGTCTTTATCATAATGCTTTTCTCCTTCATGGATATGTCTGAACTATTGTAAGCAAATCCTATGTAAGCAAATCACTGGCTTACTGCGAAATTGCTATAAATTATACGCGTATGATGAATATTCACAGCGTTCTTTTTCTTTTTCTTTTATTTTTGTTCCCCTTTTGGGACTATCGTCTTCTACTGTTCTTCCTAGTTTCTCTCAGTGCCTGAGCATGTATGCATTTGAGAGCAATTAAATGTCATTTTTCAGTACTTGGTTATCATTTCAGCACCTCAGTTCATTTCTGGGCCTCACTTTCCTTTTTCTAAAATTCAAGTGTAAGGTCTCCAGCCTCAAAATGCTGACTGACCTCGGGGAGAAGCACAGTGCTTTCAGGGCCATTGGTATATGTTTCATAGAAATTCAGGTACCTGCCTGCCACTAAAATGTCAGGACATGAGCGGCGATGCTTTGTGTTTGTGATTCAAGATCCACAACTGGCCATTGCCTTTTGGAAGTCAGATCAGAGCCAAGAATGTTCCAGTTCATTCTTTTGTCCTCACAATAAAACTGTGTGTTAATAGGTCCACAGGACAGCATTTTGAGAGGAAGGCAGAGGGACCAACCTAAGATCCTGGGAGGACCAGTTAGACTTGATGACAGATTAGATCTGGTAGACAGGAAAGGGAGATTTTGAACCACGTTGCTGGAGGGGCTTGAAAGTCATGGCTGGAGGCATAGATGTGGTAGGCACAGTCACCAGGAAAGCCAGGAGAGCAGATGCGCTCATCCATGGAAAGAGTGCAGAGAGAGCCAGTGCGAAGAAGGGGACAACACGAAGTGCCAGGAAGAAAGAGGTGTGCCCCAGGGCAGCCAGGGCAGGCACAGTGCCTGGAAGCCAGTGTGTCATCCAAATCATTTCAAGCAGAGGGGCCAGCCCTTAACAAATAACTCAGCAAACCCCTTGATGCCGAGGGACACTGCGAGGGCCAGTGAGGAATAAGATGCAGCCCCGGCTCAGACGTGCAGCTGGAGGAGCACATGGGAGGAGCGAGGAGCACTGAGGGACACCAGGGCTGGGCCTTGAAGAGCGACCAAAGGGAAGGGTCCCAGGCAGGATGGCCTGGGCCTGCAGACAGAATGTCAGGCTGGCGTCTGAACAACAGAAGGGACTCCCCACAGGACTATGGCAAGTGAGCTGCCTCGCTGGAAGATCAGGCAGTGGGGTTTCCATGGGGGAAAATGGCAGCAAGCATGGTGACAGTGCACACCTCCTGGGAGGCGCAGTGTGGCAACCGAGGGGAGGCTGTCTTGGGAACCCAGGCTACCTTAGGATCAGGGTGACTTGCACATGTGAAGGAAGGAGAGAAGCAGCCAGAGGAATGAGAGATGGAAGTTTCTAGAGAAGTGAGTGTGACTATGACACAGTCACAGCCCCTTCGCGGCCACCAAGCCAGCAGCTGGGAGGTGACACTCCCGTTCCCTTGCAGTCTGTGCTTTCCCGTATCTCCTGGCCTTCACCACCGACTCCATGGAGATCCGCCTGGTGGTGAACGGGAACCTGGTCCACACTGCAGTCGTGCCGCAGCTGCAGCTGGTGGCCTCCAGGGTGAGTAGGACTGGGATTTTATCTCTGAGTGGTTTGGGGGACCCCGGCACTGTGGGATTTCAGGTGAGCACAGAAGCCGCCTCTTGTCAAGTTAGGCTGATGAAGACCGGTGTCAGAATGCCAGCACGAGATGGAAAGCCTGAAACCAGACTGATCTGTTGGGTTTTCATGTGTGATTTCTGTGGGCTTTCAGAACACTCCTCAGCTTTGTTAATAGTCATTAACTGGTGCTGGTGGCAGCTGGGGAGCACTTAGCTGAAAAGAGATATCCCCGCTCAGAGACTGGGTCAGTTATTCATGTCACTGCTGCCCTGGAGGACAGTCCAAGTCTAGAAAAGTCAGAGCTTGCAATCTTTCTTCCTTTCCCACCCTCTATCCTCAGTTTGAATTCTTAGCCTATGAAACATGGCTAATTGATTAATCCCTGCCTCATAACCCACAGCTAGGGCAAAACGGAGGGATGCAGGAACAAAGATGCCTTCCAAGATGTCTTTTGTCGCTGGCATATAATCTGGGGGGTCTTGTTCTAGTCCCCTCCCCTGAGTCAGGCCCACAAAGTCCTCCCCAGCCCTGCCAGACTGGGCTGGCTCCCCCGCTGTGTCCCCTGTTCCCTTCCCTGGTCCTGACATCCATCACATTTGGTGGTAGGTGACTGCCTATTTGTTCATCTTTGCTGCTGCACTGATGGTTCTGTGAGAGCAGATGCCATGCTGTCTTACCATCATAGTACCAGTGGTGTGCTCAATGCTTCAGTCCCGCAGTGCTCTGGAAAATGTGTGTGTGTGCACATATGTGCATATATGTATGATATGTGTACATATCTGCATGTATGTATCATATGCGTGTACATTAGTTGATTGTAAATAGCTTACAATTTACAAATAATAAATATACAATGCTGTTTATCATAAAAATCCACTTAGCCAATTGGTTCTTACAAAATGTTTTTGTTAATATTTGCTGAACTCTTGTATCCATAGCCAACCTACAGTTGCAGTTCAACCATGATTTTACACTTGGAGTTATATCTCAATCCACTCATTTTTTTCCAATGTATATTGTCATTTAATCTGATAGGTAATCTGCTATAAAACTATTTTTCACCCTCATACAACTCATAGTCATTAAACTGAAACTTCTTTCAGCTTCTGTACCAGACTAAACACACTTCTACGTTTCTTGTTCATTACTAGTACTTTCTCCATCACTGTAAGTCTAGACAATCAACAAAACAACAAATCAAAGTCAAACTGATAGTCTTTGCTGGATTCCATGGTGTAAAGAGTCCCTGCATGATTGATTTCAAGCTGCCAGCGTGACGCCACTGCAGGTGGTGCTGGGGAGACGTGCATTATCCCCCATGGTGCAGTATCTCTCCCCCAAGCCCCACACAGACACTGTTGGTGTCAATAACTCCAGAGCAGATGTAATAGTAAGCACAGTCAAATAATTAGGAATGGCTGGATTTGGATATTTAGGGCCTTTGTTTTTTTAGGTTTGTATAATTTAATTTCTAATCATGTGTGTTTAACAGCCAGTTTGCAAAATTCCTGAAAATTGGATTTCATAGATCACATCCAGCACACCACTGCTGTTAGCAGCAGCGCCAGCGCATCACGGGTGTGCCTGAGTATCTGCTGGATCAGTGAATGAAGAATCCATTTCCCCATCTGCCAAATGGGCCTAACTGAATCCCTAAGATCTTTCCCGTTCTAACACTCCAGGTGCCTGAGATTCCTGTTAGGGAAGTGTGTGCTGTGTTTGTGATTGCAGAAGATGTGTGGTGGAACACTGACTGTTTTCTATTGTGGATCAACAAATAGATGATGAAAAGTGGCGGGGAGTGGAATACTCAGGAAAAGTGTAACTAGCCACGCTGGGCTTTCCTCCAGAAGGCTCTCTCCATCCCTCGCCCCGGCATCCCGCACTGCACTGTATGCTCCAAGGATGGGGACCAGTTGGAGGGTTTGCAGTGATGGCAGGAGGGCCAGTGGATGCAAGGCCTAGAACACCAGGCAGCCCGGTAATGCTCTCTCTTCCTTTCTAGTCGGATATATACTTCACAGCAACTGCAGCTGTGAATGAGGTCTCATCTGGAGGCAGCTCCAAGGGGGCCAGTGCCCGAAATTCTCCTCAGACACCCCCGGGCCGAGATACTCCAGTATTTCCTTCTTCCCTGGGGGAAGGTGAAGTCCAAGTTTTACTGTTTTATTAATATTTGTAATTCACTCTAATTTCTCTAGTTTGTTGTCTAATATCTACATGTGATTACTGTTTAAAGAAGTTACTATTTAAAGCCATTAAAAAAAGAAACTAGCTGAGCGTGGTGGCTCACCCCTATAATCCCAGCACTTTGGGAAGCTGAGGCGGGCGGATCACCTAAGGCCAGGAGTTCAAGACCAGCCTGACCAACATGGTGAAACCCCATCTCTACTAAAAATACAAAAATTAGCCGGGTGTGGTGGCACACACCTGTAATCCCAGCTACTTGGGAGGCTGAGGCAGGAGAATCACTTGACCCTGGGAGGTGGATGTTGCAGTGAGCCGAGAGCACGCCATTGCACTCCAGCCTGGGCGATAGAGCGAGACTCTGTCTACAAAAAAAAAAAAAAAAAGAAAGAAATCTTGCAGTCTGAATACATGGTTGTGTTCTTAAGAAACCTGGTGATAACAACGACAAAACTCCATTATAAAAATAATAAATAAATAAATAAACTGGGCTAGGCGCTGTGGCTCACACTTGTAATCCCAGCACTTTGGCGGGCTGAGGCAGATGGATCGCTTGAGCCCAGCAGTTCAAGACCAGCTGGGCAACATGGCAAAACCCTGTCTCTAAAAAAAAATACAAAAACTAGCTGGGCATGGTAACATGTGCCTGTAGTCCCAGCTACTTGGGAGGCTGAGGTGGGAGGATCACCTGAGCAGCGGAGGTCAAGGCTGCATTGAGCCGGGATTGCACCTCTGCACTCCAGCCTGGGCAACAGAGTGAGAGACCCTGTCTCTACAAAAACTAAAATTAAATTAGCTGGCTGTGGTGGCATGCACCTGTGGTCCCAGCTACTCAGGAGACTGAGGTGGGAGGATCACTTGAGCCTGGGAGGTCAAGGCTGCAGTAAGTCATGATTGCATCATTGCACTCCAGCCTGAGCGACAGAACAAGACCTTGTCTCAAAAAAAAAAAAAAAAAAGTTTCAGTGGGGAGGAGGGAGTTAAAGGCTATAGAGTTTCCAACTTGCAACAGCAGTTATTTTTCCTTCAGGGCTGTTAACAGTAGTGGGTTTTGAAAGCTAAAAGAATAGAGTCATCAAGCCTAGACATTCCCCAGCACATGCAGTCTTTCACTCTATCTGGCTTTGCCCGCAAACCCCAGAGGCCTCTGCTGTGGTTACCTCATCGCTTTGAACACAGCGCTTTTCATAAATTCTTACCACATCACTCATCTTTATTGCACGCAGTTAAGATAAAGCACAGAATTCCCCAAGCAGGGCAGCTTTTTGCTTTTCTTGTCTAGTCTTTTTTCCTGTGCAGTCACGAGTGCATTTTACCTAATTTACACATGAAAATGCTCTTAGAAAACGCAAAGCCATCAGGCACCCTCAAATCAGTGCTCCTGGCCAGCCCTCCCAGTGGGACATTACAGATCAGTGTGTGACATAACGTCTTCCTTCATGCTATGTTAAGGAACAAGAAATTACTCTCTTGTAAATAATGTGCACTTTTCTTAAAGTTCTGATGTTCTTTTTGAAATCACATTTCAGGTGAAATTCAATCAAAAAATCTGTACAAGATTCCACTTAGAAACCTCGTGGGCAGAAGCATCGAACGACCTCTGAAGTCACCCTTAGTCTCCAAGGTCATCACCCCACCCACTCCCATCAGTGTGGGCCTTGCTGCCATTCCAGTCACGCACTCCTTGTCCCTGTCTCGCATGGAGATCAAAGAAATAGCAAGCAGGACCCGCAGGGAACTACTGGGTAATGGTTCTCAATCCTGGTTTCCACTGTCTGTGAACAGACCAGCTGGTTTTATCTTTGGATATGAATTGTCCTCAGAAACAATGAGTTTAAAAGGAAAGTTTCCTTTTAAGAAGGGATTTTTAAGTAAGTTCTAATACCTCTATACCAAGGAATACACTATAATGTAGCCACCAACAGTGATGTTGTTGATCTATATTTATTGGTGTGGAAAGCTGCTCAAGCCATGTGAAGGGGGGAAATGGGCAGTTTATAAAACACTATGTCTAGTCTGATACCATTTTTAAAAATAAAAGTACCAATCTATGTATGATTTCCTAGAAAGGTGTCTAGAAGGATTTATATCCCACAGTCCTCAGACAACATTTTATGTTGGTATGTCCCAAAGTGGAAATGTACCATGTTTTTACACGTGTGTGTTCAGTTCCCTTATTACTTCTCCCAGCCCTAGACAGTGGGGGCAGGTCTGTGGATAGAACAGATGCAAGATATGTGTTGAGCTCATTTCTCTCAGTATAACTATGGGACTGGGCTCACACCTGTTATCTCAGCATTTTGGGAGAGGCTGAGGCAGGCAGATCACTTGAGTGCAGGAGTTCAAGACCAGCCTGGGTAACATGGTGAAACCCCATCTCTATAAAAAATAAAAAAATTAGCCAGCCATGGTGGCATGTGCCTATAGTCCCAGCTACTCAAGAAGCTGAGGCAAGAGAATCGATTGAGTCCGGGAGGTCAAGGCTACAGGGACCCATGATTACACCACTGCACTCCAGCCTGGGTGACAGAGTGACACCCTGTCTTTAAAAAAAAAAAAAAAAAAAAAAAAAAGATGAGAGGCCAAATCAGAGAAACATAAAGCCCCTGATAAGTGTGAAAAGGTTAGACTGTTAGAAACCTTTTTGTTCAGATTTGTGGAAACAAAATAAGGAAATATGGAAGTGACATGTTAAACCAGGAGAAACTGGTTTGAAAACTTAGACTGGGACCTGCATGAACGTTGGCCTGGGCACACCCCTGCCCTGCAGTAATATTCCCTGAACAACTGCAGGAGGGGATTCAGGCCACCTGACAGGGCAGGACTAGACACTAACAAAGTCCATTGGTTTTTCAAGTTGGTGCCTTCTACTGTGTTTTGAAAATAAATGTATTGCTATTTTTAATGCAGCCTTCCATATCAAAGCTTGATCTGCCCACCACTGTTTACAAACCACTGAGCTTTTGCAAAACGGAACCTCTGAATTGGAGAATTACAGGGTTATCAACGGTAGGACTGTAAATCATCTGTCCTCATTAGGCTCTTTGAGTCTAATTTTTTTGCAAAGTGTGTATACTTTATAATCAGAAAAGAAAAACCTTCTACCAACCAGAAAACCAATAATTTGAAAATATATATTCTATCATCTTTCTTCCTGACTCTAGCACAACAATGCACCAGTTCCCAACCAAGAAAAAATAAGGGTCTTTTCTGTCTCCGTGGCAGCCCTGTGGTAGTGACCCTCTGACCTATGATTCTCAATCCAGGCCTCTCGGATGAAGGTGGACCCAAGTCAGAAGGAGCGCCAAAGGCCAAATCAAAACCCCGGAAGCGGTTAGAAGAAAGCCAAGGAGGCCCCAAGCCAGGGGCAGTGAGGTCATCTAGCAGTGACAGGTAAAGAGAGGGAGAGGCCCCTGCTTGGGGTGGTGGACCTATGAGTCACAGCACTGCCCAGGAGGCCCCTTCTGGGGATTGATAATGCCACTAGTGGCCCCTGGCAGCTACAGCAGAGGGCCAGCAGCCTGTTCCTCTCTGAGGGTCCCCAGACCCTCAGGCCTGCCAGGGAGGGATCTAGACAAATGGGCACACTTACCAGCAGTCAACTGCTAATTCAAATCTATTGAGACCTGGCCAGGCACAGTGGCTCATGCCTTTAATCCCAGCAGTTTGGGAGGCCAAGGCGGGCAGATCACCCAAGGTCAGGAGTTCGAGACTAGGCTGGCCAACACGGTGAAACCCCATCTCTACTAAAAATACAAAAAGTAGCCGGGCGTGGTGGCACATCCCTGTGGTCCCAGCTACTTGGGAGGTTGAGGCAGAAGAATCGCTTGAACATGAGAGGCGGAGGCTGCAGTCAGCCAAGATCGTGCCACTGCACTCCAGCCTGGGTAACAGAGCAAGACTTCATCTCAAAAAATATATATATAATATATATTTTATATTTATATATTTAATATCTATTATATATATATGTAGAGAGAGAGAGACTTTTTCCTCACCAGATTGACAGAGAGTTTTTAAAATAAAAATGCTGGCTAGGCATGGTGGCTCATGCCTGTAATCCCAACACTTTGGGAGGATGAGAAGAGAAGGTCACATGAGCCCAAGAGTTCAATCCCAGCCTGGGCAACACAGCAAGACCCATCTCTACAAAAAAAAAATATATATATATATATATAGGCTGGGTCTGGTGGCATGAGCCTGTAGTCCCAGTTACTTGGGAGGCTAAGGTAGAAAGATCACCTTCCTTCTGGGAGGTCAAGGCTGCAATGAGCCATGATCACACCACTGCACTCCAGCCTGGGTAACAGAGCAAGACCCCGTGTCAAAAAAAAAAAAAAAAAACACTTAGTAAGACTGCAGGGAAACAGGTGCTCTCTATGCAGTAATGCAGTACTGGTAGCACATACACAGTCCAGCCTATCCGAATGCCAGGTCAGCATCACACGTCAATGAATAGTAGTTAAGTCACACTGATTTGTCCTGTAAGATCTCTGTTATCCTTCAAGCAACATCACACGTGCTCCAGTGTGGGGAGTGATAGTTCGTATGTCCAAGCTTCATTCATTCACTCAACACACATTCTTGGAGCACCTAGGACTTAGTTGGGTATTAAGATATGGAAAGGACTAAGCCCCCACCTGTGCCTTCAAGGGGTTCCCAGGCCAGTGGCAAAGACCAACAAGCGTCCAGAAAATGACTGCATTCCAGCATGGCAGGTGATGTGTAAGGAGGGTTGCCATCCAGCCCACACCTGGGGCAGGGAGGGTCTCAAACATCAGGGGAGGCTGAGCCTCCTCTCAGAAGTCATAACCTGACAAGGCCCCTGCCCTCAGGGACTTTGCATTCTAGTGTGGGAAAACAGACAGCCAACCTGTAAACAAGTAAGCAAATAAAATCATTTCAAATAGTGACAAGTGCTACAAGAAATTGAGAAGAAGTGACGGGGCTGGCACATAGAAGGTCTACTCTGAGAGAGGGGTCAAGGAAAGCTTTTTGAGGAAGTAGCATTGGGCTGGGCTTGGAATAAACGGTAAGAAGCTAGGGGAACAGCCCTTCTGACAGCAACTACCTCAGGGCAAGGGCCCCGAAGCAGGCCTAGCATGGCCAGTTAAAAGGCAGGAGGAAGAGTGGACAGGCTTGAGCATAGAGAACGGAGCCAGGAACTGTGTGAGGCCGAGAGTGGGCAGCAGCTGAGCCAGGTGGGCTTTTGCAGGCCAATGAGTATTTGTGGAATGCATTAACTCTCTGAGAAGTGGAAACCAATATTGGTCAAATTAATATGCAGCTATTGAGAGAGTCCTGAGGAGCTGGAGGAAACAGAGGGAGTCAGGGGTGCCCTGGGAGGCTGGAGGGATCACAGGCCTAGTCCCGGAACCTTGGCTATGAGTTTCAGCCTGATCCTCAGGCCCTGGGCACCCATGGGAGGGTTTTAGGCAGGATGACATTATCTGGATTTGCACTTTAGAAAGGTAGGTAAATAATGCCTCACAAACACCTTCCATGTGTCACACACTCGGCCTTTAATCCTCAAAACCCCCTGAGGTGATGGGGGTGGCATTCCAGCACTTCCCCACCTCTACCACATAACAGTGAGGGTTTGGTGAGCCAAACTCATGAGCTCAGATGAGCAGGAAATTGCCAGAAAAAAATAGGCCCAGTTCTGTGGTACTCCCAAAGATCCTCTTACAGTGACTTTTCTCTTCTAGGATCCCATCAGGCTCCTTGGAAAGTGCTTCTACTTCCGAAGCCAACCCTGAGGGGCACTCAGCCAGCTCTGACCAGGACCCTGTGGCAGACAGAGAGGGCAGCCCGGTCTCCGGCAGCAGCCCCTTCCAGCTCACGGCTTTCTCCGATGAAGACATTATAGACTTGAAGTAACAGAGTTGAATCTCATTTGCCATCTTTAGTTTTCTTATGGAGGTTTATACTCTTTAAACAGTTCTGATGTAATTTCTCAACAAAATGTGGCTTTTAGCCTGTCAGTGATCTATTGGACCAAACCTTCTGCACACTCGGCCAGTTCCCTCTCCAATGTCCGGTGCCATCTTTCCTGACCTTTGTTTCTTTCTGTTCAGGAACCATCAGTCCCCTTGTAATAAAGGTGGTAGATTTCATTGAGGTTTTAGATTGAAACTTTGAATAAATCAAAAATACTCATTCTTATTTACTGCAACCTTCTCATATTTTATATACTTAGATGGAAAATTATTTTTTCATTACAGTTTTGATTTATGTCACATAATGTGTTTCTTTTATAAAGAAAAGTCGTTGCTTTTTAACTTTATTATAAGTAAGTTTTTTTTCTGCACCTTTGGCCCCGGTTGCTGTTTCAGTTCACCGTGATTGGAACCAGCTGCATTCCTGCCTGTAGACTTTTGAGAAAAGTTGAATGGTTAGATCTTAGAAGCTCC
Organism: Homo sapiens; assembly: GCF_000001405.40. Classification (NCBI taxonomy): domain Eukaryota; kingdom Metazoa; phylum Chordata; class Mammalia; order Primates; family Hominidae; genus Homo; species Homo sapiens. The sequence goes on from NC_000009.12 coordinate 127,393,788, forward strand.
TCCTTCTTCCCTGCATCTCATGAAAAATATTAAGGCATAGGAGCTTGTCAAAAGTCTTCAGATTATTTTGTGTGGTTTTATTGTTACTCTGCAATAATGTAACCAGAGAACAGCTACTCCTTGTGGTTAAAAGTATTCTCATTGTAATCCCAGTGCTTTGGAAGGCCAAGGTGGAAGGATCCCTTGTGCCCAGGAGTTTAAGGCTGCAGTGAGCTAAGATTGCACCACTGTTCTCCAGTCTGGGCAACAGAGGGAGACCCTGTCTCAAAAAAAAAAAAAAAAAAAAGAAAAGAAAAGAAAAAAAAAAGAAAGCATTTTCAAACTCCTCCTTCTTTTTGAGTCCCCCTCACTCTTTCACATAAATGATATGAAGATAATAATTTGGTTTATCTGCCTTTCCTGGCTCCCTCTCCAGTGTGAACAGAAAGAAATGTGGACTGGGCCAAGTGCAAAAGAAATAGTGAAATCTCAGCCACTAGCCAAGGGGAGATCCAGTTTCACTAGCATTGTTTGCAAATATTTTAATCTGTGTGAAGAAGGTATTTTACCTTTGGCTTTAGTCTAGCCAATTCAATTTTATTCTGTCTCTTCCTACTTATATTATTACATTATTCATCAAAGGAAACTTCCTGTTACCCCGTTAAAGCAGCTCAGAAGAGTTCTTCTGCAGGCTTTTTTTTTTTTTTTTTTTTAGACAGAGTCTTACTCTATTGCCCAGGCTGGAGTGCAGTGGCACGATCTCGGCTCTCTGCAACCTCCACCTCCCAGGTTCAAGCCATTCTGCTGCCTCAGCCTCCTAAGTAGCTGGGATTACAGGCACGCATCACCACACCCAGCTAATTTTTGTATTTTAGTAGAGATGGGGTTTCACCATGTTGGCCAGGCTGGTCTCGAACTCCTGACCTCGTGATCCGCCCACCTTGGCCTCCCAAAATGCTGGGATTATAGGTGTGAGCCACTATGCCCGGCCAGCAGGCCTTCTTTGTGAGTGTGGAGAACTGAGTTTGACAGGACCTTGGTCTGACAGATTTTATAGAAGTTTGGGTCGTACCTCCTAGTGGGCCTTGCACACTGTGGGGAAAGTTCCCCTCTCTGTCTTTTGTACAAACAGATCAGCATGATAGCCCAAGCTGAAGGTTGCTTGGTTCATCTTTGGCAGAAGGCAAGAGTCAAGAGTAGTAAAGACAGTGCTTTTTAGGTATACCCAGATGGGGCTGTTTATAACCAAATGTGTCTGCTCATATTCTTTGCAGCAGTTAGCATGCCCATTCTTCCTTTGTGTGTTTTATGCCCTTTTCCTATATAGGGGGAAAAAAACACTGTGTCTCAACCCCACCAACAGTTTAATGAATTATGTTTTATTATTCTTGCTTTTCAAATAAGGAAATAGGCTTAGGAAGGGGCAATGGTTTGAACCTGCAAGTTCTTTGACTCCAGAGCCCTTGCTTTCCCCACGTCTGCCATGCAGAGCCAGGCTCAGTGCCTTGTGTCAGCTGGATCTGGCTGGTGTTTTTCATGTTAAACTAATTTGTAAGCTTTATGAGCTTGTATCTGTGTTTTTCCTTTTTTTCTGGAAGTTTCTTGCTTCACAGTGTAGCATAAAAAAAACCCAAGGACTATTTTAGAGCATTCTTCCAAATCAGCAGCATTAGAGCCACCCACAATTTGACAAGAGTCACAGGTCTGAGGAGTGATGTAGCAAGGGCAAGAGGTGGACCCTACTGATCAGGCTGATGGTGCTTTGCCTATGAAAAGGGGGCAGGAGGCTGTTCTGGCAACATTATTTGTCTACAAAGGCCAAGAAGTGAGTTCTGCACACTCACGGGAAGGGAAGCCATCGGCCACAGGGTAGGAGCACCCTGCCTACATAATCCTTTCTGTGTACCCGACTGGCTGAGTCACACAGAAAATCATCTAACTGCAGTGTCTGCCTATGGAGTTGGAGGCATTGATCCACTCTGCACACACCAAGTGCCTCCTCTCCAGAGGAGGTCATGTCCATTGGGGGAAGGACGGAAGTAAACAAGGGATCACAAAGCAGTGATAAATGCTGTGATAAGAATACACATCTAGTGCTCGAGTTATCAAGCATTAGATGCTGTGGGAGTACAGAAGGGCAGTTGCCTAAGTCTTTAAGGATAGGCTTGTGGTCAGGACTGAAAAATGTTGGTTGCTAGAACCATCAAGTGACTGCAACATATCAGATGACTGTCTTCATCATACCGGTTAGCCTTTGAGTGCTTCACATGTCTTATATACATTACCTTGCTTCACAACTCTCCTGGAAGATAATGGTCATCCCCACTTAGAGATGAGGAAACACAAGGCCCAGAGAGGGATTACAAGCCAAGCCTCTTACTCCCATGCCCTGGCTCTTTCCAGAATTACACCAGCATTCCACCACAGCTGCCTGCACCCAGAGTGTTGGGTATGAATCGGGTACAACTGGTGAGATCCAACAGTGCCTCATCATTCGACTTGGGTGCACACGGGAGAAGGTGGCATTAAAATCCACAGGGAACTCAAAATATGGAGGCAGGTAGATGAAGATTCAAGAGTCAGGACTCCCTGTGAAGTGAGTGACACTTAAGAGGGGGAGTGGAGCCCAGATCTGTCACACATACGGCGTGGGGGACCCCACCTACCACTGGTCCTCAGCACCTGGAGACCCGAGCCTTCAGCAATCTGGGAAGCATGAAAGTGGGTTTCGGTGCACAGGGCCACGCCTCCGCCGCCAGCAGCCCAGCGGGAGCGTCTGACCAGTCTCGCCCTCCGAGAGGAGAGAGAGGCGGCCCAGGACGGTCTGCTTAGAGGCTCTCTCCCCTGCAGAGCTGGGCCCAGGCATAGGTCAGACGCCTCCAATACAGTCCCCAGGGCAGCGATTAAAGCGGAGCAGGAACTGCAGACCCGACCGGGCAGGACAGGTGCAGCTTCTCGGAGTTGGGGGCGGGAAGTCTCGGGCTGAGGCCCACGTGCTTCGCCTTCGCCCCGCCTCTACCCTCATTGGTTGAAGCCAGATTGAGAGGAGGTGCCAGAAAAAAAACTCCTCCCTCCAACCTCATTGGCCAGCTCAGTTCTGAGGCAGCTCTCTGGCCCCGTCTATGGGCTCGCACTACACTCCAATTGGGTGGTTGTTCTCCCAGACGGAAACTCCGCCCCACCTGTACCTTGGACCGCTCCGCCCTAGGGGCGGTTCCAGCGCGCTTCGCTAATCGGTTCTATGCTCCCATTGGTCTGCTTTAATGTGAAGGGCGGGTCCTAGCTGATTCGCTAGCCCCGCCTTGCGTTCCTATTGGCTGCTCCTGCTCTGCGGTTCCGATCCCGCCCAGCACCGTCCCCCACCCCCCGCCGCCCATTGGCTGCGAGAGGCCGGTGCGGGCCGCACTCGCAGGGCCCGTGGCGGTTCAGGCGCCAGAGCTGGCCGATCGGCGTTGGCCGCCGACATGACGCCCGAGGACCCAGAGGAAACCCAGCCGCTTCTGGGGCCTCCTGGCGGCAGGTGAGCTCCGGGGAACCCGGGCCCGGATGCGGCCTCGCCCTCCCGCCCCTCCGCGTCCGCTCCGCTCACCCTCGGCCCTGTCCCCCCAGCGCGCCCCGCGGCCGCCGCGTCTTCCTCGCCGCCTTCGCCGCTGCCCTGGGCCCACTCAGCTTCGGCTTCGCGCTCGGCTACAGCTCCCCGGCCATCCCTAGCCTGCAGCGCGCCGCGCCCCCGGCCCCGCGCCTGGACGACGCCGCCGCCTCCTGGTTCGGGGTGAGGCCCCGGGCTCGCTCCTCCCGCCCTGGGACCCCACGCCCTCCTCTCGGGACGGGCATCGGGACCCTCCGCCCCCCACCCTTCCCCTCGGGACAGGCATCGGGCCCCGCCGCCACCACCTTTCCCCACGAGACAGGCATTGGGCCTCTCTGCCCCCCATCCCTTCCCTCGGGACGGGCATCGAGCCCCTCAGCCCCCACCCCTCCCCTCGGGACGAGCACCGGGCCCCTCAGCCCCCTACCCCTCCCCTCGGGACGGGCGCGGGGCCCCGGCTCTTTTACCTCTGAGCCCGCGGGGAGTGGGTGGAGGGGGAGGATGGGCTGCGGCTTCGGCGCCCCCTCCTCAGCAGCCGCCCGCCTCCAGGCTGTCGTGACCCTGGGTGCCGCGGCGGGGGGAGTGCTGGGCGGCTGGCTGGTGGACCGCGCCGGGCGCAAGCTGAGCCTCTTGCTGTGCTCCGTGCCCTTCGTGGCCGGCTTTGCCGTCATCACCGCGGCCCAGGACGTGTGGATGCTGCTGGGGGGCCGCCTCCTCACCGGCCTGGCCTGCGGTGTTGCCTCCCTAGTGGCCCCGGTGAGTGTCCCGTCTCTCGAGTGTCCTGTCTCGCGGCCTGAGACCGAGGGGGAGTGGGACAAACCGCTCCCCAGGCCTGGGGGCGCGGCTCCCCCTGGCGGGACCTTCTGGGTGCCAGGCTTGAAGTCCCTGCGTTATCTCGCGGTCCCTCCCGTCGACCCTGGGAAGGATCCTACTGTTCTCTCCATTTTACACTGAGGTCATGACATGCAGTCTCGGAAAGGTGAAGTCCTTTGCCCAGGCGAGGTCCACAGCTAGTCAGAGGGGAAGCAGTTGCAGGAACCCAGGGTTGTCCCACTTAGCCGTGCCCCTCTTTTGCTCTGCAAACCTGCGGATGATCCACAGGAGCCCACTCCCTACATTTTGGTTTTCATCCCTGGCTTCGGGTCAATGACTGCAATTAGCAGGAAGTTCCTGTCCTGATTTCTCTTGGGGCAAAGGCTGCTGGCCTCTGTGTTCCCCTTCCCTTCTCACAGGCCAGCCCCTCTGGCTTCCCCATCTTCCCCCTTTCCCCCTCCTGACCCAGGCTGCCCACTTGGGAGCCCCGAACATCTGGGTCAAATCCTGGTTCTGCCACTAACCTGAGCAGAGTGCCTCCCTGGGCCTCAGTTTCCTTCTCTGGAAAACAGGGATTATGGCATTAGCCCCTGAGGTAGTGGTCAGGATTCAGTGGGACTTTGGATAGACAGCCCCTGGCATGGCTTGTAGAGGACTGGATCCTGACAGCTTGGTGACCCATGAACTGCCCCCAGCCATGGGCTTGGACAATATCTCCCCCAAGTGAGGTTGAAAGCAGCCACTCAGGCCCCTCCCTGGGTGCTCATTTCACCAACGTTTGCTAACCGGCAGCAGCAGCTGGACCAGAAGAGGGTGGGGAAGAAGCTGGGCCTTTTATGTCTTTGGTTTTTTTAACTGGGCAGAAACACACCTGTGTTAGGGGCCTAAGCTATGGAATAACCTTAGATGCATGGGTGAGGGCCTGGTGGCCTGTGGGCCCAGGAGGGAGCTAGTGGCAGCCACTGGTAGTGACCGAGGCAGAGAGTTCGTGCTTCTAGTCCAAGGCCACCACTCAAAGCGTGGGCCCTGGGCTAGGATCCTGGGTGGGCGTCACGTGGAGCTGGTTAACAAGGTGGAATCTTTCGCCTGTCCAGACCTACTGCATCGGAATCTATGATTTATCCAGGGTGTCTGTGCACATTAAACGAAGGCTTGAGAAGCTCTGTGCCCACCGCCTCTCGTCATCATATGCAGCCCTCTCCGTTACCCTTAATCCCCTTTAAACACCTGCCACAGATCTTTCAGTGGTGGGGACCTGGGGATGGCTCTGCTCACCTAGGCAGGTTCCACTAAGGGGCTTCAGGGCCTGCCGTAACCCCCTGCAAGGACTTTCCTCAGCTCTGAATGGCTGAGACCTTTCCATTTTAAGAACTCTTGGAGCCTGAGTAAAGCCTCATCTTTTTTTTTTTTTTTTTAATTTTTATTTAAAAATTTCGGAGTTTCGCTCTTGTTGCCCAGGCTGGAGTGCAATGGTGGGATCTTGGCTCACCGCAACCTCCACCTCCAGGGTTCAAGTGATTCTCCTCCCTCAACCTCCTGAGTAGCTGGGATTACAGATGTGTGCCACTAGGCCCAGCTAATTTTGTATTTTTAGTAGAGATGGGGTTTCTCCCTGTTGGTCAGGCCAGTCTCAAACTCCCAACCTCTGGTGATCTGCCCGCCTCGGCCTCCCAGAGTGCTGGGATTGCAGGCATGAGCCACTGCGCCCAGCCATAAATCCTCATCTGATTGCTGGCAGGTCTACATCTCCGAAATCGCCTACCCAGCAGTCCGGGGGTTGCTCGGCTCCTGTGTGCAGCTAATGGTCGTCGTCGGCATCCTCCTGGCCTACCTGGCAGGTATAGTTGTCATTATCTCTTGCTTCCTGTTTGTGGTCATGTGGCCATTTTACAGATGTGTAAACAGAGGTTCAGTGAGGTCAAGGGACTTGTCTGAGGTCACATAGCCAGTGCCCAACATGCCAGGCTCGCCTTCCTGGGACCTTGGGATAGGTGAGTCTTTTTTTTTTTTTTTTTGAGACAGAGTCCCGCTCTGTCGCCCAGGCTGGAGTGCAGTGGTGGCTCTCTGCAACCTCTGCCTCCTGGGTTCAAGCGATTCTCCTGTCTCAGCTTCCCAAGTAGCTGGGACTACAGGCATGTGCCACCACACCTGGCTAATTGTTTGTATTTTTGGTAGAAAGGGGGTTTCACCGTGTTAGCCAGGATGGTCTTGATCTCCTGACCTCATGAACCGCCAAACCTCAGCTTCCCAAAGTGCTGGGATTACAGGTGTGAGCCACCGCGCCCGGCCGATAGGTGTGTCTTATGACTGAGTTCCAGGGACAGCTGGAGAAGGTGATACCCTCAGCTTTCCTGAAGCCCCCTCTAGGGGTGTGGGAAGGGCTGACTGCTTAGGTCAGTACCTTACTGTGCAGTGACAAACCAGAGGGCTCCAGAGGTGGGTGGGTCCCTGTAAAAATCTTCAGCCCGGGCGAGTAAAGGGCTGAGCAAGTCCCCTGAGAATGTCAGTGCCAGATTCACCATGTCGGCGAGTTGCAACGTGAAGGAGGCCGGGGTCCTGGGGACCCCGAGGGGCAAAGCTGGGCCAGCATGAAGAAACTTCAGGAGACAGGTGTGTTCTCATTAGAAAGAGGCCAGGCTTTAGAGGCCAGACCCAGTGGCTCACACCTGTAATCCCAGCACTTTGGGAGGCAGAGGTGGGCGGATCACTTGAGGTCAGGAGTTCGAGATCAGCCTGGCCAACATGGTGAAAACCCATTTCTATTTAAAATACAAAAATTAGCCAGGCGTGGTGGTGGGCACCTGTAATCCCAGCTACCTGGGGGGCTGAGGCACAAGAATTGCTTGAACCCAGAAGGCTGAGGTTTCAGTGAGCTGAGATCGCGCCACTGCACTCCAGTGTGGGCGACACAGTGAGACTCTGTCTCAAAAAGAAAGAAAAAACAAGGGCAGGCTTCAAATCTGACCATCCTGAGTTTGGGGATAGCCTCTCCTACGTGCTGTGTGACCTTGGCCAAGTCATACCACCTCTGAAAGCCTCAGTTTCTCTGTCTTGAAATGGGCATAACCTCATCTAGTCCAGTACCTGTCCATTAAATTAATTGACACATGAAAAGTGCCTAACAGTGGGTTCCAAATGAGAATTGTCAAGGGATGACTTGAGAACCATGGGGATCATCGGGGTAGGAGGCCTCGGGGGCCTGACGGGCTATGGCCTGGCCCAGGGCACAAGCCCTCTGCATCGTCAGGGCGGATGATACACAGGTCTTTGGTGTTTCATTTTTACCCACTTAACCACCCTAACAAATTCAGAATCCTGCCAGCGATCTGGCTACCTTGGGAGACCTGAGTAAACCAAAGCCCCCACTGTGTGCAGGTGTTGACATTCATCATTTCGGGGACAGGTACTGGGTGTCCACCCACCCGTGGCACTATCTTCAGCTCATCTTAATATGTGCTTGTTGCTTCTCCTGCCTTTCCTGATCAATTTCTGTGAGTTTCGATCCACTGGGGTGGGTGAACTCTGATAACTCCACAAAGTGACATGGTGGTGGCACGTTTGCTTCACATTGGGGCAATCATGTTCCAACGACTAGACTTCATAGAACAATTGTCTGCACCCCCAGCACAGAAGAAAAATAGGGACATCATGGCTACCTTAGAGGTATTTTTCCACTGGGAACCAGGGATGGGTAAGCCTTGGGCTTAGGAAAAATTAGTAATTAGAGCAGCAATGCCCTAGACTCATTTATTCCAGGGCCCCTTTGTAAGAGAACCTTTTAACTTTATATAAAACTAGGTAATTCTGCACTTATGCTGTTCTTCATACGTCAAGACAGCAAAATCCTCTCACCTCTCTACTTTCATGTATACTTTGAATAGATAATGCATTCAAATGACTCAACACTCAAGTGCCAGAGTGGAGAGATGTCCAGTGAAAAGCTTCCTCCGCCTCTGTCCCTTTCTTGTCTGGGGGAGTCCCCATTGCCTGTTTCTTGGTAGCCTTCAGAGAGTCTGTTCATATGAGGGACATGCATATTTATCCTCCCTCCCCCACCTCTTCTACAAATGGTGCCACATCATACCATGCGGACACGCAGCAAGCACCTCATCCTTCATTTTTGTGGCTACATAAATGTTTCGTTGAACGGATGCAGCCTAGTAATGTCCGCGTTGTCATACCCACTGTCGCTTCCGCAGCTGGTGTGATTGGCCCGTGCCATGTGCCTTCATGAACAGTTGTGATAATGGCAATGTCAGTAGCGAACATGAGGGCAGATGTGCAGAGGCAGCGAGGCCCCATCTCTGAAGCTGAGTCTTTGAGGCTGGCAAGGCCCAGGCTGGCTCACCCTGGCTCTGACGCCAGCCTCCTCCACCCACCCCCCGCAGGCTGGGTGCTGGAGTGGCGCTGGCTGGCTGTGCTGGGCTGCGTGCCCCCCTCCCTCATGCTGCTTCTCATGTGCTTCATGCCCGAGACCCCGCGCTTCCTGCTGACTCAGCACAGGCGCCAGGAGGCCATGGCCGCCCTGCGGTTCCTGTGGGGCTCCGAGCAGGGCTGGGAAGACCCCCCCATCGGGGCTGAGCAGGTGAGAGGCTGGAAGGCAGAGCTGACAGGAGTGGGACAGCAGTCACGGGAGGGTAGCACAGCCTGTTCCCAAGGCCACACACTTGGGGGGTGGGGGACAGGGAGGTGCCTATCCACCCTCCACCCTCAGCGAGGACAGGCCCAGTGTGTCCTGTCTTTGAGCAGGCCAAGACAGCTGGAGCCCCACGGAGCTGGGCCCTGGCCTCCAAAGTCACCAGCAAAGCCCGAGCTTTGACCCTTACTGTCCCAGGAAGAGAATGGCCAGGCCTGGTGGGGGATACAGAGGCAGAGCTGAGGACTTGGATTTAACAAAGGAGTTGCAAGGCAGGGTAGAGGGCTAAAAGTCTGGGTTTTAGAGTCACCCAGGCATGGGTTTGAAGCCCCCACGCTGCCCCTCACCTAAGCTTTAGCTCTTCACCTGTGATGTGGGAGTCAGCACCTGCTTCACAGTGCTGGGTGGGACTCAGTGGGGGAAAGGAAGGCGGGGCTTAGGGAGGAGGGGGGCTCAGTGGGGAGGGTGGGGTCAGCGAGGAGGATGGGTTCAGTGGGGAGGGGAGGGTCAGGGCTGTAGGAGGTGCTTAGCTAGGGCCAGGCCCAGACCTGAGGCAGGTGCTGGATGTGTTGGTGGTGGCAGGGATGAGGGCAGCAGCTTGCTCTTTGCCCAGATTACCTCTTTGTGGCTCCCCCCCACCTATCAGGAAGTGCCCTGGGCAGGTGAGGGTCATCTCACCTGACACATGGGGAGGCTGGGACTTGTCTGCACACCTGAGGACACAGGGGGTGCTGGGATGAGGAGCCAAGACGTGGGAGTCAGCGCTCCCCAAGCCTTAGGACAGTAGACCCCCAGAGGGGGGCCGCTTGCGGGAGGGGAGAGAGAAATCCTGATGGCCAGTATCCGTCAGAGCAGAGCTTTCACCTGGCCCTGCTGCGGCAGCCCGGCATCTACAAGCCCTTCATCATCGGCGTCTCCCTGATGGCCTTCCAGCAGCTGTCGGGGGTCAACGCCGTCATGTTCTATGCAGAGACCATCTTTGAAGAGGCCAAGTTCAAGGTAAAAGGGCCCTGCCTGGCCTGCCTCGTCCAGCCCCCACATAGATGGAGCTTCCTCCCCAAGCCCAGGGCCCAGCCATCCAGCACAGGCCTGGAGAGGGAGGGACCCAGCTCTCAGCTGGCCCACCTGACCTGCCTGGGCTCTGTCTCCCCCAGGACAGCAGCCTGGCCTCGGTCGTCGTGGGTGTCATCCAGGTGCTGTTCACAGCTGTGGCGGCTCTCATCATGGACAGAGCAGGGCGGAGGCTGCTCCTGGTCTTGTCAGGTGAGGGTTCACCCCTGTGCAGCCTCCCCGCCATGCGGGGGAGGGCCTTCGCCAAGGCCACCACACTGCAGGAGGAGGACAGGGAGCATTTGTGATGACAAACATCATGGACTAATGCGGCCATGATTTGACAGCAGCTTGTCACCAAGCACTCACTGCAGGCCTGTCCATGCCAGTGGCACTCCCACACCACGCCTTTAACCTCTGTGGTGAACCCACCAGAAGGCACTCTCACAGCCCCAGCTTATGACGGGAAAACTGAGGGCCAGGAAGGTGAAGTGACTCAAGAGTTTGTGGGTCCTTTTGGACAAGTGACTTTACCTCTCTGAGCCTCAGTCTCCCCCTCTGGGAAGTGGGGGTAATGGCAGTGCCTCCCTCAGCACCATTTTGAGGAGTGGGAGGTGATCCACGTGAGGCCTTCAGCAAGAGCTGCGGCCCACGGACATTTGGTACCCAGCAGCTGCTGCGAAGACGACCGTCGGGGCTGAGGGTTACTCGCTGCTGCTTCTGTGCCGGTACCTCCCATTTCCTCGGCCCAGAGGGTCTGCTCCGGGAACTTTTTGCAGTTCGCTGAGGTCCAAGGCGGGGTGGCTGCCACCCAGTCAGGGCTTCTGCGGCCAAGGTGCCAGAACACCAAGCTGGCCGTTCTCTGGGAGCCGGGCCTGCCCCTCTCAGAGGCATCCAGGCCATGCTGCTGCGCCCTGGGCCGTTCCCCGGGTGCCCCGCCCACTGCCGCCCTCCCGCCTGCAGGTGTGGTCATGGTGTTCAGCACGAGTGCCTTCGGCGCCTACTTCAAGCTGACCCAGGGTGGCCCTGGCAACTCCTCGCACGTGGCCATCTCGGCGCCTGTCTCTGCACAGCCTGTTGATGCCAGCGTGGGGCTGGCCTGGCTGGCCGTGGGCAGCATGTGCCTCTTCATCGCCGGTAAGGGGGCCTGTGGGAGGCTGGGCGAGGAGTGGGAGGTGATCCCCCCGGCCCTGCTGTGGCGGCTCCCGGCAGGTGGGGTCTTCCCCAGCCTCACCTCTCCTCTCGTAAGTTCCAAGCTCTGCATTTCTAGCTCTGACCACATGCAGCTGTGGAACTAGGCCCCTCTGCGTTCCTTTCACTTAATCCCCTGAGCAGCCCTCGAGCAGGCCCCGTTGTGACCCCATCTCAGAGACAGAGCCTGTGCCTGAGGAGGGAAGAGGCTGGCCGAGGCCTTGGCAGGAAAGCATGGAGCTGGTGGGACCACACTGGGATCCGGGACCCCACAGCCCCACAGGCTGGGAAGCTGGGTCTCTTGGCTCTGCAGCAAGCTGAGGAGCCCAGCCCTGCGGACCCTGATGCCTGTCTTGCCTGTCTCGCTCCCACAGGCTTTGCGGTGGGCTGGGGGCCCATCCCCTGGCTCCTCATGTCAGAGATCTTCCCTCTGCATGTCAAGGGCGTGGCGACAGGCATCTGCGTCCTCACCAACTGGCTCATGGCCTTTCTCGTGACCAAGGAGTTCAGCAGCCTCATGGTGAGGGCAGGCTCCACCAGCACCGCGTTCGTGCAGTCAGCCGAGAAGCACTTTCTAAAACCACTTGTATTGCAGAAGACCCAGGGTCGTGGCCTTACATGCAGCCTGAGCCCCACCATGCCTGGGCCACTGGCCATCTTGGGCAAGGCGACGTGGAGGCAGATGGGCTAGGCCAGATGGGGAACCCAGGCTGTGACCCCTTGGGAGTCCTCTGCCTGTCTTGGCAGTCAGACAGCACAGCTGGCCTCTCCCCTTAGTGAACGTCAGGAAAGCGGGCCTTGAGCCTAAGGTCTTACATGGGAAGAGTTGACAGGGCTGGGCTGCAGCCCCACCCTGGCTACTTCCTTGCTGTGTGACCTTGGGTATGATGCTTACCTTCTCTGAGCCCGCTTCTTTGGCTGAAACTGGAGGAGAGTAACAGCAGCTTGCTCTTAAGACGGATGGGAGCATTAATTCAGTTCATCCTGTTGCTGCCTTCTCACGGATGGACTGGCACAGGTGTGGCCCCTGTCCCGGGGCTTCCCAGCCAACAGAGAGACAGTTCTGGGGTAGATGATCTGGTTGTTTGTTCAGTCATTTGTGCCCTCCAGGTCTCCTGGCATGTGCCATGTCCAGGCCCATTCAAGGCGCCAGGGAGAGCAATGAACAAGATGGACAGGGTCCCCTTTATGACAAGGACGGGAAAGGCCATGGCAGTGGTGGGAGAATGAACCCCAGTGGGGCTGGGTTAGGATGTGGTGGGGCGGGTCATGAGGGGCCAGCCTGGAGTCTGTGCAGAGCTTGGGACCCGCTTAGGCAGGACTGCCCGGGGAGCACATCGAGGGGGCCAGGCCGATGCCTGGGGGTGGAGATTACTTGCTGCAGCTGGGAGGGGATGCGCAGCAAAGGAAGGAGGAAAAGAAGCCAAGAAGGAGGTGACAAAGGACCTAACAGTCCTTTTTTAGGAGAGAAAATGTCCAAGAGGCCAAGAGAAGGCCTTCGAGGAGGGAGAGATCGCCAGGTCCCAGAGGACCAGGAGCTGAGAAGCACCTTTTTAGTTCTGGCACGTGGGAGGTCACAGTGGTGGTGGATGGCAGGGACAGGTTCTGACTGAAGGCCCCATGTGCTCCTGGGGCCATGCTCGCTTTGCCCTGTCTCACCCATTTCCACCACACTATGAAAGAACCCACCGGGGGCCTCAGGGTGGGGCCAAAGCTGAGGGTGGAGGGTTGGTCTGTGGGCCCTGGAGTCAGACCTGGAACAGGAGCCCAGCTGTCACTGGATAGCGGGTCTCTGGCCTTGAGGCAGTCACTTCATTGCTGTGAGCCTCAGTTTCCCCAGCCATACGACCTCGGTATCTTGGACAGTGCTCGGCCCAAGCCACCAGACTGGATGCCAGACTATCCTCCATGTCCCAGAGCTGGGTGGAGATAAAATGGGTGTGGCCTTGGGCAGGGCAGGCTGGGGTCAGGGGACTGGACCCCCTGGTGGCAGAGCTGTCTCAGTGATCGCGTGGGGCTTCCTGATCTCTCCCCGCGTCCACCCATGGCCTTTCCTCTCTCTGCAGGAGGTCCTCAGGCCCTATGGAGCCTTCTGGCTTGCCTCCGCTTTCTGCATCTTCAGTGTCCTTTTCACTTTGTTCTGTGTCCCTGAAACTAAAGGAAAGACTCTGGAACAAATCACAGCCCATTTTGAGGGGCGATGACAGCCACTCACTAGGGGATGGAGCAAGCCTGTGACTCCAAGCTGGGCCCAAGCCCAGAGCCCCTGCCTGCCCCAGGGGAGCCAGAATCCAGCCCCTTGGAGCCTTGGTCTGCAGGGTCCCTCCTTCCTGTCATGCTCCCTCCAGCCCATGACCCGGGGCTAGGAGGCTCACTGCCTCCTGTTCCAGCTCCTGCTGCTGCTCTGAGGACTCAGGAACACCTTCGAGCTTTGCAGACCTGCGGTCAGCCCTCCATGCGCAAGACTAAAGCAGCGGAAGAGGAGGTGGGCCTCTAGGATCTTTGTCTTCTGGCTGGAGGTGCTTTTGGAGGTTGGGTGCTGGGCATTCAGTCGCTCCTCTCACGCGGCTGCCTTATCGGGAAGGAAATTTGTTTGCCAAATAAAGACTGACACAGAAAATCAGGTCAGTGTCTCTGGGCTTTGTGCAAGCTCAGTTTGAAAAGGGTTTATTCCCATCACTGCCCAGGACACCCTGTGGCTTTACTTGCTCATGGTCAGCCAAGCTTACCCTTCACACTGAGAAGTCATTTCTGGCTACTTCCTTGGGCTCAGTTCCCTGGGTCATCAGCCATCAAATCTTGTTGAGTTTAAAAAATAAACAGCAAAAAAAAACAAAACAAAACAAAAAAAAACACCTTTTGTTCTGTTGACTTTAATGGAGCCAGAAGTCTTTTATAATTTTATTATTAATTAGCTAATATGTGTTCATTGTAGGGAAATTAAAAAAGATTTAATATCATTTTTATAGCTGTTAACCAGCTGCTATGCACTGTCCTAAGCACTTTACAAATATTAACTCATTTATTTGGATAAACAATGATAAAACTATTTACAGCCACCCCTTTCCAGAGATAACATCTCTGTTGGGATTTTGTTCTGCCAGGCACGGTGGCTCACACCTTTAATCCCAGTGCTTTGGGAGGCTGAGGCAGGAGGATCTCTTGAGCCCAGAAATTCGAGGCTGCACGCACCTCGGCATCCGCATTACCAGTGCTTGCGTGGCAGTCCACTAATCGGGTGAGAACCATATTGCTTTTTGCATCTCAATGAAGCAATAGTAGCAATTTATCAAGCACTTTTTTTTCCAGACTGGTATAAAATTGTATGTGCTTTTGTAAACCATTTAACAATAAAAGTAAAATACAAAAGGGAACAGGGCACGGTGGCTCACGCCTGTAATCCCAACACTTTGGGAGGCCAAGGCGTGTGGAGTCAGGAGTTCAAGACCAGCCTGACTAACATGGTGAAACCCTCGTCTCTGCTAAAAATAGAAAATTAGCCGGGCGTGGTGGCACATGCCTGTAATCCCAGCTACTCAGGAGGCTGAGGCAAGAGAATTCGCTGAGGCTGAGGTGAGAGAATCCCTTGAACCCAGGAGGCAGAGGTTGCAGTGAGCCAAGATCGTGCCACTGCACTCCAGCCTGGGGGACAGAGTGAGACTCTGTCTCAAAAATACATACATACATAAAATAAAAATCATTAGAGATATATTCTCTTTCCACCAGCTTTGTGCCTGGAGGTTATGGATGTGGGGCTCTGGCTGCCCTCTTGCCACCGACTGGAGCTTCAGACTGAAGCTTAACATGGGCCAAAGCAAGCATGTAGGAGAGATAGGGAGGTTGGGGGAGATGATGGGGAGGTGGGGGAGATGGGGAGGTGGGGGAGACGATGGGGAGGTGGGGGGAGATGATGGGGAGGTGGGGGAGATGATGGGGAGATGATGAGGTGGGGGAGATGATGGGGAGGTAGGGAGAGATGACGGGGAGATGATGAGGTGGGGGAGATGGGGAGGTAGGGGGAGATGATGGGGAGGTGGGGGAGACGATGGGGAGGTGGGGGGGAGACGATGGGGAGGTGGGGGGGAGACGATGGGGAGGCGGGGGGAGATGATAGGGAGGTGGGGAAAAAGATGGGGAGGTCGGGGGAGATGATGGGGAGATGGGGGAGATGATGAGGAGGTGGGGGAGACGATGGGGAGGTAGGGGGAGATGATGGGGAGGTGGGGGAGACGATAGGGAGGTGGGGGAGACGATGGGGAGATGATGGGGAGGTGGAGGAAGATGATGGGGAGGTGGGGGGAGATGATGGAGAGGTGGGGGAGATGATGGGGAGGTGGGGGGAGATGATGGAGAGGTGGGGTAGACGATGGGGAGGTGGGGGGAGATGATGAGGTGGGGGAGGTCATGTGGGGGGAGCTGATGGGGTGGGGGAGGTGATGGGGAGGTGGGAGAGGTGATGGGGAAGTGGGGGAGGTGATGGGGAGGTGGGAGGTGATGGGGAGGTAGGGGAGATGATGGGGAGGTGGGGGGAGATGATAGTGAGGTGGGGGTAGGTGATGGGGAGATGATGGGGAGGTGGGGGGAGGTGAGGGGAGATGATGGGGAGGTGCACATCAAAATGTGAACAGTGCTGCCCTGCCACTTGACTTTTTGAAAGCTGCCTTGAAAATAAGCTTTCTGGGTCCAAATGATCCTTTGCTCAAGCAAAGCCACTGATACATGGCTTTAGGTTAGTAATATATAAAACCCAGAGCTTATGAGTTCGGGGAGGAAGTATTCACAACATTATGGTTATATAAACATCGTTACTGTAAACCTAATGAAATGGACTTAAAGACATAATCCTATGTCAGTCAGCCTGTGTTACTCAAAAAGGAATATTCTAAGCAGCAATATAAAATGGATTTTCTCTTATACTACATCAGTTAATTAAAATAATGCCAGATTTGAGTTTGTACCTTATTTAGGACATGATAATATTAGATTTCTTTTTTACCTGGAGTTTTGTTGTTGTTGTTTTTCCTTCTTAAGAAACGTGTCATTTTCTTCACCATATGACTGAGGTCTTTCCCCTTTGTAATAATGCTAGCTGTTGCATGGAATCCATTTTTTTCTCCTTCTGACCTCTTGTTTTGGGGGACCTGCGGCAAAGCTGTTTTCGTTTCATTGATTCCTGGGTTAATTTCTCTGCTTCTTGGGTTCCACACCTTGCTCCTTGGATTCCATTTCTTTTTTCTTTCTTTTTTTTTTTTTTTTTGAGACGGGGTTTCGCTCTTGTTCCCCAGGCTGGAGTGCAATGGCTCGATCTCGGCTCACTGCAACCTCCGCCTCCTGGGTTCAAGTGATTCTCCTGCCTCAGCCTCCCGAGTAGCTGGCATTACAGGCACCCGCCACCATGCCAGGCTAACTTCTTGTATTTTTAGTAGAGACGGGGTTTCACCATGTTGGCCAGGCTGGTCTTGAACTCTTGACCTCAAGTGATCCGCCCACCTCAGCCTCCCAAAGTGCTGGGATTACAGGCATGAACCACCGCGCCCGGCCTCTTGGATTCCATTTCAATTTGCAGGGCTACACCTTCACAGGGCTACCATGTCTGATATCAGTCATTTTTTCAGGACAGGTACAGAGGGAGCGAGTTTCTGCATGCCTAAAAAGCCTTTATTTTACTGTCACTTTTTTTTTCTTTCTTTTTTGTAGAGACAGGGCGAGTCCATACAGTAAAGTGAAAGCAAGTTTATTAGCAAAGTAAAGGACTAAAGAAAAGCTGCTCCATAGAGCAGCCCCGAGCGCTGCTGGTTGCCCATTTTTATGGTTATTTCTTGATTATATGCTAAACAAGAGGCGGATTATTCATGCCACCCTTTTTTAGACCATATTAAGTAACTTCCTGGCATTGCCATGGCATCTGTAACCTGTCATGGCGCTGGCAGGAGTGTGGCAGTGAGGACGACCAAGATCACTCTGGTTGCCATCTTGGTTTTGGTGGGTTTTGGGCTGCCTTCTTTACCGCAACCTGTTTTATCAGCAAGGTCTTTACAACCTGTATCTTGTGATGACCTCCTATCTCATCCTATTACTTAGAATGCCTTCACCATTGGCATTGGCAGTGCAGCCCAGTAGGTCTCAGCCTCATTTTACCCCGCCCCTACTCAAGATGAAGTTGCTCTGGTTCAAACGCCTCTGATACCATGAGATTTTGAATCTCGATACTTTCTTCTGGGAACTTGTTCTTCTTTTACTTCTTCATTCTCACATCCCAGCCCCTGATTTTCTCTGTTTCCTCTTTCTGAAACTTCTAGTAGACACTGTACTTCCTGGCACAGTATCCTCCCTCAATTTTTCACTTATATACTCTTTTAGTGTCTTCGTATTCTAGGAATTTTTTTTTTACTTAATCCTCTAGCTCTTCTACAAAATGTTCTGTTTTGTTAATCATGTTTAACATAATTTTGATCCTTTTAAATGTATTGAGACCTATCTTGGTGAATGTTCCATGTGCAATTGAAAAGAATATGTACTGTGCTGTTGCTGGGCGGAGTGTTCTATAAATGTCACTTAGGTCAAGTTGTTTAATAGTCTGCTTCATGTCTTCTGTATTAATCAGGGTTCTCCAGAGATTAAACTAATGGTGTGTGTGTGTGTGGGGGGGGGATGTATGTGTATGTAGAGAGAGATACATAGAGAGAGAAATAAGAAATCAGTTCACATGATGGCCAAGCACGGTGGCTCACGCCTGTAACCCCAGCACTTTGGGAGGCCAAGGCAGGCAGACCACTTGAGGTCAGGAGTTCGAGACCAGCATGGCCAACATGATGAAACCCTGTCTCTACTAAAAATACAAAAAAATTAGCTGGGCATGGTGGCATACTCCTGTAATCCCAGCCACTTGGGAGGCAGGAGAATTACTTGAACCTGGGAGGCAGAGGCTGCAGTGAGCCGAGATCGCACCACTGCACTCCAGCCTGGGCAACAGAGACTCCGTCTCAAAAAAAAAAAAAAAAAAAAAAAGAGAAGAAATCAGTTCACATGATTATGAAGGCTGAGGTCACAAGATCTGCAGGGTGAGTTAGCAGCTGGAGGCCCAGGAGAGCTGATGGTGCAGTTCCAATCCAAAGGCCAGCAGGCTGGAGATACAGGAAGAACCAATATTGCAGTTCAAGTCTGAAGGCAGGAAAAGACTGTCAGTCATCCCCACTCAAGAGAGTCAGGAAGCGTTTCCCCTTACTTTCGTTCTACTCAGGCCTTCATGGATTGGATGAGGCTCACCTACATTGAGGGGGGCAATCCGCTTCACTCAGTCTACTGATTCAAATGTTAATTTCATCCAAAACACCTTTACAGAATAATATTTGACCTGTCAGGTTGACACATAAAATTAACTATCATGTCTTCTAAATCCAGGTTTTCTGTCCACTGATTCTGTCGATTACTGAGAGAGGGTGTTGGAATCTCACCTCTGCATGTGTATTGTCCAGCTCTGTAGTTCGTTGGCCTTTGTCTGGCACTTTGGAGCTCTGCTCTTAGGCACCTGTGCATTTAGGATTGTACCGTTCTCCTGACTGCTCCATCCTTTATCTTTAGGAAATGGTCCTCTTTATCCCTGGTACTGCCCCTTGTTCTGAGGTCTGACCCTGTCTGACATGAAAATCGCCACTCTGTTTTGGCAGTAATTTCTAATATTGTCTTATTCCCTGTGCCTTTTTATTTTATTTATTATTATTTTTTTAATTTTCCTGGTTTCCTTGGTGTCTTCTAAACCTGTGCCTTTTTCGTAGCATCCTGTGCTCTTCTTTTTAATGGCTTGCCTGTTTGAATTTCTCTAAGGATACATATTTTCACTTTTTAAATATCAGCTTTAGGCTGGGCACAGTGGCTCACACCTGAAATCCCAACACTTTGGGAGGCCAACGTGGGCGGATCATTTGAGGTCAGGAGTTCGAGACCAGCCTGGCCAACATGGCAAATCCTTGTCTCTACTAAAAATACAAAAATTAGCCAGGCGTGGTGGTGCATGCCTCTAATTCCAGCTATTTGGGAGGCTGAGGCAGGAGAATTGCTTGAACCTGGAAGGAGGAGGTTGTAGTGAGCTGAGATCACACCACTGTACTCCAGCCTGGGTGACAGAGCATGACTCTGTCTCCAAAAGAAACAAAAAACAAAAAAAACCAGCTTTGATTGAGGCATTATTTACTTAAGTAAAATTCAATAATTGTAAGTATAAAATTTAATGACTTATGACAAATGTATACAGTCATGTAACTGTCAGGCCTCTGAGCCCAAGCCTGCACGTATACATCCAGATAGCCTGAAGAATCACAAAAGAAGTGAAAAATGGCCAGTTTCTGCCTTAACTGATGACATTACCTTGTGAAATTCCTTCTCCTGGCTCAGAAGTTCCTTCACTGAGCACCTTGTGACCCCTACCCCTGCCCGTAAGAGAACGACCCCCTTTGACTATAATTTTCCACTGCCCACCCAAATCCCATAAAAGTGCCCCACCCCATCTCCCTTTGCTGACTCCTTTTATGGACTCAGCCTGCCTGCACCCAGGTGATTAAAAAGCTTTATTGCTCACACAAAGCCTGTTGGTGGTCTCTTCACACGGACACGCATGACATTTGGTGCCGTGACTCGGATCGGGGGACCTCCCTTGGGAGATCAATCCCCTGTCCTCCTGCTCTTTGCTCCATGAGAAAAATCCACCCACAAGCTCGGGTCCTCAGACCAGACCAAGAAACACCTCACCAATTTTAAATCGGGTAAGCGGCCTCTTTTTACTCTTCTCCAACCTCTCTCATTATCCCTCAACCTCTTTCTCCTTTCAATTTCGGCGCCACCCTTCAGTCTCTCCCTTCCCTTAATTTCAGTTCCTTTCCTTTTCCAGTAGAAACAGAGGAGACGCTTTTTTTTTTTTTTTTTTTTTTTTTGAGAGAGTTTTGCTCTGTCACCCAGGCTGGAGTGCAGTGGTGCCATCTTGGCTCACTGCAAGCTCCACCTCCTGGGTTCCCGCCATTCTCCTGCCTCAGCCTCCCGAGTAGCTGGGACTACAGGCGCCCGCCACCATGTCCGGCTAATTTTTTTTTTTGTATTTTTAGTAGAGACGGGGTTTCACTGTGTTAGCCAGGATGGTCTCGATCTCCTGACCTCATGATCCACCTGCCTCGGCCTCCCAAAGTGCTGGGATTACAGGCGTGAGCCACCGCGCCCGGCCCGAGACACGTTTTATCTGTGAACCAAAAATGCCGGCGCCCGTCATGGACTTGGGAAGACAAGTCTTCCCTTGGTGTTTAATCACTGCGGGGATGCCTGCCTGATCATTCACCCACATTCTAGAGGTGTCTGATTACCATGGGGACGCCTGCCTTGATCCTTCACCTTGGTGGCAAGTACCACCCCCCCCCCCACCGGGGTGGCAAGTACCACCTCCCCTGGGTGGCAAGTGCCCGCCCCCACCTCTGTGTCTCTACCCTCTCTTTTCTCTGGGCTTGCCTCCTTCACTATGGGCAACCTTCCACCCTCTATTCCCCCTTCTTCTCCCTTAACCTGTGTTCTCAAAAACGTAAAACCTCTTCAACTTTCGCCTGACCTAAAACCTAAGTGTCTTATTTTCTTCTGCAACACCATTTGGCTCCAATACAAACCTTGATAATGGTTCTAAATAGCCAGAAAACAGTGCTTTCAATTTCTCCATCCTACAAGATCTAGATAATTTTTGTCATAAAATGGGCATAGTCTGAGGTGCCTGACATCCAGGCATTCTTTTACACATTTGTCCCTCCCTAGTCTCTGCTCCCAATGTGACTCGTCCTAAATATTTCTTCTCTCCTGTCTGTTCCTTCAGTCTCCACCCCAAGCTCTAAGTCCTTTGAATCCTCCTTTTCTACGGACCCATCTGACCTCTTCCTTCCTCCCCAGGCTGCTCCTCGCCAGGCTGAGCCACGTCCCAATTCTTCCTCAGCCTCCGCTCCCCAACCCTATAATCCTTCTATCATCTCCCCTCCTCACACCCGCTCTGGCTTACAGGGGGAAGGTAGCCAAGGATGGAGTGAAATGCAGGGTAAATGTCTTAAAGGAAATGAGAGGTTCTATGAGGCTGGCTAGTGGCTTGTAACCTACATGGAAGAGGTTACGAAAAGATGACAGAATGGAATGAGCCTGTGAGGGTGAAAGGAGGTATTTCCTTGGTCTAAGAACCATTTGCCTTCAGTGGGGAGGGATTGATAGGTGGAAACTTCAGTGCGAGAGTAAGTAGGCGTGACTGATGAGGAGAAAAACTGGCCATGAGGGACAGAAGTAGGAATAGTGGCTGCTGCTTTTTCTGTCTTATCAGCATAATTGTTGCCTTGAGCAATGGAGTGTGGGGCCTTTTGATGGCCTTTGCAGTGAATGACTCCAGCTTCCTTTGGAAGTAAAGCAGCCTTGAGAAGAGTTTTTATTAAAGAAGCATTAATGATGGAGGACCCTAGTGTAGTGAGGAAACCTCTTTCAGCCTACGTAACAGCATGGTAGTGCAGCTATTTCCAACTTGGGGCTATATGAATAAAGCCACTATAAACAGTTACATACAAGTCTTTCTGTGGAGTGGACTCGCTGGGTCATGTCTTATGTTTAAGAAGCTGCCAAACTGTTTTCCAAAGTGGCTGCACCATTTTGCATTCCCACCAGCAGTGTAGGGGAGTTCCAGCTGCTCACATCCTCCACCACACCAAACCTGGCATTCACTGTGAGGAATATAGCTACTTACACGCTTTTTCAAAGTTGTCTTCTGTTCTCTGACTTCCTCTGGGATCAGTTGATCTGCTTGTTTATGTTGGGCCATCTCTTTTATGCTGCTGGTTTATCTCAAATATCTGGTGAGCTTTGGTTGTCCATATTTAGGAATAAAGAACTAGGCAGCTTAACTGCAGTAGCTGGTATAAGCCTTCCCCCTCCCCCACCTCTCTACCTATTCTATGCTCTGTTATGGATGTGTTCATTTCTGTACATCTCCAATGTCATTTCAGTGGGATTTGGCAAAGGAGAAAAGGAGGTAAATGTGTAAGTTTAATTCACCATCCTGAACTAAACTTTTTGCATCATTTTAATAATTACTTAGTATTGTTTGCCTTTGGAGTCGTGGTGCCTGGCAAAGACAGGTACTCAAATATGTTGAATGTAGGGTTATTTCATCATATAAATATATCAGAACTGAAGTCAACCCCATATTAAATACATCAGAACTTAACTCCAATTGCTCCACATTTACGTTGTTTCCAGTTTTCTGCTTATTGCTAATTTTGCTATTATATAGATATAAATTTAGAGGGAGATGAGAGAGACAATAGCAGCATCAAAGAGGAGAGAGGGGAGAGCAATGGCACAGAAGAGAGATGATGGAGATGAGTGATGGAGATGGAGACAGAGGTGATGGTGATGGTGGGGAAAAGGGAGATGATGGAGTTGGAGATAGAGATGGTAGAACTAGAGATAGACCTGTGCCAGCCGGGCGTGGTGGCTCATGCCTGTAATCCCAGCACTTTGGGAGGCCGAGGCAGGCAGATCACGAAGTCAAGAGATTGAGACCATCCTGGCCAACATGGTGAAACCCTGTCTCTACAAAAAACAAAAAATTAGCTGGGAGTGGTGGTGCGTGGCTGTAATCCCAGCTACTGGGGAGGCTGAGGTAGGAGAATCACTTGAACCAGGGAGGTGGAGATTGCAGTGAGCCAAGATCACACCATTGCACTCCATCCTGTTGACAGAGCAAGACTCTGTCTCAAACAAAAAAAAAAAAAAAAAAAAAAAGAAACCTGTGCCTAACTGAACAGAAACTTCCATAGGAGGGAACATTAGAGCATTAGAGGTGTCATTGCTGGCCAAGGGGTGTACATTGTCAAAGCTATTACACCCCAGAAGGTTACACATGGGCTGTGTCTGAAAGGGACCTATTCCCTCATCTCCAAATCAGTTATCAGGGAGTCCACACCATGGACCAAGGAAGAGGACCCGAGACAGGTTCATGCACACATTAGGTGTCTAATGACTGGGACAGCTGTTTTGCTTGATACCTCAGGCCACACAGGGCTTGAGCAAGCAGCCTAACCTCCCTAAACTACAGCCTCTGCTCGGGACACCCACTCTCATCCACCTCGCAGAAGACTGGTCTTTGTCCTGGATGAGTTCTCCAACTGGGGCTTCAGGCCAGAGGCTGCTCCCAGCTCTGGCTTGGCTGTTCTCCAGCCTCTGCAAAGCAGGGCTTGTAAAAAAAAGAGGGAAGGCAGGATGATGTGTCAGCCCCCAGGCTACAAGATAGATGGTAAACATGTGGGCAAGGAACATGTCACTGTGGCTTCAAACTCTTCCTCAGCCTCTCTCCTTTGCTCTCTGCTGGAGTCTGCATGGAGGGTAAGAGTGTGCTTAGTTCCAACTCTGGTTGTTCCACTCCCTGCCTATGTGATGTGGACAAGTCACCTGACCCCTCTCGGCCTGTTTCTTCATCTGTCAAATGGGCGTCATGGCACTACCTCCCTCATGGAGTTGTGAGGATGAAAGGCAAGAATTATGTAAAGCACCTGAACCTGGGGACGGGACAGAGTGAGTGCTCCGGCAATGGTCGCTGTTGTTACTGGTGCGAGTGAGGGTGGGGCAGGGGGCGTGGTGAAGGTGGGGAGCTGTGCTAGGCGGGTGGGAGGCCCTGGGGGGGGTTCATAAAGGGACATTTGAGATCTTCAATCATTTTTCTCCTTATATTCTATTTCCTACCTCGCCCTCTTGGCAACCCCCACCCACACCACCTGCTGTTGCTACCAGTACCCACTTACCCGTGCCAATAATGTGATTCATACTCTTCAGAGGTCCCTTTGTTTCCCTTTAAGTCTTCCCATCAGAGCACAGAATGCTTCGCGGACCCAGAGCCAGCCCCCATTGACCATCCTGTAGGGGCCCCAGAAGCCCAGCCTGGCGCCATCAGTAAAGGATTATGGAGAGGAGCACTGGATAGAACAGCCCCAGGGGACAGGTGCAGCATAAGCTTGCTTTACCCAGCCCAGGGCCGAAATCTGCACGGCCCACGGACGCCCACTACCCCCTTACACCATCCCAGCTCCTGCCCCAGAGTAACTTGGCTTCTGCAAACCAGAGAGACTTGTCCCTGATGCCCCCCGGGGACCAGGGGTGGAAGTGCATCAGCTGGAGCAAGACACACTAGGCTACCTCACGGTGGGCGTGTGCGGGATCCCAGGGCTAAGCCAGCAACCCTGTAGTGGCCATTGGGGTTGGCACCTACTGAGCCTGGGGCTGCACGCAGAATCGCACCAGCTGAGGTGTGACGCTCTCTGCCGCTGCCTTGTGGCCTGGGCAGGATGACACTGCCTCTGGTCCCCAACAGAGTGAAAGTGATTGATTATGACTCCAAAGCTCATTCAGCCTGCTGGACAAGGCAGGATCAGCCGAAGGGGTTGAAACCTGCTTCTGCTTGGTTTCTTTTGTTTGTTTGATTGTTTTTGAGACAGAGTATCACTCTGTCGCCCAGGCTGGAGTGTAGTGGCGTGATCTCGGCTCACTGCAATGTCCGCTTCCATGGTTCAAGCGATTCTCCTACCTCAGCCAACTGAGTAGCTGGGATTACAGGCGTGCACCACAACGCCCAGCTAATTTTTTGTATTTTTAGTAGAGACGGGTTTCACCATGTTGGCCAGGCTCGTCTCAAACTCCTGACCTCAGGTGATCCGCCTGTCTCGGCCTCCCAAAGTGCTGGGATTCCAGACATGAGCCACCGCGCCTGCTTGGTTTCTGGCTCCTTCTGCTCCTCTTTCCTCTGTCCCTTCCAGACCACACTCCCAGAGGGAGCACAGATCACGGCCCTCAGACTCCATCTCCCAACACGCTGCTGTGACAAGCACTAATGGCCTCCAGAAGGGCAACCCAACTCGCCCTCAAGGACACTGGGGGTGGTGGCATGGGAGCTGCAACCTCACATGGGACCCTGTGTTAGGGGGGACACCCGGTAGGGTCTGGCCTGGCTTCCTCTGCTGTAACTAAGTCACCGCTTCAGTCCTGCTGTCCTGACCACCCACAAGATGATCGGTCTCAGTCCCTGGGTCATTAGGATTGTCGATGTGTCAGAAGTCCCACTGTTGGAACACCTGCTATGCACGGTCTCTCACTGGGAGACCGAGGCACACCTTGCTTGACACCAGATGAAATGACCCAGACCCTCCTTGGTCTTTGGGGAGCAAATCTAGGAGAAAAGGACTTAGGGCAGGTCAGTCACTGAGCAGTGAGACAGGAAAGGCTCTGCAGGCTTGCACAGAAGGGATCGTTATGCGCATAGGGCTTCCCAGAGAAGGCTTCGAGCCCAGCCTTGATGACAGAAGAGCAGGCCAGGAGACAAGAGAGGCACCCAAAGGAAGGGAACAGCACATATGAGGTGTGACACAGCAGATGCCGTGTATAGTTTCTGCAAAACTTGAGGCTCCTCCTCCCAGCCTCCTTGGTGACTTCCTCTGCGTTGGCCGGACTGGGGCACTGCTGAGATGGTGCCACAAATAGCTGACCAGGAGATAACAGGATGATGGCAGCCATTGGTGGACTCTGGTCATCAGGAAATTGAGGCCCAATTGTTGCCTTAGCAACTATGGCTGGGGCAGGGAAAGGCTGGGGTTGAAATTACAAATTCGTCTGACATGCTGAAAAGAAGGGCCAGCAACACAAGGGTAGGGTCCTCCTTATCTCTGAGGCCCCACCCCTCAGAGCTGAGGCAAGGACGGAGCCTTTTTCTTAGCTACAGACATCACACACTAGGCCGGGGACAGTGGCTGTGCCTTCCTGATCACTCAGGAAAAAAGGAATGCCAAGCTTGGGTCTAGGGGTGGTGGCATGGGAGGAGTGTTGAAACAGGCACTTGGAGAACCCGTGCCTGCCCTGGGGGAACATCATTCATTCACTCTTTCAGCATCTGACTACCTACTGTGTGTCAGGCAGTTGTAGACACTGGTGATATGGTGGTGGCAAAGAATACAGCACCTGCTCTAATGGGAATTAGCTTCTGAAGAGAGGCAGACAATAAGAAGTAAAGAAACAAACAAAAGAATTAAACAGGTCACACCTGTCAGCCCAGTGCTTTGGGAGTATTTTTTTTTTTTTAATTAGCCAGGTCTGGCCTGGCGTGGTGGCTCACGCCTATAATCCCAGCACTTTGGGAGGCCGAGGTGGGCAGATCACCTGAGGTCAGGAGTTCGAGACCAGCCTAGCCAACATGGTAAAACCCCGTCTCTACTAAAAATACAAAAACTAGCCGGGTATGGTGGTGCGTGTCTGTAATCCCAGCTACTTGGGAGGCTGAGACAGGAAAATCGCTTGAACCCGGGAGGCGGAGATTGCAGTGAGCCGAGATCCCGCCACTGCACTCCAGCCTAGGCATCAGAGTGAGACTCCATCTCAAAAAAAAAAAAAAATATATATATATATATACACACACACACACACACACATATATATACATATATACACATATATATCTATATATACACATATGTGTGTGTGTGTGTGTGTGTGTATGTATAGGCCAGGTACAGTAGTTTATGCCTGTAATCCCAGCATTTTGGGAGGCCAAGGCGGGCCGATGACCTGAGGTCGGGAGTTCAAGACCAGCCTGACCAACATGGAGAAACTCTGTCTCTACTAAAAGTACAAAAAATTAGCCTGGCATGGTGGCGCATGCCTGTAATCCCAGCTACTTGGGAGGATGAGGCAGGAGAATCGCTTGAACCCAGGAGGCGGAGGTTGTGGCGAGCCAAGATCGTGCCATTGTGCTCCAGCCTGGGCAACAAGAGCGAAACTCTGTCTAAAAAATAAATAAATAAATAAATAATAAAATTAGCCAGGTGTGGTGGTGCAGACCTGGAATCCCAGCTACTCAGAAGGCTGAGGTGGGAGGACTGCTTAAGCTCAGAAGTCCAAGGTTGCAGTGAGCTATATGAGTGGTGTGCCACTGCACTCCAGCCTGGGTGACAGAGCAAGACACTGTGTCTAAATTAAGAAAAAAAAAAAAGTAAACCCAATCTATGTGAACTTATTCAACAGTGGAAAATGCTAAAAGGAAATAAAAAGTCACCATGGGAGCAGCAAGGGCTGTTACTGTACAGGGTACTAAGTGAGGGCCCCTCCTGAGACGTACGCTCAGACATCATGCATGAGAAGCGGCCAGCTGTGTTGAGTGCTGCTGGTCATGGCCCCGCAAGTGCAAAGGTTGTGTGGCAGGACGGAGGCTGGTGTGACCTCTGAAGCCATTAAGAGCCAGTGTGGCTCTGAGCAAAAGGAGAGGCAGGGAGCCGCAGCATGTGCTTGTGGAAGTAAGTAGCTGTCTTGTGGCCTTTCCTATGGCTCGTTTATTTTCTTTCTTTTTTTTTTTGTTTTTTTGTTTTTTTGAGACGGAGTCTCACTTTGTCTCCCAGTGAGCTCTCAGCTCACTGCAACCTCCACCTCCTGGGTTCAAGTGATTGTCCCACCTCAGCCTCCTGAGTAGCTGGGATTACAGGTGTGTGCCACCATGCCCAGCTATTTTTTTAATTTTTAGTCGAGACGGGGTTTCACCATGTTGGCCAGGCTGGTCTCAAACTCCTGACCTCAGGTGATGCACCTGCCTCAGCATTCCAAAGTGCTGGAATTACAGGCGTGAGCCACCACACCCGGCCTTGGCTCATTTTCTCCACAAAGCCATTTCCTCTGAGTCAGTGATTTTCAAACTTTATAGCGTATCAACTACAAGGATTGTCAAAACAAAGGCTGCTAAGCCCTGACCCCAGAATTTGTTTTATAGGTGTGGAGTGGGACCCCTGAATTTGCTTTTCTAACAACTTTTAAGGGGGATGCTGCTGCTGCTGGCCTGGGGATCCCACTTTGAGAACCACCACATTATTAAGGGGACAGGACACTGATTGCTTATGACAGCTGAGAGGCAAGACAAAGGAGAATCTCTTTTTTTTTTTTTTGAGATGGAGTCTTGCTTTGTCGCCCAGGCTGGAATACAGTGGTGCGATCTCGGCTCACTGCGACCTTTGCCTCCGGGTTCAAGTGATTCTCCTGCTCCAGCTCCCTGAGTAGCTGGGATTACAGGTGCGTGCCACCCCGCCCAGCTAATTTTTGTATTTTTAGTGGAGGCGGGGCTTCACCATGTTGGTCAGGCTGGTCTTGAACTCCTGACCTCGTGATCTGTCCACCTCGGCCTCCCAAAGTGCTGTGATTACAGGCGTGAGCCACTGCGACCAGGATGATCTTTCTAAGCAGTGTGTCTGTGCTTCAGGACACACAAGGGCCAAGTTAGGGCAGCCAGGGTCATGACCCTTTTGGCTGCTGTTGGAAGGGGAGGGGTGACACTTGCTCCTGGGTGCTCCCTTATCTCCACATACGCTATATCAGCGGGGTGGGGACAGCCTGAGGCTGGCCAGAGCTTTCTTGGGGGCCCTTCTCCCATCTTCCTTCTGCCACCTCAGGCCTCCTCAACACAGGAGGCCAGACAGAGGGGCAAGTTTGCCTCATTCTGGCCTCCTGGTCCCAGGGATATGAAACACTTCCTCTTCCCTAAGTGTCCTATCCATCCCAGTCTAGTTATGCTTCCTCTCCTCAAGGTAGCAAGATTTCTCTGACAAGAAACTTCTCTCTAGCCACTTGAGCCCAACGCCTCTTCTCAGGAGATGGGATTCAGGACTCTCAAGTGTGGGAGGAGTACATTAGCAACACTGGGAACATTTCCTGATCACGGATTCAATTCTGAAACGACCACGGCAGTGAGTCTAGAGTGAGGCCAGGTATCCCCCAGTGATCCAAAAAGCACTCTGGATGCAGCTTTCCTGAGAGCTGACAGGTCTGGGATACCTCTGCCAGCCTGACAGCCAGCTGGATCCTAGATTCCCGGTATCCATTCACTTCCATCTGGTTTTCTAATCCTGCTGTGGTCAGCAGAATACCACCCCCCAAAGATATACATGTCCTAATCCCCGGAACCTCTGAATATGTTAGGTTACATGACAAAAGGGAATAAAATTGCAAATGGAATTAAGGTTGCTAATCAGCTGGCCTTAACGATTCTCCTCAATTAGCTGGGTGAGCCCAGTGTTAACCATGAGGGTCCTTAAAAGTGGAAGAGGGCTGCGGAGGAGAGAGAACCATACAGAGGGCAGCAATGGACGGACTCTGGCTGAGGTTGCTACTTTGAAGTTGGAAGAAGGGGCTGCGAGTCAAGGATGCAGGCAGCCTCTGGAAGTTGGAAAAGGCAAGAAAAGATTCTCCCCTGGAACCTCCAGAAGGAATGCAGCACTGTCGACACCTTGATTTTAGCCCAGTGAGACCCACTTCAGACTTCTTACAAAACTGTAAGCCCCAAACTACAGCTGCCCAATATAGAGAAGGGCTAGCTCAAAGACATTTGTGAGTGTGGCTTCTCCGATGGAGCCAATCCCATTAAGATTCATAGGAAGACCCACAAAATTAAGAAACTTACACTGGCAAAAATGCCACCGGCTGTGATTGAAAGGGAAAGAGACAAGACAAAATGAAAAGGAGCCTTAGAATCCCCATACTCACTTATTTCCTGGGTAACCCAGTCCCCTCCCCTTAACGACAAAATGCCTATAAAAAGGAGCTGATCATCGAAAAATTGCTTAAGAAGTAATTTCCAAAGGGCTCGAGGGAAAGTCCATTGAAACATCCCCAGCCTGCAGCAGGGAAGCCCTTAAGGAACACAGGATTCAGGAATCTCCTCCCGCAGAAGTGCTGATCAAACACTGCCCCTGAAATGACTGAAGCAGTTCCCGCCGGCCGATAGGTTTTTATACTTTGAGGGTCCCAGGCCACCCACTCACGGCTGTCCTGTTCAGACTGAGGGACTTCTGATTTCCTTTAGTCTTCCCAAACTTTTAGTACGGCTCAAGAGGACCCTGAGAGTGGCTGGTGATTGCCCTGAGTGGAAGGCCAACGAGGGACAGGCGTACCGTGCGCAGAGAGCTGCGGAGAGGAAACCAAGCGCCTAGCGCCAGCGAAGATCGGCGCCCCTGTAAGCCCAGCATTCCCAGAATCCTTCGCGGCTAAATCTCTTCTTTTCCTCGAGGCTCCATTTCGTTGGATTCTGGTGGACTTTAAAGACGTGTGCAACAAAAAAGCACGATGGATAATAGATTCCGGGAGCAAGCACAGGCGGAAGCCTCTCTGGGAAGTACAATCCCTGAGCGTGTGTGTATCATAAACCGGGCTGCAGGAATGAAAAAGACTTTGGCCAGAAACAGAGCCCCGCGGCGACTTCTGGGAAATGGAGTCCGGTGTGGCCGCCGCGGGGCATGTGCGCATGACCGGAAGTGGCGCCAATCAGGCGCGTCCCTCTGGCGCTGGAGCCAGGACCTGGCGTTGGGCGGTACTTGGACAGCGGTTCTTGAGCTCTCGCGGTTGCCGGTAGATTGTTGCCAGTTGCCAGTTGCCAGTCGTTTTTCGGAAAGCTGGCAGCGGCTTTTTCACCGGGTTCTGCTTGAGGCCGAGCCAAAGAGTGGCTGTGACTCGGGAGACGGAGTGGAACACCCGGCTGGGCAGGCCCGGACAGCTCCCGCGACCCAGCACCGCAGGATCAGACCGTGCCTCTGCGGGGAGAGGCTGGAGAGGAAGAGTCCGGCCTGGGAGCCGTCAGAGCAGCCCTGCAGAACGGGGTGGGGGCTGCTGTAGATAGACCCTTACGCCCAGAGAACTGCTGGGAGGCTGTGGCGCGAGGCGGGACTCAAATGCTGGAGGAAGGAGGTGAGGAGTGGTAGAGGGAGCGATTGTCAAGAGATCGGCTGCTGCTTCGTTTGCCCACGACTGCCGCTGTGTGAGCCGAATCAGAACTCTCTTTATCTCTCCTACAGGTAGTTGGAGACAATCATTTTTTCTTTCTTTGCCCATGACACAGCCCCAGGAGATCCTGAGAACATGTGCCCCTACAGTCCTTTTTTGAGTAAAGAATTCGGGGGTCAAAAAAGTTTGAGGACCTCAGACTGCGTGATTTCTGAGTATTGTACCACGTACCCCAGTCTGCCCAGATGGACCAATGACAGTGGAGAGTAGGGAGAAGTGGGTTCCTGGGGACTCCTCTGTCACTTTTCTCCTTCTAGCCCTTCTCGAAGCAGCCAGGAATGCCTGGAAGCCCGGGAAAGTTTGGGGGCAGGCCAGCCCAGTAGGATTGTGAAGTTGTGGAGGACAGGGGAATTTGCAGTTAGAAGGCACAGGTTCTTGTGAAAGCTGTGAGGTACCAGCCAGGTCTCTTAACCTGTATTTCTCCATGGAAGAAAGGACAAAATAATGTTAACTACTTTGTTTACCTCTGAGAATTGTAATTCTCAAATGAAATAACACTTTTGAAAGCACCCTGAATGTGGTACAGAACAAATGTGTAAGCAGGCAACCTCTTTTAAGTCTTAACCACCAACACCTCTGCTGTTCACCCCTAGATCAACTGTATTTGGTCTTTTACTCTACAAGTGCAATTTTACATCCAGAATTTGGTGCTGTCCCCAAGATCAAGAGGTCCTTGTATTTGTTTTTTTTTGTTTGTTTTGTTTTGTTTTTGAGACAGAGTCTCGCTCTGTCGCCGAGGCTGGAGTGCAGTGGCGCAATCTCAGCTCACTGCAACCTCCGCCTCCCAGGTTCAAGCGATTCTCCTGCCTCAGCCTCCTGAGTAGCTGGGACTACAGGTGCCCGACACCAAGTCCAGCTAATTTTTGTATTTTTAGTAGAGACGGGGTTTCACCATGTTGGCCAAGCTGGCCTCAAACTCCTGACCTCAAGTGATCCACTGGCTTCGGCATCCCAAAGTGCTGGGATTACAGGCGTGAGCCACTGCTCCTGGCCAAGAGATCCTTATATTTGGTCTTGCACTTGAAGAGTAGAGAGTGCAATTTCACATCCAGTATTTTGTGTTATCTTCCCCAGACACCTGGGAAAGCAGAGCAGATGGGTCGTCATCTTCCCCATACTGCAAAACAGGAAAGGAAGTGCTGTCAGGTTAGATAACTCTCAGTAACAGAAGGTCTGTCCTAAGATCAGGATCCAGATCTATTTATTTATTTTATTCAGATATCATTCACATACCATAATATTCACCCTTTTAAAGTGAACAATTCAGTGGTTTTTAGTATTTTCACAAAGTCTTGCAACCATCACTATTTAATTCCAGAACATTTTTGTTATCTGAAGAAGAAACCCCATAGCCTGTAGCAGTGACTCCCCAGTCCCTCATTTCTCCACAAGTCACTGGCAACCACTAATCTGCTTTCTGTCACTATGGATTTGCCTAGGACATTTCAAATAAGTGGACTCATAATATGTGACTTTTTTTTTTTTTTTTTTTGAGACGGAGTTTTGCTCTTGTTGCCCAGGCTGGAGTGCGATGGTGCGATCTCAGCTCACCGCAACCTCCGCCTCCCGCGTTCAAGTGATTCTCCTGCCTCAGCCTCCCGAGTAGTTGGGATTACAGGCACCCGCCACCACACCCAGCTAATTTTTTGTATTTTTAGTAGACACAGGGTTTCACTGTGTTGGCCAGGCTGGTCTTGAACGCCTGACCTCAGGCAATCCACCTGCCAATATGTGACCTTTTGTGTCTCGCTTAGCACATCATTTTCAGGGTTCATCCAGGTTATAGCATGCGTCAGTACTTCATCCCTTTTTGTGGTAGAATGATATTCCATTGTATGGAGAGATCACATTTTGTGTATCCATTCTTCAGTGAATTTTTGTGTGTGTGTATGTTTGATTTCTCTTGGGCATATACTTAGAAGTGGAATTACTGCGTCATACAACCCTCTTTGACTTTCACAGGAACTGCTGAACTTTTTCCACTGTGGCGGCATCATTTTCTATTCTCAGCAGTGTATGAGGTTTCCAGTTTCCTTACATCCTCATCAACACTTGTTATTCTCCATCTTGTTTATTATAGTCATGTTAGTAGGTGTGATGTGTTCTCTCATTGTGGTTTTCATTTGCTTTTCCCCAATGACTAATGATGTTCAGTTTCATGTA
This sequence comes from Homo sapiens, assembly GCF_000001405.40. Classification (NCBI taxonomy): domain Eukaryota; kingdom Metazoa; phylum Chordata; class Mammalia; order Primates; family Hominidae; genus Homo; species Homo sapiens. Next base: position 127,427,063 of record NC_000009.12, read on the forward strand.
GGGAGTGGCTATTTGTATCTCTTGCTTGGAGAAATATCTGTTCAAATCTTTTGCCCATTTAAGAATTTAGTAGGGCCAGGCACAGTGGCTCACACCTGTAATCCCAGCACTTTGGGAGGCCTAGGCAAGCAGATTACTTGAGGTCAGGAGTTCGAGACCAGCCTGGCCAACGTGGTGAAACCCCGTCTACTAAAAAAAAAAAAAAAAAAAGTTAGCCGGGCGTGGTGGTGCGTGCCTGTAATCCCAGCTACTTGGGAGGCTGAGGTAGGAGAATCGCTTGAACCTGGGAGGTGGAGGTTGCAGTGAGCCAAGATTGTGCCATTGCACTCTAGTCTGGGCAACAAAAGCGAAACTCCGTCTCAAAAAAAAAAAAAACACAAAACATACACACAGAAAATTATGTGCTACGCCAGCATTTCGGCCTCCCAAAGTGCTGGGATTAGAGGTGTGAGCCACTGTACCCAGTCAATAACTAAATTCTTTTTTTTTTTTTTTTTGAGGCAGAGTCTTGCTTTGTTGCCCACGCTGGAGCGTAATGGCGTGATCTCAGGTTACTGCAACCTCTGCCTCCTGGGCTCAAGCCATCTTTCCACCTCAGCCTCCCAGGTAGCTGGGCCTGCAGGCATGCGCCACCACGGCTAATTTTTGTATTTTTAGTAGAGATGGGGTTTCATTATGTTGCCCAGGCTGATCTCGAACTCTTGGGCTCCCTAAGTGCTGTGATTATAGATGTGAGTCGTTTTCACTCAGCCTCTTCACTTTCTTGACAGAGCCTGTTGGAGCACAAAGTTTTTAATTTTGAAGATATCCAACTTACCTATTTTCTCTTTTGCTGCTTGTGCTTTTGGTGTCATATCTAAGAAATCATTGCCTAATCCAACCTCTCAAAGATGTATGGTTTTCTTCTAAGAGTTCTACCCCTTTTTCTTTTTTTTTGAGATAGTGTCTCACTCTGTCAACCAGGCTGCAGTGTAGTGGTGTGATCACAACTTGCTGCAGCCTCGACCTCCCTGGCTCAAGCGATCCTCCCACCTCAGTCCCCCAAGTAGCTAGGGCTATGGGTATGCGCTACCAAGCCTGGCTAATTTTTGTATTTTTAATAGAGACGGGGTCTCGCCATGTTGCCCAGGCTGGTCTCGAACTCCTGGGCTCAAGCAGTCTGCCCACATCAGCCTCCCAAATTGCTGGGATTACAGGCATAAGCCACCGCACCTAGCCAAGAGTTACTTCTTAACTTTAGGTCTCTGATCTATTTTGGGTTAATTTTTATATATGGTGTGAAGTGAGACTCTCTGCCCAGCCCTCTTCTTTTCATTTAAGCAAATGCCTTAAATTTGCAGAGTCACTTTCTCCAAAGAACTAAGTAATAGATAATCTCTTTAAACTGTATACTTATGTGCTGGGCATTTGCCGACTGCTTTATCTGTATGTTCCTTTAATCTTCACAGCAGATTATCCCTTACAAGGGTTTATCATCCCCATTTTGCAGATGAGAAAAATGAGACTTAGAGAGGTTACGTGATTTGCACACTGCTGCTGAGTGGTGGATCATGGATACTTGAGAGTCTGTGAACACTCTAATGCCTCCCTACATCTGAGTGAGTTGATGGAATTTCTGAGGTAGGAGGGAATGGAGAAATTTACATCACACTACAGGTCTGCAGATTCAGCCCACGTGCCCTGATACCTGCTATGTCCCCTCTTCACAGTGAGAACTGGTGACTTCATAAACTGCTTTTAACATTATTAGTTTTTTTCTCTTTCTCTAGTACTGCCTTCCCCAGGCCCTGCCCTTCCCCAAGAGGAAAACACAGGAGAGGAAGGAATGGCTGCTGGTCTCCTCACAGCTGGGCCCCGGGTAAGTTGGAAATTAACTTTGGAAGGCATCCTTTTCTTCCCCCCTAATACTAATGGTAGGGTTGCCTTGTTTTTTGTTGTCATTGTTTGTTTTCTTTCTTTCTTTATTTTTTGAGACTGAGTCTCACTCTGTCGCCCAGGCTGGAGTGCAGTGGCATGATCTTGGCTCACTGCAACCTCCACATGCTGGGTTCAAGCAATTCTCTTGCTTCAGCTCCCAGGTAGCTGGGATTACAGGCACGCATCACCACACCCAGCTAATTTTTTTGTATTTTTAGTAGAGATGGGGTTTCACCATGTTGGCCAGGCTGGTCTCGAGGTCCTGACCTCAACTGATCTGCCCGACTTGGCCTCCCAAAGTGCTGGTATTACAGGTGTGAGCCACTGTGGTTGGCCTGTTTTATTATTTTTTTTTTTTTGAGACAGGGCTTCAGTCTGTCACCTAGAATGCAGCGCAGTGGTGAAATCACGACTCACTGCAGCCTCAACCTCCTGAGCTCAAGCAATCCTCCCACCTCAGCCTCCCAAGTAGCTGGGACCACAGGCTCGTGCCACCATGCCTAGCTAATTTTTTTTTTTTTTTTTAACTTTTGTAGAGTCAGGGTTTTGCCATGTTGCCCAGTCTGGTCTTGAACTCCTGGGCTCAAGCTATCCTCCAGCCTTTGCCTCCCAAAGTGCTGGGATTACAGGTGTGGGCCACTCCACCCCATCATTGTTGGTTTTGTTTTGTTTTGTTTTTTACAAGTTTTCTGCAATGAACAAAGTAATTCATGTTCCCCACAGAAAACCTGGAAAATAGAGAAAACACAAAAAGTTAAAAATCACTCTTAATCCCACAAAAAGATGGCACCTAACATTTTGATTTGTGTCCTCAGTCATATTCTCTCTTTTATTTCTTTTTCCTTTTTTTTTTTTTTGATGGAATCTTGCTCTGTCACCCAGGCCGGAGTGCAGTGTCACAATCTAGGCTCACTGCAACCTCCACCTCCCAGGTTCAAGCGATTCTCCTGCCTCAGCCTCCCAAGTAGCTGGAATTACAGGTGCGCCCTACCACGCCCAGCTAATTTTTGTATTTTTAGTAGAGATGGGGTTCACCATGTTGGCCAGGCTGGCCTGGAACTCCTGACCTCAAGTGATCTACCCGCCTCAGCCTCCCAAAGTGCTGGAACTATAGGTGTGAGCCACTGTGCCCAGGTCATATTCTCTCTTTTCTATATTTTTCCCAAAGTGGGTGTATTCTGCTCTGTAATGTTTTTATTTCCACTTACCAGAATTCGATGAACATTCTCCCATTTCACTGCATATTCTACCAAATCATTTCTAACACATTTTTTTTTCTTAAATAATTTCACCTTACTATTTTAGATTCGGGGGTATGTGTGCAGGGTTGTTAAATGGTTGTATTATATGATGCCAGGGTTTGGGGTACAGATGATGTACCATCACTCAGGTAGGGAGCATAGTACCCCATAGGCAGTTTTTCAGCTGATGCCCCCTTTCCTCTCTCCTCCCTCTAGTAGTCCCCAGCAGTTTTTGTTCCCATCTTTGTGTCCATATATACTTGGTATTTAGCTTCCCCACTTATCAATAAGAACATGCGGTATTTGGTTTTCTGTTCCTGCATTAATTCACTTAAGATAATGGACTCCAGATGCATCCATGTCACTGCAAAGGACATGACTTCATTTTTTATGGCTGCATCGTATTCCACATGTATTTCCTGTTCCACGTGTATATTTTCTTTATCTAGACCACCATTGGCAGGCACCTGGGTTGACTGCATGTCTTGGCTGTTGTGAACAGCACAACGAGGAACAAGCGCATGCATGCGTCTTTTGGTAGAATGATTTCTTTTCCTTTGAGTATTTACACAGTAATGGGATTGCCGGGTCGAATGGTAGCTCTGTTTTAAGTTTTTTGAGAAATCTCCAAACTGTTTTTCCGGAGTGACTGAACTAATTTAGTTAACTTTGCCATCAGCAGTGATAACCTTTCCCTTTTCTCTGCAGCCTCGCCAGCATCTGTTATTTTTTACTTTGTCATATTAGCCATTATTTCTGGTGTGAGAGAATATCTCGTCATGGTTTTGATTTGCATTTCTCTGGTGATTAGTGATGATGAGCATTTTTTTCGTCTCTTTTTTGGCCACTTGTATGTCTCTTAAGTGTGTCTGCTCATGTCTTTTGCCTGCTTTTTAACGTGGTTATTTGTTTTTTGTTTCTTGCTTTAAGTTCCTTATAGATTCTGGATATTAGACTTTTGTCAGTTGCAAACTTTTGATTATCTTTTCCTATTCTGTCAGTTGTGTATTGAGTCTGTTGATAGTTTCTTTTTCTTTTCTTTTTTTTTTTTTTAGAGACAGAGTCTCACTCTGTCACCCAGTCTGGAGTGCAGTGGCACAATCTCAGCTCACTGCAGCCTCCACCCCCCCAATGCTCAAGCGATTCTCGTGCCTCAGCCTCCTGAGTAGCTGGGATTACCACCAGACCCGGCTAATTTTTGTATTTTTAGTAGAGACGGGGTTTTTCCTTTTTGGCTAGGCTGTTCTTGAACTCCTAACGTCAGGCGATCCTCCTGCCTTGGCCTTCCAAAGTGCTAAGATTACAAGTGTGAGCCACTGTGCCTGACCCTAATAGTTTCTTTTGCTGTATAGAAGCTTTTTAGTCAGGTCCCACTTGTCAGTTTTTGTTTTTGTTGCAATTGCTTTTGAGGACTTAAGCCAAGGATTCTTTGCCAGAACCAAGGTCAAGAAGGGTATTTCCTTGGTTTTCTCCTATGGTTTTTATAGTTTAAGGATTTACATTTAAATCTTTAATCTATCTTGAGTTAATTTTTGTCGATGGTGAAAGGTAGGGGCCCAGTTTCACTCTTCTGCATATGGCTAGCCAGCTATCCCAGCATCATTGATTGAGTAGGGAGTCTTTTTCCCATTGCTTGTTTCTGTGGGCTTTGTTGAAGATCAGGTGGTTAGAGGTGTGCAACTTTATTTCCGGGTTCTCCTTTCTGGGTCTATGTGTCTGTTTTTGTCCCAGTGCTGTGCTCTCTAACACATTGTTTGTTTCACGTAGTCCTATGAGAGTAGGAACTGTCCTTTTTTCTTGACTAGGTAATTAGCTATTTATTTTCATTTTTAAAATTTGCTCTTGGATTTCCTTGTCAGTTCTGTTCTTTATTAATACATTTTTTTCTTTATTAATCTTTTGCTTCTGCTTTCCTCAGGTTTATTTTTAAATTTTTTTTTTTTTTTTTTGATGGAGTCTGACTGTCGCCCAGGCTGGAGTGCAGTGGCGCGATGTCGGCTCACTGCAAGCTCCGCCTCCCGGGTTCATGCCATTCTGCTGCCTCAGCCTCCCGAGTAGCTGGGAATACAGGCGTCCGCCACCACACCCGGCTAATTTTTTTGTATTTTTAGTAGAGACAGGGTTTCACCATGTTAGCCAGGATGGTCTCGATCTCCTGACCTCAGGTGATCCACCCGCCTCGGCCTCCCAAAGTGCTGGGATTACAGGCGTGAGCCACCACGCCCGGCCTAAAATTCATTTTTTAACTTCTTGAGTTGAATCCTTAACTCACCTTCTTCCTTGTTTACGTTGAAAGTTTTTGGCTATGTATTTTTTTTTTTTTTAGGTATTCTAAAATTATTATTTTGCTTTCTTTATCTGCCCATTTGGCTGGTCTGTGCTTTATGAGGATGGAGTTTGTGTCTCTTGTCAACAAAAAATGCCAGCACAGTCTGATTGCAGGGTATAGGGTTTGATAGCTCTGTCAGCTCAGCCTTATTAAATTGCTCCATCTTCCATATCTTTATTCTTTTTGTTGTTTATTCACTTTGGGCTGACTGTCAATGACTGGGTTATTTTAACATCTCTCAAAACCCTAATATTCTAAATTTCTCTTTGCATTTCCTGCAGCTTTTTCTTTACGTATTATATATTTTTGTTATTTGGTTCATGACATTTATATCTTTATAATGGATATTACTTTCCTGATTATTTTGAAGTTACACAAAGATTTTAAATATTTTTTAGTTTTTTGTATTTTTAGTAGAGATGGGGTTTCACCATGTTGGCCAGGGTGGTCTTGAACTCCTGACCGCAGGTGATCCACCTGCTTTGGCCTCCCAAAGTGCTGGGATTACAGGCATGAGCCATCGTGCCTGGCATAGATATTTCTTTGTTTTAAAAGATGACCCTCTTTGTTCCACTGAATGTACCTCTCGGTGTAATGAATGGATTGGAAGAGCAGGTAAAATCAGAGGCCTGGAGACTGGTTCCAATATGGAAATTGTTGCTGGTTTGCAAAGCAGTGGTAGGGGAGTGGAAATAATCGGGTGAATGAATTCTCATGATATTAGGAGGAAGAATCAATGGGGATTGATGCTGCGGGAAAGGAGAGGATAACACCCAGGTTGCTGGCTTGGCCAGCTAGGTGAACAGAGGCCCCATTCCCTGAGCTGGGAACAGACAAGGAACAGCAGGTGAAGATGGGTTTCTCTGTTGCATTTTGTTGAGTTTGAGGTTCCTGTGGGGCCTGACCAGGAAATGATTTCTGCCTTAGGTTAATACCGTGTGTTATCTCCTGATTCATTTCTTCCCTTTCCATCTGGCTACCCTTGTCCTCCCGCCCTGTACCTAGCAGAGGATGCATTACACAGAGTAGGTGCCGCTTTGTTACATGAACAGCTTTAGCTGACCTGTGTGCCTTACAGCTCCTGCCCAGAGTCTCCTAACTCCAGATCCGTGTTTTCACCTGTGATAGAACATCTACACCTGGATTTCCTATGGCCACCTTAAACTCTGTGGGCCCCAAAACAAACTAGTTACCTTGCTAACAGACCCTTTCTTCCCATGTTTCTTCTCTTTGTGATGACACTGTCATCTGTCTGCTCTTCCAAGCAGGAAACATCTTTGATTCATTCTCAGCTCTTCTCTCACAAAGTTCATTTCTGGCCTTGCATCTAGTCCCTCTCCTCAAGCAGGATCCTCTCTCAACTTGACACTGACACTGTTGGAGTCCTTAAAACCACCTCTCCATGCCTCCATCTCAAGACACAGTTGCCTTCCAGCGGCTCCCTGTTGCCTGAGGGATAAAAGCATCACATTTATCAAGTGATTCAAGGCTTTTTACATTCTGACCTCAACAACCTTTCTACCACTCTTCATCCCCCCACCCAAACTGCCTGCCATTTCCTAAACACACGAGGACTGTGTCACCTCCATGCTTCTGCTCATGGTGCCTCTCCTGCCTTGGATAGCCTTCTCTTGCTCCATCCGCGAACCTTCTCCTTCAAGGCCAGCTCAGTAATTGCCTTCTCTCTGTGGTCCTCCCTCCCCGCCTTCCTGTTCTCCTGGCAACTAGTCTGTGTTTCTTTGACTTGTGCTACATTTGATTGTGCTCATACCTGGCTCTCCTGCTGTACTGGGTGATATCTGCATTCACAGAAATATTTGTTAAATGTTCTGAAAATTCATCTTTCACATTTCTTTGATAATTTGTACCTGATTCTTCACTGTATCAACTCACATTCTAATTTCGCTCTTTCTATATTACCTCTTCAAGTCCCAAGCACCCATTAATTTTTGCCCAGTTACTTCACACGCATACACACGCTCTATTTATACATAAAGTCTATTTATACATAAATGTGTGAAGACAAGAGACAGTGGTGTGTGTGTGTGTATGTGTGAAATTATCATAGTGTTAGGCACTGCAATGCTGGTGATCAATAAATGCTTTCTCCGTTTTTTGAGACAGAGTCTTGCCGTGTCACACAGGCTGGAGTGCAGTGGCGTGATCTCGGCTCACTGCAACCTCTGCCTCCCGGGTTCAAGCAATTCTTCTGCCTCAGCCTCCTGAGAAGCTGGGATTACAGGCACGCACCACCACGCCCAACTAATTTTTGTATTTTTAGTAGAGACAGGGTTTTGCCGTGTTGGCCAGGCTGGTCTTGAACTCCTGGCCTCAAGTGATCCGCCTGCCTCACCTCTTGGCCTCCCAAGGCGCTGGGAGTACAGGCGTGAGCCACCGCACCTGGCCATTTTCTTCAACTACCCAGAGACCTGAATCTTTTCAAAGACTTTTCCAGCTCCCCCAAAACTGCCAACGTTAACCACCCCTATCACCCTAGATCCTAAGGCCACTGGCAAGATGAAATGTGCTTGTTTTTTCAGGGATCCACATTCTTCAGCAGTGTGACGGTAGCTTTTGCACAGGAAAGGTGGAGGTGCCTCGTGTCTACTCCACGGGACAGGTTCAAGGAGGGGATACCAGGAAAGTCCAGGAGCCTTGTCCTACTAGGTAAGGAAACTGTTTCTTTAAGATTTAGAATCACTCAATTCTGAAAATCTGTGGCACTTGCTTTCCAGCATGTAGGGGTTTCTGACTGGTGTGATGTACCAGAGGGATGGTGTTTATTCCTCTTGTTCTCTTGGGGAAGGTCTCTGCATGCTCACTTGGCAAATAGGCAGTTTCCCTTTGCTTTCTCTAAGGCTGCACCTCCCCATTCTCTCATTTCGCAGGAGGGGTGGGGTAACCCTCAGGTCATTTCCTCTATGTTCAGTACGTTTCCATCTTCCTAAATTGGGGACTTGGGAGTTTAGCTTAGCTCCCTGGCTTGACCCCTCCTTGAGGCTGTTTCCTAGCTCCTTCCAGAAACGTTTTATGTAGCCTTGGCATGGCTGGGTGAGGTGGCTCACACCTGTAATCCCAGCATTTTGGGAGGCCAAGGTGGAACAGTCACCTGAGACCAGCCTGAGGAACACAGTGAGACCCTGCCTCTAAAATTAAAAGGATGTTTAAAAAGACCTTGGCACCATGTCTCTTATGTACTGCTATAGCCCCTGGTGTAGGCACTAAGTAAGAGCTCAATAAGGATTTGTTGGCTGAATGAAATGAACAGTCCAACTGGCCTACTTGCTCTCTCCTGAGTTCTGGGTGGCTGTTCATACTTACTTACAATTTCTAAAGCCTGTTTTTTCCCGTTGAATAGGACTTCCAGTTTCCCAGCCTGGCATGAACTCCCAGTTGGAACAAAGGGAAGGCGCATGGATGCTGGAGGGCGAAGACCTGCGAAGTCCCTCTCCAGGTATGTGAGCAAGCACTTAGCCAGTGGGAGTCTTGGGAGCAAAAGCGCCTTTAAATCACGCATGAGTGTATTTGATTATCATAACAACTGTGAGGTAGGCGCTATTACCCCCATTCTACAGATGAGGAAATGGAGCTGAGAAAGGCTGGCTCACTGGTTCAAAGCTTCACAGCTAGATAGTGGCAAGGCTGGGATTTGAAGCAAGCTCTGTCTGCCTCTAAAACACACTCTTCCTCACCTCATCCTTATGGAGGCTGCCAGGGCCAGGAGGTGTTTGGGGGCACGTGTGATGTTCCTGGCCTCTAAAGAGTATCCTTCCTTATTGTTGGGAAGCAAGAGTCATCTTTGCTGGCACATTCCCTGCTTGGGGTCTCCCTCACTGAGGATCCTAGGTGCCACCTTTACCCATGCCACTGGGTGTCACAGTTCCTGCTGCCACCCCATCTGGCCCCTTAATTCATTCTGCTCCTGCTTTCTCACTGCGTGGCCATGCCAGAATTTTCCAAAGGGCTGATACTAAGAAACTCAGGGAAAACAGAAGGAAAGGAGACCATAGTTTCCACTGCGTCTCTCTTACCACCCACGTACAGCTGCTCTCTCCCCTAATCTCTCTCAGCCTCTGCCTTGGTGCCACCTCTGGCAGGGCCTCAGCAGCTTTTCCCTGGGGACCCAGTCACTTTTGAATGTTTGAGACTTAAGACATCAAAGGTACAAATGAATTAAACCACTTTGAGGTGACAACATTTGACATGTTTCTAAAGATGCAGCCTGGGCCAGGTGCAGTGGCTCACGCCTGTAATCCCAGCACTTGGGGAGGCCGAGGCAGGTGGATCACCTGAGGTTAGGAGTTCAAGACCAGCCTGGCCAACATGGTAAAACCCCATCTCAACTAAAAATACAAAAAAATCAGCTGGGCGTGGTGGCGGGCACATGTAATGCCAGCTACTTCAGGAGGCTGAGGCAGGAGAATCACTTGAACCTGGGAGGCAGAGGTTGCAGTGAGCCGAGATTGTGCCATTGCACTCCAGCCTGGGTGACAAGAGTGAAACTCTGTCTTAAAAAAAAAAAAAAAAAAAAAGAAGATGCAACCTGTCTGTTTGTTGCTTTATTTCTTGAGTTATAAGTTATTGCTGCTGATAGGGCAATGGGCACAAGCCCCTGGAGCATTCTTTGCATGGTTCCCTGGAGCTGCCTCTTCTCCTTCCCATCTTACCATCCTCTAAGCAGACTGTTGCATGTTACCTCCCCCTCATGGTGTGCCTGGCACTACTCATGCTTGTTGACACTGCCTGTGGCAGGGAGCCTCCCTGGCCCTGCTGCTTCCTTCTCTCAAGGCCCCCCCCCGCTGCCTGGGCATCTCTGTGTTCTATATAGTCTATACAGAGGACTGAAGTCCTCTGTGGAGCTTCAGAAATTGAGAGCAGTGTTTAGTGGCGAGGGGAACAACTGCCTTTTTCTGGGAAGAGTGTTCATCATAGTCTCAGAGGGGTTCAAGACCCTGAAAAGGTCGCTGTATTAGTTTTTTGGGGCTCTCATAAGAAATAACCACAAACTGGGTGGACTAAAACAATAGCAGTTGATTCGCTCACAGTTCTGGAGGCTAGAGGTCTGAAACTGAGGTGTCAGCAGGCCTGGGCTCCCTCTGCAGGCTCTGGGAAGGATCTTCCTTGCCTCTTTCTAGTTTCCGGTGGTTGCCCGCAATCTTCGGCATTTGTTGGCTTTTAGCTGCATCACGCCAATCTCTGTCCCTGTCAGCATGTGGCATTCTCGATCTGTGTCTGGATTTCCTTCTTTTTAGGGCATTAAAATACCCCAATCCAGTGTGGCCTCATTTTAGCTTGATTACATCTACAAAGACCTTGTTTCCAAGCACAGACACATTCTGTATTTTGAGGTTGACATGATGTGGGGGCACTGTTCACCCCAGTACAGTGGCCCCAAAGGTTAAAATCACCACATCGTTAGAAACAGGAGTTGGAAAGGGGCATTTCCACCAAGAAGGTGCTCTGAGGCAGCAGTGTAGGGCAGTAGAAGCAGCTCTTGGTGTGGGTGCCCCTGAGCGGAAAACCACAACCTCTGCCCTTACGCACAGCAGGAGTCAACATAGGAGGCTTCTGCCAGCAGAGAGGACTGAGGTTTTCCCCCACACACCAAGCAAGCAGACACCGTCTACCTGGAGATAGCATCAGATCCCACTAGTTGAGGGCTCAGTCCCACAAGGCACCCCCTGCCCCTTCCCACCAGTCGCAAGTCCAGGCCTCCAGAACTACACTGGCTTCAGATTGGGGTTCCCACGACCCCCCTTTGGATTACATTAATTTATTAGAGAAAGGACACAGAACTTGGGGAAGCACTTATTTTAGAAAAGATGAAGATGAAGAGATGCATGGGACGAGGGGTGGGGAAGGTGCAGGGAGCTTTCATGCCTTCCCTGGGCCGCCGCCCTGCAGGAGCCTCCATGTGTTCAGCTCTCTGGAAGCTCTCTAAACCCTGCCCTCCTGGGCCTTTGATTCATTGGATAGGCGTGATTGAAACACGGACAGCATGTTGAGATGAGATTGGACAGAAAGGGTCTGACTGAACACTGTAGACTGAGTGAGGACACCTGGCAGAGCCTGTCCGTGCGGATTCTTCCTGGCCTCTGTGCAGCATTCCTTCCTCCAGGGTATGGGGCAGGATCTTCTCTGAAATGGGGGTCGTAAGGCCCACAATCACATTAGAGTCCTGCTCGGGCAGGTGAAAGAAGGGCAGGGGGAGGTCAGAGAGAGAGATTCTGTTTCTGAGGCCTAAAGTGCTCTTACGTTTTAACAAAAGACTGTAGCAATGGCTGGGCGCAGTGGCTCACGCTTGTAATCCTAGCACTTTGGGAGGCCGAGTTGGGCAGATCACCCGAGGTCAGGAGTTTTGAGACCAGCCTGGCCAACATAGGGAAACTCCATCTGTACTAAAAATACAAAAATTAGCTGGGCATGGTAGCACATATCTATAGTCCCAGCTACTAGGGAGGCTGAGGCACGAGAATCGCTTGAACCCGGGAGGCAGAGACTGCCATGAGCCAAGATCGTGCCACTGCACTCCAGCCTGGGCGACTAAGCGAGACTCTGTCACAAAAAAAAAGAAAAAGAAAGACTGTAGCAGTGGCTATGGGAGTTATGAGCCAGGAACTGTGGGTGAAATACACACACACACACACACACACACAACGCGCACACACACACATATACACGTATATCTCATATCTCGGTGAATATGAAAGACACATAATCCCTGCTTGCCATGCATTAACTACATGGATTCCAGGCACACCACTGAATTATGTAGTCATGTTTCCATATATGAAAAATGTAGATGATAAAATCTTTCTTATTTCACCAATTAACATATATCTGAAAAAAATTGTCAACTGTAGAGTTATATAAGCTATATGATAGTGAACAGAAGTCGTCAGGGGCAAGTTTCCACTCTAGCTATTAGAGGAGTTCAACATGGCCTCTGTTCTAACTCACAGCATGTCCTGGGCATCACTGTGCCTCTGAGGGCTGGGTTTGGGCCCTGGGTTATTCTACCCTACCCCTCCCAAGTGACAGACCCAGGAGTTGAAAGTGCCATTCTCCCTGCTGCTCACTTTAGGGACTTCTGTGGTGGGTGTTAACACTTTCGCAGACCCTGCTGGCCAGTTCTACTCATTCTGATTCATTGAATCATTCATCAATCAGCAAATGTGCCTTAAGCATTTGGTACATACCTGGCATCATTTTAGCTGCCATGGGTAATATGTATTCCCTTTGTTGAGTGGGGATGAAGACGTAGTTTCTGCTTACATCTTCGTGAAGGACATAAACTGAGCAAACAATAACTAATCTACTTTTTTTTTCTTGAGACGGAGTCTCATTCTGTCTCCCAGGCTGGAGTGCAGTGGCGCGATCTCAGTTCACTGCAAGCTCCACCTCCCGGGTTCATGCCATTCTCCTGCCCCAGCCTCCCGAGTAGCTGGGACTACAGGCACCCACCACCACGCCCGGCTAATTTTTTGGATTTTTAGTAGAGACGGGGTTTCACCGTGTTAGCCAGGATGGTCTCGATCTCCTGACCTCGTGATCTGCCTGCCTCGGCCTCCCAAAGTGCTGGGATTACAGGCATGAGCCACCGCGCCCGGCCCACTAATCTACTTTTTATGGTGATGAGTTGTGTGAAGAAAATAAAGCTGCGCAAGGGATTAGTGACTGGGGCACAAGGCTGAGTCGGGAATAGAAGGGAGGGAGCTGTTTGGGAGCTGATGAAGAGGAAAGACTCTTTGGAGGTGACATGGGAGCTGAGATCTGAAGGAAGGGGATGAGCCAGCTGTTTGGAGGAGACCTAGGAGAGGAACATTCTGGGCCACAGCGTATGTTGAGACCTTAATGTGGGAATGAGCTTGCTTAAGGATTAGAAGACCTGTGTGGCCAGAGCTTAGTAAACACGAGGAAGAGTGGTGTGCAGGGGACAGATTGTGTGGGGCCACTGGAGCCATGGTAAGGCGTTTGGGTTTTAGTCACCTAAGAAAATAAGCCATTAAAGAGTTTTGATGCAGGGAAGGGATGAGATTTATGTTTGAAAAGAGTTCAGCATTTGGCAAGTGACACTGGTGAAAAAAATGAAAAAGAATTCAGCGTTATGTGTGAAGAATGGACATTCGAGGCTCAGGCATGGGAGCGGGGAGGTCAGTTAGGAGGCGGCTCTTGCAGACATGGGAATGTGAGGTGATGGTGGCCTGTAAGAGAGGGGTCAGGACATATTTTGGTGTTAAAGCCAACAGGACTTGCTGGTGGATTGGATGTGAGATGTAGGGGAGGTGGCATTAAGGATGACCCTAGGTTTTGGCCTGAACAGTTGGGTAAGTAGGAAGATTAACAAAGGCGCTGGGTTAAAAGGGAGATCAGTAGCTCTGTTTGGGGTGTGTCAGGCCTGAGATGTCATCAGACAGTCTTCTACTGGAGCCAGCACTCGAGAGAGGTGAGCTGAGGGACAGGCCATTTGTGAGCATCATGTGGTCCTCTGAATTGCCCCTTCTTCCCATGGCTTCTTGTCACTCTTCCTCTCCTTTTGATTTTTTTTTACTCAAATAGATGGTCTGCTTTTAAAAACTGTCAAACCCATAGATGATCGGACCCCAAGTTACACAGAGACGCTCTCAGCCTGCAGTGGGGCCTCTGTGCTCTTGGTGGACTGGGGGCATTGGTGTGCACTTGCAGTTCTGAGGGAAGCCTACTTAATGCTTTAGGATGGTTTATAAGGAGAAGGTACAGAATAACAAGAACCATGCAGATAGCACTTACTGTGTCTCAACTACCATTCTGGGTCCTTTATGTGTCTTAACTCATTTAATCCTCACAGTGATTCTGTGAGGGAGCTGCTTTCACAGGTGATAAATCCAAGGTTTCAAAAGATTACACAATTTTCCCAAAGTCACAGAGCACGTAAGAGGTGGAGCCCAGATTTGAACCCAGCCAGTCTGGTTGAAGACTGTGTATAGAAATTCAAGGAAACAGTTGGGCGTGGTGGCTCACACCTGTAATCCGAGCACTTTGGGAGTCTGAGGTAGGTGAATCACCTGAGGTCAGGAGTTCGAGACCAGCCTGACCAACATGTTGAAACCCCATCTCTACTAAAAATACAAAATTGGCTGGGTGCGGTGGCTCATGCCTGTAATCCCAGCACTTTGGGAGGCCGAGGCAGGCAGATCACAAGGTCAGAAGATCGAGACCATCCTGGCTAACACGGTAAAACCCTGTCTCTACTAAAAATCCAAAAAATTAGCCGGGCGTGGTGGCGGGAGCCTGTAATCCCAGCTACTTGGGAGGCTGAGGCAGGAGAATGGCATGAACCCGGGAGGCAGAGCTTGCAGTGAGCCGAGATTGTGCCACTGCACTCCAGCCTGGGTGACAGAGTGAGACTCCGTCTCAAAAAAAAAAAAAAAATACAAAATTAGCCGGGTGTGGTGGCGCATGCCTGTAATCCTAGCTACTTGGGAGGCTGAGGCAGGAAAATTGCTTGAACCCAGGAGGTGGAGGTTGCAGTGAGCTGAGATCACACTATTGCACTCCAGCCTGGGCAGCAAGAGCGAAGCTCCATATTAGGCCGGGTGTGCTAGCTCATGCCTGTATTTCCAGCACTTTGGGAGGCCGAGGTGAGTGGATCACCTGAGGTCAGGAGTTTAAGATCAGCCTGGCCAACATGGTGAAACCCTGTCTTTACCAAAAATACAAAAATTAGCCAGGCATGGTGGCGGGCACCTGTAATCCCAGCCACTTGGGAGGCTGAGGCAGGAGAATTGCTTGAACTCAGGAGGCGAAGGTTGCAGTGAGCCAAGATAGCACCATTGCACTCCAGCCTGGGCAACAAGAGTGAAACTCCATCTCAAAAAAAAAAAAAAGAAAAGAAAAGGTATGGTAAAAATACAGTATAAAAGATAAAAAATGGTACACCTGTATAGGGCACTTACCATGAGTGGAGCTTGCAGGACTCTGGGTGAGTGGGTAAGTGGTAGATGGATGTGAAGGCCGAGGGCATTGCTGTACATAGACTTTAGAAACACTGTGCACTTAGGCTACACTAAGTTTACTTTACACATTTTTCTTTGGGAGGCTGAGGCGGAGGATCCCTTGAGCCCAGGAGTTTGAGACCAGCCCAGGCAACTTGGCAAAACCCTATCTCAGCAAAAAATACAAAAATTAGCTGGATGTGGTAGCATGGGCCTGTAGTCCCAGCTGCTCAGAGGCTGAGGTGGGAGGATCAATTGAGCCCAGGAGGTCGAGGCTGCAGTGAGCCATGATCGTGCCACCATGCTTCAGCCTGGGTGACAGTGAGATCCTGTCTCAAAATCTGTGTGTGTGTGTGTGTGTGGCACTATTTTTTACTTTTTAAACTCTTGTTAAAAACTAAGAAACTCACACATTAGCCTAGACCTAACAGGATCATGCGTATCACTGTCTCCACCTCCACATCTTGTCCAACTGGAAGATCTTCAGGGGCAATAACAAGCACGAAGCTGTCATCTCTAAGATAACAATGCCTTCTGGAAAACCTCCTGAAGGACCCGCCTGAGGCTGTTTTACAGATAACTTTGTTGTAGTGGAAGGAGTACAGTGTAAAATAACTATTAAAAGCATAGTATAGGCTGGGTGTGGTGGCTCACACCTATAATCCCCAGCACTTTGGGAGGCTGAGGCAGGAGGGTCGCTTGAGTCCAGGAGTTCGAGACCAGCCTCTCCAAAATATCAAAATTACCCAGGCATGGTGGTATGCTCCTTTAGTTCCAGCTATTCAGGAGGCTGAGGTGGCAGGATTGCTTGAGCCCAGGAGGTTGAGGCTGCAGTGAGCTGTGACTGTGCCACCGCCCTCCAGCCTGAGTGAGACTCTGTCTCAATTAAAAATATATATTAAGTATAGTAAATATATAATCTGGTAACATAGTTGTTTATTAAGTATTATGTGCTGTACTTTCATATGACTGGCAGCGCAGTAAGTTTATTTACACCAGCATCACCACAAACGTGAGTAATGTGTTGCACTATGACATTACGATGGCTTTGAATTCAGTAGGTAGTAGGCTCCATTACACCCTTATGAAAGGAGGTGGCTGGGCGCGGTGGCTCACGCCTGTAATCCCAGTACTTTGGGAGGCCGAGGCGGGTGGATCACGAGGTCAGGAAATCGAGACTATCCTGGCTAACACGGTGAAACCCCGTCTCTACTAAAAATACAAAAAATTAGCTGGGCCTGGTGGCAGGAGACTGTAGTCCCAGCTACTCGGGAGGCTGAGGCAGGAGAATGGCGTGAACCCAGGAGGCGGAGGTTGCAGTGAGCTGAGATCGTGCCACTGCACTCCAGCCTGGGCGACAGAGCGAGACTCCGTCTCAAAAAAAAAAAAAAAAAAAAAAGGAGATGAGTCATCAAACCTGTGTGTGTAAGAGCTTGGCCAGACTCCTTCAGCCTTTGGTATTCCTTCCACCAAGGGAACACAACAGCTTTTCATTTTTTTTTCAGGCTGGAAGATTATATCTGGATCACCACCAGAGCAAGCCCTTTCTGAAGCTTCATTCCAAGACCCATGTGTAGAGATGCCCCCTGGGGATTCAGACCACGGGACCAGTGACCTTGAGAAGAGCTTCAATCTGAGACCAGTCCTCTCTCCGCAACAGAGAGTGCCCGTGGAAGCGAGACCTCGCAAATGTGAGACACACACCGAGAGCTTCAAGAACTCGGAAATCCTGAAACCTCACAGAGCAAAACCATATGCATGTAATGAATGTGGCAAAGCCTTCAGTTACTGTTCTTCCCTTTCTCAGCATCAGAAGAGCCACACTGGAGAGAAGCCCTATGAGTGCAGTGAATGTGGGAAGGCCTTCAGCCAGAGCTCATCTCTCATTCAGCACCAGAGGATTCACACTGGAGAGAAGCCTTACAAGTGCAGTGAATGTGGAAGAGCCTTCAGCCAGAACGCCAACCTCACCAAACACCAGCGAACCCACACCGGAGAGAAGCCCTACAGATGCAGCGAGTGTGAGAAAGCCTTCAGTGACTGCTCAGCTCTTGTTCAGCATCAGAGAATTCATACCGGAGAGAAGCCCTACGAATGCAGCGACTGTGGGAAGGCCTTCCGTCACAGTGCAAACCTCACGAACCATCAGAGGACTCACACCGGGGAGAAGCCCTACAAGTGCAGCGAGTGTGGGAAGGCCTTCAGTTACTGCGCAGCGTTCATTCAGCACCAGAGGATTCACACCGGGGAGAAGCCCTACAGATGTGCCGCGTGTGGGAAGGCCTTCAGCCAGAGTGCAAACCTCACAAACCATCAGAGGACTCACACTGGGGAGAAACCCTACAAGTGCAGCGAGTGTGGGAAGGCCTTCAGCCAGAGTACCAATCTCATAATCCACCAAAAGACCCACACCGGGGAGAAGCCATATAAATGTAATGAATGTGGGAAATTCTTCAGTGAGAGCTCAGCCCTCATTCGGCATCATATAATCCACACCGGAGAAAAACCTTATGAGTGTAATGAGTGTGGTAAAGCGTTTAACCAGAGCTCATCCCTTAGTCAGCATCAGAGAATCCACACAGGCGTGAAACCCTACGAATGCAGCGAGTGTGGGAAGGCCTTCCGGTGCAGCTCTGCCTTCGTTAGACATCAGAGACTCCACGCCGGAGAGTAACTAGGAACATGGTAGAAGTGGAGAGAGTCCCGGACATGCCGACTCAGGACAGGTGGGTGAGGATCTGAGAAATGCTAAAGGCTTGAAAGCATCTGAAGACATCTAACTTAGAGTCTGCAGCCCAGAGCCACATGCAAAACACCTTCAATAAACAGCCACTATTTCACATGCTGTATATGGACGCTCAGCTCTCCATCAAAAGATCAGGGCTCCACTCAATTGCAGGTTTGCCTTTATTCAGGTAGTGGGCCAAAGCACTTTATTTGGTAAGCAATCCAGAAACCTGAGTTTATTCAGAGTAAGTGACCAAATCAATGAGTAAAAGAACTTGGCTCCTACATCAAAGCCAAGTCTTTGGGCAATGCTGGCAGTTTCTCCTGGAAGTAATGAGAAATGTTGTGAAAGAACTCAGCGCATTGGCCAGAAATGATTGAAAAACCATCAAATTTGGGGCAGCAGGAGGTGTAAATACAAGTGAGAAAAGGGATTCTAGAGCCACCTATGAAATACCACAATCTCCTTGAGGTGGGGAACATTCCTTGATGTTCCAAAACTGAGAAAAGCACACCCAGGGCCAGTCTTTGTAGAGTTTGTTGCTGTTAAGAGCCCACCCAGGCAGATCACAAGGTCAGGAGTTTGAGACCAGCCTGACCAACATGGTGAAACCCCATCTCTACTAAAAATACAAAAACTTGCCCGGTATGGTGGCATGTGCCTATAATCCCAGCTACTCAGGAGGCTGAAGCAGGAGAATCACTTGAACCCAGGAGGCAGAGGTTGCAGTGGGCCAAGATTGCAACACTGCACTCCAGCCTGGGCAAGAGCGAGACTCCATCTCAACAAAAAAAGAGCACACACATCTCAACAAAAAAAGAGGCTACTGGTGTTGAGGGTAGAGCTTGCTGCTAATGAACCAAGAGGCACATCCTTTTCCATGGAGAATAGGAAGCCCCGAGAATGGGGAGGTGTGTGACAGCCATGCTGGACTCAGAGGCAGGTGTCATAAACTGCCCCAGGCTCCTCATTCTCCCTTCTCCCTCATGGAGAACAGTTGTGTTCCCCTTGTATTATAGATCCAGATTTTTGCCTTTGGCCTGCTTACTGTCTGTTTCCTTGGTGACTTGGTAGTCCCTTCTAGGACACTGGAATGCTTTTGTGCCAGCCCCTCACTCTCGTCACCTAGGCTGGAGTGCAGTGGTACAATCATAGCTTGCTGAAGTCTCCACTCCTGCACCCTCCTACCTCAGCATCCTAAGTAGCCAGGCACACACACCACCATACCCAGCTAGTTTTTTGGAGAAAAGTGTCTGGCTATGTTGCCCAGGCTGGTCTTAATTCCTGACCTCAAGGAATGCTCCTGCCACAGCCTCCCAAAGTGCTGGGATTGAGGCACAAGCCACTGTATCTGAAATAGAATCCTATCCCTAACTCAGGAGGTCCAGGTAGTTAGTCTTTTCCACTTAAGGCAGTTCTCCAACCTGAGGTGACATAAAAGCACTGATCTAGAGACACTGGCAAAAACTAATGTGCAAAGAAATGAGTCATATAGGGGAAATCAATTTCTCTGGGCTACAACTTCCAACTCCCTTTACTCCAGTACCCAGAATCCTCTCCCAGGTGGTGCTTCAAGCTGCTCAGGAGTGCTTTAGGGTTCATCGCAAAACAAAAGGGAGTGATGAACACAGGCTCTATAAAGTTCATCAGAAGGAACAGAACTGTGGGAAGATGAGACTTGAGAAACGTGAGACAGCAGAAAATACTTTAAGCCACATGAGTTCAGAGGAAAGGTTGGAGTAACAGTTTATAGTTACTTCAACAGATGATGTGAACCTCACTTTCACAGGACCAAAGAATTAGTCCAGGACTCGGAGAGT
Source organism: Homo sapiens (assembly GCF_000001405.40). Lineage (NCBI taxonomy): Eukaryota > Metazoa > Chordata > Mammalia > Primates > Hominidae > Homo > Homo sapiens. The sequence continues at coordinate 127,447,072 of NC_000009.12, forward strand.
GGTCAGGTCAGTGGTTCTGAGCCCTGGCTGTGCACTGGAATGGCTAGCAAAATGGATCCTGGGCCCCCAACCCACTCATAACTTCAGTTGGTCGGGGATGGAGAGCTACACTCCCCATGTGTTCCGGTTTTGTTAGAGCATTTCTTAGGAAAGGCTTCATGATAGTCTACAAAAAGTGCTTCCTGGCCAGGCATGGTGGCTCATGCCTATAATCCCAACACTTTGGGAGGCCAAAGGCAGGCGTATCAAGAGGTCAGGAGTTGACCTGACCAACATGGAGAAACCCTGTCTTTTAGCACGTGCCTGTAATCCCAGCTACTTAGGAGGCTGAGGCTGGAGAATTGCTTGAATCTAGAAGGCAGAGGTTGTGGTGAGCCGAGATTGCACCATTGCACTCCAGCCTGGGCAACGAGCGAAACTCTGTCTCAAAAAAAAAAAAAGGAAAGAAAGGCTTCCTTTCTGAGCTCAGCCCAGCCCATACAGGGCAGTTTTGTTACCCACCACAAGGTGCTTGTTACTTCTCCACAGGTTCTGCCACCCTGACCCCACTGACCACCCCACAAAGGAGCTAGCTCCCTCAAGGAAGACGCCACACCAGAAAATCCACCAGTTGTCAAATGATCCTTTATTGAAATGTTTTCCTTTGTGCTTAACTCTGTGGGAAAGAAAAAAAAAATCAGTAAAAAGTTTAAAAGGATTATCCCACCCCACCAGTAACCATTTCCAAAACTTCCCAGCTTATCTCTGTGAATACACTGGGTGGCCCCCCTTTCACCCCTACTGTAACAATGAAAATGTCACTTACGGCTGGGCATTCCACAGCACCACTGTTGATGTCATCGATGATGTCATGAGGATGGCGGCCATCAACATTACAGCCCACTGACTGGGCAGTCCCCAGGATCTCTTTAATGGTTCCTTTAAGTAAAGAAATGGTGGCATTGGAGGTGCTGGCTCAGTCCCTCACAATCTGCAGATACTGGGGAATACTGAAGGGGTTCATAGCAGGCAATGGAAGGAATGAGGTTCCTGCTCCCCTAATATAGAATATAGAGTTCCATCTAGTTCCATAACCCGGAATGCAAAGCTTCCATGGGTCCTTGATGCCCAGATTAAACACATCCAATTTACGATCCATCCTTTCAGTCCCAGAAAACTGCACCCCATCTTGGGTCTCACTGAGCACCCTTCAAGTAAGAAGAATGTTATCACTCAGTGAAAAACACAACTACAGTTATGGCGGTTACATGTTGTCCTGCTCTTACCAGAGAGTTCTCTGGCTAAGGATCGGTGCCGCATCTGTCGAGCAATGTTGACAATCTCATCAAAAGTGATATTCCCACTGTGTTTAACTGCAGAAGAGGAAACAGCAAAAGCTCTTTTAAAGTCTGAAGCCAAAGCAGATCATGTGTCCTTCATTTCATTTCTAGGCTGTTCCCATGCTTTCGGCACAGAGTCATCCACATGAAGAACAACCCTGTTTCCTAAGCTGGGGTTTACTATCAGCTCACCACTGGATTGCACCAGCCAACAGAGACCTGGTCAGGTGCAGTGGCGGGTGGCTGAGGGCAAAACCAAGCCTTCACAAATCTGACATGGCAGAAACTGTTTTAGAGAAATGACAAGCTTAAATTGCCAGGGAGTTAAACTGCCCAGTACCTGCCACCTGTATGTGGTCTCCTGATTATAGGTCATTATTGCTGACATCTTCCTCCCACATGCACTGATTGGGGCCTGCCCCACACAGGGACTACATGGCACTTTTTTTTTTTTTTTTGAGACGGAGTCTCACTGTTACCCAGGCTGGAGTGCAGTGGCACAATCTTGGCTCACTGCTACAACCTCCACCTCCTGGGTTCGAGTGATTCTCCTGCCTCAGCCGTCTGAGTAGCCAGGTCTACAGGCGAGCACCACCAGGCTAATTTTGTATTTTTTGGTGGAGATGGGGTTTCACCATGTTGGCCAGGCTGGTCTCGAACTCCTGATCTCAACTGATCCACCCGCCTCAGCCTCCCAGTGCTGGGATTACAGGTGTGAGCCACCCAGCATACGTGGCACTTTTTCATACTACCTGGCTCTAGCAGCCCTAACCATATCAACACCCAATACCCATGTCAACCCCAGGTTTCCTTTAAGGGAAAACACAGCCACATATATCAAACATCTCACAAACCATTACCAAAACCAAACTAGGGAAAAGACAACTTACTGTTTTTCTGTTTCTTTCTGTCTCTTGGTGGTTCCTTGAGGGCTTTGATGATCAGGGCAGAGGCAGAAGGCACCACCTCAATCTGCAGAAGAGATTCCTGAGTGAATACTCCACCTCCAGTGAATACTGCCATGCACGCTGGCTCTCAAAAATCATGGCCACACACTGTCCAAGTCTTTGCCCTAGGTCCGTACTCTTGACAAAGCCTCCCCAACAAGGTGAAATCACTCTCGGCTCACCACTGGTGGCAGAAATACTCTTCAGGAATCCCAGAGGGTTGCTACCTGTCCCCCCACCCTCCTCTCCCGAAACCAAGCACAAGCAAATACCTGGGCCTGTCTGTTCTGAATGGTCAGTTTCACTGTAATCCTCAGGCCCTTCCAGTCACCCGTTGCCTTGGCAATGTCATCACCAACTTTTTTTGGAGACTAGAAATAAAGGCATGTAATCAACATGGTGTCCAGAGGTGAACCACAGCCTTGAAACCTGCCCACCACTTCTCACTTGGCAACAAAGGAAGCTATCTCAAGTACCTAAGGGCACCTTCTCAATCAGAGCACAGCTATCACCATAGCATAAATTGGGGGTTGGGGTTCTTGTCCAGAACTGTAAACTGCAGACTTGGCCACAATGTAACCTAGACCCCCTCCTAAGTGCCCATGTGCTTAAGGAGGGGGATTTTCAGCCCTGCTGACATTAGAATCACCTAAGGAGCTTTCAAAATACTAGGCTCCCATGTCAGACCACCCACGTCCATCTTCCTGGATGGAGGTCTGATTATTTGCTACTCTGAAGTTCTCCTCCTCTAGTAATCCTTAGCCTCAACAGGAGGCTAAGTGTCCCTTAAGTGCCAGCTAACGGCCAAGGAAGAATAGTTAAGATACAGGTTAAAAAAGACCAATGGGGAAGAGCATTTGGGGCAGGGGAGCACTGTGCAAGGATTAAATAAAGGCCTAATGAAATTCAGAGAAATCCAAGAGGACAGAATGACGGGGAAGCCAGCAGTTGCTCAGCAGGCATGAGACACAGCCTGCCACATTAACTGCTAGGTTTACATCTACAACACAGCTGGAAACGCTCACTGGATCTTCACCCACACCCCGTTTAATCTCCCAACAACGCCATGCCCACTTCCTGACGAGGAAATACAGATGTTGGCTGCCCAATGTCTCTAAGCCAGTCCTAACTTCAAAACTCCCCCTTGGGCCCACCCCTCAGGTACACTAAAGCAGCAGTGGAGACACATGGAGCTAATTACAATTTAAAGGCACCAGGTTCGATTTTTCACACACGACCTTCCTAAGGTACCTAGTACTTGTTCAGTGGCTCAGGCCTACTGAGGGTGACAGTCCAAGCCACGAGGGCACCTCTGGCACAGGCGTGACTCCACGAGCCGGCGCTTAAAGTGAAACAAATGTGAAAAAAATGCCCCTTGGAGGGGATAACGTACCAGACCCAGGGGGCCGATCTTGGGGGCCAGGGCAGAAGTGGCACCGACTTCACCTCCGGTGCACCTCAGGTATACTGGGGGAAAAGAAGAGTTAGTGTCTGTGCAGAGGGAGCCCCGAGCCACAGCCCTCTCAGCGTCTTTCCGGGGTTGGACACGCCACCCTCTGCCTCTTCTCGAAACAGCACAGAGCGCGAGGCGGGCCACCCGCTCCTCCCTCGGGTGTGGGCAGCTCCGAAACTCACACCGGGGAGGCGTGGAGAGAGCCCCGTCGCCCGCTAACCCAGGCCAATGGGGCGAAACGCCCGGAGACAAGCCTTACCCTAGGGCGTGCGGGCTCCCAAGCCGCCACAGGTGGTCCAGTCCTCCCTCCCCACCTACACGTGAAGAAGCTAAGGCCCAGAAAGGCTGAGGCTTGGCCGGGGCGGCGCAACACCGGGAAGGTCTCTGGGAGGCAGCGGCTTTAAGAGCCCCATACGGGGAAAGCTTTGCACGCGCGGCAGGGCCGAGGGATGCTCCATCCCGCAGCCCCGGCCACAACCAGAGCACGCACCGACTTTGATCTCGTTGGGGTCGAACTTCGGCGGCATGGTGGAGGCGGCTGGTGTCGGATGAACCCGGATTCGGGACGACCGAAGGAAGTTGCACCTTGGCCTCCTCCGAGCCGAAAGCCGAGAGGCCGGAAATCGCGCGGACAAGCCAGATATAGGCAGGAAAACGCGGCTATCGCGAGAACTGTCGTCACTGCCCGGCCTTCCAGAGACGCCCTTGTCGCCATGTTTGTTGTGGGCAGGCGCCTGAGGCTGACGGCTGGCAAGCAGGGCACCGCGGTGCGCTGAAGCTAGAGATTCCGAAAGGGGGTTCGGGTAGTTCGCTCCGGAGAAGTCTGAGAAGGGTGGCTCCGGTGATCCCAGCCCTAGCTGTTTCCCATATTCCTTTATCGTGAGTGTCACCCCGGTCCCCGTCACCCAATCCCAGAGCCCCGCCCCTCCCCTGAGGGGTCCGTAGTCCCATTCCGAGACCCCAGTACCGCGGCGACCCCTGCTCCCTCGAGCACTTGTTGTGTGCACTTTAGTTATCAAAACAGTCTATGTGGAAATCCAGTCCCGCTCTTCATTCGGAGAGTCCGCGATTCCTAGAGCCTCAGACTTCGTCATCCCGGTCTGCGTGACTTTATGAGATTCTGAGTTTCTGTTCCCAGCACCTGCCTTTGAAGGAGACCAGACTCCGGCTCCGCCCGGCCCGTGCCGGGTGGTCTGCGGCCCCGAGTCCGTGACCAAGCCCTCCGAGTGATCGGCCTGCCCTCGGGTGCACCCGCGGGTCCCAACGTGGGGGATCCCTCCATCCGCAAAGCCAGGTCAGCCACTGCCCACCCCACCCCAGGAAATATGGGTGTGGCCCTCCCCCCGCATCTAGGCTGGACGTCGGAGAGGGAGGGACAGGCATGTGGGGCAGCCTGGAAAGAACTGATCTTCGGGGAGGGGTGGGAGAGCGATGGTGGTTGGGAGGAAGTGGGGAGGGCTGCACATCAGGAAGGGGGTGCAAGAGGGTTAGTGATTGGGGAGCAGAAGGGTAAGTGCTGGTCATCAGGGACGGATGGGGGAGGGCTGTTTTCAAACCATTCCCCATCCTTGCAGGCAGGTGGGGTGACAAGAGGGCCTGAACTGGCTCTGCAGGCCTGGCTGCCTCCCCAGACAGCCCCGCCCCCGTGGGTGCAGAGCTGCCATCTTTGCCCATCCCTCTGAGGACTGGGTGTATGTCTTCTTCAACTGCATCTCCTCCCATGACTATCTTCTCCCTAGCTCCTCTAGCGGGCCCTGAATCAATGTTGCTTGCATGTGGGTTGCTTTGTGGCTAACATTTATTGAGCGCTCATGTGCCAGGTACTGTACTAGGGGCTTGACATACATGAAGTCGCTGGATCCTCATAGAAGCCAGTGTTGGTAGCATGGTTACTCACACTTTACAGATGAGGAAACTGAGGCTCTGAGAGGTGAACCAAGGTGACCTCTGCAGTTGTGGGTGGCAGATTTCGGATTCAAACCCAGTTCTCTTTTCATCCCAAAGCCTGTGCTGCTCACCATGCACTTCCCTGGGTGATTGCCTCCTGGCTCATTGCCATCCCTTATCCAGCTCTGGTATTTACAGACACTGTGCAGGCCCTGGGCAGGCAGTGAGCACCTGGCTCTGAGTTCAGGACAGTGTACTTCGTGTGTGCCAAGTTATGTGAGCACCAAGCAGTCGGGCAAATCCCATAGGTCAGGACTTGAGAGACCACGGTTCCAGGCTGCAATCCAGGCTGTACAGCCAGGCCACTGAACTTAATAAGCATCTACTTCTTCACTTTATTTATTTATTTATTATTATTTTCTGAGACAGAGACTCCCTCTGTCACCCAGGCTGGAGTGCAGTGGCATGATCTTGGCTCACTGCAACCTCTGCCTCCTGGGTTCAAGCAATTCTCGTTCCTCAGCCTTCCAAGTGGCTGGGACTACAGGCGCATATCACCACGCCCAGCTTCTTTGTGTATTTTTAGTAGAGACGGGGTTTGACCATGTTACCCAGGCTGGTCTCGAACTCCTGGGCTCAAGTGACCCACCTGTCTTGGCCTCCCAAAGTGCTGGGATTACAGGCATGAGCCACCACACCCGGCGTGTTTCTTCACTTTAAAAAGGGTTATGGTGAGAACAAAATGGAATAATAACGAGGGTGGTAAGCTGAGAATTGCTTTTTAATTTGTATTCACCGCAGAGGTCTCTTTGGTCATGATGTAGTTGAGCTCCCTGAGGTCCTGGCTGGCTCTGGATTGCTCCTGCTGATCCTGCTCTGACAGCGTTTGGGGGGCTAGAAGTGATTCATTGGCAGAGTCTGTTAGAGTCCTCAAAGAACAGCCTTGGAAAGCACCTGAGGAAACGTCTCTAAGTTTCCCTAGAACAGGAAAAGGATAATGCCAAGGCCTCACTATGGGTCGGTGGCAAATATGGGCCCCAACCCAGGTCATCTGGCTTGTCTGTCTCCACCTCATCCTGCTGCTCAATGTTTAGTCAACAAAGAACAAGGAGTACTGAGTGCCTGCTGTGGGCTCAGGACACAGATGGAAGAACTAGAAAGACGCAGCCCCTCACCTCATGGAATTCACTAGAAAGATGTGGCCCCTGACCCCATGGAACTCACTAGAAAGATGTGGCCCCTGCCCCCATGGAACTCCATGAAACTAGGAAGACGCAGTCCCTGGCTCCATGGAACTCGCTAGAAAGACACTGACCCTTACCCCATGGAACTCACTAGAAAGACACAGCCCCTGCCTCCATGGAACTCAATAGAAAGACGCAGCCCCTGCCCCCGTGGAACTCACTAGAAAGACGCAGCCCCTGCCCCCGTGGAACTCACTAGAAAGACGCAGCCCCTGCCCCCGTGGAACTCACTAGAAAGACGCAGCCCCTGCCTCCGTGAAACTCACTAGAAAGACGCTGTCCCTGACCCCGTGGAACTCACTGGAAAGTCGCAGCCTCTGCCCCCGTGGAACTCACTAAAAAGATGCAGCCTCTGCCCCCATGGAACTCACTAGAAAGTTGCTGCCTCCATGGAACTCTCTAGAAAGACCCAGCCGCTGCCTCCGTGGAACTCACTAGGGAGACACAGCCCCTGCCTCCATGGAACTCATGGTCCAGCAGACCAGCTGCATGCTCTGTGTTACTGCACTACCTGTCCCGGGTGTTGGGGGCTGTGACAAATTCCCCAGTCCCTAACTTCTCTCCTGTGCCCCAGGGTCCTAAAGATCGCTCTGGGAAAAGGGAAGGATGCCGCTCTTCTTCCGGAAGCGGAAACCCAGTGAGGAGGCTCGGAAACGCCTGGAGTACCAGATGTGTTTGGTGAGGGAAAGTGGGTTTCCTCTAACTCTATCCCATCTCCTCCTCGGTCCCCATGGAGTAGGCCTCCGCACTGCCCCCAACAAGCCGTGCTCCTTCCCATCTGCCTCCCCCACCCACAGAAGAAATATTTGACTTAGACCCAACAGATGAGGCCCCCTGCCAAGGGTGCTTCTCCCCTGTAGACTGAGCGCACTGTCATTGCTTTTCAGTTCCTCATCCCTCTGGGCCTCAAGCTCTGGGAAAGCAGGGGTCATTGGTTCACCTGCCAAATGGACCAGTGGAACCAGATAGTGTCTATGGTCCTTTGCAGCTGCTTACATTTATGTTCTTTGCCTGGCTTGTCCACTCTGCAAAGGTGTTTTGTCTTAATACTTTTTAAAAATTCTTTTTATCCTTAGGCAAAAGAAGCTGGGGCAGATGACATTCTCGACATCTCTAAATGTGAGCTCTCAGAGGTAAACTGAGGATAGTGTTGGGCTGTGAATTGGATCTGTCCCGTTTTCTTGGATCTTGTGTCCCTAGGAAAGACAGAGGTGGACTGGGGCTTTAGAAAGGCCAGAAGCTCTAGTCACGAGATGTTTCCTTAGATTTTGTTCTCGTCCAAAATAATTGAAGATGATCCTTTGGCCTCAATATAACGTAGTCTCCAAGAGTCAAGGAGTCTAGGTAGAAAATGTACCCATAGACTCCTACATTGCTGGAAGGGCCTGGCATTCTCCAGCCCCTGAAGGGGTTCACAATGGGGACAGGGTGGGTGGGGCAGGGCAGTCTCCTGCCAGCTGACCGAGGGAAGGGCTGGCCACATCCCCAACACCACTGCTTGCCAGCCTTGCCCCTGGGCTCAGCACTGCCACCTGCTGTGGCGTTTTGCCCTTGTTCACCTCCTGCCTGTCTCTTCCTCACGTGAATGCCACTCAGAGAACAAGCTAAAAACTGGCAGGAGGGGAGACACTTACTCTTCTTTATCTTATCTTAGATTCCATTTGGAGCTTTTGCAACATGCAAAGTTCTGCAGAAGAAGGTAAGATGGAGCTTCATCTTCAGAGACTTTCTTGTTGCATGTCTGCTTGTTTGAACCCACAAGGGACTTTGAGGAGCTGTCTTCCCGGCGTAGACACCTCCTTTCTCTCTGCTTCTTATGCTCTTGGCCTGCAGCAGGTGTTTTCACAGATAGGAGAGTAGGCTTTGGGGTTGGACCTTCCTGTGTCACATTCTAACTCTGCCCTCACTGGCTTCATGACTTGGGCAACTTCCTTAAACTCTTACTTCTCAGTTTCTTCCCCTGTGAAATGAAGACATTCATAGTTCTCCTTCCTGAGGTATTGTGAGAATTAAATGAGTGGTAGATAGCTAGATAGAGATAGAAATATACTGAGTGTACATGCCTACCACGTAGTAAAGGCTTATGAACCCCGGTGTTAGTAATAATAGAAACTCACGCCTTTTATTCTGGTCACCCAGGGGAGATTCAGAGGGGAGTGAATGATTTTTCAGCAGAGCATTGCAGCTTTGAATGCAGATGGGTAGAAGCGCTCTAAGTGAAGTATCTAAATGAGAATATGCAAAAAAAAAAAAAAAAAAAAGTGTTCCCTGCCAACAGAGTAGTGAGCTCCTTGGCGCTGGAAGTTTTGTTTGTTTTTTTTTTTTTTTGAAGACGGACGCTCTGCTCTGTCACCCAGGCTGGAGTGCAGTGGTGCAATCTCAGCTCACTGAAACCTCCGCCTCCTGGGTTCAAGCAATTCTCCTGCCTCAGCCTCCTGAGTAGCTGGGATTATAGGCGCCCACCACCATGCCCAACTAATTTTTGTATTTTTAGAGATGAGGTTTTGCCATGTTGGCCAGGCTGGTCTCGAACTCCTGACCTCAAGTGATCCACCTGCCTTAGCCTGCCAAAGTGCTGGGATTACAGGTGTGAGCCACCACGCCCAGTCTGTGCTGGAAGTGTTGGGCCGCAGTCAATGCCTAAGAAAAATGCAGTAGATTGGCCGGGTGCGGTGGCTCATGCCTGTAATCCCAGCACTTCGGGAGGCCGAGGTGGGCAGATCACGAGGTCAGGAGATCAAGACCATCCTGGCTACCATGGTGAAACCCGGTCTCTACCAAAAATAAAAAAAAAATCAGCTGGGTGTGGTGGCATGCGCCTGTAGTCCCAGCTACTCGGGAGGGCGAGACAGGAGAATTGCTTGAACCTGGGAGGCGGAGGTTGCAGTGAGCTGAGATCACACCACTGCACTCCAGCTTGGGCGACAGAGCAAGAGTTGGTCTCAAAAAAAAAAAAAAAGAAAAGGAAAAATAGCAGTAGATGACCTGGACTGAGCCCTGGCCCCTCTGCCAGCCCTGGAAGTTTTGCGCATGAGCTTTTATTTAACATCATGGCAGCCCTGGGAGGCAAGCACTTTATTATTCTCTATTTTCCACGTGAAGACGCTGGTGCTGGGAAGGTTATGATCAGGATGGCTGCAGGGGGATCCCTTCTCAGATGGAAGGAAGATGTAGACCTCTAAGGTCTCTTTCACCCTTGAAGATCCAGGTTTTAAGGAAGGGCATTAGATTCCCCATTGGGAGAGTTCATGATACTGACCCGCATCCCCGTGGTGGTGTCTGGGAGAGCAAGATGGTGGGGCGTGGCACGGCGCTGGGCTGGCTCCCACGCCCTTAGCCTGCCCTGCCTGCTGCTCTTCCTCAGCCCAGCATGGCCGCACATCTCTCCACACAGGTGCTGATCGTCCACACGAATCACCTCACTTCCCTGCTTCCCAAATCCTGCAGCCTCCTGAGTCTGGCAACCATCAAGGTACTGGGCCCTCCTCCCAGGCAGCTGGGGCTCTGCATGGGGTTCCACGCGGCAGCTGAGCGCCTGCTCCTTTTGGGCTGCCTCTTGCATGTCAGAGGGGCCCAATCTACCAGTCAGTCTGGGATTTGATCAGTATGGTTTACTGGATACTTCTGTGGGCTGTGTGTGGGTTAGGGTGACAAAGATGACCAGCCACAGGCCCTGTCCCTGGGGAGTTTACATGCCAGGAGGAAAGCCAAGTGACAGCCTCATGGCGAGTCAGCTAGCAGAGGGCGAGGAGACTGATGGTCCCAGGCAAGAAGGAAGAGGAGGGACGCGCAGGTGATCTGGAAGGACTCCCTGCTGACTGTGAGCTCCTCCCCGGATGGGCTGGGAGGCATTCACAACATGTGGGAGGTGTGAGCCCAGGGTTGTTATGCGCAGACCTGAGCTTGGGAGAGTGATATGCACCTTCAGAGGAGGCCGGCAGCACAGGTGTCAGCCCAGCAGCACAGGCCCAATCTGTTATACTATATTGTTTAGGGAATAATGACAAGAGAAAAGCCTGTATGTGTTCACTACAGATGCTTTCTTTCTTTTTTTTTTTTTTAATATTTTGCACCTGAGTTTGGTTGAATCCATAGATATGGAGGGTACCTGTGTGTGCACATGTATAAATATTTCTCCAAGGCCTTTTTTGTGCATTTTCATTTTTAAAAAATTAGCAGTCAGTCGTGGTGGCTCACACCCATAATCCTAGCACTTTGGGAGGCCAAGGCGGGTGGGTCACTTGAGGTCAGGAGTTCAAGACCAGCCTGGCCAACATGGTGAAACCCCGTCTCTACTAAAAATACAAAAAATTAGCCGGGCGCGGTGGCGGGCGCCTGTAGTCCCAGCTACTCGGGAGGCTGAGGCAGGAGAATGGCGTGAACCCGGGAAGCGGAGCTTGCAGTGAGCCGAGATTGCGCCACTGCAGTCCGCAGTCCGGCGTGGGCGACAGAGCGAGACTTCGTCTCAAAAACAAAACAAAACAAAACAAAACAAAACAAAAAAAAACACCAGCAGAGCATGTTGGCTTGTGCTTGTAATCCCAGCTACTTGGGAGGCTGAGGCACGAGAATCACTTGAACCCAGGAGGTGGAGGTTGCAGTGAGCTGAGGTCGTGCCACTGCACTCCAGCCTGGGTGACAGAGTGAGACTCTGTCTCAAAATAAAACAAAATAAAATAAAATTAAATTAAAAATTAGCAAGTACAGTTAAGCAAAGGGGGAAACATCTATAATTTTACACTGTGGAGTACCACTGTCAATATTTTATCGCATATTTGAAAGTCTTACATATTTATACAATGGAGTGTTTCTTTTTAACATATTAGTATCTAGGCATACTGTTTTATAGCATAGTTTTTCAGTTAACAGTAAAAATAAATATACATAAAATAAGAAAATGGTATAATGGTTTGAGAAGGAAAATGAGGCGGGAATGATCAACACTGAGTGGGAAAGGAGTGGCAGGCACTCTGTTTCTGCACTGGGGGTGTGAGGTGGCCCCAGCCCCTCCTCAGCGCTCTGGAGCCCGGAGTCTGAGGGACTTTCTCACTTGGAGACTCACAGGGGTCTTTCTTCTGCAGGTTCTAGATCTCCACGATAATCAGCTGACAGCCCTTCCTGACGATCTGGGGCAGCTGACTGCCCTCCAGGTAAGGCTGCAGAAACAGAAACCCACCTCGGATGGCCTTAGTGAGACCAGGCAGTCACTCAAGCCTGGAATGTTCTGGCCGGGCTCCAGCCAGTGGAAGCAGGCTGCAATCAGTGCCAGCTCCACCCTCCCCTTGGCCCTTTGGGGTTTTTTTTTTTTTTTTTGAGGCAGTGCCTCACTGCGTTGCCCAGGCTGGGGTGCAGTGGCGCCATCAGAGTTGCAGAGGCAACCTCTGCCTCCCGAGTTCAAGCGATTCTCCTGCCTCAGCCTCCCTAGTAGCTGGGATTACAGGTGTGTGCCACCACTCCCAGCTAGTTTTTGTATTTTTAGTAGAGATGGTGTTTCGCCTTGTTGGCCTGACTGGTCTCAAACTCCTGACCTCAAGTTATCCACTCACTTTGGCCTCCCAAAGTGCTGGGATTACAGGTGTGAGCCACCACGCCTGACCAATTGTACCACTTTGAGCCACAATAAATACCTTGGTGTAGGACTTTTTGTATGTGTATTTTTTTTTTCTCACTCTTGTCACCCAGGCTGGAGTGCAGTGGCACCATCTCAACTCACTGCAACATCTGCCTCCCGGGTTCAAGAGATTCTCATGCCTCAGCCTCCTGAGTATCTGGGATTACAGGCACACGCCACCACACCTGGACAATTTTTGTATTTTCAGTAGAGACTTGTTTTCACCATGTTGGCCAGGCTGACCTCAAACTCCTGGCCTCAGGTGATCCACCCGTCTTGGCCTCCCAAAGTGCTGGAATTACAGGCATGAGCCACTGCACCTGGCCAGTAGGTGTATTTTTATAGAATTGCTGCATTCACTAATTTGTAACTTTTGGATACCTGACAATAACTCATAGCATCCTTTGGTTCATCAAATATTCATCTTATTATTTTTAATGGCTACTTAGCTTTCCATTGCATCATTTTTTGTTTGTTTGTATTTTTGAGATAGAGTCTCGCTCTATCACCAGGCTGGAGTGCAGTGGTGTGATCTCGGCTCACTGCAATCTCCACCTCCCGGGTTCAAGCGATTCCCCTGCCTCAGCCTCCTAAGTAGCTGGAATTACAGGCGCCCACCACTATGCCTGGCTAATTTTTTATATTTTAGTAGAGACGGGGTTTCACCATGTTCACCAGGATGGTCTCAATCTCCTGATCTCATGATCCACCCACCTCAGCCTCCCAAAGTGCTGGGATTACAGGTGTTAGCCACCGTGCCTGGCCCCCATTGCATCTATTTTTAATGGTTAGTGTGTCATCCTGCTAGCCTTGCTCACCTCGAGGTACCACCTTCTGGAGGGAGCACAGCTTCGGAATCCAACAAGCCCTGGTTCAGTCCCAGCACCACTGCCGGCCTGAGGCCTTGGGTGGATCACACGGCCTTAGGGCAGCCTTTTCCTTAAGGCCAGGGGAACTAGAGCCTCCTGTGCTGCCTCCCCAGATCCCCAAGTCTGTAGTCCCCTTCTCCCTCCTTCCCTGATGGTGGGGCAGTTACTGAGCATTTTGTGGTCGGTGTAAGTGCTGGAACCTCAGCCAGAAGGGGTTCAAGGCCTGGCTGTGCTCTCCTGAGCACGTGACTTTGCCACCCTGAGCTTCAGTTTTTTTCCTGTCTCCAGCGGAAACAAGAATTTCTGTCTTCCTCAAGGGCCGGTAGGGGGAGATAAGAGCTTGTGTGTGTAGTGCCTGGGTGCCCTGGCCCGGCAGGGCGAGGGGTGCGGGGGTCATCACTGTGGTCTGTGTGTGGGTTCTCGTGTCACCTCTTCCTGTTTCTTTCTTTTTTTTTTTTTTTTTTTTTTTTTTGAGACGGAGTCTCACTCTGTTGCCCAGGCCGGAGTGCAATGGTGCAATCTCAGCTCACCGCAACCTCTGCCTCCTGGGTTCAAGCAATTCTCCTGCCTCAGCCTCCCGAGTAGCTGGGACTACAGGTGTGTGCCACCATGCCCAGCTAATTTTTGTATTTTTAGTAGAGATGGGATTTCACTATGTTGGCCAGGCTGGTCTTGAACTCTTGACCTTGTGATCCACCTGCCTCGGCCTCCCAAAGTGCTGGGATTACAGGCATAAGCCACTGCGCCTGGCTGCCTCTTCCTCTTTCTTAGGTCTTAAACGTGGAAAGGAATCAACTGATGCAGCTCCCACGTTCCATTGGGAACCTGACCCAGCTCCAGACTCTCAATGTTAAAGGTAGGGACCAAGAAGCCGTGTCCGTGTGACCCTCCATCAGCTCTGGGCCATCCTGGCCGGGATCCACAGGCTGCCCCGCCCGGGAGCCATTGAGCAGGAGGGCAGCCAGTCTCCGGGGGTCGCTGTAAATGGACTGACCCCTGCTGGGTCAGCTGTCTTCATGGTAACCAGAGACAGGCTGTCTGGAGGGTTCCTGTGGCTCCTGAGAGCCAGGGCCGTATGGCCGTATGGGGAGGAGGGCAGCTGGGCCCCGAGCCTCAGTCACTCATATTTATAATGGTGAGTGTAGAGGACTGATGGGGCGAGAGCTCCTAAGGAGCCGCAGTAAGGTTCTGAGCAGTGCTTCCACCTCCAGCGACGCACCAAGCCTCCTGAGGAGTCCACTGGGCAGGCTGAGGGCAGTGGTGCCATCCCCAGTTTACACACGAGGAAAACAAGGCCCGGGAAATCAAGTGTGACTTGCTCAAGACCACCCCGTGGGATGGTGACAGAGCCAAGACCACTGCACAGGCGCCTTACCCGCAGGAGCGCTCTGCTCGCCACACCCAGCTCTCTCCCTTCTCCTGGCTGTCCTTAAGCACTTCCTGCAGAGTGCCTCTGTTTATCAACTGTAACATATGAGTAATGAGAACAACAGTGGCGCCCCATTGCTCAGCCATTACAGCATGAGGGGCCCTGTGCGGAGGACCTCACACATCATCTACCTGAACCTCCAATCTCCCCGTGTTCTTATAAGGCTGGGTGGCAGTGTCATCCCCATTTTCCAGGTGAGAAAACTGGCACAAGGAGGCAAAGCCAGTTGTCTAAAGTCTCTTGGCTAGTAATTGGTGGAGTGGGGACTTGAACTGGAACTCCACCTTCTTGAGCCTAGGAAACCTCAGAGCCCAGGATCTGTTGTGTGCCCTAGAGGTCAGAGTGGCTCCCAGCGGGCATCAGGCAGGAAGCTGGTGATGGGGATTTGGGGTGTTGAGCTGTGCTATTGGGGTCTCTGCAGACAACAAGCTGAAGGAGCTTCCAGACACCGTGGGGGAGCTTCGAAGCCTGCGTACCCTCAACATCAGTGGAAACGAGATCCAGAGATTGCCGCAGATGCTGGCTCACGTTCGAACCCTGGAGGTAAATGGGAAGCTGTTCTTGCCTGGGGTGCTCTCTGGCCTGCCCACCTCCCCTCTCTCCCACATTACTGAGTGCTTGCTCTGATCTCACGGTACCAGGGCCACACAGAGATCCCAAGGCATGGTCCTTGGAGGCTTGTAGAGAGGCCAATGTGTGAACATTCGTAATTATATGACTTTTGCTGCCATAATAGAGGCAGAAAAACATACATTAAGAATGAAGAAGAAAGAATGCTGAATCCAGAAGAGGCTGACACTTTAAGAAAGTTGTCGGTAGGGGAACAACACAGTGAGGCCTGTCGGAGGAGGGTGGTGGGGAGGGAGAGCATCAGGAAGAAAAGCTAATGGATGCTGGGCTTCAAACCTGGGTGATGGGACGATCTGTGCAGCAAACCACCGTGGCACATGTTTACCTTTGTAACAAACCTGCACGTGCTGCACATGTACTCCTGAGCTTAAAAGTTGCAGAAGAAAAAAAAAGTTAAAAAAAAAAAAAGTTGTGATATTCAAGCCAGACCTTAAAGGAGGAATAAGATTTCTGGGCTGGGCACCGTGGCTCACTCCTGTAATCCCAGCACTTTGGGAGGCCAAAGCAGGTGGATCACTTGAGGTTAGGAGTTCGAGACCAGCCTGGCCAACATGGTGAAACCCTGTCTCTACTAAAAATACAAGAAATTATCCAGGCGTGGTGGTGCGCACCTGTAATCCCAGCTACTCGGGGGAGGCTGAGACAGGAGAATTGCTTGAACCCGGGAGGCGGAGATTGCAGTGAGCCGAGATTGCGCCATTGCATTCCAGCCTGGACAACAAAGCAAGACTTTGTCTCAAAAAAAAAAAAAAAAAAAAAAATTCTGAGCAGACCTGGATAACAGGGGCAGCCCAGGTGCAGGAGGCAGGTGGTGGGAAGCACAGATTGTCTCAGGGAGGGTCGAGGAAGTGATGTGGTTGGAAGCTGCTGAGCTTGTGTGATATGGGGCCCAGAAAGCTGGGAGGGAGAGAAGGAGGTAGGGAGCCGTTGGGATGGGGGTTCAGAATTATCCAGGCCAGGGGAGTTCTATAGGCTAGAAGTCCAAGATCAAGGTGTTGGCAGGGTTGGTGACTTCTGAGGCCTCCCTCCTTGGCTTGTAGGTGCTGTCTTCCCTCCCTGTGTCTTCACCTCATCTTCCCTGTGTACATGTCCGGGTCCAAATTCCCTCCTCTTAGAAGCACACCAGTCACATTGGATTAGGGCCCAGCCTAATGACCCCTTTTTAACTTAATTACCTCCTTAAAGATGCTATCTCCACATACAGCCACATTCTGAGGGATGGGGGGATTAGGATTTCCACATAGGAACTTGGGAGGGGGACATAGTTCAGCCCATGACAGACACTGACAGAGGCAGCTGCTCACGGAAAGCAGCTCTCACAGTCATGCTAATGAGGTAGCTCACCTTTATCTGGGGCTTTCTAAGACTGGGCATAACCTGGAATCGCTCCGTGTATCGTCACAGAACTCTTGTGAGGCAGATACTATTGTGCTACTTTGTAGATGAAGAAACTGAGGCACAGGCAGTTTAAGAAACTTGCCCAAGGGCCACACAGTCACTGACAGCAGAGATCGTTGTAAACCAGGCCGTCTGAAGCTGACGCCTGTGCTCCCCACCTCTGTATGACTCGGCTTCTGGAACAGGGACTTCTCCATTCATGGTGGCACGCAGTCTGGCCAGCATTCCGGAGTGGCCTGGAGTTGACCCCACTCTCAGCCAGCCCAGCCTGCTGAGCAGAGGTGTCTGTGTCAGAGTGGGTGGGTGATCACAGAGACAGCAGAGGAAGGACTGACCTCAGCAGCTGGGGCCCTCCTGCCTGAGAAAGGGCCGGCTGGGGAGATGGGCCAACATGGCTTGTCCTCTCTGCTGCCTACTGGAACTTTCTGCAATGATGGAAATGTTCAGTGACCGTGCTGTCCAGAGCGGCAGCCACTGGCCATGTGTATCTAATGAGCACCTGGTGACCGTGCTGTCCAGAGCGGCGGCCACTGGCCACGTGTATCTATTGAGCACCTGGAGACCGTGCTGTCCAGAGCGGCAGCCGCTGGCCATATGTATCTATGGAGCACCTGGAATGTGGCTTGTGTGTACAGCCAGGAACTAAAAGTTTGATTTCATTGAATTTTAATTAATTTATATTTAAATAGCCGTGGGTCCTTAGTGGCTACCATTTTAGACAATACAGCTCAGAGCACGTTCCCAATCCTGAAGCCATCTCGACATCTAGTATGAGTTCTGGACACTTCAATTTTTTTTTCTTTGAGACAGGCTCTCATGCTGTCACCCAGGCTGGAGTGCAGTGGCTCAATCATAGCTCACTGCAGCCTCAAACTCCTGGGCTCAAGAGATCCTCCTCCTCAGCCTCCCAAGAGACTGGGACCACAGGTGTACCCCATCACTCTTGGCTAATTTTTTTATTTTTTGTAGAGATGAGGTCCCACTATGTTGCCCAGCCTGGTCTCAAAGTCTTGGGCTCAAGCAATCCTCCCGCCTTGACTCCCAAGTAGGTGGGATTACAGGTGTGAGCCACCACACCCAACCTGGACACTTCATTTTATTTTGATTCCTTTAAAAAAAATCTTTTGGGTTTCTTGGTGGCACCTCGGACAAACCTTCTTTTAGGATGAGATAACCGTTCTGAGTTCAGGCCGTACTGTGGGCAAGATCTTCAGGTGTCACGCACGCCACCCACCAAACAGCCCACCAGGTCGGTAACACTGCCTGTTTGGCTATGAGGAGACCACAGCCCCAGGACACTAAGGGGCCTGATTAAGCAAACACATGGCCAGCATGCAATGAGCCGGGATCTGAAGCCATGGCGGTGTCTTTGGCACAGCAATGTCCAGTCACTGCTCCTGCTGCCCACGATGAGAATGCTCTATGATCTGTGCAGCCAACATGGCCACCCCAGCCACTTGTAGCTGCTGGGCCCTTGAAATGTGGTGACTGCAACCAACCATGGACTCAAACTTTAAATCAGATTTATTTTCAGTTACTTAAAATGTAACCATAAATGGCCACACATGGCTTGTAGCCAGCATCCTGGTATAGCCCACAGTCCGTGCCCTTAAGCCACCACGCTTTACTGATGGTGACTAAGAGCACCCATGTGGGGTTCATTTGCTTCCAGGTATGGGGTTTTCTGCTGTTGGGCCCTCAGCATCTGGGCGGTCAGTTCCTCTTCCCTGGGGCAGTCTCCCACTCCCTGTGCAAAGCACGTTCACTCAACACCCACCGTGTGAGGGCTGGGCTGGCCAGGGCTGGGGGACCTGAGCTACCCTTCCCACCCAGCCACTTGTGTTACAGCAAAATCAGAGCTTCCCAGGCCTTCTCCTTTTCCAGGACTCCCCTGATACCCAGGCATAGAGGATATCAGTGCCTGCCAGCACTCTGGGATGAGAGGGCCTGTGGGAAGTCAGAGGTTGGCAGCGGGAGGGCAGGGTCCAACACAACTCACACCGTGGATGGGGCAGTTCTGTGGCTGTGAGCTGAGGCCCCTGCTTCCTGGGCTTCATAAACACGGAGGCATCTGCATGTGTGCGCTGATAAACATTTGTCATTACATAATTTAAAAGTCATACTGTATATTGTAAAACAAAAAAAATGCAAATATTAAGAAACATTTCTGCCAGGCACAGTGGCTCAAGCTTGTAATCCTAGCACTTTGGGAAGACGAGGTGGGTGGATCACTTGAGGTCAGGAGTTCAAGACCAGCCTGGCCAACATGGTGAAACCCCATCTCTACTAAAAATACAAAAATTAGCCGGGTGTGGTGGCGCATGCCTATAGTTCCAGCTACTCGGGAGGCTGAGGCAAGAGAATTGCTTGAACTGGGGAGGCAAAGGTTGCAATGAGCTGAGATCACACCACTGCACTCCAGCCTGCCACACAGCAAGACTCTGTCTCAAAAAATAGTAATAATAATAGCATTTCATGTAGATAGTAACCCAAAATCTCCTTTTAGAGGAAACCACTTTTAGTTTGATAGATATCCCTCCAATTTTTTTCTATAAAATATGAATGTGAAAGTGTATGAATATATTATATGAATATATTATCTAACAAAGGAAGAATCATATATATATATATATATATATATATATATTTTTTTTTTTTTTTTTTTTTTTTTTCCACTAGAGATGGGGTCTCGCTATGTTGCCCAGGCTGGTCTCGAACTCCTGGGCTGAAGTGATCCTCCCACCTTGGCCTCCCAAAGTGCTGGGATTACACGCATGAGCCACCACACCCAGCCAGTGGAATCATATTCTATATGCTGTCCTATAACTTCCTTTTTTTCACTCACTTATGTATTTATCCAAAGTGAACTGAGAGGCTGGGTGTATGACTCACACCTGTAATTCCAGCACTTTGGGAGGCGGGCGAATTGCTTGGGCCCAAGACTTTGAGACTAGCCTGGGTAACATAGTAGGACTTTATCTCTACAAAAAATACAAAAATTAGGCATGGTGGCATGTGCTTATAGTCCCAGCTACTCAGGAGGCTGAAGTGGGAGGATTGCTTAAACCTGGGGAGGTCGAGACTGCAGTGTTCGTGCCACTGCACTCCAGTCTGGGCAATGGGAATGAGACCCTGTCTCAGAAAAATGTAAAAAAGTGCTTGCTGCTGTTGTAACCAAGCGAGTTATAGAGAAACACCACACTTTGAGACAAATTGAGGAGTCCTTTATTAGCTGGCAACCGAGAGGCAGCTAATGCTCAAAATTCTCTTGGCCCTGAGGAAGGGGCTAGTTTTGTTTTTATACTGTGGTCTAAATAGGGGAGGGGGGAGTTTAGCTGAAGCAATTTTTACAGAAGCAGAACTGGCAAAAAGTTAAAAAATTAATTGGTTACAAAAGCAGTTACAAAAAATAAACAGTTCCAGGTGCAGGGGCTTAAACTATCACAAAGGGATAAATGCAGGGGCTTTATGTGCCATCCACTGCGCGTGTCCCCAGGAGCTGCTGGTGCAGCTCACCTCAATATCTTATCAGTAAGTGCATTCCTGGATGTGCTTTGAGTCAGTTTACACTAGTTATGCCCTTAAGGGAGGGAGGGAAGGGGGCTGCAGGTGAAGAAACTAAAATGGAGTCTGTCCGGCTCTCTCTCTGCTAGGAGAGAGTCACTCAGGTTAAAACAAGGTAGGGCATCACACTGCCTGCCTACAGTCATCCCAGGCACTGGGAACGCAGCTGTAAGTAACAAGACAGTTCAGCCACCTCTGCTGTCAGGCCATTCCTGCTGGGTAGAGGTGACAGAGAACACACAAATTGATAAGGAAATCGTGTGGTCTCCGGTTGCGTTGGTAGCGAACAGTAAAGCGGGTTACCCTTGTGTCTGCAGATGCTGAGCCTTGACGCCTCGGCCATGGTCTACCCGCCGCGGGAGGTGTGTGGTGCCGGCACTGCGGCCATCTTGCAGTTCCTCTGCAAAGGTAAAGCCAGGCCGCTGCCTCCTCCCCTCATTGAGGAACTATGACCCCCATGGCCACCCTGTGCCAGCCCAGGCTGGGGAACAGCAGAGACAGAAATGGCCACAGTGCCTACCTGCTTGGAGTTCGAGGTCTGGCAAGGGAAACAGGCAAAACAAATGTTTACACAGGGAAATAGATACAGACTGTGGTTATGGGAGTGCAGTGGTGCAGCTGATTTAGGTTGGGGCCACAGGGAAGGCCTGTCTTTGAGAGTGTGGCTCCACTGACACGGAGTCATGGTTAAGATCTAGAAAAAGCAGAAAGCTGTTCCGCCAGTAGGTGCATATGGAAGGGCCTTGATGGGAAGTTTGACAGAGAGAGGGCCAGTGTAGCTGGAGGGAGGAAGCAGAGAGAAGAGAGATGGGAGAAGCCAAAGACAGTGCCCGGGCCCAGTGTCCAGTGGGAGAGCATGTGATCAGTCATTAGGCTGCAGGGAGGAGAAGGGATTGGAGGAGGAAAGAAAGAGTGCAGGACAGGGGACCAGTTAGGAGGCTGTCGGGGTCATCCAGGAGAGATGCACAGCAGAAGGAGCTAAAACCCGGAGCCAGCACTGGCTGGAGGCGGGAGGAGAGCAGGATGCCCTGTCAGGCTGGAAGTTCTTAGCTAGTGGTTCTGGTCACCTGTGGGACTTTCAGAATGCAACCAAGACACACATGCCTATGACTTATCATGGCCATTGCAAAACAGTGGGGAAGGATGGTCTTTTCAATAGCTGATTCTGGATCAACTGGTTGTCCCTGTGGAAAAAATGAACTTTAACCTCTTCCTTAAACAGGAAGCAGGCAGTACTCATGATAAAAGATTGGTACCTTAGATTTAATTAAGGCCAGACATGGTGGCTTGCGCCTGTAATCCCAGCACTATGGGAGGCTGAGGCAGGAGGATCTCGAGCCCAGGAGTTTGAGACCAGCCTAGGCAACATGGTGAAACCCTGTCTCTACAAAAAAAAAAAAAAAAAAAAAAAAAAAAATCAGCCAGGCGTGGTGGCACGTGCCTGTGTTCCCAGCTACTTGGGAGGCTGAGGTGGAAGGATCATTTGAGCCTGAGCTGTGGTCATGCCACTGCACTCCAGCCTGGAGCAAGACTCCAACAAAGCAATACCCTATCTCAAAAAAAAGGTTTAATTAAAATCAAAATGTCTCTTCCTCAAAAGATACCATTTAGGGAAAGAAAAGGAAAGCCATAAAGTTAGAGATGATATTTGCAATACATATATATCCAACAAAGGACTGGGATCTGGACTATAAACAGAAATCCTACAGATCCACAAGGAAAAGACATTAGCAAAAGACTTGACTAAGAATTTTTACACAAGAGAATATCCACACGGTGGCTCACACCTGTAATCCCAGCACTTTGGGAGGCTGAGGTGGGCAGATAACCTGAGGTCAGGAGTTTGAGACCAGCCTGGTCAACATGGTAAAACTCCATCTCTACTAAAAATACAAAAACTAACTGGGCATGGTGGCAGGCACCTGTAATCCCAGCTACTCAGGAGGCTGAGGCAGGAGAATCACTTGAACCCGGGAGGCAGAGGTTGCAGTGAGCTGAGATTGTGCCACTGCACTCCAGTCTGGATGACAGAGCAAAACTCCATCTCAAAAAGAAAAAAAAAAAAGAGATGATATACAGATAGCAAACAGTATCTGAAAAAATTGCACAACATCATCTTAGTCAATGGGAAAATGCAAATTAAAACTGCAAAGAGATACTTTGACAAACCCACTAAAATGGCCAGAACTTTTCAATGGAAAAAAAAAAACAAAAAACTTCCTGCTGACAAGTCAACCAGAAATAAAAAAACAAAAAATAGGCCGGGCGCGGTGGCTCGCGCCTGTAATCCCAGCACTTTGGGAGGCCGAGGTGGGCGGATCATGACGTCAGAAGATTGAGACCATCCTGACTAACACAGTGAAACCCTGTCTCTACTAAAAATACAAAAAAAATTAGCAAGGCGTGGTGGCGGGCGCCTGTAGTCCCAGCTACTAGGGAGGCTGAAGCAGGAGAATGGCGTGAACCCGGGAGGAGGAGCTTGCAGTGAGCCGAGATTGCGCCACTGCACTCCAGCCTGGGATACAGAGCAAGACTCCATCTCAAAAAAATAAAATAAAATGGCCAAAATTGAACTGGTGATACCAAGAATTAGCAAAGATGTGGAGCAACAGGAACTTCCATATACTGCAGGTGGGAATGTAAAGTGAAAATTACCTTAAAAATTATTCTCAATATCTACTCAAGCTGAACATTCAAATATCCTATGGCCCATGAGTTCCATTCCTAGGTACATGCCTGTATTAGTCTGTTCTCACACCGCTATGAAGAAATTCCCAATTTCTATGAAGAAATTCTTTATAAAGAAAAGAAGTTTAATTGACTCACAGTTTCACATGGCCGGGAGGCCTCAGGAAACTTACAGTCATGGTGGAAGGCACCTCTTCACAGGGCAGCAGGAGAGAGAATTAGTGCCAAGTGAAGAGGGAAGCCCCTTATAAAACCATCAGATCTTGTGAGAACTCACCCACCACCATAAGAATAGCATGGGGGAACTGCTCCCATGATCTAATCACCTCCCACGAGTTCCCGCCCCCAACACGTGGGGATTACAATTCAGAGATTGAGGTGGGGACACAGAGCCAGACCATATCAATGCCCAATGGAAATGCATATGAATAAATGCCAAAAGCCATGTGCAAAAATGTTCATAGCAGCACTATTTATGCCAGTCCAACCTGGAAACAGCTTTAATGTCCATTAGGAGTAGAATGGATAACTAAACTGTTTTATACTCAATGTGTGGATACCACACGGCAAGTGGAAAGAATGAGCCACTGCTCCTTTCAACAACCTGGATGAGTCTCACAAACAATGTGGAGTGTGAGGAGCCAGACACAAAGGAATATGTGCTCTTATCAGTCACCACAGAGCTTTGAACCAGCACTGGTTCCTGGTCATGAGAGTGTGTTCACCTTTAAACATTCATCAAGCTCTGCATGAAGATTCTGTGCTCTCGGCCCAAAGGCAGTGAGTTATCTCAATTGATTGCTCACAGTCAGTTACAGATTTAAGGCCTTGTTCCACTCTTTCTCCTCTTCTCACCGCTGCACTTGACTAATCTTAAAAAAAGAGAGAGAAAGATTTTGTGCTCTTTTCTGTATGTATGTTATATTTTACTTTAAAAGAAAGTGGAGGGGGGTGGCTGCGATCATAGCCACCAGGCCACACATATGCAAATTAGAGTCTTCGAGCAACAGGTGATTCCAATATACACCCTGGCCAATGGCTGAGCTAGCTAGACAAAAGCCTTTATTTTCTTTAAAAAGATTTTGGGGCCGAACAAGGTGGCTCACGCCTGTAATCCCAACATTTTGGGAGGCCAAGGCGGGTGGATCGCTTGAGCCCAGGAGTTCAACATGGGCAACATGGCAAAACTTCATCTCTACAAAAAATGCAAAAATTAGCCCAGCTTGGTGGCACACCTGTAGTGCCAGCTGCTCGGGAGTCTTAGGTGGGAGGATTGCTTGAGCCTAAGAAGTGGAGGTTGCAGTGAGCCAAGATTGTGCCACTGCACTGCAGCCTGGGTGA
Organism: Homo sapiens; assembly: GCF_000001405.40. Lineage (NCBI taxonomy): Eukaryota > Metazoa > Chordata > Mammalia > Primates > Hominidae > Homo > Homo sapiens. Next base: position 127,471,452 of record NC_000009.12, read on the forward strand.
CAGAGAGAGACCTTATGTTATAAAAAAAAAAAAAAAAAAAAAAAAAGATTTTGGGCTGGGCGCGGTGGCTCACGCCTGTAATCCCAGCACTTTAGGAGGTCGAGGTGGGTGGATCACCTGAGGTCGGGAGTTCGAGACCAGCCTGACCAACATGGAGAAACGCCATCTTTACTAAAAATACAAAGACTAGCCAGGCGTGGTGATGCATGCCTGTAATCCCAGCTACTCAGGAGGCTGAGGCAGGAGAATCGCTTGAACCCATGAGGCAGAGGCTGCAGTGAGCTGAGATCTCGCCACTGCACTCCAGCCTGGGCGACAGAGCAAGACTCCATCTCAAAAAAAAAGAAAAAAGAACAATTAGCCACCACGCCTGGCTAATTTTTGTATTTTTAGTAAAGACAGGGTTTCGCCATGTTGACCAGGGTGGTCTCATACTCTTGACCTAAGGTGATCCACCCACCTCGGCCTCCCGAAGCGCTGGCATTACAAGTGTGAGCCACCACGCCCTGCAAGAAATAATTTTTTTTTTTGAGACAGAGTCTCACTGTCGCCCAGGCTGGAGTGCGGTGGCGCAATCTTGGCTCACTACAACCTCTGCCTCCTGGGTTCAAGCGATTCTCCTGCCTCAGCCTCCTGAGTAGCTGGGATTACAGGCGCCCACCACCACGCCTGGCTAATTTTTGTATTTTTAGTAGAGACGGGGTTTCACCATGTTGGTCAGGCTGGTCTCGAACTCCTGACCTCGTGATCCACCCGCCTCAGCCTCCCAAAATGCTGGGATTACAGGCGTGAGACACCACGCCTGGCCAAGAAATAATTTTTCAATTTACCTAAACTATGTAGAAGTATATATATATATATATGTGTGTGTAAAATTTGTTTTTTGACCTTTTAAAAAACATTAAAGAGGCTGGGCATGGTGACTCACACCTATAATCCCATAACTTTGGGAGACCAAGGCTGGCAGATCCCCTGAGGTCAGGAGTTCGAGACCACCTTTACCAACATGCGGAAACCCTGTCTCTACTAAAAATACAAAATTAGCTGGGTGTAGTGGCGCATGCCTATAATCCCAGCTACTCAGGAGGCTGAGGCAGGAGAATGGCTTGAACCCAGGAGGAGGAGGTTGCAGTGAGCAGAGATCATGCCACTGCACTCCAGCCTGGGTGACAGAGCAAGACTCCATCTCAAAAAATAAATAAATAAATAAAAATAAAAATAAACATTAAAGAAACCATAAAAGGTATCATATGATGTGATTCTATGCCTTGCTTTTTTTGTCTCTCAAGAAAAGTCTTGGGTATTTTCCTGTCTCATAGTACGGTTTGAATGTCCCCTTAAACTGGTCACAGGATTTCATGTGGTGGCACCTGTAGCTTCGTAGCCATCCCTGTTGGAAGGCATTTCCAGTTTCCTGCTGTTCTGAACATTTGAACTGACACCTCTCTGTCACCGTGTGCACTTTCCCCTAGGGTGTGTGAGAGGGCACGAGCGCCCTAGGGTGCCTGGGAAGAGGTCCCATCAGTCTCCATCCCATGAGGAGTGGCTGGGAGGACCTCTCTCCCCCTTCACAACCTGCGTAACATGAAGTATTTTATTAAAGAGTCTGCTAATCGGATGGATAACAAGAGAGCCCATTATTATTCTAATGTCACTTCCTTGATTCTGTGAATATTTTTCATACGTCTCCTGCCCATTTTTAGTATTTCTTGTGACGTGACTGTATCCTTCCCATGAGGGGAAAGAAGATAACTTTGAGTACATCAAAACTTACAACTTGTTTACCCCGGAAGGACACCATCATCAAAGTTAAAAGACCAGTTACCACCTGGAAGAAGATAGTTACAACATATTATAGACCTAAGGTTATTAACTACAATATATAAAGAGCACCTACAAATCAACAGGAAAAAGACAAACAGCCAAATAGGAAGTGAGTCTAAGGTATGAACCCTTTGAAATTTTACAGGCAAAACCACACATGGCCAGAGAAGGAAAGCATCTTGCCCAAGGTCTCACATTCAGGGAATTATTGGTAGAGCTGGATCTAGGACGCAGGTTTCACTGCTTATCTCAGGCTTTTTCATCACTTCATTCTCACTTGGATGGTAAAGAGGTGTAAGGGGTAGCCAGTACCCATTGACTCACTCCACTGACATTTACTGAGCACCTGCCACATTCCAGGCCCAGGGCTAGGACCGGTGAAAAACACGAAGCGCCCAGGCTAGGGAAGAGGAGAGCAGTGGCTGAGTCAGGGTGGGGCCGGCTGCCCTGGCAGTGGGAGCGGGTGTCTCTGGGTACCTCAGCTGTCTCCTCCCTCCTGGTCAGCTTGTGTCCCGTCTCTTACAGAGTCAGGGCTGGAATACTACCCCCCTTCTCAGTACTTGCTGCCAATTCTGGAGCAAGATGGAATCGAGAACTCTCGGGACAGCCCTGATGGGCCCACGGACAGATTCTCAAGGGAGGAGTTAGAGTGGCAGGTAAGACAAGGCAGCCTGCTGCACGCATACATGTGTGTGTGTGCGTGTGCATGTATGTGTGTTGAGGGAGCTGGGAATGGAAGGGGGCGGTGGTTCAGAGCTGCAGCTCCCAGATTCCTCCATAGAACTAGAACTGGCCTCCTGACGAGTTGAACTGCTTTTTCAAGGCCTGCTGTGGCAGCCTCACCCCACCAGCTTGCCAAGCACAAGCTGTGCCCTGCTGCTGTCTGTTCCCTGAACTAACCATGATCCTTCCCTCTTCAGGGCCTTTGAACAAGCAGCTCCCTCTGTCTGGAATCTCCCCACTCACTTGTCTTATCCTTCAGTTCTTTTTTTTTTTTTTTTCCTTTTTTTGAGACAGGGTCTTGCTCCATCACCCAGGCTGGAGTGCAGTGGTGTGATCATAGCTCGCTGCAGCCTTAACCTCCTGGGCTTAAGTGATCCTCCCACCTCAGACTCCCAAAGTGCTGGGATTATAGGCATGAGCCACCATGCTCAGCCTCCTTCAGTTCTCAGTTTAAACATTACATCCTCTGAGAAGCTCCAGTCGAGGTCAGGTCTCCTGTTGTGTGTTCTCAGAGTGCCCTGCACAGTTCCTTGGTAGCACTTATCACAGCGCTAAATTGATGAGGAACTCTATGGGAAATGATCTGTCTCATGTCTGTCTCCCCTGCTGGATGAAGCTTTGTGAGAATAGGGATTGTGTCTGTAATGTTCATTGCTATCTCTCAGCAAATACTTCTGGACCAAATGCTACTCACTGTCTGGGACACACACCCACCATGCTCTGGGTCTAGTGAAGGAGTCAGACAGGCACATGTGTGAGCACCAGTGACAGGCTGGCCCTGTCAGGTCCTGGCGACAAGCTAGCACAGGACGACACAGAGGAGGAAGCTCAAAGGGTTTGCCACATTAGCCTGCGTGCCCCCTCTGCCGCCATCCCCAAGGCTCATGATCCAGGGTCCTCTGCTGGCTGGTAGATGGGGGAGGCCATCACTGGGCAGGAGTACCAGCTGCCGGGCATTTGGCTTCATATCTTCCACTGACTCTTAATCTCTGGTTCCTAGATGCCACCCTTTCCCGTTTTCCACTGCTGCTGGGAATGCATTTGGGATTTTATTATTATTATTATTATTATTATTTTATAGTTCAGCAAGAATTAGAGAGGGAGGAGAAGGCTGTATGTGAAAATTGTGCCAGTTCACATTCTCAGAAAATATTTGCAACACAGTCACTGGCTGAAGGATTCGTAGATTGAGCAGAGAAAGAACTCTTTCCAATCAGTAAGAAGAAAACCATCGCAATAGAAAAAATATTGGGAGGCCGAGGCTGGTGGATCACTTGAGGCCAGGAGTTTGAGACCAGCTTGGCCAACGTAGTAAAACCCTGTCTCTACTGAAAATGCAAAACTTAGCCAGGCATGGAGGCGTGCACCTGTAATCCCAGCTACTCGGGAGGCTGAGGCACAAGAATCACTTGAATCCAGGAGGCAGAGGTTGCAGTGAGCTGAGATTGCGCCACTGCACTCCAGCCTGTCCAGGTGACAGAATGAGACTCCATCTCAAACAAACAAACAAACAAACATTTAAAAATGCCAACTTTGCTGGTAATCAGAGGAGAGGCATGTTAAGTTAAAACAACATTGAAATACCATTTCCTTCCTCAAGATTGGCACACATTTTGACATGACAATTTCTGTTGGCCAGAGTATGGGAAAACAGGTGTCCTCATAAACTGCTCTTGGGAGTGAAAATTGGTATCACAACTTTGGAGGATAATTTGACAGTAGGTGTCAAAAAAGATTTTATTATTTTTTTATTTTTTTTTGAGATGGAGTCTCACTCTGTTGCCCAGGCTGGAGTGCAGTGGTGCAATCTTGGCTCACTGCAACCTCCATCTCCCGGGTTCAAGTGATTCTCCTGCCTCAGCCTCCCGAGTAGCTGGGATTACAGGGATGCGCCACCATGCCCGGCTAATTTTGTATTTTTAGTAGAGACGGGGTTTCACCATGTTGGCCAGGCTGGTCACGAACTCCTGACCTCAAGTGATCTGCCCACCTCGGCCTCCCAAAGTGCTGGGATTACAGGTGTGAGCCACCACACCCGCCAGATGTCAAAAATTTTCATGGGCACAGCCCGTGATCCAGAAGTTCCGCTTCTCAATGTATACCCAAGATAAATGCTTGCATGAGGAGACATTTGCAGGAGTGTTTATTGCAGCCTTATTTGTAGTATTGGATGCCCCCCAAATGTTTGTCAGTGAGAAGGCACTGCCCCTGGGTCATGTGCACACCATGAGATGGAGCATTTGAGCCTCGGCTCGCTGGGACACATGGATTAGTGAAAAGGGCAGATTGCAGAACAGGATGGGCTAGTCTATTTCCATTCTTATGTTTAAAAAGAAAACTCAATCAACACCAGCCTGGGCAATGTGGCGAGACCCTGTCTCTACAAAAAATACAAAAAAATTAGCCAGGCATAGTGGCACGTGCCTGTGGTCCCAGCTACGAGGGAGGCTAAGGTGGGAGGATGGCTTAAGCCCAGGAGGTTGGAGTTTGCAGTGAGCTAAGATTACACCACTGCACCCCATCCTGAGTAACAGAACTAGACCCTATCTCAAAAAAGAAAGAAAAAGAAAACTCAAAACAAAAAAAGGAAACAGACAGGTAGTTGCCAGTGGCTGGAGTGGGAAGAGGATTTGATGATGAAGTGGCATGAGCGAATTTTCGAGGGTGATGGAATTGTTTTCTTTTTTCTTTTTGAGACAGAGTCTCACTCTGTCACACTAGGCTGGAGTGCAGTGGCATGATCTCAGCTCACTGCAACCTCTGCCTCTCAGGTTCAAGCAATTCTCCTGCCTTAGCCTCCCGAGTAGCTGGGATTACAGGCACCTGCCACCACGCCTGGCTAAGTTTTGCATTTTGTTAGTAGAGACGGGGTTTCACCATGCTGGCCAGTCTGGTCTCGAACTCCTGAACTCAAGTGATCCACTTGTCTCAGCCTCCCAAAGTGCTGGGATTACAGGCATGAGCCACCGCGCCCAGCCAGAATTGTTTTCTATCTTAATTGTGTTTAGAGGTTACAGAACTCTATGCATATATAAAGATTCATAGAATTGTTCACTAACATTGGGTGAATTAGAGTAAATAGATTATACTTGATTAAAAAAATGTTTATATATGCACACAAATACAAATATATTTCTTTCCCAAAGGCACAAATTATATATGTACAGATGCATGCCTTGGGCCTGATAATGACAGTTACACCTGACAGGAGGTGTGGGGTGGGAGGGGAACCAGGGTTAGGCTGGAGTGGTCAGTAGATGCTTTAGTTTTTTATACCATGTTTCAAACTTTTACAAGGAGAATATATTGAGATGTTATCTGTATAATTGAAGATTAATTTTAAAATTATATTCCTACCATTAGTATAGGCAAAATCCTATTTATAGGTTGCTGCTTTTATAATTCAGAGACTGATCCTGTTCTCAAAACAGGATAACTAAATAGAAGGACCATTCAAAAAATACCTGTGTGCCAGGCGCAGTGGCTCACGCCTATAATCCCAGCACTTTGGGAGGCCGAGTCGGGTGGATGCTTGAGCTCAGGAGTTTGAGACCATCCTGGGTAACATAGCAAGACCTTGTCTCTACCAAAAATACAAAAAATTAGCCAGGCATGGTGGTGCGTGCCTGCAGTCTCAGCAACTTAGGAGGCTGAGGTGGGAGGATCACTAGAGCCCAGGAGGTCGCGGCTGCAGTGAGCTGAGATTGTGCCACTGCACTCCAGCGTGGGCAAGAGTGAGACTCCATCACAAAGAAAAAACTTGTGTGGGCCGGGCGCAGTGGCTCATGCCTATAATCCCAGCACTTTGGGAGGCCGAGGCAAATGGATCACCTGAGGTCAGGAGTTCGAGACCAGCTTGGCCAATATGGTGAAACCCTGTCTCTATTAAAAATACAGAAAATCAGCCGGGTGTGGTGGTGGGTGCCTGTAATCCCAGCTACTCAGGAGGCTGAGGCAGGAGAATTGCTTGAACCCAGGAGGTGGAGGTTGCAGTGAGCCAAGATTGTGCCATTATTGCACTCCAGCCTGGGCAACAAGAGCAAAACTCCGTCTCAAAAAAAAAAAAAAAAAAGAAGAACCTAACTCTTGTGTATATGTGTATTGCTGTTTAATTACATCAATAATAAATTAATTAATTAAACACCAATAATTACATTACATTATTGATGTTTAATACCTGCTCCTTGTTATAAATTTAAACAATACAGACAATTACAAACCAAGTGAATGTCAACCCTTCCACCCTGCACTCCCGTTGCCTGGAGGTAGTCATCATTAACTGATTAATGACTGTCCTTCTTGACCTTTGACTCAATACCTTCACACATATGCTCAGAGTTGAGTTTTCTTGATGATGTTTTTGCAAAAGTAGAATCATGCTACACACAGGTGAGGGATCTCACACATTCGCCCCATTGGCGGTTGTGTAATAGTCCACTGTATGGATGCACCATGACTTACGGACAGATGTTGATAGATGTATGAGTTATTTCCAGTGTTTTTGCTCTTTTGAATAATTCTGCAGGAAGTTGTACCCACACCTTTGTGCACTGTGAGTATTTTGGTGGACTGGAACCGGGTGCTGTAGGTGTGTTACGCAGACATCCATGGGCATCAGATATCCCATTTCCTGCTCTGCTCTTCAGACCACCATCCCTGCTCAGGGCTGCATCCCAGAACTGTCTTGAAGAGCCCCTCCTACAGTGCCATGCACACAGTGACAGCCCAGGGGTTCTCATCAGGTGTCCACTGGAACCACCTGGTGCCCTTGATCAATACGGATCCCCTCATCCCCCGACCCCACCATTCTGAGGCAGTGGTCTGGGGTGGGCCAGAGTTTGTATAACATCAGGCCACCCGGGGGTTCCTGGTGCCCATGCCAGGGAGAACCACTGCTGCCACCCTCTCTTGACCACTGTCTTTTTTTCCTCCCAGAACAGGTTCTCAGACTATGAGAAGAGGAAGGTAAGAAAATGCCTTTACCCTTCTGTCACTCTTTTCTCATTAAAGATCTCAACTCAACTCATAAAATATTTGAGAAAATGACTTCTTCCCAGCTCAGAATTAGAGGTCACAGTAATGCCTTCCTCTTACACGCAGTCTGCTGCATCCTCACATGCCTCAGGTGGGTGGTAGAGCATCCATGGGACAGGTGCAGAGACTGAGGCTCAGAGGGGTTGAGCCCAGCACCGGGCTCTAGACCACTAGCCTCTTCCTGTGAACAGCTTGTTTTCTTACAGTTGGGCCCTGGAGGGGAGTGGGGGTTGCTCAGCATGAAGACCTGGAGCCTGCCCTGTCAGTGTTGAGGGGTGGATTCTCCCGACTTCTGTGTCCTAACTCCCCCAGGGCCTGTGCTGACAGTCACCAGGATCTGTGTCTTGCAGGAACAGAAGATGCTGGAGAAACTCGAGTTTGAACGGCGCCTGGAACTGGGGCAGCGGGAGCACACCCAGCTCCTTCAGCAGAGCAGCAGCCAGAAGGATGAGATCCTTCAGACGGTCAAGGAGGTTTGTGAGCCGCCTGCTAGGGTCCAGCCTGGCTGCATCCCCCAGCCAGTGGCCTCCTGGCTTGGGCCAAGGTCCCTCGGATGTGGAAAGGCAGTGGGATGAAGCTGTCACTTCCTTCTGTCCCCCAGCACCTGGGAGGGCCCTTACAGATCACCCAGCCCAGCCTCCCCGTGTGCAGATGGACACTGTAGCCTACTGGGAGGAGCTGGCCGGAGGTCACACAAAAAGGATTGGCAAGGCAGGGTGGGAAAGCCAGCCTCCTAACCCCAGTCAGTACCCCTCACGGCGTCTGAGGGGGTCCCAGGGGCTCAGGACCCCTACCTCCGGCTGCAGGAGCAGTCCCGGCTGGAGCAGGGCCTGAGTGAGCACCAGCGCCACCTCAACGCAGAGCGGCAGCGGCTGCAGGAGCAGCTGAAGCAGACGGAACAGAACATTTCCAGCCGGATCCAGAAGCTGCTGCAGGACAATCAGAGGTTGGGCTCTGCTCCTCGGCCCCAGCCCCAGAGTCCTTCCCCGTGCAGTCCCCTGAGGAGCCGGGAGGAGTGTGTTTCTCCCTCACTGCCTCTGCCCCTGCCCCGGGCTTCCCTTGTCAGGATCCAGTCTGGGTGCTTCAACTGGCACCAGCGTAGAGAGAAAAGAATCTGACCCAGTCATTACAAAGTCTGGTTTCTTAGCATGAGACTGCTACCAGATTGGACCTGTGGCCTCGGGCAAATGTTTCCCCACTGGGCCCCAAGCTTCCCATCTATAAAGTGAGTGGGTTTGACAAGATAGTTGGGATCACATCCTGCTCCAGTATTTTGGGTTCTGCGTAACCCGTTGCACTGAGGTCAGCTGTTCACCTGTAGTGAGATTTGCCTTAACAAACCCTGTGCAAGGTACGAGCTAGTAAGAGCAGATCTTGATGGGGCTGGGGAGACATGGCGCCAGAAAAGCCTGAGAAGTCTAGTGAGGGGGCCCATTGCAGGATGATTCCAGAAACAGGCTCCAGCCATATGCCCTGCCACTTCCAGGCCTCTTTTTTCTAACCCTGAATCACTCGTTCCTCCCTCACCTGTCAGTTTCAAAAGTACCTGCATGAGTTCAGGAAACCAGTCATTTGTTGGATGCTTCTTATGTGCCAAGCTTGTTACATCTATTTCTTCATTAAGTCTTTACAAATGCACCAAGAAGCTGGGTTGTTTTCATTTTGTTTTGTTTGAGACAGAGTCTCGCTGTGTCACTGAGGCTGGAGTGCAGTGGTGTGCTCTCGGCTCACTGCAACCTCCTTCTCCCAGGTTCAAGCAATTCTCTTGCCTCAGCCTCCCAAGGAGCTGGGACTACAGGCTTGGGCCACCACGCCTGGCTAATTTTTGTAGAGATAAGGTTTCTCCATGTTGACCAGGCTGGTCTCGAACTCCTGACCTCAAGTGATCTATCCACTTCAGCCTCCCAAAGTGCTGGGATTACAGATGTGAGCCACTGTGTCTGGCTGGGTTTTTTTATTCTTCTAATTTCATAGGTGAGGAAACCTGGGACTTGAGTGGTTTCAGTAACTGGCTAAGAACCCAGAGCTTCAAGGTGGTGGAGCCAAGGTGCCCCCAGCCCATTTCCTAAGCCCCTCTGCACAGCTAACGCAGTGAGACAGGAAACAGGCCTGCTGGTGACTGCCAGGACCTTTTATGATTTTCTCCACAGACAAAAGAAAAGCTCCGAGATTTTGAAATCGCTGGAAAATGAAAGGTAAGTGTTCTTCCAGGGGAGGGCAGCATTTTTTTTTTTTTTTTGAGACGGAGTCCTGCACTGTCGCCAGGCTGGAGTGCAGTGGCACAATCTCGGCTCAGTGCAACCCCCGCCGCCCAGGTCCAAGCAATTCCCCTGCCTCAGCCTCCCGAGTAGCTGGGACTATAGGCGCATACCACCACCAGCTAATTTTTTGTATTTTAGTAGAGACGGGGTTTCACCGTGTTAACCAGGATGGTTTCGATCTCCTGACCTCATGATCTGCCCGCCTCGGCCTCACAAAGTACTGGGATTGCAGGCGTGAGCCACTGCTCCCGGCCAAGGAGAGCAGCTTTGAGGGGAGAATGTCTTGTGATTCTCCAGAGGATTATGCCAGGACATTTCCCTAAAGCTATAAGGAGATTCACCTCCTTAGACGATATTTAATTACAAAGAATCATTGTCTTCAAGTTCATTAAAACATACGTACACTCCTGAAAAACATTCAGAGACATGAATAAGGCTAGATATATAATGTCCAACTATATTCCTAGTATAAAAAGTTCAGGCCAGGCGCAGTGGCTCACATCTGTAATCCCAGCACTTTGGGAGGCCGAGGTGGGCAGATCACTTGAGGTCAGGAGTTTGAGACCATCCTGGCCAACATGGCAAAACGCTGTCTCTACTAAAAATCAAAACTTAGCCAGGAGTGGTGGCAGGCGCCTATGGTTCCAGCTAAAAAAAAAAAGAAATTCAGAAAAAAAATCTAAATTTCTGGAAAGAAAAATTATTTAGTTACATAAATTATGTATGGAGGAATAACCTGCAGCCATTAAATGTCTTATTGAATAATATTTCTCATTAAGGGAAAACATAACATATTGCTAATGGAAAAAGTGACAGGCTATATTTATAGCAGAATTTTTAGTATATCTTTTTTTTTTTTTTTTTTTTGAGACGGAGTCTCACTCTGTCACCCAGGCTGGAGTGCAGTGGCACGATCTCGGCTCACTGCAACCTCCACCTCCCAGGTTCAGGCGATTCTCCTGCCTCAGCATCCCGAGTAGCTGGGATTATAGGCGCATACCACCAGGTCCGGCTGATTTTTGTATTTTTAGTAGAGATGGAGTTTCACCATGTTGGCCAGGCTGGTCTCAAACTCCTGACCTCAAGTCATCCGCCTGCCTCAGGCTCCCAAAGTGCTGGGATTACAGGTGTGAGCCACCGCACCCGGCCATGTGACTATTTGTGAAGGAAATATTTAAAGGACATTTTGCTAGGTGCCAACTTACCTTCCCAAAAACATTCTGCCAGTTTACACTCCTCTCAGCAGTGTAGGAAAGTGCCCATTTCTCCACCACCATCACCATCACAAACAGTTACCAGTTTTCTTACTGTCAACCAACCTAGTAGGTGAAAAGATTTTACTTTCTTTAGTTACCAGTAATGTTAAGCATCTTTCCAGATGTTTATTGATCACTTGAATTTCAGCATTGGCTATTTGCTTCTTTTGCCCATTTTCTAAGGGAGCGTCCATCTTTTTACACAAGATACTCGAACTACAGGCTGAAGGCGAACAGAGGGCCCCAAGGGTTGCTTGTGATGCGGTAGGCATCCAGAGAGCCCATCTAGGTGTAGGTTGCCAAATCAAGGAGGCCTTCCTGGAGGAGGTGGTGTTCATCTGCTGGGATTCCCTGTTGGAAATGTTAAATTTGCTGAATGAATGGATGGATTTTTTTCTAGAATAAGAATGGAACAGTTGATGTCCATAACCCAGGAGGAGACTGAGAGCCTGCGGCGACGTGACGTTGCCTGTGAGTTTTGGGATGGGGAGCTTGTGAGCACGCTGCCTGCTGGCTGGGCTGGCAGGGTGGATGGCCCTCCCTCTGTTGGCCATGCATGGAGGGCCCTGAGTGTTAGCCCTCGAGAGGGGCAGTCAAGTCCTGCCATGGAGCACAGGCTCTGGGGTCAGCCTAGATGTGGATGCAGAGTCCCAGTTCAAACACCCACCATGTGACCTTAGGGACATTACTGCTTACTGCTCCCCAACTTTTCCAAGGCTCGGTTTTCTTAGCTATAAAATGGAGGAAATGGGCCAGGTGTCGGGGCTCATGCCTGTAATCCCAGCGCTTTAGGAAGCCGAGGCTGGAGGATCACATGAGCCCAGGAGTTCAAGGCTGCAGTGAGCTGTGATCACACTACTGCACTCCAGCCTGGGTAATACAGCGAGACCATTTCTCAGAAAAAAAAAAAAAGAAAGTCCAAATGCCCCCAAATAGAGGATTGTTTAAATAAATGTTGGTGATCCATATGCTGTGGCACTCTGCAGTATTAGCATCCCATTAGCATGTTATCAGGGGGAGTGTTCATAAAAATGGGAAGTGGGATGATACCATTTTCATTTTTTTAATTGTAAAATATGCATCATGTAAACTTTACCATCTTAATCACTTTATTTTATTTTATTTATGTTTTGAGACAAAGTCTCGCTCTGTTGCTCAGGCTGGAGTACAGTGGTGCGATCTTGGCTCACTGCAACCTCCGCCTCCCAGGTTTAAGCGATTCTCCTGCCTCAGCCTCCGAGTAGCTAGGATCACAGATGCACACCACCACACCAGGCTAATTTTTGTATTTTTAGTAGAGATGGGGTTTTGCCATGTTGGCCAGGCTGCTCTTGAACTCCTGACCTCAAGTGATCGCCTGCCTCAACCTCCTGAAGTGCTGGTATTACAGGCGTGAGCCACCGTGCCTGGTCTTCATTTTAAAATATATTAGTTCTGTGGCATTATTGTTGTACAACTGCCACCACCATCCATCGCCAGAACTTTTTCATCTTCCTCAACTGAAACTGTCCCTAGTAAACACTAACTCCCCGTGCCCCCCTCCCCTCAGCCCCTGGGAATCAACATTCTACTTTCTGTGTGTGGATTTGAGTGTTATAAGTACCTCCTATATGTGGAATCATACAATATTTCTCCTTTTGTGTCTACCATATTTCACTTAGCATAATGTCCTCGGGTTCATCCATGTTATAGCATGTGTTTGAATTTCTTTCCCTTTTTTTTTTTTTTTTTCCTGCTTCTTTATTTCTAAACACTGGCCCACCAGGGAAAAATTTTCTTCCTTTTTAATAGTAAATAACGTTGCATTTCCTGTATATGCCACATTTTCTTTTTTTCTTTTTTCCTTGCTCTGTCACCAGGCTGGAGGGCAGTGGTGTGAACCTGCTCACTGCAGCCTCCACCTCCTGGGCTCAAGCAGTCCTCCCACTACAGCCTCCCAAGTAGTGGGGACTACAGACACATGCCACCTCACCTGGCTAATTTTTTTTTTTTTTGAGGTAGGGTCTCACTCTGTTGCCCAGGCTGGTCTCAAACTCCTGGGCTCAAGCAGTCCTCCCACCTTGGCCTCCCGTAAGTGCTTATATTACAGGTGAGCCGCCATGTCCAGCGTCTACATTTTCTTTATCCATTCATCTATCAGTGGGAATGTGGGTTGTTTCCACTTTTTGACTCTTATGAATAATGCTACAAATGTGTGTGTACAAACATCTATTCTAGTTCCTTCTTTCAATTATTTTAATTTTTTGATTTTTCTTTTTTTCTTTTTTTTTTTTTTTTGAGATAGGGTCTTGCTCTGTTGCCCAGGCTGGAGTGCAGTGGCATGATCTCAGCTCACGCAACCTCTGCCTCCCGGGTTCAAGCGATTCTCCTGCCTCAGACTCCCAAGTAGCTGGGATTACAGGCACCTGCCACCATGCCCGGCTAATTTTTGTATTTTTAGTACAGACACAGTTTCGCCATGTTGGCCAGGCTGGTCTCGAACTCCTGACCTCCGGTGATCCACCTGCCTTGGCTTCCCAAAGTGCTGGGATTACAGGCATAAGCCACCACGCCTGGCCTATTTTAATTTGTTTAATTCCTAAATGCATAAAAACTGACTAGAAGAATATATATCAAAATGGAATAATATTTCTGGATGACAAGATCACAGGAGATGTTATGTATGTGCTATTCAGTGTTTTACAATTAGCCTTCCAAGCATACGTTGCTTTTATAGTTAAAAAGAACAGGCCGGGCGCAGTGGCTCACCTGTAATCCCAGCACTTTGGGAGGCCAAGGCGGGTGGATCACGAGGTCAAGAGATCGAGACCATCCTGGCTAACACAGTGAAACCCTGTCTCTATTAATAATACAAAAAATTAGGCGGGCGTGGTGGCAGGCGTCTGTAGTCCCAGCTACTCGGGAGGCTGAGGAGGAGAATGGCGGGAACCTGGGAGGCAGAGCTTGCAGTGAGCTGAGATCGCACCACTGCACTCCAGCCTGGGTGACAGAGTGAGACTGCATCTCAAAAAACAAAACAAAACAAAAAGGAACAAAGGGTTTTTTTTAAGATAACTATCAGGTAGGTAACCAGGTGAGGCCTCAAGGCCTGTTCCTCAGTTCCTGTGGAAATCCCTGCTGCCTCCCTGCCCAGGTGCCCCAGGAGCAGCCACTCCACTCAGCTGTCCCCACCTCATGTTCCCACAGCCGCCATGCAGCAGATGCTGACTGAGAGCTGTAAGAACCGGCTCATCCAGATGGCCTACGAATCTCAGAGGCAGAACTTGGTCCAGCAGGCCTGTTCCAGGTAAGGTAAGGAAGAGGAGTCCCAGGTGAGGGAGCTGGGGGAGCTGGCTCAGGGCCCAAGACCGTGGGATGAGAGCTGGGCACTAAACCTCCCGCCCTGGGCCACCCCAGCCTCTGCTCTGCTGTTAGGGGCAAGTGATGGCTGCTCTTCCTGAGTTTTCTAGCCGGATCCATGATTCAGTGTTGGGCTGTGTTAAAGTGGTAACAGTCATTCCCATTTCTTGTGCACTTCCTGTGTGGCAGGCACTCGGCTAAGCGATGAACCACATTCGCTGATTGATTCTAGGAGGGACTGTATTGTTATTAGCCCGATTTCACAATCGCAACTCAGGTTCTGAGAAACTGTATAACGCACCCAAGGAAGCAAGCCAGCAGGTGGCGGAGCCAGGATTTGAGCCCGGCAGAGGGGAGGGGTGTGCTCTTGACTGTGGTACACTCATCAGTGTCTGAGGACCCCCACGGTTGGGGGTGGGATGCCCTGGAAGGATAAGTGAAGGGGTTGCTTTCATGCTGATGGCTGCTCTGGGGTCCGGCTCCCTGTGCTCACTGGGCACTGTGGGTTTGTTGGAGGTTCCACAGGTGCCCAGCAGAGCCAGTGGGGAAAACTCAGTGCTCAGGAGCCCCAGACAGGGACAGGCCAGCAGCCCTGGATGCCCTGTTTTTCCTCCCATGCATGTGGCTGGCACTGCTGCCACCCTCCAGGGCGCCTGGACTGTGCGGGCCTCCCCTGGGTCCCTGCAGATGTGGGAATTTCTCCCCCCTTTCCTGATATGTGACACTGTGCTTAGGAGTTGCAAGCGCAGGGGTCAAACAGACCTGGATCCAGGTCCCACTTCTGCTTACTAACCGTGAGGTCTCAGGCAAGTCTCTTTCCTTCTTTGGGCTTCAAATTCCTTATCAGATAAATCATAGTACCTACCTGTAGAGTTGGTGGAGAATTTGATGAGTGTTGATGAGCATAATCTCTAGTGCATAAAGGTCCAATAAATATTTGCTATTGTTGTGAAGCAGGGACCTCACTGGGAAAAAACAGTTGCTATTATGAAATAAACAAAGCCAAGATGGTGGCTGGGCGCAGTGGCTCACGTCTGTAATCCCAGCACTTTGGGAGGCCGAGGTGGGTGGATCACCTGAGGTCGGGAGTTTGAGACCAGCCTGGCCAACATGGTAAAACCCCGTCTCTACTAAAAATACAAACAATTAGCCAAACGTAGCAGTGGGCGCCTGTAATCCCAGCTACTTGGGAGACTGAGGCAGGAAAATTGCTTGAACCTGGGAAGTGGAGGTTGCAGTGAGCCACGATCACACCACTGCACTCCAGCCCGGGTGACAGAGCAAGACTCTGTCTCAAAAAAAAAAAAAAAAACAACCAAGATGGTGCCAAAGCACAAACATACGTGAGGCTGCAGGTTCTTGTGCCCAAGTCAAGGGCTGCTCCTTGCTCCCTGCCCAGGGTGAGAGTGCCGGGAAGGACAGCTTTGTCATACTTCGGTGGCTCACCACCCATGGGAGTCAGGAGCTCCCCACCCATGGAGGTGGCTGGGCAGAGGCAGGCATCCACTTCCGGGGGGTGCTGGGGAGGGGATTCTGGTGGCAGGTTGGGTGAGAGGACCTGGAAGCATCTCTCTCCCAGCTCCCAACTCGATCCCCTTCCCTCCAGGCCATGGGATTCAGACAGACTCAGTGTCTGTGGCCCACCCAGGGCCCGGCTCCCAGCAGGTACTCCATGAATGTGGTCCACTGAAGAAATGGGTTATCTTGATCTCCTCCAAGGGGCCTGGCACATAGTAGGTGCTCGGGAAACGTTCCAAGAATGAATGAATTTGCTGTCTTTCTGGCAGCATGGCCGAAATGGATGAACGATTCCAGCAGATTCTGTCGTGGCAGCAAATGGATCAGAACAAAGCCATCAGCCAGATCCTGCAGGAGGTGAGCCCTCGCCCAGAGCCTGAGGGTGGGAGCTCAGGAGGGAGGTTCAGGAGCCAGGGCAGAGTGCAGAGCTCCACACGGAGCCCTTCCTAGACAGCATGTGGGACCACAGAGGTTTGTGACCATAGAGGTGTACAAGTGATCAGGGTGAGGGGTGGGAGAGGCTGAGGGGGGGCCCGGGGGATGGTCTTCTGGTCACTAAAATCCACAGAAGCACCTCCACCTGCTCTCTGGCAGGCTCCTACCCCCATCCTGTGTAGGAGGCTCCATTGGAAGGACTTAAGTGGCAGGAGGTGATGGTGACCACACCATGGAGGTCAGGGCACAGAGGACGCTGTGGGACCTCTGGCCTCTTCTCATGTCCAGACCTGCTGTGCTGCTATCTGCTCTTCCATCTCTGCGGTGCTCAGGAGGTGCCTGGCAGGGCTCTTGAGTGGATGAAACGAAGGGCCCCTGTGACCTCCTCCCCTTCGGTGTCCATATTACTCTGTTTAGCGTTTTTGTTTTCTTTTTTTGAGATGGAGTTTCCCTCTTGTTGCCCAGTTTGGAGTGCAGTGGTGCGATCTCGGCTCACTGCAACCTCTGTCTCCCAGGTTCAACTGATTCTCCTGCCTCAGCCTCCCAAGTAGCTAGGATTACGGGCACCCACCAACACGCCCAACTAATTTTTGTATTTTTAGTAGAGATGGGGTTTTGCCACGTTGGCCAGGCTGGTCTCGAACTCCTGACCTCAGCTGATCCACCCACCTCGGCCTCCCAAAGTGCTGGATTTACAGGCATCAGACACCGTGCCCAGCCTGTTTAGCTTTTTATTTTCCTTTTTTTCTTTTCTTTTCTTTTTTTTTTTTTAAGACAAGGTCTTGCTCTGTTGCCCAGGATGAGTGAAGTGATGTGATCACAGTTCACTGCAGCCTCAAACTCCTGGGCTCAAACGATCCTCCCACCTTTGCCTCCTGAGTAGCGGAGACCACAGGGCCACCATGCCCAGCTAATTTTTTTTTATTTTTTGTAGAGACAGAGTTTCCCTATGTTGCCCAGGCTGGTCTCAAACTCCTGGGCTCAAGCAATCCTCCTGCCTCGGCCTCCCAGAGTGCTGGGATTACAGACATGAGCCACCGGCCTGTTCAGCTCTTTCCTGCAGCCCCGTGGGAGTCTTGCCGCTGCCTCCCTTCTTCCCTCGCCTTTCTCCCCTGTCCTCTGCGTGTTTGTCATCCCACCCTGCTCCTTTCTCCCTAATTTCAATCTCTGTTCTAAAATGGTTTGACTTAGTATCTGTGGAGCTTGTCTGAGGAAAATTCTCCATTTCTCAGAGGAGGCATCTGCCTTGTGGTTAAGTGGGGCTCGGGAGCTGGATAGGCTTGGTGTGTGTCCCAGCGCCGCTGATTCATGCCTCTGAGTGTCACTCCCCATCTGTGAAGTGGGGCAGTAAAAGCACCCCCACGGTCCACTGTGGTGGAAACTCAGGGTGCGATGCCGGAAGTGCATCAGGTAGAGGCTGCCCGAAGTGAGCCCCTAGTACCATCTTAAGGTTTACACAAGTGAGGTGAAATCTTCTCCCTCTCTCAGAAAAAACCCATCCATTAAGGTGCTTTGTACACAGCTTTTGCTTTTCACAGGGATGGGGCTGCAGGGAAAAGTGTGGGCACGGCCCCTGCTGAGGGCTGGTGGTCTGTGTTGCAGAGCGCGATGCAGAAGGCTGCGTTCGAGGCACTCCAGGTGAAGAAAGACCTGATGCATCGGCAGATCAGGAGCCAGGTGAGCGCTGGGGCTGGGGTCCCTGGACCTGCTCTCTCAGAGACTTGCAGAGTGGCCCTCCAGGGCGGCAGGTCGCAGCAGTTGAGGTTTGAACCCCAGCTCCTTGGCTTGCTAGCCCAACAAGAGGTCGAGGCCTTGCCCTCAGAACCTCCCTTTGCTCCCAGCCTTGTGTCGGGGCTGCTGGGAGGGTGTCTAGAGACCTCCTATTCCGGGGTCTGGCGAGGGTCTTGCCAGCGAGGCGGGTCTCCACCACGCCTGGGCCAGGGAGGCTGGTGCTGATGTGTGGCTTTGACTGCTCCAGCTGCCTCTGCTGTCCCTGCTCCAGGCAGGACTTCCCCACTGGGAAAAGCAGCCGGCGCAGGCCCCAGCGCTCCTACAGCTCAGACAGACAGAGGCGTCTCAGGGGCATATAGTATTTCCCCCAGAAGAGGGCAGGGGGAGCTGTGAGCCACGGTGGTCCTGACGCCTGCTGAAAAGTGACCTCGGCCCAGGAGGAGGCGGTCCTCCTCTTAGACCCTCCCTCATGTGACAAGATACCCCCCACCCCCCGCAGGCCGGCTGCTGACCTTCAAGCCTTGGGCAAGCCCACCTACACGGCTTGGTGGTCACCGCCTGTGGAGTGGGGCTGGGGCTGGGGCTGAAGTGAGCGTCAGGCTATGGGAGTACTCCTGCATCATGTTCAGCACACTGAATTTTGCATTTTTGCATGGTTTTTTTCTTTCTCTATTTTTCTTTCTTTCTTTCTTTCTTTCTTTCTTTTTTTGGACCAATTTACCTTTTTAATTTCCCTCTTTAATTTCAATTCCACATTGCCGGACATGAAGCTCATTCCTCTGACCAGGGGTTGGTGGTGTCATAGGGACTTAGGGATGAGGGTCACAGGGTCATGGGCACAGGATAGAGAAGTACTGGCTATGGGGTCTGACCCCCACCCCTGCCCAGGGCTAAAATCCCCTAGACACACCCTGGAGAGCCTGTGAGGGCCCCCCACATTCTCACTGCAGATGGTTTTGACCAGGTCAGCTATTGCCCTTAAACCCTGAGCTGAGGCATCCCAGAGAAAGGGATCTCTCCCTTACCTGCTCTGTGTCCTTGAGCAAGTGAGAACCTCTCTGAGCCTCAGTTTTCTTGTCTATAAAATGGAGGCAATAATACCTCCTAGCAGCCAGAGAATTGATGAAATATGATACATCAAGTGTGCAGCACAGGCCTAGCACATAGTAGGTGCTCAAGACATACCAGCTACTACTACCACTGTTACTCAGTCACTTCCACTACCCTCTGCTCTCCCCTGCAACAGCGATGCGAGGGACAAGAGAACTTGACCAGCAGGAGACTGGGTGATAGCTCTGTCTGTGCTTTACTCTGGCCTGAATCCCCAAGGAAAGCCCCCTCTCCATTGCACAAGCCTTTATCCTGATCCCACTCTAGGAGAGATCCTGTGCTGGCCTCTTGGTAAACAATTTTGGCCACAACAAGCACGTCCATGCCCCAGGAACGCGAGGCCATGAAGGAACGAATTCTTGTTCAAGCCCCTTGACGAGGTTCCCAGGCCCGCAGGTTCCCCTCATTCCAGAGCCTCCCCAGCCTCCCCAGAAAGGCTTCTTAGACCCACTTGGTCACCAGAGAGTAGCAGCACAAAACTGAACTGTGGTTAATGTGAGTAAAAAAAAACCCTGTCTCGTCTTCTGTTTAGATTAAGTTAATAGAAACTGAGTTATTGCAGCTGACACAGCTGGAGTTAAAGAGGAAGTCCCTGGACACAGAGTCACTCCAGGTATGTAGGGCTCCCTGCCCCTGCCCTCCTTCACGTGGTGAGACCCCCACCTGGTGCTCCCTCCCAGCCTCTGGCAGCTGCTCACCAGCCCCTGGGAGTCAAGGGCTTCCCCAGCAGACAGAGGGCAGAGCTCCTCTGTGGCTGTGACACCAGAGGACACCCCCCAGCCCCAGAAGGCCCAGCGCAGGCCAAGGTTAGAGGTGGTCAGCCTGTTGCGAGGCAGGAGGGTCAGAGGAAGGAGGGTTTCATTGCCAAGGCTCCCCTGCTCATCTCCATCACTGTGTCTCCTGTGCTGGGTGCGGGCCCGCCGCTGAGCTCCTGTCTCTCTCTGTAGGCCGTGCTTTAGGCCCCCAGGCACACATCCTCCAGGGCTGGAGCTTTTGGGTGTCCCGGGTTGTCTGGAGGAGAGGGCCCAGCCGCATCTGTGTAACTCCCTGCAGGCAGCATCTCTGGGGCTCCAGCCCGGGAGTCCTGCGCACACAGATGAGAGGGCAGCAGGGACTGGCAGCTGGCGTCCTGGACTGGATGCCTGGGAGCCGGGTGTGGCCCAGCACAGCCCTGCTGTGCAACTTTGGCAGGTGGGGGAGGAGAGGCAGCCCTTTCCCCTCTCTGAACCTCAGCCTCTCCAGCTGCAGACGGAGGGCTGGATGGGATGGTGTGTGAGGACATGTGCCTGTGCCAGGAGTTTGAGCAGAGCCTTCGGTCTGTCACTGTCCCTGTGTCTGTTCTCAGTGGAGAAGTCTCAAGCCATCCCATGGACTCCTCAGTGCAGTGAAGGGTCTGGGATCTGGATCCCTGGTCTCAGGTGCACCGCAGGTGTGCTGTGTGCCCTTAGACAGGCCTCTGCCCCTCCAGGCCTTCTTCCCCTACTCCATAAGATGGCAGCGGTCCTCCAGGCCCAGCCTGTGCCATCAGGCCATCGGAGAAGGCTGAGCTAGCAAGGGAAAGCCCTTTGTGAGCCTTGAAATGATCTCCAGAGATGAGGGGACTGGGACTGCTCTCAGAGAAGCTGCGGTCATCATGCCTGGCGGGTGCCCTAGTCCCTGCCCACAAGTGTGGCAGGGCTCTGGCTGTTGGGGCCCCCATGGGGTTTCCAAGAGCAGGCGCAGGAGTGAAGCAGGGACCCCAGGCTCTGGTTTGCACGCACCTCCATTTGTGTGGGGCCCCACACTGCTCCCCGCCATTTGCTTCTGCCCATGTGCTCTGTTGTCTGGGAGACCAAAGGCAGGCACCTGTGGCTTGTCATTTCTTTTGTTTGATGTTTCTTACCATCCCATTGTCATCAGTCACCAGGATCCCATGCCTGACTTAACCCCACAAGGAAGAGAGATGCGGGCTTAGGGTAAGGGGGCAGAAGGGCCTCTTAGCTTTGTCCCCCAACGCAGCCTGGAGGCATTGGGCAGAGAACCGAGTGAGCGGGAGGCCAGGCCCTTCTCCATCCTGCCACTGCGGGACTCCTGCGCTGCCGCCAGCTCACGGTGGTGCGGGGTGTGGTCTTGTTCGCAGGAGATGATCTCGGAGCAGCGCTGGGCCCTCAGCTCCCTGCTCCAGCAGCTGCTCAAAGAGAAGCAGCAGCGAGAGGAAGAGCTCCGGGAAATCCTGGTATGTGTTTGGCTTCTGTGCTCAGCATCACACAGGCATTTGCTTTTCTTTAACAGACTTGCCATTTTTAGAAACACCTGTTATTCAAGTAAGAGTTATTCATCAAAGAAAAACTGGAAAGTACAAAGGAAAATAATTGCATTTCCAAGCGTTATCTCCTGCCATTTTTTATTTGTTTGTTTGAGACAGGGTCTCACTCTGTCGCCCAGGCTGGAGTGCAGTGGCGCAATCTCAGCTCACTGCAGCCTTGACTTCCTGGGCTCAAGCGATCCTCCCACCTCAGCTTCCCGAGTAGCTGGGACTACAGGCATGTGCCACCATGCCTGGCAAATTTTTTTATTTTTTGTAGAGATGGGGTTTCGCTATGTTGCCCAGGCTGGTCTCCAACTCCCGGGCTCAAACGATCTGTCTGCCTTGGCCTCCGAAAGTGCTGGTTTTACAGGCATGAGCCACCGCGCCTAGCCTCTCCTGCGGTTTTGATGCATATTTTCCAAACATTGTGATGCACCTTTATAGCTGTTCGTGTATGCGCCTTTTAAACGTGGCATGCTGCATACCCTTTTCGAGCAGCCTGTTTCCGCACATTCTTTTCAAGTCATTAAACTATTCCTTGACGTCCTTTCTCAAGGCTGTCCGTGGCCCCTATTGTTGAGTATGTGGATTACTTCTGGTTTTTAAACTTTTCTAGGCAATGCTCTCCGAATGCCTTTGTAGTCGAGTATTCGGGAACAGCCATGAGTATTCACTCCAGACAGGACTCACTATGTCCAGGGCAGGCCGTTTGATAAGCTTTTGGCAGGAGTGGCCCAGCTGTCCCTGTCCCCTGATGGGTTTGACACTGGCACATTTTCAGCGTGGCAGAGGCCCCCTTGAGAGTGTCTCCTCTAGACCCAGAGGGCACCCAAGCAATGAGGACAGAGGCCAGGCTCACCATCTGGGGTGGAAAAGACCGAGTCGTTCCTGTGTCCCCGTGAATGCACCAGATGCCCTCTGAGCTGCGTCCTAGGCCGGGTCCTGTGCAGGTTTAGAAGAGAGAGACCAGCTGCTTCTGGAGCCCTGAACAAGCCAAGTGGTGCCTGTGCCCATCAGAGGAAGCTGCCTGTTCCTCACGGTGCCCTACTGCCATCTCCTACGCATCAGGTTACTTTGCAGATGGTGCCTTGGCGCTGTGCCTTAGCAGCCAGGTACTATGGCTGGTGCCCCTGCCCTTGTAGGCCTTGGGGGTCACCACCAAAGGAGGAAGCACCGCCCCAGCAGAACACAGCCCATCCGGCTCCTGGGCGCTGGAAGAGAGGGGCTGCAGCCCGGGAGGGCCAACGACGGAAGGGAGCAGTGGGCGTGGCCAGGTCCAGGAGGGGCCCGCAAAGGGCAGTCAGGCCCAGCAGGGATTGAGAAACGCCTGTGTTGATCCCACTCCCCATGTCATGCCAGCCCTCACTGAACAGCTCCGTTGTTCTGAGCACGGGCTCTGGAGCAAGACAGGCCTGGGTCCAATTCCTGGCCCCACCCTGGGCAGGTTACTCATCACCCTGAACCTCAGCTCCCTCACCTGGGAGGTAGAATCTCCTTCCCGGAGTTGTGAGAATTAATGATGGCATCGTTAGGTGCACAGCATGGTCTGGCACATGGCACTGTGAACATGTCAGCTACGCCTGTTGTCACCGTGGCTGTTATCAGCATTGTTTGTTCACTGCTGTATTCCCAGCACCTAGAACAGTACTCAACGAAGAGTTATCGAATGGCAGAATAAAAGAATCACATTCAGGCTGGGTGCAGTGGCTCACGCCTGTAATCCCAGCACTTTGGGAGGCCGAGGTGGGCAGATCACTTGAGGTCAGGAGTTTGAGACCAGCCTGGCCAACGTGGTGAAAACCCCATCTGTACTAAAAATATAAAAATTAGCCGGGCATGGTGGCACACACCTGTAGTCCCAGCTACTCGGGCACTCCAGCCTGGGTGACAGAGCAAGAGTCCATCTCAAAAATAAAATAAAAGTACCAAGTGCTGTCCACCCGCTCAGAGGAGCATGGTTCATAACCATCATTTTGGTTTTGTTTTGTTTTGTTTTTTTGAGACGGAGTTTCGCTCTTGTTGCCCAGGCTGGAGTGCAGTGGCGCGATCTCAGCTCACTGCAACCTCTGCCTCCCGGGCTCAAGAGATTCTCCTGCCTCAGCCTCTCGAGTAGCTGGGATTACAGGCATGTGCCGCCATGCCTGGCTAGTTTTGTATTTTTAGTAGAGGTGGGGGGTTTCTCCATGTTGGTCAGGCTGGTCTTGAACTCCCGACCTCAGGTGATCTGCCCACCTTGGCCCCCCAAAGTGCTGGGATTACAGGCATGAGCCACCGCGCCTGGCAACCATCATTGTTATTACAGGTTTTATTACCATTTTGTGACTAACATTGCCTGCTTCATTCCTGGCAGACGGAGTTAGAAGCCAAAAGTGAAACCAGGCAGGAAAATTACTGGCTGATTCAGTATCAACGGCTTTTGAACCAGAAGCCCTTGTCCTTGAAGCTGCAAGTAAGGACTGCTGGTGCCTGTCCCGGCCAGGGAGCCCTGGGGACCTCCTCCCAGAGGCGCCTGTGGTGCCTCCACCATGCTCTGCCTCTTGTTACTTTTCTGGTGACTCTAGCATGCCAGATCCTGTGCCAAGCCCCAGTGGAGACAGAAGCGAGAGTAAGGGAGTGTTCATTCTGGTGAGGGGGACGACAAGGCACTGGTCACTGCTGTGCAGGGCAGAGACCACTGAGCCCACAGTAGAGCAAAGCCTGTGCCGGGAGCCACTGTCTGTCCAGCACCTGCGGGGACAGAGAGGCAGTTGAAACAGCCCCCTCTTGGTGGATGTTCAAGTTGCTTACTATTTTCAGGTTTGCAGACAGAGCGGCAGTGAACCCCTGGGCCTATCTATCTATCTATCTCTGTGTGCCTACCTATGAGTTTTTGTAGGAAAAATCCCGAGTACATTCTATGTATTATGTTATAAATATTCAAACCCTTCATTTCCTGTTGTAAACAGTGGGTTCTTTTCTTCCTTCCTGCTCATGGTACACGTTTCTGTCTTGCAGGAAGAGGGGATGGAGCGCCAGCTGGTGGCCCTCCTGGAGGAGCTGTCGGCTGAGCACTACCTGCCCATCTTTGCGCACCACCGCCTCTCACTGGACCTGCTGAGCCAAATGAGCCCAGGGGACCTGGCCAAGGTGGGCAGCAGCCGTCTGCATGGAGGGGAGGGGCACGCAAGGCCGCTGTCCTGACCAGCCGGGGGTTGATCTGCTCCTTGTGTAGTCCTCGTTGAGGCCTGTCCTTACCTAATGGCCCAGGGCCACCTTGCTTCCAGATGGCCAGAACACCTGCCCATCTGCCCCAGCCGCCTGTGTGTGCCCTGCACACTGTCTCACTGGGAAATCCTGGGGAGGTGGGTCCTGCTGACCTGATCAGACTGGATCTTCAGACTGGAGGGACAAGACAGGCCCTTGGGGCTTATCTGATCCAGCCTCTGCCCTGCCTCATGGTGTCACAAACTGTCGTGGCCACAGCACTGCCTGAGCCCCTGTTCCTTTCTGGGCACAAGCTGAGCTCTTTACAGCACATTAATCCACTTATTCTTCAAAACAGAATACTCATCGCTGTGCCAGCTAACTTTGTAGCACCTGCACGTGCGGGGCACCATTTTAAGCACTTTTTGTATTCGAACTCACTGAATTCTCCCGACAGCCCAGCAGGGTACATATCATTATCATCATCTTTCAGTTGAGACCCAGTAAGGCAATAACTTGGCCCAAGGTCACACAGCAGAGTGAGGTCTCCACCCCAAGCAGTGTGGCCCCAGAGTTCGTGTTCTTTTTCATGAGACTCTCCTGCCCCTCCCTGGACAGATGCAGACACCAGGGTCCAAGAGGACTGGATGGCACTGAGGGTCACAAGGCCATGCCGCTCAGGCTCTGGAGGCTGAGGGACTGTGGGGCTCGTGTGCTGCTGCTGCTTAGTGGCTTGGCCTCCAAGGCTTCTCTCCTCCCCCACCTGGTGGGGAAGTGGCTGAGGTGTGCAGGTGAAGCCTGGCACCGGGAAGCAGTTGCTAAACCATAGCTGTTGCTAGTGCTGGTTTCCCTTTGGGCCTCAGTTTCCCCCCAACCCCTGCCACACTGATTGTTGGGCTGAGGCCTGGGGAGGTTGCCCTCACAGCTATGGTGCCGCACTGCCTCATCCTGACCGTGGGCCCCGCCAGGCCCCGGAAGGCTTCCACATTTCCAGCAGGAGGTGTCGACGGTCCTGTGAGCCTGGGCCTGTGCCACGTGGCTCACACCATTTAGCGGGCTCCCGCCCAGGCCACAGTCTGCACTTCCTTGAACTGTCACAGGTGGGCGTCTCAGAAGCTGGCCTGCAGCACGAGATCCTCCGGAGAGTCCAGGAACTGCTGGATGCAGCCAGGATCCAGCCAGGTACAAGCACAGCTCCAGCCTCTTCCAGGCAGGGCTCCAGCCGTATGTGTGGGCTCTGGTGGGGACAGTCATTTGCTTACATTTCAGGATGACTCCTGAGGGCTGGTTCTAGCCTCTGCTGGTCGGTAAGGTTTCCTCCCAAGGAGCAGGCTTAGGGATCAGTGAGCCCATTTTACAGATGGGAAAAATGGGCCACCAAATTGGGAGAACAGGAGACCTCCACGTAGCAGTGGAGGGGCCCTCCCAGCTCCCTGTCCCATAGCCTTCCCTCAGTCCACCCTACAGACGCTGGGATCCACACACTGAGGGACTTTGGACTAGAGGGAGAAATAGCCCGTCCCCAGGGCCTGCAGTATACCCAATGCTGGGCCTGAGGCATGCCTGTGGACATGGAGAGATGTCCACAACAGGCTGTGAAGGGGCAAAGGCAGGTCGTGAGGCCCGTGGGGAGAAGGGGCAGGTGTGGAGTCTGGGGTCTGCCATGTGCTGAGCATGATCTGGGAGCCCGGCACCTGCCCACCGCTGTGCATGAACCACGTTGAGGAACCTCCGGATCCATCCCGTGAGGAGGCACTGTTGTGGTCCTCATTTTCAAGATGGGGAAACTGAAGCGCAAAGAGGTTAGCATGTCCCCCATCAGGTCCCATTGCTGGCAGATGGTGGAGCCACTGGGCTTGCCTGCCTCCCTGGGGAAGAGGTGAGGGGCCAGAGCAGGGGTGAAGGAGAGGGCAGTCTTGTGCTGCTGGGCTGGGCGAGGCTCTGGACAGGGCATTTTTAGCCAGAGCCAAGGAAGAAGCGGAGGAGCTGAGGCGAAGGTGGAGTTCTGGACTGGACCTCAGTGGGGAGGCCCCGGGGCTCCAGGGGGCTGGGCTGACTGCAGCCCCAGGATAGCTTCAGGCACCAGTTTTGCAGCTACTTTTACTCCAGGGACACTGACTCAACCCCCAAAAAGTCATTAAACTTCTTAGCTTTTTGATATCAAGTCATGTGCAGAATAGGCCCCTTCTGGATGTTCCTGACCCCCCAGCTCTCAGACTGGAGATCAGAAGAGTTTTCCATCAGGAGTTGGGGTCACCCCCGGCAGACAAGCCTCACGTGAGCAGGAGCCACAAACAAACAGGTGCCCTTCACCCTGAGTGGGGTGCAGTGCCTCTGAGCCCAGCAGTCCTCAGGACCGGCTGCTTCTCACTGTTTGAGTCATCCCTGGAGCAAACAAGCAGGTTCTTCCTCTCCATAGCAGATTGGCCATGAGGATCTGTGGCCACATGCAGAAAACGGATGCCTGGGCTGCTCAGGGCTTCCTGCTTGTGCCCATTGGCAGGGGAAGGGGCCATGGTGGGATCCGTCCTCAGTTCCAGAAGGCAAGGGAAACCCTCAATTTCCTAGCAATTCTCTTATTACTCCCAGAAATCGGTATACTTTATATCAAATATAGAGGCTGGGGCCAGGTGTGGTGGCTCACACCTGTAATCCCAGCACTTTGGGAGGCTGAGGTGGGCGGATCACCTGAGGTCAGGAGTTCGAGACCAGCCTGGCCAACATGGTGAAACCCTGTCTCTACTAAAAATACAAAAATTAGCCAGGCGTGGTGGCGTGCACCTGTAGTCCCAGACTCAGGAGGCTGAGGCAGCAGAATTGCTTGAACCCAGGAGGCGGAAGTTACAGTGAGCCAAGATCATGCCATTGCATTCCAGCCTGGGTGACAAGTGAAACTCTGTCTCAAAAAAAAAAAAGAAAAAGAAAAAAACAAATATAGAAGCTGGGTGCAGTGGCTCATGGCTGTAATCCCACACTTTGGGAGGCCTACGTGGGAGGATCACTCAAGCCCAGGAGTTTGAGACCAGCCTGGGCGACATAGGGAGACCCCTTCTCTACAAAAAATAAAATAAAATTAGCTGGGTGTGGTGGTGCACACCTTAGTTCCAGCTACTCGGGGGGCAAAGGTGGGAGGATCGCTTGAGCTTGGGAGGTCGAGGCTGCAGTGAGCCATGATTGTGCCCCTGCACTCCAGCCTGGAAAAGAGTGGGACTGTCTCAAAAACAAAACAAAAAAATTAAAAAAAATTAGCAAGGCGTCATCCCAGCTACTCTGGAGGCTGAGGTAGGAGGATTGCTTGAGCCTGGGAGGTTGAGGCTGCAGTGAGCTGTGATCATGATACTATACTCCAGCCTGGGTGACAGAGCAAGACCCTGTCTAAAAAAAAATATATATATATATATATATGAATGCCCCCTCGAAATGGTGGTTTGGGGGGAAGCACTGATAGCCTTAGAGGGTCTAGTGTTGTAACAGCCTTTAAAAAATCTTTAGTTGTGGCCGGGTGCGGTGCCTCACGCCTGTAATCCCAGCACTTTGGGAAGCCGAGGCGGGCAGATCACGAGGTCAGGAGATGGAGACCATCCTGGCTAACATGGTGAAACCCTGTCTCTACTAAAATTAGCTGGGCACAGTGGCGTGTGCCTATAGTCCCAGATACGCAAGAGGAGAGGCTGAGGCAGGAGAATCACTTGAATCCAGGAGGCGGAGGTTGCAGTGAGCCGAGATCGCACCACACTGCACTCCAGCCTGGCAAGAGTGAGACTCCATCTCAAAAAAAAAAAGAAAAACTTTAGTTTTTCCTGTTATAAAAAATAATGCTTGTAATTCAAGCCGTAGAATAAAGTGAACCGTGATCAGGAAGGGAACGAGGGATAGAGTCAAGGAAGTGGGTGGCTCACGTTGCATGATAGAAAAAGAGACTTAGCAGCCGGGCACGTTGGCTCACGCCTGTAATCCCAGCGCTCTGGGAGGCTGAGGTGGGCAGATCACCTGAAGTCAAAAGCTTGAGACCAGCCTGGCCAACATGGTGAAACCCCACCTCTACTAAAGATACAAAAATTAGCCTGTCGTGATAGTGGGCACCTGTAATCCCAGCTACTCGGGAGGCTGAGGAAGGAGAATTGCTTGAACCTGGGAGGCAGAGGTTGCAGTGAGCCGAGATCGCGCCACTGAACTCCAGCCTGGGTGACAGAGCGAGACTGTCTCAAAAAAAAAAAAAAAAAGAGACTTAGCATTTTGTAAGGGCTGCTTCTGATGTCTTAGCAGGGGATGCTGACTCCAGGGCAGAGCAGCCAGCATGCTGGGGACTCTGTGGGGCTGGGGGCAGGGGAACAGCCTTGCGGGGGGCCTCTCATTCTGCTCCCCTGGGTCACCTGATGGGCAGCAGCCCATCCTGTCTCCTGGGCAACCAGGTGGAGAAGCCAAGAGCTGGCCCTTCACTGAGAGCTCCTGCCCCAGGGATCTGCAGCTGCATCACCAGATGGCCACATGGCCCTGGGTTGAGTGACTCCCCGTCTCTGAGCCTCAAATGTCTCATCTCTGAAAGTGCCAAGCCCTACTTGCAGGGTGGCTATGAAGCGTCCCGGGGACATTAGAGATCAGAGGACCCACTTAACAAGCGCTGCGGCCATCCCTGCAGAGAGAGACTTCACTCCCATTCTGCAGATGGGAAATGAGGCTCAGAGAAGAGAAGAAGAGAGTGTGTGGCAAGGAGAGCACTTCCCTCAGATCTGAGAGCAGAGGCTCCCCCACCCTCCAGCTCACTCACCATGGGGATGGGCAGGGCCACAATGAGCCCCCAGGGGTTAGGGTCAGCGGAGATGACCCTGGCTCAGTCTGTCTGTCTGGTCCCCACAGAGCTGAAACCACCAATGGGTGAGGTCGTCACCCCTACGGCCCCCCAGGAGCCTCCTGAGTCTGTGAGGCCATCCGCTCCCCCTGCAGAGCTGGAGGTGCAGGCCTCAGAGTGTGTCGTGTGCCTGGAACGGGAGGTAAGTCCGGGGCCCTCCCCACCCGCCTGCCCTGCCTGTGGCCACCCTCCTCAAATTCTGCAGGTACAGGGTTGTCTCTGAACGTGTTTTCTCCAGTTCTCTAAGTAGACTGTGCTCATCTAGAAAGAAGGCAGGAAATAAAGATGACCCCTGGTCCCATGACCCAAATATGAGCTGCGCTCACATCATTTTCCGGACCTTTTTCTTTTTGTTCCTACTTAATAAATACATTAGGAAAAAATTTCCCAAATCATGAAATATCAACAACATGATTTACCCTGCAGAGGCTTTAGAAAATCATCTTTTGGCCAGGCATGGTGGCTCACGCCTGTAATCCCAGCACTTTTGGAGGCCAAGGCAGGTGGATCACCTGAGGTCAGGAGTTTGAGGCCAGCCTGGCCAACATGGTAAAACTCCATCTCTACTAAAAATACAAAAATCAGCCAGGCGTGGTGGTGGGCGCCTGTAAGCCCAGATACTTGGGAGGCTGAGGCAGGAGAATCGCTTGAACCCGGGAGGCAGAGATTGCAGTGAGCCAAGATCCCACCACTGCACTCCAGCCTGGCAGACAGATCGAGATTCCATCTCAAAAAAAAGAAAAAATCATCTTTTAAAAATTCATTAACACTTACTCTAAAAATTACACAGAGCAGTGAATGAAATACAAATCCTCCTTTGCCTCCACTGAGGGATCCTACTTAGAAAAGCAGCCATGTTTGCAGTTTGATGATTCCAGGGTCTCCCGTTGACCTGACTCATGCCATGATATGGATGGACCTATTGGTTCCAAATATAATCCCTGTTCTGGGGCCCTTGGCATTCCAGACAGCTTTGAGCGGAGCTTGGATCAGTTCCTGAAAGCAGGAGATGCTGAGGCAAAGTGTGGTCCTGAGTCAGTGGCTGCTGCTCCGGGTTGGGATTGTTTGTAGACTGAGGAGTTCAGGGCCTGGGCAAGTGCATCAACAAGAAAGAAGCCTGAACACCCTGCGTGCCCTCCGGCAGGGGCCGGCGGAATAGGCCTCCGTCGCCTGTCCAGAGCGCAGGAATATAATCCCCAGTTTTATTTAAGAAAGAATCAGTTGGGGCATTTATATGGGTATTTATATTTTTTACAAACTATAGAGAAATAGACAGCAAACTGCTAACAGAAGGCCTAGGTTACCTGTTTCGGCCGTGCCTGTTCTGTTTCTGTGGTGGTCAAATGCCCGAAGGCCCCACTATCAGGCGTTTATGGTAAAGATGCTAAAGAATAATGAAGGGGGCCGGCATGGTGGCTCACGCCTGTAATCCCAGCACTTTGGGAGGCCGAGGCGGGCAGATCACTTGGGGTCAGGAGTTCGAGACTAGCCTGACCAACATGGTGAAACCCCATCTCTACTAAAAATACAAAAAATTTAGCCAGGTATGGTGGTGCACGCCTGTAGTCCCAGCTACTTGGGAGGCTGAGGCAGGAGAATCACTTAAACCCGGGAGGCTGAGGTTGCAGTGAGCTGAGATCCCACCACTGCACTCCAGCCTGGGCAACAGAGTGAGACTCTGTCTCAAAAAAAAAAAAAAAAAAAAAAAAGACGGGCCTGGGACTCCTGGAACCCGGTAGGGCCAGCCACATGCTCCCGCTCTCCCTCCCCAGGCCCAGATGATCTTCCTCAACTGTGGCCACGTCTGCTGCTGCCAGCAGTGCTGCCAGCCACTGCGCACCTGCCCGCTGTGCCGCCAGGACATCGCCCAGCGCCTCCGCATCTACCACAGCAGCTGAGTGCTGCCCGCCCACCTGGGCCTGGTCCTAGCCCTGCCTCGGCCACTGTGAGCCCCGGGCTCCTGCTCAGCCTTGTGCCAGCCAGACTCGTATGAGGCTCCCCCCTGCCCTGGGCCCCTTCCCCACTGCCCAGGAGCCCCCATCCTAAGCTCCAAGCATGTCTGGGCCAGGCAGAGGTGCTCCTCATCCATGACACCACCAGTCTGAATGGTCCTGGGGGCTGGGGCTGGAGAGGCCGCTGCACCACCACCCGAGCCTGGGAGCCAGCGTCCCAGCCTAATCACGGATCTGCTGCCTCCCAGCTGTCTTGACTGAAGGCCACCGCCCCTGCAGGAGCTTGGGTCCTCATCTGGGGGCCATGCACAGGCCCGTCCCACCCTGCATGTGGGAAGGGAGCAGGAGGGCCTGGCTGGGTGAGGGGAGGCCTTCCTGGGAAGGCGTGTGGTGCAGGCCTGTGCTCACAGTGGCACCAGCAACCCTGGGTCTCCCTCTCTGCTGCTCCCCAGAACCCCGGGGCCCTCCTGCTCTCCACAACTGTCCCTCCTTACCCCATGTAGCTCGATCCGAAGCAGGAGTGTCAATAAACCTGTCTTCAGTGCGCTTCTGGCCTGAGTCATCACTGGGTTCTCATGGGAGCCCAGGGAGGGGAGGGGACGAGGTCTGGGGATGGGGCTCGGGCAGAGGGCAGCTCTTCTCGGGGAAGGAGCCAGGAGTGCGCCGCACCTCAGTCGAGAGGAGAGGTCAGGTAGGGCCATCTCGAATGTCGTGTTATCCCAGCGCCCCCTTCACAGGTGGAGAGACCAGGGCCCAGAGGCAGCCAGGGCCGGTGATGGCTGCGGCCTGTGCCTCCATGAGCGGAGGAGCCCTGTGTGTTCCGTCCATTATCCCAGTGAGGCAGCTGAGGCTGATGGGGGTAAATGCTCAGGGCCTTGCAACTGGGACATGGTGATGCGGGGTTTGAGGCCCAGAAGCATCCTCACCTTCAAGCCCGTGCGGTTGTGCAGGTTGGTCACTGCACAATTCTTGGAGCCATATACACTTGCACTCGCTGCAGAGGTGCACGTTGATTATGCATTTTCCGGCAGACGGCGTTGAGCCAGGTGCAGCCTCTTCCTTGGGCTCGTGGCAGGCCTGCTTGGAGCACCTGGGCTCTGCCTCCAGCTCATTCAGTGATCGTGGCCAGTGTTTGGGCTCCTTTCCCTGTGCATTCAACACAGGACGTGATGCAGCCCTGACCGGCTGGTGGCCTCCAGGGGGCGCTGAGTGCTTGCCCCAAGTACAGCGTCCGCAGAAGCAGGCAGGAGAGTTCAGGTCCTGGGGTGGCAGAACAGCCCTACGCCTGGGCCTGTTTCCCTCTCACTGAGACCATCAGTCCTGTGCACTGAACAGGGCAGGCGAATACCCTTTGTCGTGTGAGTCATTTCCCAGGCAGGAGCTGGGTGGCCTTTTCCCACCCACAGTTCCCCCTCAGTTCCCCCTCCTCCCAACACCCTCCTGGGCTCAACTTGGCCAAGAGGGGAGAGACTGAGGCAGGTGGGGCTACCTCCTGGAGCGCAGTGCTTTGCAGATCTCCTTACGCTCTCACTAGGGCCCAGGGAGGCCTCATGGAGGATCTCGAGGCTCAGTGACCTGCCAAGGACAACAGCAAGGGACAGCCGCATCCCTGGTCTCCGGCCACACAGCCCCGTGTTCTGCACCTCAGCCCTTGTTGACCGAGGGAGGCCCAGGCCCAAGCCCTAGGCCACCATGGACAGGCTGGCACCAGGGAAGCCAACATCCCCAAGGTGACTGGCTGCCACCCCACCAGTAGGGACATGTTTTTACCCATAGATGGGGCAACCCACCCCCAACAGCTGCAGGGGCTCGAGGGCTGTTCCTGTACCACATAGGCTCAGCCCAGGTCCCCACCTTCCAAGGCCTCAGTGTACACATCGGTGAAATGGTGGTGACGACTGTGTCCACTTTCTAGAGCTCTCTCGAGGCTGCTGTTCCTGCACACAAGGCGCTTGGCCCACAGTGAGCGCTTGGTAAACAGGAGTGTGATCGGGAGCGTTGAAGGAGCTGGCATCACTGTTTGGATCCAGCCCGAGCCTGGGCCCACCCCTCTGTGGGCACCCCAGGGCCCTGAGTGGCCTTGAAGCTGCTGCCTGCTGCCATCCCTCTTGGACTCACCATCACCCAAGGCTGCCCGAGGGGCACCCGGCACAGGTCTGGCTGAGGAAGCTGCCTGTGCTGCCACCAGAAGGCAGGTCACCTTGGACAAGTCCCTTCTCGCTGAGCCTGTTTCCTTCTCTGTAAAATGGAATAAGAACTCAGATCATAAACATAGAGGCACTCAGTCAAGTGAGAAGCCCCGAAAGCCGAGCCGTATGGGGGCCTAGACATAGTCCCCAGCCCAGGCCCCCCGTCCCCTACCCCAACAGCACCACTCAAGGCAACTGGCTTTAAATAAAGCGTTTATTGATTAGTAGAAGCATGAACAGTGTGCATAATATTTTCAATACAATATCAGGGAGGGATGATGGGAACCCCTCAAAAGGCACTAGAGGCGCAGATCTTCGGGACAAGAGGGAAGAGATGCGCCAGAGACCAGGGCTGCGGCAGCTGGGGGTCCCTGAGTGCCAGGCGCCACCACACGTCCTGTGGGTCAAGGCCCCTCCTCTGGGGAGCAGGTCTAGGGCACGGAGGATGCAGGGCTGGGAGGGGACCCCACCTCGGGGACCCAAAAGGAGTCCATTTCTGCCCTGCCCCCCGCAAAGCAGCAGGGGAGGGGGCCTGGGGGTCCTGGGGTGGGGGATCCCAGGCCTGGGCCCATCCTGGCTTGACCCTTGTCCCAGGAACAAGAAGCTGAGGAGGGACGACAGCCAGGCCCAGAGTGACTCACAAGGACATCCAAAGAAGGGACTGGATTTTCAGAGGGAGGTGACTTGGTGACTGAGAGGCAGCAGAGGCCAAAGCCTGACCCCAGACCCTCAGGGAGGGCCCACCCAACCTGTACCCCTCAGGAGCCCCGTCCGGCTCCCCAGGCAACCACTGAGGACCTCGGGGTGGCCTGTAGAAGACAGAACCCAGCCCCATTACACCCCTTGCTGCCGCTCCATCCCCAACCACCAGAGGGACAGGGACCAGAGGGAGACCTGTGGGCCAGGCGGGCAGGAGGGAGGCAGGCTGGGGCCGGGAGAAGGGGATACACAGGCCCATAAAACCTCAGGCTCCCCATAACCCTCACTCAGCCATCTCACTCACTCACTCCCAGCATCCCCCAGGATGGGGGTCCCCTCCTTCACTCAGGACACTTCCCCTCCGCAGACCTGCACGTTCTGGGCCTTTCTCATTTCACCCCAGGCCTGCCCACCCCATGAGGCACCCCCTAAATCTCATCTCTCCACCCAGCACCCCCAGCCTGGCTCCAGCCTGAAGACCCCCTCCTTCCCCTTCCCTCCAGAACAGTGGGGAAAGCGAGGCTCGGTCCACCCCTAACTGCGGAAGGAGCAGGGCCAGGAGGGCAGCAGTGCTCCCTCTCCCGGTCCTGGCCCAGCCAGCTCCTGGGTGAGTGGGCGGGAACCCACTGGGCTCACACCAGCTTTCACCTCCCTCTCTCCAGGAAGGATGGCAGCACCCATGAGGGGATGGAGGCCACAGAAGGACAGGAAGGGAGGGGCTTTCCAGCCCCCCAGCAGTGTCCAGCCCTTGGCACAAGCAGGAAAACCCCAAAACCAGCCCCTGCATCTGAGATCATCCCACAGAAGAGAAAACAGGGAGCAAGAAAGTGTTGACTGAACCCAATAAAGTGACTCAGGTGGGCCCGCTCCCTGGCGGTGCCACACAGCCCTGCCCCGCCTCCACCCACAAGGCACAGACCAGGGTGCCCTCCCCAGAGCTGAGCCTGCCTGGGTCCGGAAGGGAACGGCCTGTGCCATGTGCAGCAGTCAGGGACCCACTGGCCTAGAACTCAGTCTGCACCCCTGCACTGTCCTCGGTGGTGGTGTGGAGGGCGGGGTGGCTGCTGGGGCTGGACACCTGCTCTCCAGTCTCCTGGTCGCTGGGCTTGGGGGGCCCAAGGTCCACAGCCTTTCCAGGCAGGAGATGCTGGAGGGGTGAGGCAGGCGGCGAGGAGGCCTCGGGGGCGGCCTTAGGCTGGGGACTCTCCCCAGCGGGGGCCCCGTTGAGCAGGGGGCCGGCTGGTGGGGGGCTCTCAGGCCGCAGACCTTGGGCCAGCAGGCCTCGGATCTCAGTGACACCGTCCGGGGACGCAGGTGGTGGTGACTCAGGGCTAGCCTCAAAGGGCAGCCCCACCTCCTCATCCTGGACCACAGAGACCACCTGCTTGGCGCGCCGTCGCTTTTCCGAGAGGGTGGCTGACTCCGGGGTGCTGGGGCTGGGGCTGCCGCCCCCGCCGCTGTTGCTGTACTCCTCGCCCCAGTCGATGGGGGCGCCCTCGGCCAGCAGGTGCAGGTTGGGGTCGCTGTTGTGCATGACCATGCTGTCCCGGTAGAGGTTGTGCTTCCTCTGCACCGCGGCCTCCTTCACAGCTACAGGGCCACAGGGGAAGGGTCAGGACACAGCACTGATCCCACAGCCGCCCCTGTGCTGGACTCTGCTCAAAGAAGACCCGTCTCATCCCGCCTTGGGGGTCTGTGGTT
Source organism: Homo sapiens (assembly GCF_000001405.40). Classification (NCBI taxonomy): domain Eukaryota; kingdom Metazoa; phylum Chordata; class Mammalia; order Primates; family Hominidae; genus Homo; species Homo sapiens. The sequence goes on from NC_000009.12 coordinate 127,507,543, forward strand.
GGGATGTGACTCATTCCAGGCCTCGTTGCTGAAAGCAGCAAGGCCGTGATGCTATCTCCAGGCCCAGGCTGCTGACCACATGTCATCTAATCACTCCTCTGACCCTCCCAGCAAAGCCAAGGACGCGAGAAGAAACTAAAGCACAGAGACGCAAGGCTAAGGCTGCTCCGGAGGCCACACAGCGAAGAGTGGGCTTCACCCAGACCCCAGGTGCAAGTCTGGGCTTTTCTTTGAGCCTTAGCTGACCCCCTCAGCTGCCACCACTTCTCAGCTGCGCCCCCAGCATCCTCCTGGCAACAGTCCCCACCCCGGGACGGCACCCACCCTGCAGGATGTCCTTCATGACGGTCTGCAGCACCACCTCCTCGTACGTGTTTTCCACCAGGATGAACCTGGCAAAGTCCTCGAAGATCAGCTCCTGGAACCGGGGCAGCTCCTGCCCGGGTGGGGCGGCAGAGATGAGAGGTCAGGGCCAAGGGTAGAGGGAGGCCTGTGGGCTCCATCCCCCAACTTAGGGCCCAAACGGCTGGAGCAGGTGGGGGCTGCTCACCGACTTGCAGGTAGGGGCCAGCTTCTTGAGCAGGAACGGGATGCTGATCTGCAGCAGCGCCTCCCGGAAGAACCTCTTCCGCACAGAGCTGCTGTCGTAGTCGTATTTCTGCAGGGAACAAGGGGGTCGGGGGTCTGCAGGTCAGTGGGCTCCATTGGCCCTGAGGGTAGGACGAGGCCAGTGGTCTGACCCAAGCCTCCGAGTCCTCATCCGCACAAGAGGACCATGGCGCCTCCTTGCAGGGACAGCAATCCTGGTGGTGGCCGGGGATGAGGCTCGGGGCTCGGCCTCGCCTAGGACGGTCCGGGGCAGGGCGTGGGGCCGCTCACCTTCAGCACCCGCTCCAGGACCCGCTGGATGGACTTGCACAGCTCCTCCTTGGTGGGCCCCTTCCCCAGCTCCTGGTGCAGGAGGGTCTCGAACGTATACACGGCATTGTCCATTTGCTGCAGGGCATACCGCGGACATGTGAAGCCCCCAGGGTGACCACAGCCCCTTCCTGGGTGCCGCTGAGGGGTCCTCATCCTCAACCAGCCCCCCACCCCGAGGCCTGCCAGGGAGGAATGGCAAGCGGTCTATGCCCACTCACAGCTCTGCACGCTGGAGCAAGTCCCTGCCTCAAGGCAACAGGAAATATGGGAAGGGGCCTGGGGGCGCAAGGAGAGCTTCCTGGAGGAAGGGGTCTCTAAGCTGAGACCTGGGAAGTGAGTCAGAATTAGCCAGGTGGGCAGAGGCACAGATGTTCCAAGCAGAGGAGGAGAGAGCGTGCCAGGCAAGCGTGGCTATGGCATGACGGGACGGAGCAGAAGGGACCCCCTGGGCGAGGGGGCCTGTGGAAGGCAGTGGACAGGGTGTGGGGTGGGGGTCGTAGCCTCGGGTCTACCTCCCGCATGTGGATCTGGGCTCGCTGCTTGAACACGGACGTGCTGGACACATCAAATCGCTGCTGCAGCCCGTCCAGTCGCAGCGACTCCATCTTCTCATAGCAGCTCTGCATCTTCAGGGGGTGGTACGCCAGCCGGGACAGCTTCTCCATGTACTGCAGGGGCCGGGGCCGCGGGGGCTGAGCAGGGCCGCCCTGTGGCCAGGCAGCACCCCCCACACACTTTGCCTGGGTCCTCGAAGTCCAGGCCCTGGGGCTGGCGCCTGCTACCAGGGATGGCCACCTGGTGCTCATGGCCACAAAGGTAAACCCAGGAGGGCCCAGGACAGAAGCATGAGGCTCTGAAGGCATGGAGGGCGCAGTCCAGTGGCACAGCGCTGTGGAGAGGCAGCCTCGGTGCCGGCAGAAGGCACTCATCCCTTCTGAGGTGCTGGGTGACCTTGGGCAAGTCATTCACCCTCTCTGAGCCTCAGTTTCCTCAGCTTCAAAATTGGGAGAGAGCTTTCCTGCTCTCCAAGGTCCTCTCCAGGTCTCAGATTCTGGGATTATTATGGTCTGTGGACTCCCCATTTCAGAGTATAAAGGAGGAAACTAAGATACAGGATAAATTCAATCTGACAACTATGCGGGCTCCGGGCAGCCAGCCCAAGATGGAGACTGTGGAAGGACGTTCACCCCGAGAGCCAGATAACTGAGGTCAAGTAAGGGCAACGGCTGTCTCCATTTGGAGGGCGCGTGACTTGTGAATTCTTCCTTATCAATCTCATTACTCCACCTGAAGCCCGCCCTTCCCTCTCCCCTCCTCTCCTTCCCTCCTTCCCTCCTCTCCTTCCCTCCTTCCCTCCTCTCCTTCCCTCCTTCCCTCTCCCCTCCTCTCCTTCCCTCCTTCCCTCTCTTCTGTTAAATTCTTTTCTATTTTAGCACCACTCTTGGTTTCTAAAGGCTGGTGGCCGGGAGCTAATGTTCCCTCTTTCCTCAAACTGCAGGCCCCACGAGGACTCCAACAGCCCTGGCCTCACAGCCTCTGCCCCTAGTCCCCAGCAGCCCCTCCCCGTCTACAGGGACGGCCTTGGAGGGGAACGGCTGCCCGGAGTCACGCAGCCGGGGCCCTCTGGGACAGACCAGACCTACTCTCAGGAGACCCCCTCCTAGGGGCGGTGCCGGCCTCACCTCGCCCAGCTTGTCAATGCCGCCCTCGTTGATGACGTTCAGGTTCATGTCCGTGACCTCCTTGAAGAAGACATCTCGCACCTCAGTGAAGCCCTGGCTGGTGGGGACCATCAGGGCCTCCAGGATGGATGGGATGTAGGGCTGGACATGGTTCCGCACGCACACCTCTGCCTTGGGGAGGATGAAGGCTGTGCCCCGAGGGAGCCGGGTCAGCAGGGGCTCCCCAAGGAGCACCTCCCAGCCATCCCAGAGCCCAGGTGCTGGAGGCTACTGTATTACTATTATTATCATTATTATTATATTTTTTTTGAGACGGAGTCTCGCTCTGTCGCCCAGGCTGGAGTGCAGTGGCGCGATCTCAGCTCACTGCAACCTCCACCTCCCAGGTTCAAGCAATTCTCCTGCCTCAGCCTCCTGAGTAGCTGGGACTACAGGCGCGTGCCACTGTGCCCAGCTAATTTTTATATTTTTAGTAGAGACGGGGTTTCACCATGTTGGTCAGGCTGGTCTCAAACTCCTCACCTCGTGATCCACCCGCCTCGGCCTCCCAAAGTGCTGGGATTACAGGCATGAGCCACCATGCCCGGCCTATTATTATTTTATTTGAGACAGGGTCTTACTCTGTTGTCCAGGCCGGAGTGCAGTGGAATAATCAAAGCTCACTGTAGCCTCAAACTCCTGGGCTCAAGCAATCCTCCCACTTCAGCCTCCTAATATTATTATCATTTTTATTTCAACTTTTATTTTAGATGCAGGGGGTACACTGCAGGCTTGTTCCATGGGTACATTGTGTGACCCTGAGGTTTTGGGTAGGATTGATCTCATCACCCAAGTAATGAGCACAGTGCCCAAAAAGTAATTTTTCAGCCCTCTCCCAACTCTCTCTTCCCATCATATTATTATTGTTATTAATTTTTGAGACAGAGTCTCGTGCTGTCGCCCAGTCTGGAATGTAATGGCACGATCTCAGCTCACTGCAACCACTGCCTCCCAGGTTCAAGTGATTCTCATGCCTCAGCCTCCCAAGTAGCTGGGATTACAGGTGTGCACCACCATGCCCGGTGATTTTTTTTTGTATTTTTAGTAGAGACAGGGTTTCACCATATTGGCCAGGCTGGTCTCAAACTCCTGATCTCAGGTGACCCGCCCACCTCGGCCTCCCAAAGTGCTGGGATTATAGGCGTGAGCCACCGCGCTCAGCCCCCATCAATACTTTTATTATTATTATTATTTTAAGAGGCAGAGTCTCACTGTGTTATCCAGGCTGGTCTCAAACTCCCTGGGCTCAAGTGATCCTCCTGCCTTGGCCTCCCAAGTGCTGGGATTACAGGCATGAGCCACCGTACCTGGCCAATATTATTTAAAAAAAAAAACCACTGGGGGCAACATTAGCAAGCTGAATGATTTCAGAGAAATAGTGGATAAAGATGAGAAATCCATGCAGGAAAAATGACAAGGTGTTCTGAGATTGGACTCTGATCTTTCTGAAACCATGATGGCAAAAAACTAAGAAAACTGCCATCTGACAAGAGATTAATAATCAGAAAATATAAGGATCTCAAACAAGTCTATAGGAAAAAAATCCTAGTAATCCAATTAAAAATGGGCAAAAGATTTGAATACATATTTCCCCAAAGAAGACATATAAATGGCAAACAGGCATATGAAAGGTACTCAACCCAAAACAGGCATATGAAAAGGTACTTGACATCACTGATCAGAGAACTGCAAATCAAAACTACAATGAGATGCCACGTCACCCCAGTTAAAATGGCTTTATCCAAAAAAAAGAAAATAACAAATGCTAGCGAGGATGTGGAGAAAAGGGAACCTCCGTACACTGCTGGTGGTGTGAAAGGAAAATATCTTAGGCCCCCAGAATTACGAAGCTAAAGGGAAAAGTCAAGCTGGGAATTGCTTAAAGCAAACCCACCTCCCGTTCTATTCAAAGTCACCCCTCCGCTCACTGAGATTAATGCATATCTGCTTCCCTCCTTTGGAGAGGCTAATCATCAACTCAAAAGAATGCAACTATTTGTCTCTTTTCTTCCTATGACCTGGAAGCCTCATGCCTGCATTGAGTTGTCCTGCTTTTCCTTCAAGTTCTCCCGCCTTTCCGGACTGAACCATGTTCATTTTACATTTTTTTTTTTTTTTTGAGACAGGGTCTCACTCTGTTGACCAGGCTGGAGTATAGTGGCTCGATCTCGGCTCACTGCAGCCTCTGCCTCCCAGGTTCAAGCAATTCTCATGCCTCAGCCTCCTAGAGCAGCTGGGACTACAGGCATGCGCCACCACATCCAGCTAAGCTTTGTATTTTTAATAGAGACGGGGTTTCACCATGTTGGCCAGGCTGGTCTCGAACTCCTGACCTCAAGTGATCCACCCGCCTCGGCCTCCCAGAGTGCTGGGATTACAGCTTGAGCTGCTGTGCCCGGCCCATTTTACGTATGTTGATTGATGGCTCAGGTTTCCCTAAAATGTATAAAACCAAGCTGTGCTCTGACCACCTGGGCACATGTCATCAGTTCCTCCTGAGGCTGTGTCACGAGTGCGTGTCCCCAACTTGGCAAAATCAACTTTCTAATTTAACTGAGACCTGCCTCAAATTTTCAGGGTTCACAGTGGGAATGTAAATGAGTACAACCACTATGGAGAACAGTTTGGAGGTTCCTCAAAAAACTAATAGAGCTACCACACAATCCAGCAATCCCACTGCTGGGTATATACCCAAATAAAGGAAATCAGCCCATCGCAGCGATATCTGCACTCCCGTGTTTGTTGCGGCTCTGTTCACAACAACCAAGATTTGGAAGCAACCTAAGTGTCCATAACAGACGAATGGATAAAGAAAATGCGGTACATATACACGATGGGGTACTATTCAGCCGTAAAAAAGAACGAGTTTCAGTCATCTGCAACAACATGGTTGGAGCTGGAGGTCATTATATTCAGCCAGGCACAGAAAGACAAATATCACATGTCCTCACTTATTTGTGGGATCTAAAAATTAAAGCAAATTGACATTTTGGAGGGGGCCTCCCCTGTGGGAGCAATAAAAAAGGTAAAAACAGACAAATAAACAAGCAGAAAACAAAGCAATTGAGCCCATGGAGATAGAGTAGAAAGATGGTTACTAGAGGCTGGAGAGGGTAGTCGAGGGCGAGGGGGAGATGGGAATGGTTAATGGGCACAAAAAGTAGAAATGTCAGAGGCATTTGAATCAGAGCAACTGTATCTTAAATAGGAGCTGGGTAAAATGAGGCTGAGACCTACTGGGCTGCACTGCCAGGCGGTGAAGGCATTCTAAGTCATGGGATGAGATAGGTCGGCACAAGATACAGGTCATAAAGACCATGCTGATAAAACAGGTTGCAGTAAAGAAGGTGGCCCAAAACCCACCAAAACCAAGATGGTGATGAGAGTGACCTCGGTCGTCCTCACTGCTACACTCCCGCCAGCACCATGACAGGTTACAGATGCCATGGCAACGTCAGGAAGTCTCCCTATATGCTCTATCTAAAAAGGGAGGCATGAATAATCCACCCCTTGTTTAGCATGTCATCAGAAATAACCATAAAAATGGGCAACCAGCAGCCCTCGTGCTCTGTCTACGCAGTAGCCATTCTTTTATTCCTTCGCTTTCTTAATAAACTTGCTTTAACTCTATGGACTCACCTTGAATTCTTTCTTGCCCAAGATCCAAGAACCCTCTCTCGGGGTCTGGATCGGGACCCCTTTCTGGTTACAGAATGAATAAGCCCTAGTATTTGATAGCGCAACAGGGTGACTATAATCAATAATAATTTAATTGTACACTTAAAAGTAACTAAAAGAGGCTGCACAGGTGCAGTGGCTCAGGCCTGTAATCCCAGCACTTTGGGAGGCCGAGGCAGGAAGATCACTTGACGTCAGGAGTTTGAGACCAGCCTGGCCAACATGGTGAAATCCCATTTCTACTAAAAATACAAAAATTAGCCGGGCGTGGTGGTATGTGCCTGTAATCCCAGCTACTTGGGAGGCTGAGACAGAAGAATCACTTGAGCCTGGGAGGCAGGGGTTGCGGTGAGCTGAGATGGCACCACTGCACTCCAGCCTGGGCAAGAAGAGTGAGACTCTGTGTCCAAAAAAAAAAAAAAAAACTAAAAGAATATACTTGGATTGTTTGTAACACAAAGGATAAATGCTTGAGGGGATAGATACCCCATTTCCCATGATGTGACTATTACACATTGCATGCCTGATCAAAACATCTCATGTACCCCATAAATATGCACACCTACTATGTACCCACAAAAATTAAAAATGAAAATGAAAATAAAATAAAATAAGAAAACTGCCAGCCCAGAGGTGTCAGCAGTGTTCTGCTTAGCTAGAAGTAGACAAAAACTCCTTTAGGATGGGTCTTGCTTCTTCGTTTGAACAAAAAGAACAACAGCAATGAAAAATACCTTAGTAGATTCAATGAGCCTCTTGGTTTTACAAAAACTGGGCTGATCCTCTCTGGAATAGTGTGGCTGGCTCTGCATAATTATGTAAAAGCCTTCTTCCTTTGGGTGGGGACCATCTCCAGAACATTCTGACCAAAGCATTTTCACTCAAGAATATTTAGATGTCCACCCCCATCCCAGCCCAGCTAACGTTCTTTGTTCCACACAAGAAATGTCAATGCTCAGTGTCCTATCCAGCTGTCAACCAATACTCAGGATCTGGCTAGTAAAGAATAACCTACAGGAGACCAGGCACGGCCACTCATGCCTGTAATCCCAGTGCTTTGGGAGGCTGAGGCAGGAGGATTGTCTGAGGCCAGGAGTTCGAGACCAGCCTGGGCAACACAGTAAGACCCCCTTCTCTCTCTCTCTTTCAAAAATTTTTAAAAGAGATAGAGTTTTGCCCAGCCAAGACCCCTTTCTCTACAAACAATTTAAAAATTAGCCAGGCGTGGTGGCCTGCACCTGTAGTCCCAGTTACGCAGGAGGCTGAGGTGGGAGGACTACTTGAGCTCAGGAGGTCACGCAGTGAACCATGATTGTACCACTGCTCTCTACCTGGAAGACAGAGCGAGACTCTGTCTCTTAAAAAACAGGCCGGGCGGCCAGGCGCGGTGGCTCACGCCTATAATCCCAGCATTTTGGGATGCCGAGGTGGGCGGATCATGAGGTCAGGAGATCGAGACCATCCTGGCTAACACGGTGAAACCTTGTCTGTACTAAAAAATACAAAAAATTAGGTAGGCATGGTGGCGGGCGCCTGTAGTCCCAGCTACTCAGGAGGCTGAGGCAGGAGAATGGTGTGAACCCGGGAGGTGGAGCTTGCAGTGAGCCGAGATCACGCCACTGCACTCCAGCCTGGGCGACAGAGCGAGACTCCGTCTCAAAAAAAAAAAAAAAAAAACAAACAAAAAAAACAGGCCAGGCACAGTGGCTCACACCTGTAATCCCAGCACTTTGGGAGGCCGAGGCAGGTGGATCACTTGAGGTTAAGAATTCAAGACCAGCCTGGCCAACATGGCAAAACCCTGTCTCTACTAAAAATACAAAAATTAGCTGGGCATGGTAGCAGGTGCCTGTAATCCCAGCTACTTGAGGGGCTGAGGCAGGAGAATTGCTTGAACCCGAGAGGCAAGGTTGCAGTGAGCCCAGATTGTGCCACTGCACTCCAGCCTGGGCAACAGATCAAGACTCCATCTCAAAATAATAATAATAATAATGGCTGGGCACAGTCGCTCACATCTGTAATCCTAGCACTTTGGGAAGCCAAGGTGGGTGGATTGCTTGAGCTCAGGCATTTGAGACCAGCCTGGGCAACATGGCAAAACCCTGTCTCTACAAAAAATACAAAAATGTGCTGGGCGTGGTGGCACATGCCTGTAGTCCCAGCTACTTGGGGGGTTGAAGTGGGAGGATGGTAGAGACTGCAGTGAGCCAAGGTCGTGCCATTGCACTGCAGCCTGGGCGACAGAGTGAAACCCTGTCTCAAATAAAATAAAATGAAATAAAATAAAATAAAAAGAACGTCCCATGGGCAACTGACAATTGCTAAAACTGAGCTCTGCAGATGTGTTATGGGGACCAAGCTGGTGAAAGGATCCCATCTGGCTGGGAAGAGAAAGGCGTACAGTCTGGGCACAGTGGCTCATGCCTGTAATCCCAGGACTTTGGGAGGCCAAGGTGAGCGGATCACGAGGTCAGGAGTTCAAGATCAGCCTGGCCAACATGGTGAAACCCCATCACTACTAAATACACAAAAGTTAGCCGGGCATGGTGGCGCGCGTGTGCCTGTAGTCCCAGCTACTCAGGAGGCTGAGGCAGGAGAATTGTTTGAATCCGGGAGGCGGAGGTTGTGGTGAGCTGAGATCGCACCACTACATTCCAGCCTGGGTGACAGAATAAACTGACCTGGGAAAGCTATACTTGCTGAACGTAAATGTACTTTAAAATGACACATGGTAAAAATCTGTGACGAGTCAGAGATGAAAAGAAGGCTTGAACCTCCAGAACAAAAATTTTTCTCTTCAAGTTCTGGGCTTATAGAAATAATAGCCACAAAACAACTCACAGGGGTTGGAGTACCACAGTGCAGATTTGGCTCTAATTCTTACAAATGATCAATGAGCAAGTCATTGCTGTGAAATTTACATGAATCATGAAATAAAAAGAAAGTCCACCTTGGCCCCTGGAGGGCCCGTCGAGCACGGGGGTGGCTGCCTACCTCGGATCTTGCTGGCAAGGTGCTCCTTGGAGGTGATAATTTGGTCCATGTCAGTTCGGATGACGGCCTGCATGGCCGGCTGCACCTGCTGCACCTTGGACAGCACCTCCTCGAAGCGCGCCTTGGCCTGCTCGTACACCATGTGGTACACGGCGTCCGAGATCTGTGGGCAGAGCAGCTGAATTGGCACCAGGGCTGAGGGCACCGCACCAGCTGCAGGTCCCGTCCCCGCTCCAGGGCCCCAGGCCCACCCACCTGGATCCACTGCCGCTGCCGCTCCTGCGGTTTCCCCTTCAGCCGCGGGCCGAGCTCTGCCTTCAGCTCAGGGCCCAGCTCCTCCATCACCAGGTTGCTCAGGATCTAGGTTGAGGAGGCACAAGCCAGGCCAGGGGCTGGAGAGCGCTCAGCTGGCCTGTTTCTCTCTGCATTCCCACAAGCCAGGCCGCTGCAGCCCCCACCTCCTCCGCGACTGGCCCATTGCTTCACCCTCCCTGCTGCCCTCTCTCCTGAGCTCCATTCCCACAGGTCCCAACTCATCTGCCTGGGTGTCCTGTAGGATCCTCAGACTCAAGGGCCAGCCCCAGGGCCTTTGCACAGGCTGCCTTCCCTACCTAGAATACCATACTCCCTCCCTGCTTTGCCTGCACATGGAAGTGTACATTTATTTGCCAAATGTCTGTTTCTCCTGCTATACGGAGAGCTCCCTGAGGGCCAGGAATTTGTCCACATCATTCCCAGCTGCACCCCAGTGCCTCGTCCAGGGTAGGTGCTCAGATGCCCAGTAAGTGATGAATAAGACAGCGAGTATCTCCACGTGCACTGGCCCTGCACTTGTCCAAATCTAAGCATGTCATCTCCTTCCAAACCGGCAGCGCCCCAGAGCCCCATCTCTGTACCCCACCCCCTGCCCTCCCCTGCTGGGTCCTTGGGTGACTTCTGAGGTTTCCTCACCAGCCCGTCTGGCCTCACCTGCACCTCGTTCCCACACAGCATCTCCCAGGTGCCGTACAGCTCCTTGGACTGTCGGTACATGCGGATGGCATCTGTGAACGCAGGGCCCTCTACCTTGGAGTCCTCAGGGATTCCTGCCCAGGAGACGGAGGGAGAGAGGAGGTCAGCAGATGGCCCAGTGGCCTCTACCAAGACCAACTGAGAACTGACCAAAACCCCCCCCACACACATGGCATGCACCTCAGGAGGGGCAGCTGGGACCCTCACTTTCCTCGTCATCAGAGCAGTCATGGTTGTATCTGATAGGCAAAAGCAGTAATGACCCCACCACCAACAGTGACAAGGCAGCCCCCTTGCCTCCTCCTTAGCTCCTGAAATCCTCCCAACCACCCCAAGACCTGGGCACTATCATTCACCTTATTGCTTTACAGATGATTACAGATGAAGAGACAACCGTTAGGGGACAGGCCACGGGCCCAGGGTCACAGAGCAGGGAGTGGCAGAGCCAGGACTAAAAGCTCCCGTCCCATAAGCAGCCACCCAGAATGGCCCTAGAGGCACCCAGAGACCCTTGTTCGAGCCCCAGTTCCTCCCTTACTGCTAGATCAGGGCCCTTCAAACTTTGCCTGGAACAGGCTAGGCAGCAGATATTCTCAGCCCGGCAGGCCATAAAACCCCTCCCGCAATGCTCGCCTCTACAGTCACAGCACAAAAACAGCCACGGACCATCCAGAAACAAATGAGCGTGCCTCTGCTCCAATAAACTTTGTTGACAGAAACAGGCAATTGGCTGATCTGGGCCCATAGGCCATAGGTTTCAGAGCCTGGTTCTAGATCACTGAACCCGAAATGGCCTGTTTCCTCTTCTGAACAATGGAACAATGGCCTCACAGGTCCACTGCGGGGCTCCCTGGGCCACAGTGTAGGGACAGGAGATCAGGGTCCAGCACTGCTCTGCGCCACACTTTTTATCAATAACTGAGGAGCCAGCTGCCTGCCCCACTGGGCCCGGGGTCTGTCCTGTTACTGCTAAGTCCAGGTCAGTACCTGGCACAGATGCTTGAATAACTTTGTTAAAGAATGAAGCTGGGTGTGGTGGCTCATGCCTGCAATCCCAGTACTTTGGGAGGCTGAGGTGGGGGAAATCACTTGAGGTCAGGAGTTCGAGACCAGTCTGGCTAACATGGCAAAACCCCATCTCTACTAAAAATACAAAAATTAGCTGGGCATGGTGGCAGGCACCTGTAATCCCAGCTACTAGGGAGACTGAGGCAGGAGAATCGCTTGAACCCAGGAGGCAGAGGTTGCAGTGAGCCGAGATTGCGCCACTGCACTCTAGCCTGGGCAACAGAGTAAGACTCTGTCTCAAAAAAAAAAAAAAAAAAAAAAAAAAGAATGGAAGAGTTTGCTATTAATAACAGCTAGAAGAACACCATTTCTGAATTTTTGTCACTGTTGGTGCTGTCAGTGGCCCAAACGCCAGCAAGGTAAACCCCTGAGTGAGGCGTGGACCTCCAGATTCAGTGCCCGGGAGGCAATTGGCAGGAAGTTACAAAATCTGACTTGGGGTAAGAAGGTGGTCAAACGCCACCGAGCCAGGCAGCAGGCAGACTCCCCTGGCCGCGTGCCTCTGACCACCGCATCCCCAAAGCCCAGGAAGGGGAAACGGAAGCCTGTGCATCAGAAACCTAAGGCTCCCACTGCCATGACTATGGGCTGAGTCACCACCGGCAGAGAAAAAGCCCCTCTCTGGGTCCCTCCTCTCCCCACACCCAGCTGACCACAGAAATCACTGCCTGTCGGAGCCGGGAGGGAGCTGAGCAGGGGGAGGCCCAGCCCTCATCCCTACAGCGCAGCTGCCTGGATGGGGACGGGGGCCTGTGGGAGTCTCACTCCTGCATTTCAGAGACCTGAAGTCAGGCAGGAGTGACAGGAGCAGGGCAGGGATGTTCCAGCTGGAGCAGCATGCAGAGCCCTGGGTGGGGGCTGCCCACCTGGGCCAGGGAAGGAGGTCCCCCCGCCACCCCACCCGCCTCTCAGAAGGGCATGGTTTCCTAGAAACCAAGTTTTGACTGGAAAATCTGGACAGTGCGTTACCTGCAGGCACTCCCACGGGGAGAGGGAATTTTCATCCTGCATGCACCAAGTCAGGTGTGCAGGGCAGGCCTGCTTTCCAGGTGGCGAGAAGGTGAGGCAGAGGGCCGGGACAGCGGGAGGGAGGCCAGCCAGCCTTGACCCTTGGGATTCTCTCTTTCTGCACACCCAGCCGCTGAGTGTGACAAGTTTCAGGGTCACCCCTCCTGAGCTCTTCCCGTGAGCCTAGCTGTTAGGGGCTGAAGTGTGTCTCCACACCCCCCAAATTCATATGCTGGAGTCCTAACCCCCAGTACCCCAGAACGTGATTATATTTGGACCCAGGGTCTTTTTTTTTTTTTTTTTTTTTTTTTTCTGAGAAGAGTCTTACTCTGTCGCCCAGGCTGGAGTTCAGTGGTGCAATCTTGGCTCACTGCAGCCTCCGCCTCCCAGGTTCAAGCCATTCTCCCGCTTCAGCTCCCAAGTAGCTGGGACTATAGGCACCCGCCACCATGTCCAGCTAATTTTTGTATTTTTAGTAGAGATGGGTTTTCACCATGTTGGCCAGGTTGGTCTCAAACTCTTGACCTCAAGAGATCCACCCACCTCAGCCTCCCAAAGCACTGGGATTACAGGCCTGAGCCACCGCACCCGCCCTTGGTCCTAGAGTCTTAAAGAATTAAGTTAAACAGAGGGGATGAGGATGGGACCAAATCCAATACAACTAGTGCCCTTAAAAGAATAGTACATTTTGGCCGGGCACAGTGACTCACGCCTGTAATCCCAGCACTTTGGGAGGCCGAGGCGGCAGAATCACGAGATCAGGAGATCAAGACCATTCTGGCTACAAAAAATTAGCCAGGTGTGGTGGCACACGCCTGTAGTCCCAGCTACTCGGGAGGCTGAGGCAGGAGAATCACTTGAACCTGGGAGGCGGAGGTTGCAGTGAGCCGAGATTGCGCCACTGCACTCCAGCCTGGGTGACAGAGCAAGCCTCTGTCTCAAAAAAGAAGAAAAAAGAAAAAGAAAAAAAGAAAAGTACATTTCTTCTTGAAAGAAGAGAAAACACAGGCACACAGAGGCATGACCCTGTGAGGACTCAGGGAGAAGGCGGCCGGCCACCAGCCAAGGAGAGAGGTCTCGGAGAAACCAGCCCTGCTGACACCTTGCCCTCGACTCAGACCTCCAGCTGGGAGAGAACATATTTCTGCTGTGTAGCTGCCCGGTCTGTGGTATTTGTTATGGCAGTCTTGGGAAACTGAGGCCCCAGCCCTGGCTGAGGCTGCACACACATCAGCTCGTTGAATCCTCAGCTCACTGTGCCCTACTTTTCCCAGGGAAAGAACTGAGGCTCAGAGAGGCAGTTACTGCTCGAGGCTACTCAGCTAGTGGATGGCAGAGCGGGGCTTGAACCCAGGACCAGCTGACTCTAGCCAGACCTGGAGACCTTCCAAGAAAGGAAACTGCATTCCTCACTCCCAGGCAGCAGACAGAGGGGGACCACGGTCAGACAGGAAGAAGCCTTGACCTCTGCACCCCAGGCCAACACTGAGGACCCGGCACAGCCAGTGCCCCAGCTGCCTCCTGCCACCCCCAGCTGCTCCAGGAATGCAGGATGTGAAGGGGTCCCTGGGACCGCTGGTGTCCGCCCAGTTGGCCTCCTTCCCCCCACCCCCCACTTCCTGGCAGCCCCCGGAGTGAGCAATTCCAGGCTTCACAAATTCCAAGCCCAGCCTCCAAGACGGAGGAAGCAGAGAACTTTCTCACAGTCCGCAGGGTGGAAGGAAGGCCTGAAACCAGCCTCGTCAGCTCCCGCCCTGGGGAGAAGGGGCCACCCGGCAGGACACCTTCCTGGCACAGGACACCCCTTCATTCCCTGGCCCAGCAGCTCTCCTGGGCCTCCCTCTGGTCCACTGCACCTTAGAACCAAGAACTCCCCCATGGCCTCCCCACTGAGTGCTCACTGTGCGTGCCAGGCCCACGGCCAAGTGCCCCACCCAGACCAGCTCTTCCCAATCATCTCTCAAGCTCAAGTTTATCATCATCCCCACTGCACACATGGGGGACTGAGGTGGCCCTTCCCCACCTTGTTCTGTGCCCACCCCTTCCCTATCTGGCGCAGGTCACCCACCCTGCCAGGCCAGGTCAGCCGTTAGCCTTGGAAACCTGGAGAGATGGCACCAGGCCAGGGGCTGGGGAGGCGGGAGGGCCCTGGGCCAGGCAGCCAGAGCCTTGAGTGCCTCCACCCAGTCCCAGCCCACAGTCCCCGGGACCTGGGAACAGGAGGCCCTTTGTGGGCAGCTGGGCCCAGGTGGCAGGGGCTGGCCTGATTGAAGACCTGGTTCCTCCTGCTTGGCAGATTCCAGACAGGGCAGAGGTGGCTCTGGAGAGGCGAGCAGGAGGGGTGGGGTGAGCTGAGTCCCACGGCAGCAGCCCAGAGGCCATTGGCGCCCACTCCGTCCCCTGCAACCTTCCACCTCTGCACCATGTGGCACTGCGCCCAAGGGTGGGGCGGGGGCAGGAGCTTCCCTCAGGCCAGATCACCTGGAAGCAGTTCAGTGTCCAGGACTGGGTTGTTCCTTCCCTAGGGGCAGAAAGACCCCCAGGGACCCACCCTCACCTTGGAAGACCATCCTCAGCCTTTCTGTTCAAATTCCTTAGAGGCCTTCAAGGCTTTTCCAGACCTGACCCCAGAGGCCCCCCTCCAGCCCCATTTCAGGTCACCCCCTCCCTGCTTCAGGGCCTCGTGCAGTTCCTCCTCCGGGCCTACCCCTACCACCTGTGGGTCTCCCTTCATGCTGACTGCCTACCTCTGCCTGGAACACTCCTCCCCTCTCCTCTATGCAGGATATGAGGGGCCCTGGGACTTCTGGCATCTCCTCCTTCAGGTCTGGGACTTCTCCTTCAGGTCTCTGCTGAAGCTGAACCATAACCTCCTCAAGGGAGCCTGCCCTGATCGACCCCTCCCCCAACACACACACACCCTCAGGCTCCCAGGTTGGCTCCACCCAGCACCCAGCACAGCTGTGAGCCATCGTGCTGGCATCCTCATCTGTCTATCATCTGTCTCCCCTACCAGACTGCCAATTGTAGGAGGGCAGGGAATGTTTCTTGCTCCCTTGTTGCACACCCAGTGCCTAAATCTGGGCCTCCTCAGAGTAGACACTAAAAATGTTTGTTGAATAAATGAGTGAGCTGGAAGAGTCACCCCATAAGTTTACAGATGAGAGCAATGAGGCCCTGAGGGAGGCAGTGAAGTTTCCAAATCACCCTGCAGGTTGGTGGTTTTAAAAAAAAAAAAAAAAAAAAAAAATATATATATATATATATATATATATATATATATATATATATATATATATATATATATATAAAATTAAAAAAAAAATCTTTACCAAGCATGAGGTAGACTCTAAATCCTCATAACCCCCCTAAGACACACAAGGCATTATCCCCACTTTACAGAGCCTCCAAGAGGTAAGTCAGTTCCCTAAGGTCACGTAGCTGGAAAATGGCAGAATCAGGATTGTGACTTTGTGACTCAGGGTCCAAGGGCTCAACAACCACACCCCTCTGTGAATAATTTCCTACTTTTTTCCTGAGCAGCACAAAACTGTTTTCATCAAGAAAGAAGACTAAGGGTGGTATTACATGGTTTCTTATAACCCCAGAAGGGAAATTAGAACAGCCTGTAGAGCAGGGTTGCCACACCATAGTCAGCCACTAGGTGTCACCATTCAGCAATAACCCAGGTCCTGCCCCTCCCTCCCACCGACCCTGCACCCACAGGCCACTCACCATTGTTGCAGTGCCGGATGCAGTCCTGCAGCACAGCCTGCCACTTGTCCTGCTCGGCTTCTGTCATCATGCAGAAGTAGTAGTGACGCGCATAAGGATGCCAGAGGATGAGCGGGAACTGTGTGGGGCACTTGAGGATGGGGGCACTGCCCGACTTTGCCGTGGTCCCTGTGGAGACAGTGCCTGATGAGCAGCTGCCCTCTGTGGTTGCCCTCCACCAGAGGATGTCAGAGAACTGATCCCTTGGCATCAGCTCTGAGGTCAGGCTCAGGCCCAGAGAAGGCCAGCCTGTCCCAAGGTGACCAGCAAGCCGGCGGGGGTGGGAGCAGCCTTCTTTCTGGCTGTGTTCTCCTCAGCCCAAAACCTGAGTCCAGCATCCGTGCAGACCCATTTCTTAGAGTGGGTAATAAGTCACATCCACCCCACTCTTGGGTTAGGTTTTAAACTCTGTAAAGCACAAACAACACAAGGTCAGAGCCCCCAGGTTCAAGGGTCAAGCACTACCTTCTTGGGTTTCCCTTCAGATTTCGGCTGTGGAGGCCAAAGTGTGGCTTAAGTGTCCACAGGGGGAGGGAGGCATGTGGGGAGGGACAAAATACAGCAAAAGGAATTTTTCCCTCCTTCAATTTCATTCTCAAGGATATGTAAGATCCAGCGAGATAACTGGTCCTGGGCTGTGACCCTGCCACTGTTGTTAATGATATGACAATAACAGTTCTTCTTTCTGCCCTGGCTCTGGGTTGGCCTGTGCCCCTCCAGGGTCCACACAACACCCCGAGGGCAGTCCTCTTAGTGCCTGTGCTTTGTAGACACTGAAGAGGCTGAGATTCAGGGGAGGGGGGGTGACTCGCCCAAGCAGACACAGTGAAACAAAGCCAGAGTCACGCTGGAATCCAGGAATGCTGCTGGAATCCAGGAATGCCGCTCGAATCCAGGAATGCCCAGGCCCTCCATCACCACAGAATGAAGGCATGACTCTACTCTCAAGTCCCTGGGGCATGACCTGCCCCCCAGGCAGGCATGTCCCCTGCCCTCTAGTTCCCAGGGATCATCAGAGAGGCCAATGTTGTTCCCGTAAGGCTTCTAGGGAATTTCAGCCAAGGTGAAGCAAAAGCAGGATGCCAAGAAGAGTAACTCCTGACGAACACAGTGCTGACCCACAGGTTTACGAGGGAAGGTCACTGAACATCTTCCAGGAGGCTCTCAAGGACTTAGGGAGATGCGAAAGGCAAACAATGAGGTCTCCATCCACAGCTCTAAGCCTAGTTGGTCTCTCCGCAAACATGGGGCTGAAAGCAATGGGCTCAGGGCCACCCCTCCCCTGGCCAGCTCCAGATGCCTGTGCAGGGCATTGTGGCCTGGGATGGGTGCTCCTTTACCTGGTAAGGAGTTGCCAATGAGCTCCAGGTATTGGTCCACGGACGTGAGGATTTTGTAGCCTGCACTGTTGATGACGGCTCGTGGTGGGACCTGCCGCTCATAGGCCTGAGGGAGGCAAGAGAGAGGGTCCCTGAGGGTTAAGGTGCGGCCAAGCCCAAATCCCACCTGGCTTCAAGGCCCTACTCAGTGTGGCCCAAAGTGGGGAGGAGAAGGGAAAGGAAGAAGAGGCAAGAGAGGAACAGAGGGGAGAATGTCACTATCATGGTGATTGGGGCAGTGTGGCATCCACAGCAACCTAGACCCCAGCTCTGGGCTCAATTCCTGGCTTCACTGGGTAGTGTCTGTGTGATGCTGAGGATAAAATTCCTTAAATGCCTAAACTTCAGCTTCTTCATCTATAAAACCAGGGAATCAAGAATATTCAGGATGGGGAAAACATTTTAAAATAAAAACAAAACCAGGGTAATAACCATTCCTGCCTCACAGAGCCATGTGAGGACTGAGTGAGATAATCTGCAGTGCCTGGCACACCACAAGGACTCAGCGAGCTTGGCCGAGGTTGTTGTTCTGTTTCTACTGCTGCTATTGCCTCTGTTCCCAGCAGCTCCACTAGTTAAGCATTTCTTACATACCAGGCCCTGTGCTAAGGGCATTGCATGCTTAATTTCACAGAATTTTCCCAATTCAAAAGGTGGATCACCCCCAACTTCACACAGTTGGGAAGTAGCAGATGTAGGACATGAACCAGGGCTATCTATCTCCAGAGCCTGGGGTATTTGACCATTACCCTGAACTGCCCCCACCAATTTCCTAGGTTCTGAGCATCACACAAGCGTCCTCTGGAGAATTAGGTCTAGAAACTTACACCAGTAGCAGGGGGCAAAGCAGTTCTGATGGAATAGCTCATACAGCAGGGCTACCATGCTACTCCCTGCCACTAGGTGTCACTATACAACACAGTTCCTGAAAGTAGCTCAGAACCTGTAGGGCACTGATTTGCAAAACATGGTCTCTGATCTTCAACACCACCCGAGAACTTACTAGAAATGCAAATCTTTACAGTCCGGGTGCAGTGGCTCACGCCTGTAATCGCAGCACTTTGGGAGGCCGAGGTGGGCAGATCATGAGGTCAGGAGATCAAGACCATCCGGGCCAACATGGTGAAAACCAGTCTCTACTAAAAATACAAAAATTAGCTGGGAATGGTGGTGCACGCCTGTAGTCCCAGCTACTCCTGAGGCTGAGGCAGGAGAATCACTTGAGCCAGGGAGGTGGAGGTTGCAGTGAGCTGAGATGGCGCCACTGCACTCCAGCCTGGCGACAGAGCTAGACTTCATCTCAAAAAAAAAAAAAAAAAGAAAAAAAAAAGAGATGCAAATCTTGGCTCCCAACCTGAATCAAACTCTGGGGGAAAGCCCAGCACCGTGTCTTTCAGCAAGCCCTTCAGGTGATTTGGACGTGCTACCAGTTGAGAACCACTACTCTGGGGCACGAGGTTGCTCTTGACTTTATGTTGCTCTAACATTGATCTTCCGTGAAATACAGGGCCCAGGCCTGTCCTTCTGGCTGCTCTGGAGAAATGAGCAATTGAAGAAATCAGGTCTGTGGCTCAACCAGGTGGGGCTTCCCTGAGGGCTCAGGGAAAAGATAAGGCACAATGCTCCCATAGGATGTCCTTCTCGGACACCTACCCACCTGTAGGGCAGGGGCAAGCCACCGCAAGGAATGGCCAGATTGTGCCTCCAACAGCTCTCTGTGGCTGTCGAGGGTGGGAGGGGTCGGAGGAGAGGCAGGAAGCCCAGTGAGGAAGGAGGTGGCAGGAGGAACGCCCTGGAGCCAGCTGGAGGGACTGAAGAGAGATTAGGAGGGATGGGGAGGAGTGAGTGACAGTTGGTTTATGAGGGACAGAAGGAGTCAGCGATATTCCCCAGAGATGAAGAATGAGCTGCCGTCCAGAGAGGGCACCCAGGGCAGCCCAGTTTGGGGGAGGGGAGGGGCTGAGGTGGTGCTCTGGCCCTGGTGACCGCGTGCAGGCTGTGACGGTGGCGTCTGGGGCCTAAGTTTCCGAGTTGGGGGAGGGGGCACACATGGAGAAAGCGGGGAGGCTCAGTGTGGCGCCCGGGGCCAGGCCTCACCGCTTTGTTTTCGTAGAGCACCAGCCCGTAGTTGTGGGGCACGAGGCTGAAGCGGTTTCTCCACTTCTTGCTGTCCTCCTGGTGCTGGAAGAGGTTCCCCGAGAAGACGATGCGCTCGTCCAGTGGCACCTGTGGGCAGGAGCGGGTGGGGAGTGAGGCCCAGGTCTGGGGGGGTGGTGCTCCCCATGAAGCTGATGGCCCAGCCAGCAGAGCCTGTGTGCGCACCCCCTGCCTAGCATGTCCTCCATTTTGGGTCTCCCCAAGTCCTCCCAAGGCCTCTGAGGCCGGGCTGCATCTCATCCATTCTGCAGAGGAGGAGCGAGACTCGGAGCCGTGGAGGGGCTCACCCAGCATCCAGGCAGGGTGGTGATGCCAGGACTTGAACCCAGGACAGGCACTGATGTAGGGCCTGGCCACAGCCAGGCTCTCCCTCTCCATCCCAGCCTTGGGCTGTCACCGCTACCTTGGAAGGGTCTGGGGAGATGGTTGCTCCCCACCCACCTACAGCTACAGCACTGGTGCCCCGAGGTCGCTCCGGGCACGGGGGACACACCCACAGGCCAGAACTGCGAGGGCCCCAGTGCCTGGGCAAGCCTCTCCCCAGCTCTAGGCTTCTGTTTCCCCTCAGGGCAATGATAACTTGAACAAGGTGGCTCCAGAGAGCCTGTCAGCTCTGATGGCTGATGAGACGCCTTCCTAAAAAGGAGTAGGGGGAATGGAGGGGGCCTCTGTCTGGGGGTGTTTGATGTCTGACCCGCGTCCTGGCAGGCTAGTGACCTACATGGGCTGCAGAAACGCCCGGACCTTCCTACAAAGCCCTAGCTCTGCCTGACTCACAGTGTGTCTAGTCACTTTGAGCATCAGTTTCCTCATCTGTAAAATGGGAACAGTAAGAGTTGGCACCTGACAGGCAGGTGCATAATGCACAGGACCGCCATGACCACTACGGTAGGACTCAGCGTCTGTGACGACCTCCAATCCTCAGGGACTGACTTATCTGGGGATGGGGAAGGAGAAGGGAGATCTTTAAACTAGGGTTGGGGGCCCAAGCGAAGCTATGGCCAGGTGCAAGGCGTCCTGAGCAGACAAGCACCAGAAAGCTTCTGGAAGGAGATAGACCACAGTGGAAGAGGCTTCGTCTTGGATGGGAGGGAACCCAGGAGAGTACAGTGTTCCTCTGCAAATTCTATTTGTTCTACAATAAATAAGGTGCCTTTTGCAAAAAGAAACATTTCTCAGATGCACTCATGGAGAAAGGGTGATTGCCATCATGCCTGCACCTTCCTGGCTTCCTGGCTCTGCGCTGGCCCATCCCTGCAGTCCCGTCTCTCCACCCCCTTCACCATGTCCCCCTCTCCCCAGCTCCCTCCCTGCTGCTCTTCAAGGGGAAACACAAAACACTCCTGGAGAAGGAGAGCCCATTGTGCTCACACAATAGGACCTGCAGGCTTCTTCCTACCGGGTATAAAAATATTTACAGGAAAAGAAAATGGTTCCCCTACCACCCCCACACACAGTGGGCTTTGCCCAAGTCACAGAGCTGCCCTCAGCCGTCTATGTATAAACTGCCCACACCCAGCTCAAATCCCTGTCTTTTCTAGAAAGAGCAGACAGAGCTCTCATAACACCCTAGCAAAAGGCCCCTAGTTTTCATCTTCATCCCTGCTTAGGGCAGGAGCCCCGGGACACAAGGACGGGCACTCCGGGACAGGGCCAGTCCCAGCCCAGCAGGAGGCTGTGCAGAAGCAGGCTTGTGGCCCAGGCAGGCTCAACAACCCCCACCACCCAGTCCGCCCCCAGATCCTGGGGAGCTCGAATGGGTGGCTGGCTGTGGGTTTGGGTTTTATTTTTAAGACTTTCAAATGGCAGAGTCGTGTTCAATTGGAAGGCCTGCAGGAAATGAAACAGAACTCGACAGCCCAGGCAAAATATTTTAGACTCTGCGAAGCTCTCCAATGCCTCGGTCAGAGACAGCACAGGCCCCAAGGTCAGATAACTGGAACTCCTGTGTCGGCACCACCGACTGCCAGATCCTGGACAAGTAGCTCCACATCTCTGAGCCTCAATGTCTACATCTGTGATGCAGGCATCATCATAGCCCCTCCCTCAGAGTGGGGCCACGGGGCTGAGCAAACAGTACCGGCATAAGATAACTGCTGTTTTAGCCGGGCGCTGTGGCTCACGCCCGTAATCCCAGCACTTTGGGAGGCCGAGGCAGGTGGATCACCTAAGGTCAGGAGTTCGAGACCAGCCTGGCCAACATGGTGAAACCCTGTCTCTACTAAAAATATAAAAAATTAGCGGGGTGTGGTGGTGGATGCCTGTGATCCCAGCTACTGGGGAAGCTGAGGTATGAGAATCGCTTGAACCAGGGAGGTGGAGGTTGCAGTGAGCCGAGACTGTGCCACTGCACTCCAGCCTGGGCAACAGAGTGAGACTCTGAAAAAGCAAAAACAAACAAAAAGACAACTGCTGTTTTATTATTCTTATTTCTGTTGTATTATTACGTTATCATTATTATCACTATTTTTATTTGTATTCTATTATTGTTTCTAATAAAAACCACTATTGTTTTGATCACCACTGGTGATTAATATTATTTCCAGTATTATGATGTTATCATAACTTTGCATTGTGATGATCGGTTTCCTGAGTGGCCAAAATGAGACCAAAAATACTGCTTTTCAGGGACTGTGGGTGAGTGATCTCATTTCACTCTCCTTGCTTACATGTTGCTATTTTTCTACAAATAAATATGCACTCCTGCCTCCCCAGACTTAAATGAGGCCTCACGCAGAGGAAATGCTTCACGCCCTCAGCCAGTGCCCACTTGTCTTGGATTATAGGGACTTGGGCTGCCCATGACATTTCTTTCCAGACAGGGGAGCCATTCTGGCCCCGCTCACCTGGGCTGCGTCCAAGGCCTCCTTTTCTTTCCTTTCCTACCACACAGATACGCACCTGCCAGACACCCAGGCCGGGCCACAGCAGGCCCCTCTGACGCTCTGCTGCCACAGGGTCAAGAGGTTACCATGACACTGGGGAAGAGGCAACCTTTTCTGGGTCAAAAAGCAAAGGTGATGCTCTGAGCAGCTCCGACACACGGTCCTGACCTCCCTCCACCGGGCGGGTTGCAGTCACAGCAGAAAGGGCCCTGGGCTGGTCCAGCCTCCGCCATCCTGAATGAGCCACTTAAAGGCTCAGCCTTGGCCAGGTGCGGCAGCTGAGGCCTGTAATCCCAGCACTTTGGGAGGCCAAGGTGGGAGGATCTCTTGAGTCCCGCCCCCGGCCCCGTGTCCGAGTCAATCACAGGTTCCTCTTCCCAGAAGGCTTTGCCAGCCCCCTCTGGCCCACGCTGACCCTCAGGCTGGAGCCAGGCAGCTTCTAATCTCTCACTCAACAAATATGTCCTTAGCAAACAGCATCCTACTATTTATATCATAGCAGATCATGATGGAGCCAGTGACAGTGCCTTCCCTGCTTCAGGCACAACCACCCTGTGAAGGAGGTGTTCTCATCCCATTTGACAGATGAGTAAACTGAGGCTCTTACTGGAGGAGCTTGCCTTGAATTGGAGACTATCCAGACTCTAGAGCCCCAGCTCTGATGGTGGAGGAGGTGAGCTAGGAGGAGTCACCCACGGTGACTGAAGGGGTCTCAACAACACGACCTGGGTTACCCACCTATTCAGAAGTGGGAAGGAGGCTAGGCATGGTGGCTCACGCCTGTAATCCCAGCACTTTTGGGGAGCTGAGGCTGGAGGATCACTTGAGCCCAGGAGTTTGAGACCAGCCTGGGCAACACAGCAAAACCCCATCTCTACAAAAAATGCAAAAATTAGCCTAGAGTGATGGTGTGCACCTGTAGTCCCAGTAACTGGGGAGACTGAGGTGGAAGGATCACTTGAGCCAGGAAGGTTGAGGCTGCAGTGAGGCATGATTGCGCCACTGCACTCCAGCCTGGGCAACAGCAAGACCCAGTCTGAAAAAAAAAAAATTGAATAAGCCGCACATAGTGGCTCACACCTGCCTGTAATCCCAGCATTTTGGGAGGCTAAGGCAGTCAGATGGCTTGAGGTCAGGAGTTTGAGACCAGCCTGGCCAACATGGTAAAACCCCATCTCTACTAAAAATACAAAAACTTAGCCGGGCATGGTGGTGCACGCCTGTGGTCCCAGCTACTCGGGAGGCTGAGTCAGGAGAGTGCCTTGAACCTGGGAGGCGGAGGTTGCAGTGAGCTGAGATTGTGCCACTGCACTCCAGCCTGAGTGACAGAGCGAGACTCTGTCTCAAAAAAGAAAAAAATAATTAATTTTAAAAAAAGAAGCTGGGGAGACCCTTAGAGGCCATCACAGTAACAATGGGAAACTGAGGCCCAGAAAAGTAAGGTCACTCCCCCGAGGCCACATGGCGAGAAGTAGCAGAACATACCCGAGCCCTCCCAGCACCTCTCACCTTGCGCCAGAGCAGCTGGGCCTGCGGCAGCCCCGTGCCCTCAATCTCATGGCGCATGCTGTTGAAGAGAGCCACGCCATACTGGTCTTCATAGAACTGGAGGAACTCCGTCAGGATCTTCCCGGTTTTTTCTGGAAGAGAAGGACAAGCAGGAGCTTGAGGTCCTCAGGGATGCTGATGCATCACGATCCTTCCCCTAGGCAGGAGTGGCTGCAAAGCCCCAAATTCCTGCATGTGGAATTGTTTGCACAGGCTCCTCGCGCTCATCTGCGCTGCATTTCTGGCCAGAGCCCCGCGTTTCCTGTGAAAACCAACTGCCTTGGAAAAGGTGAACCTCCAGATGGGAAAGCGGGTAATGGCCATAGACAGAGAATCAAACAAATGCAAACAGAACCAAGACTCCATTTCCTGTCGTCACACTGGTGGGGACATGCAAAAACAGGCCATGTCACTCAGAGCTGGGGGCGCCAGGAATGGGGACAGCCATTTCGGAGGGTGGGTGTCCTGTCCTTGGATGCTCCCACCTCTAGGAATCTACCCCCATAGAACGATTCGCAGGACACAAAGGCGAATGTGCACTGAGGCCATAGCGGGGAGCAGCTGAATGTGATCTCTAGGGATGATCGGTATACATTGGTTCATTCACCCAGGTCAGTAAAAAGTAAAAAGATGGAGGGGGGCCAGGCATGGTGGCTCCCAGAACTTTTCAAGGCCAAGGTAGGTGGATCACCTGAGGTCAGGAGTTCAAGCCCAATGTGGCCAACATGGCGAAATCCTGTCTCTACTAAAAATACAAAAATCAGCAGGGCATGGTGGCAGGCGCCTGTAAGGCCAGCTACTCAGGAGACTGAGGCAGGAGAATCACTTGAACCTGGAAGTTTGGTGGAAGGCGGAGGTTTCAGTGAGTCGAGATTGCACCACTGCACTCCAGCCTGGGCGACAGAGCGAGACTCCATATAATAAAAAAATTTAAAAAAATGGAGGGACCTATCCGGATAGGTGCCAACAAACGGAAAGGGCTCATGCTCCATTAAGGAAAGAAAGCAAGTGACAGAGTCACCTGTTGACTATCAGCTCATTTAAAAAAAAAAAAATCGCTTTCTGGCCAGGTGCAGTGGCTCACACCTATAATCCCAGCACTTTGGGAGACTAAGGCAGGTGGATCGCTTGAGCCCAGGAGTTTGAGACCAGCCTGAGCAACACAGCAAGACCTCATCCCTACAAAAAAATACAAAAGTCTGGCCAGGTGCGGTGGTTCACAGCACTTTGGGAGGACAAGGTAGACAGATCACCTGAGGTCAGGAGTTCGAGACCAGCCTGGCCAACATGGCAAAACCCCATCTCTACTAAAAATAGAAAAATTAGCCAGGCATGGTGGCGGGTACCTGTAATCCCGGCTACTCAGGAGGCTGAGACAGGAGAATCACTTGAACCCAGGAGGCAGAGGTTGCAATGAACCAAGATCGTACCACTACACCCCATCCTGGGTGACAGAGCAAGACTCTATCTTAAAAAAACAAAACAAAAGGCTGGGCACGGTGGCTTAGGCCTGTAATCCCAGCACTTTGGGAGGCCGAGGTGGGCAGATCACAAGGTCAGGAGATAGAGACCACCCTGGCTAACACGGTGAAACCCTGTATCTACTAAAAAATAGAAAAAATTAGCCAGGCATGGTGGCGGGCGCCTGTAGTCCCAGCTACTCGGGAGGCTGAGGCAGGAGAATGGCATGAACCCGGGAGGCGGAGCTTGCAGTGAGCCGAGATCGTGCCACTGCACTCCAGCCTGGGCGACAGAGCGAGACTCCATCTCAAAAAACAAAACAAAACAAAACAAAAATTAGCCAGGTGTGGTGGCGTGTGCCTGTATTCCCAGCTATTCAGGAGGCTGAGGTGGGAGGGTCACTTAAGCCCAGGGAGGTCGAGGCTGCAGCGAGCTATGATCGTGCAACTGCACTCCAGCCTGGGCGACAGAGCGAGACCCTGTCTCAACACACACATAACAAAACCAAAACTCCTCCTATTTGTGCATATAGCTTACTTAGGCTTGGGTGCGTGGAGGAGGTCTGGAAGGCAGCATGCCAGGCTAGGAAGGCAGGACCTCTGGTGTGGGAGTGGGGAGTACAGAGTGAACTTCATTTTTGGTTTATTTCCTTTTATAGCATTTGAATTATTTTATAATCATGATTCCTTTCATAATAAAAAATAAACATTCTAAAATTAATGCCTCTACCAAGTGAACAACCTTTCTGCTTTCACTGGCCATTTGCTTCTGTCTTCTGCGCGGTTTCTGAATAGAGGTGAGTGCTATGGCCTTGAAGGCAGGCCCAGGCCACATCAGGCTCAGCACGTGTGCTCCTGGGTGCCCCCATGTTCAGATGAAGGAGGAGGCCCAGAGAGGGTCTCGGACCCATGAGGGGAGAGGCTTCCTGGTCCTAAGAAGCTGCAGCTCGCGTCCCAACTGGGATTTGTGCTGGCCCGCTGTGCGGCTCCCCTCTCTGAGCCTCGGTTTCCCCCATGCACTGAGAGGCTGCATTCGATGACGGACAGGCCCTGCCATCTCTGACAGTCTTGGATTCCAGGTTTCAAAGACCTGGTCCTTTCTCAAAACAGGAGCTGGCAGGAACCTGCCCCTCCCATGGCCAGTCTCCAGGTACCGAGGGCACCTGGCTAGGATGACATTTCATTCCATCCTCTCTATAGTTCTGTGAGGGAGAACCTGTGTTATCCCCACTTTACAGAGGAGGTAACTGAGGCCCAGGGAGGTTAAGTCACTGGCATAAGGTCACACAGCCAGTGGGTGGTAGAGCTGGGATGCAGTCCTGGGTCCCCACCAGGAGGTGGTGGCCTGGGAGGAGGGCTGAAAGGGCATGTCACACACCATGCCTCACAGCTCATAACCAGGGTCCCAGGCATGTGACCTTCCTGGGTGTCTGCCCACACCCCGGGCCCTGCCTCAGTGATGGGGGTGGAGGGATGCCCCCCAACCCCTCTCCACAGACCCTGTCCCTCCCTGTACTCCCCTTTCCTGGAGTGAGGTCATGTCTGTCCAGATTCCAGTTTGGGGGGAGGAAGGGGAGAACAAATGAGGAATTTGCTTTGAATGCCTATTTTTTAAAAACCATAAACAACCAGAACTCTCTCTGAGACCATGGGAATTGTTTTGAAAAATCATGAGGCAGAGAGGGGGCAAATGGAAGAGAGTCATACATCGGGGATAATAGAGAAAAGAGGATGGAAGCTGACAATAACATCGGTACCATGGTTGTCATCGTCATGGCCACCACTTGCAGAGCATTAAACCCGTGCTACGGCAGGTTTTACGTATGTGAACCCAGAGAATCTCCATGAGAACCCCAGGAAGCCAGTGCTGTTGTTTTCCTATTTCAGGGATGAGGAGTCAAGCCACGCACCCCACAGGCATTCTATCAACGTGGTCGGCAGGATGGGCAGGCTTGGGCCTGCAGGTCTCAGGGTTCCTTTGGCCGTGGCTCCAGGGCCCCCAGCCAGCCCCAGTGCACCCAGCCCACAGACAGATCCCAAAGGGCTGGAGTCTGCCACCCTGGCCCTCACGGAGCAGGCCCTGGAGGGAGCTGCCATTGCTGTGAGGACTCGAACACAGGTCTGCCTGACCGCAGCCCGTGCTCAACTGCCCGGACAGCACAGTCCAGATATGGTGTCCAGGCA
This sequence comes from Homo sapiens, assembly GCF_000001405.40. Taxonomy (NCBI): domain Eukaryota; kingdom Metazoa; phylum Chordata; class Mammalia; order Primates; family Hominidae; genus Homo; species Homo sapiens. The sequence goes on from NC_000009.12 coordinate 127,535,331, forward strand.
GGGAGGAGCTGGGTTCAGAAAGGCCCCTGGGCTGGGCTGGGGAGGACAAAAGAGGGCAAGACTGAGCCAGGAGAAGGCCCAGGCATGTCCCACCGAGGGACAGTTAAGGCCCAAGTTGGGCAGGCTGTGGACTGGAGAGGAAGCTGCAGGAAGCTCTGAGGAAGGGAGACATGGGAGTGCAGGGACCCCGCTGCCTGTCAGGGTGGGAGCTGAAGGTCAAGGCTGAAGGTCAGGTCCCTGGACCAGCGCAGTGCTGCCCACAGGCCTAGGGCCTCGGGCTGAGGGGACCCAGGCAAGGGCCAGGGGTCCAGGATGCAGTTCCCTCTAGGTTTGTCACGTTGGCCCCAGGTGGGGCTGGAGTCGCTCACTATCCAGGCTTGCTCTCAGAATTCAGGAGCCAAATGGGTCAGGTAGGGAGGGCCAGGAACTCTGCTGGAGGGGTCTGGTCTCCTTTTGCTCACCACTGGATCCTGGGCACCAGGCCTGGCACAAGCAGATGTCGGCAAGGGGAGGAATAGTGGGGGTTTGGTCCAGCAGCCAAATAGTTACTAAGTCCAAACAAGGGAAGGCCGTGGGGCAGGCATCGGAGGGGGTACTGAGGGAGCGCCATGCTGCAGGTAGGGGGACAGCATTAGCAAGGGGTTAAGGACCTTAAGGACGGAGCCCAGGCAGCACCGGGAAGCCAGCTCCGCTCAGAAGAAGGGTGGCGACCACGGGAGAGCTAGAAAGGGAGGACCATGGGAAACAGGGCCACGGATGGCTCCTTGGCAGGGGTAGCCCCGAGCACATTCTTGAGAGATGTCCTCAGCCAGCATGGAAGGAACCGCCACGTGCTTTGTACAGAGGAAGTAACCCAGAGACGCAGAAGATGAGGACTCGGGTGCTGGGGACCCCAGGTGTGGAGGCCAGAGGGACCCAAAAGGCCAGCAGCATTGGGAGGGGGCCAGCCTGGACAAAGGGCTTGCAGGGCCTTCCTGGCTGGACCCTGCTGGAAGAGGACCCAGGCGAGCACTGCAGCCCTGGTGGGGGCTCAGCCAGAGGACCCAGCCTGGCCACCGCCTTACCTGCTGAGCTCTGGGGCTGCAGTCCAGGCAGGCCCCACCCAGTACCCCACTTTTCCTTCTTGCTCCCTGCAGTGGCTCTCCCCCGGCATTGTTGCTTCAGGATTTTACAACTCAAATTCCCACATGGCGTCCCGGCCTGGGTGTCTGTGGGGGTCCTGAGCCCGGGCACCCCTCTTTCCTCCATACTTGCCCACAGCAGCTCTTTCCATTTCCTGCCGCAGCCTCTGGAGACACCACACGCCACGGATTTGGGGCAGATGTTGGACAGGGCCTCCAACACTCAGGCTTACCACCCTGTTAGGGGAATGTGAGCCAGAGAGGGTGAGCAGCTCAGCTGAGGTCACACAGCCAGATGGAGGCAATTAGGTTCGAGCCATAGTCGGCTGCATGCCACCCTCCTGGTCCTAGCTCTGGCCATTGTCTACAGGGCCCCACAGGCCCCCTACCTCCCCTTAGAGGGCAGAGAGGAAACTGGCTGTGCCCCCATCTACAGAGGCAGGGCTGGCCCGCAGGTCCTGGGCCCAGGAACTGGGGGGCTCCAGCTGGTGGTAGAAATCACTCGCTTCTGTGAGCTACAGAGAGGCTGGGGTGGGGTGGTGTGAAGGTGTGTGCCAGCTTCGTCACTTTCCACATTATCTCATCCATTCTGCCTCCCTGCATTGACTCTGCCCCAGGTGCTGCTAGGTGAGAAGGCAGGGAATGGAGTGGGGCAGGACTCACAGAGCCTGCCCTGCGGCCCCAGGTGCCCAGCCTCCTGGTGAGGAGCTTGAAGTCAGGACCAGAGTCCCCGCCCTGCCATATGCCAGCCCTGCAAGCGCCTAGCTCTCAGAGACTCACATTCTTCATTTGTAAATGGGCCTCTCCGAAGCTGTTCCCGAGCTCTGAGCTCTGCAGGACCGGATAGCGTTTGAGGTGCTCAGCTCCAGGCCTCCATAAACGTCACTGTTAATCATCAGTGTCCTCAGCTGAGAACAGCAGTCATAAGAGACTGTTTGAAATGTTTATTAGCAGTATAACTTTTATAGTTTGAAATAATCCAATAAAGATTTGTTTTCTGAAGAACCGGGACAAGAATCACAAAATAATAATGATAATGATGGGAGGCCTTCCACAAACAAAGATCACAGATGCGGGGAAGCCAAGGGGGACAGCAGGTCCCTGCGTTTGATGGGGGGTCCTGCCTAACCGTGGCTGGGATCCCCTGGCATAACCCTTAGCCTCTGCTGGCGCCCAGAGCCGTTGGTTGCCCCCTTTTCGCTTTCTGCCAGCAGGAGGTAAGCCCACGCCCATCAGACACAGGGCCCACCTGTTCTTTGCCCCAACACACACCATTCTTCAAATGGCCCAGAGGGAAATACAACCCTCACTTTACAGCTGTATGAACCGAGGCTCAGAACAATTAAACAGCTCAGGAAAGGCCACTCTGTCAGTCCACAAAACCTGCCGAGGCCCCTCACAGAGGTTGTCACAAAAGGCGCCTGCCTGTTGGGGTCCCGGTTCCCTTCTTAGCCCAAGAGGGCAGTGTGTGAATTCTGGGAGTGGAGTTGAGTCCTGATCTGTGCCCAGGGACCTCAGGAAGCCACTCCCATCCCAGGCCTCTGTCTCCACCTGGTGTCTCTATGGGTACTGGGCTGCATCCACCTCTGAAGAGGCCACTTTTGGGGATGCAGGTCCAGGGCAAAACTCACAACACACACTTGTGGGTTTGTTGTGGAGCTGAGAGCCAACCCTTTCAGCAAGTTGGTTGAATAAGGGGGTGCTCTGTGGATCTCAGGGGGGCTCTGCTCCCCATATGACTGGAACCCTGTCTCCAAGGGCTGCATCCTATCGGGTTATTGAGGGTGACTGAGAAGGACCCCCTCACAAGCCAGTCCTCCTAACTCTGCCCCTGGATCCCCAGAGTTTGCCAGGGATAGGTGCCTATCCACCGACAACTTACTGCATGCTCCACAGCCTGTTTAATCCTAACAGGTATTAGTATCCCATCTGACAGATAAGAAAAGTGAGACTCAGGCTAAACACAGCGGCTGCCACCCAGGAAGCACTCAGTGAGTGTCACATGGCTATTTAGAAACGCAGTTGTGTGGCCAGGCATGGTGATGCGTGCCTGCAATCCCAGCTACTCAGGAGGCTGAGGCAGGAGAATCACTTCAATCTGAGAGGCAGAGGTTGCTGTGAGCCAAGATCGCGCCACTGCATTCCAACCTGGGAGACACAGTGAGACTCCATCTCAAAGAAAAAAAAAAAAAAAAAGAAATGCAGTTGTGCGGCCGGGCACAGTGGCTCACGCCTGTAATCCCAGCACTTTGGGAGGCCGAGGCAGGCAGATCACTTGAGGTCAGGAGTTTGAGACCAGCCTGGCCAACATGGTGAAACCCCATCTCTACCAAAAATACAAAAATTAGCCAGGCATGGTGGTGGGCGCCTGTAATCCCAGCTACTTGGGAGACTGAGGCAGGATAATTGCTTGAACCTGGGAGATGGAGGCTGCAGTGAGCTGAGATTGCGCCATCGTACTCTAGCCTGGGAGACACAGTGAGACTCCATCTCAAAAAAAAAAAAAAAAAGAAAGAAATGCAGTTGTGATCACATCTGGAATTCACTATATACTTAAAATGGATAATTTATACAAAGACTGTGTATTAGGGACATCTCATAGTAAGAAAAATTAAGGATCGAGCTGACTGATCTTTTGGGAATGATAGATATGTGGAAAAATACAATAAAGATCTAATTTGGGTCAGTCAAAAAAAAAGAAAGGAAGAAAAGTGAGGCTCAGAGAGACTCACTGACTCACTCAAAGACACACAACGGAGGGGAAAGAGGTGGGTTTTGGACCTTGTCTCCCACCAAAGCCTGCACAGAGCCCTACCCCGCAAAGCCTCTCATCCCAGTGACCCCTCACGAGGACCCGCAATGCCGCTTTCAAACCCCTGGTTTTCCACTCTCTTGCTGGGGTCTTGCCCAATCCCAAGAATGAGGCAACACAAGGCTTTACTATCCTCATCTTACAGACGAGGAAACCGAGGCTCAGAGGGCAAAGTGACTTTCCCGAGGCAACAGCTGGCAGGTGTCAGAGCCGGGACTGAGGTCTAGGGTTTCCAGCTCCACTGGCCCCTGTCGGGTCGGAGCTGGTGGAGAATCATCCGACCCACTGGAGCCTTACTTCTTCATCCTCACTGGGCCCTAATTTTCCCACCTTTAAAATGGGAGGGTGGGTCCCTGTCAGCTCAGCTGACCGAAAATCTCAACGACAATCTAATCAGTGCTGCCCTGGCCCCAGGAACTGACCGGGATGCTGGCCTCAGCCCCTCCTGTGAGCTGCTGGTGAGTCAGCTCTGACCAGCAGCTGATCACAGCCCCCTCGGGCCAGACAAAAGGACCCGGGGGGAGAACTAGGCACCCCCCATCACCTGCAAACAGGGCACCATTTCTACATGGACACACAGGCTCTGGGTCCAAGTCCCAGCTCTGCCACCTATGAGCTGTGTGGCCTTGGCTAAGGCACTTCTCCTCTCTGAGCCTTTATTTTCCCCTCTGCAAAATGGCACAACAGTATCTGCCTGAATGGGTTATGAGACAAACGGGCTACTGAGCATGAAGCCCTTTACCCTGGCAAGAAGGGGGCACTTCACCAATGGGGGCTCCTAAGAAGTGCCTCTTGTCAAGGTTCCTCTAACCCACAGTGAGGCCCTTGAAACAGAGGCTGAGCATGCAGCCTGGCCCACCCTGGGACCAGCTCCAACAGCAGCCAAGGCGGCCGGAACGTTAATTAATCTCTGATTTTCCAAACTGACAACGTTAAGGGCCACGCTACTTCCTGTGCAGATAGTGAGGCTGGGCAAGAACTGGGGAGGCCCCAGGGTGGCCTGGAGGCTTGGGGAGCTGGGGGATGGGGTACCAGGCCCACTGTGCAGATAGGGGAACTGAGGCTCAGAGAGGAGAGGAGGCTTGCTGAGCTGAGAATGGAGGAAGGAGTCCAGGGGTTCTCAGAAAATGGACCTAAAAAGGCGTATCCCGGAGGGCCTCGAATGCCAAGCTAAGGAGTTCCTTCTTTGCCTTGTCATGACGCTCCCCAAAGCCACCATGTGCCGCTCCTGTGCTAAGCATTTTGCTTGGACACGTGCCCCCGATTCTTCAACTCAACCTCGGGCCAGGTGGTATTGGTACTGGCAGAACATTTCAGACCAGGTGACCGAGAACTGGGTACCTCTGCCAAATCACTCTGCTGAGAAGAGGCAGAGGTAGGATCTGCACCCTGGTCCCGACCTGATGCCTAAGCCTGAAACCCTGTTCCACACGGACGGGGGACCCAAGAGGAAGAGAGTCATCTCCAGCTGCGACCACATCCAGCTCATGTCCACCATGGGGGCTGCACGCCGGCGCCAGCCCTGGTTTGGCCCCAGTGGAGGGCGCTGTGCCAGACCCGTTCCTGGCTCATCCGGTCTCTCCAGTGGGCTCCAGGGACACACCTCACCCACGAGGCCCAGCCCGGTTTCAGGGTTTCAGGGCTGAGAGGTTTGCCGACTGAAACCAGGCAGGTAGCAGCACCCTGTAGGGTGGGGCAGGCTCAGAACCTGCCCGCCTGGTTCCCAGGGCATAGGGAGCAGGTCCAGCATGGGGAGGTGGGGGAAAGAGGGGGGTGCCGACCCCACCCACCCTACAGTCCAGGGACCAGCAGAGGCAGAGTCGGGGCAGGGACTCCATTCTCGCAGGTCTCAGAGTTGTCCCAAGCACCACCATCTCCATCATGTGCCTGAGACAGCAGGGAGAGCTTGGGGTCCAGAAAGGTGGTGACACTCTCCTAGGGCCACACAGCACATCCAACAGAGCTGGGTTGGCATAGACCAGTGCCTCGCTCAGGGCCTTTCTACTTTCTACTTGCCCCCCACCTACTGTCACAATCGACACACAATAGCAGCAGCCACTTGTCAGCACCACCTCTGTGCCCAGCACGGCACTGCACATGCACACTCATTATTTCACGCACTGTCCTCACTTCCCAGAGAACACTGAGGCTCAGAGAGGTTAAGGGACTTCTCCAGGGACACACAGCTTGTAAATGACATGAACTCTGAACAGGGAACCAACGTTTGGGCAAAACCATCTCACCCTGGCCTCCGCAGCACCAGCCTGTGGGTGGCCTCCACGGGAAGGGCAGACACAGGGCTCCTGCTCAGGACCTGTAATCAGGTGGGAAGTTGGGGGTGGGAGGGGTAATGACAGGCTCCATCAAGTAGCAGGAGGGGGACCAGCAGCCCATCCACGAGAAGAGCCTGAGCCAGCAGCCAGAATCTGGCAGGCCAGGAAGGAGGAGGACAGCTGAGTGTCCCCCACCCAATCAATTCCTGTCCAGAAGAGGGACCATACCAGAGAAGGCAAGGGACGGATTCAGGGTCCCTCCATGAGCCATCCTTGGCAGAAGGGGTACAACAGCAGACCCCTGGGACCCCCCTTCTGGGCCTGAGAGAAACAGGGCCTATGGGATTCCCACCCCACCACTACCTGCCCCCTAGCACAAGCCCAACAGGGTGAGGCAGGCTCCCCAGCACCCAGGGGCCAGTCAAGTGGCCACCCAGCCTGTGCCTCTAGTCACTGCCCCCCAGCCAGGCCACTCCCGTCCTGTGCCCGCCGCAGCCACTGAAGTCCTGCCTACTCCATCCTGGCTGCCTCTGATCCTTCCCACACACAGGGGCCACAGGGGAGTTGCCCAACGTTTCCTGGCTCAGAAACCTTCCAGTGGTACAGCTCCTACTGCCTCTGGGATGGAACTGAGCTCCTTACCATGCCCGCAGGCCCAAGTCATCTGGGGTCTCGCAGAGGCTGCTCCCCATGTCCGGAATACAGTCTTCCGCCAAGCTCACTCCTCAGCCCACCACCATGCGTCTTTCAACTGGAAAGCCCCAGGCTGGGTGGGAGCCCTCCACCTATTCCCGCAGCCCACCGCTGGCCTCCTGGTGGGTAAAGGTCTGTTCCTCATGTGGCTCCCACAGGCAGCACCCCTGCTCCTGGGGCAGGGCCTGGCACGCAGTGGAAAAGGAAGGGAAGCCCACAGCAACAGGCCAGAAGTGCCAATCTCAGGCCAGACCCACCCCCAAAAGAGAGCCACGAAGCCACTGAGCAATAAGCCCCCACACACCCCGGAGATTCCTCACCACGGAAACGGAGGCTGACATCGGAGCAGGCCCTTGGCTGGGTCCTGGGGATGAGGAAATGTACACTGTGCTGTCCTTCCTTGGGAAGGTGGCTGCCACCGACATTTCCCCCCCTGCTGGCCTCAGGTGCCCTGAAGGGGCCCTTGGCTGCGTCACTCTTCCCTGAGGCCAGTTTTGTTTTGTTTTGTTTTGAGACGGAGTCTGGCTCTGTTGCCCAGGCTGGAGTGCAGTGGCACGATCTTGGCTCACTGCAACCTCTGCCTCCCAGATTCAAGCAATTCTTCTGCCTCAGCCTCCCCAGTAGCTGGGATTACAGGCACCCACCATCACACCTGGCTAATTTTTTGTATTTTTAGTAGAGATGGGGGTTTCACCATGTTGGCCAGGCTGGCCTCGAACTCCTGACCTCAGGTGATCCACCCGCCTCAGCCTCCCAAAGTGCTGGGGTTACAGGCGTGAGCCACTGTGCCTGGCCCCAAGGCCAGTTATTAACAAGGAAAAACCTCTTCCCTTAAAGACAGCATCCCTCAGCACGCCAAGGCCCGACAATGACAGCCGTGTGACCCTGCGTGAGCCAGCCCTCAGCTAGGGACTTCCAGTGCGAGATCATTCTCGACTCTCAAAATGGCCCAGGGAGAAAGGCTCTGTCTCCACACCAGGAACAAAAAGGCACAGAACAGTTAGGGAGCCCTCCTACCCCGAAGCTAATGGGTGTCACGCTGGCTGGGGACACCTCACGCCATCTGACATAGACCCGGACAACAGCTGCAGGAAGTGGTACAGGAATCACCCCCGATCAAGACAGAGGCTGGAAGGTCCAGGGCCTTGTCCCAGGTCAGCCGGCTGTCAAGCAGGGAGCCAAAATCCAAGCTGGGGTGTGAGCCCAGGCTGGCTGAACCTAGACTCCACGGGCTGTGGAAACATCTGGAAGATGGTTGCATGAAGCACTTTGTAAAGGATCTCTCTGGGCTCTGATGGCCCCAAGAGACTATGGACTAACTTGTCACCACAGGCCTGGCACACTGAAGCCCACAAGCATGTTACACAGAATCACATCCAAGATCCGCAACCTCAGCCCCGCTCTCCTTCCCATCCCCACACCCTGGGCGTCTCTCGCCTCCATTACACATTTCCTACCTCCACATCTTCATCCATGTTGTGTCCTCTGGCTGGACCGCCCTTCCCTTCAATTCCACAGTTCACAATCTTAGCCAGACTTTCAAGGCCCTGCTCACCCATCCTCTCCTCCATCACACTGTTCTTCAGTTCCCCACTTGCAGAAAATTATAATCATAATTGCAACATGAGCTAATGCATGTAACAGTTAGTTCTGTGCCAGGCACAGAGGCAGATCCCATATATGCTAAAAATTATAGTCAACATTGTTTCATTTAACCCTCACTGGGACGTACTGCCAAACCCACTTTATGGATAAGGGATCTGAGGCTCCTGAGAAGTTAAGTGACTTTCCCGATACTACACAGGGAAGAGCAAAACTGGGATGTGAAGGCAAGCCTGCTTCTGTTCGCTGCTCAAACTGTGCTGGAAGAGAGAAGAGCTAGAACCATTTGCTGACTCTCTGCTGGGACATTCCTTGCTCGACTGGCAGCTTCCCAGGTTGGAATGGTATCTTGTTCACTTCCGTATCCCTGGTACCTAACATGGCGCTGGCCTTGGGAGAGGAGGGTGGGTTTCTCACAGAGACGGGTATTTCTGGAGCCATGCTTAAAACAAGAAGCAAACCCTGAGCTCAGAACAGCCTCTCTGGGCCTCAGTTTCCTTATCTGTAAAATGGGTATAATGTCATAGTCCTCCACCACCACCTCACAAGGTTGCTAGGGCAGGGAGCACTCAGGAGATGTTGGCTTTTGTTGCTAACACCAGGATAGGGCTGCATGAACCCTATAAGGGCACATGGCTGTTATTCTTTTTTTCTTTTATTTTTTTAATTAATTAATTAATTTTTTTTTTGAGATGGAGTCCCCACTCTGTTGCCCAGGCTGGAGTGCAGTGGCATGATCTCAGCTCGCTGCAATCTCCGCCTCCCAGGTTCAAACAATTCTCCTGCCTCAGCCTCCCAAGCAGCTGGGATTACAGGCATGTGCCACCACACCCAGCTGATTTTTGTATTTTTAGTAGAGACGGGGTTTCACCACGTTGGTCAGGCTGGTCTCGAATTCCTGACCTCAGGTGATCCACCCGCCTCGGCCTCCCGAAGTGCTAGGATTACAGGCATGAGCCACCGCACCCGGCCATGGCTGTTATCTTGGCCTTTGGTGCTGGTAGAATCCCTGCCATGGCACATTCCCTCATTCATGGGCCAGCCACATACTCCTAAGAGGCCACTGGACCTGGGAAGGGACCTCCAAGATCAAGTCCAAACTATCTTTTGGACAGATGGGGAAACTGAGGCTGGGGAAATGGGGAAAAGCTGCCCAGGGTCCCATTGCCCTGTTAGTGTCCCAGCTCCTCTGAGACCATCTTGGGGAGAAACAGGTGAATGGGGCTTTCACACCCAGCGAACCCAAGCGAACCGCAACCTCAGCCCCTCAGCTTCCTCCTCAGCGGAGGAAATCTGGCCTCTGGCCTTGGGGTCCCACGTCTACAGTGCCCTCCTAGCGTCCACCCCTTGTGCCTGGCCAACTCCTCTTTCTCCTCCCCAGGCTCAAGTGCCACCTCCTCGGAACCCTCCCTCCAGACAAGTCCCGGCCTCCCAGGTCTCCACAGCCTCCCTGGCCTCCACTCCCACAGCCCCTGGCCTGCTCCCCGGCACTCCCCTCAACCACAGTTAATGCCTCATCTGAGACGCTCCCCGGACTGAGACTGCTCTCCGCTGTCTCCCCAGCACCCAGCTCCCGCCAGGCCCAGGGGGGTGCTTGATAAACAAGTGCCGAACAAGTGTTAGGTCACCCAGCCTCAGGCGCCAAACAGGTCACCAGGGAGGCCATGGTGGGCAGGGACTCAGTCTGAGGGCACAGGCCGTCTGGGTCTCATCACAGAGGCAGGTCAGGCCCAACAGAGCCAGGAGTCAGCTGGGGTTTTTCACAAGGCTGCCTTGAAAACTCTTCTCGGTTGGCAAATATTTAACCAGGGCTGGGCCACAACAGGTCTGGTGGGGAAGGGTGAGCTTTGAGGCAGGAGGGCTGGGAGGAGAGGGCGGGGCTGAGGCGGGAGCCCAGAGAAATGCACCCAAAAAAACGGGTGACCCAAAACCCGCCCACTGGGGCTGCCCTTTCCTTTACACCTCGAGGCCGCCTGGTGGGAGGAAGTCCATTCCCATCTTGACACAAACAGAAGGAAACAAAAGCCCTCTCATCCCCTCCTGCCCCCCACCCCGCCTGCCTGGCAGCGGCCCCAGCCCACAGCCCACAGTGGCAGCTTGTTCTGGGAGCCCAGGATGAGGCATGCCTGCCGTCTGGGAACACAGATCCTCGCTGGGAGGGCAGCCCAGGGGGTGCCGAGGCCCCCAGCAGCGTCACCACCCAGAGCAGGACCCACACTCCAGGGGGTGGGCACCCAAGGCTGCCATCCTGCGGCCCCCTGGCCAAGGCCACGCCCAAGGAGGAGGCTGATCTATGACAGTGATTGTGTAGACACGACCCTCCTTTCCTCTCACATGGAGTCACCCTTTCCTGTTGACTTTTTCTCCACAATGTCTCTGGCCTTCATTCCTTTCTTGTCATCCTCACCACCCCCACAGGAGCCTGAGCCTTAGCCAGCCACCTGTCAAAACTGCCCAGGCCCCAGAGGAGCATCCCCACGCCTGTCCACAGGTGCTCCTCATACCCCTTCTCTCAGTCACGTCCAGGGCCGAGGCTGGACTGGGAACCCAGGGTGCTCTGCTGTGGCTCGTGCACATTGGCAGGTGCCCCCCACGGGCCTGGACACCTGCCCTGGGCCTGAGAACCCACCACCAATGTTCCCCTCAGCGTCCAGCCTGGTGTTGGACCTTGAGATATGCAGGAAGAGCCTGTGGTCAAGCCCTTCCCCCAAGATGTCCGCAGTGTCAACCACTCAGCCCCGCCCCATCAGACAGGTCACAACCACTGGGGCAGGGCTGAGGACAGGACCCAGCCCAGATCCCATGTCCTCCATCAGCCAGCGCGGGCCAAGCCAAAATGGCAGATGTCAGGCGAGTCACCAAGTTCAGGCGAGGCTCTGAGGCTTCATCACGATGGCCAAGAAAGGGTTTATGTTGCTCTCACTCATTCATTCAGCAATCCTGGCCACTGGGTACTCAGGAGAGAGTACCCTAATGAGGGAGGCAGATTGTCAACAAAAACTACAATTACTAGGAGCCCCAACTGGGAGAAGCACAGGAGGTCACAGGAGCCCAGGAAGGTGACTGACCAAGCCTGCAGGGTCACGGAAGCCTCCCAGAGGGAGGTAGCAGCTGAGACACAAAGAGTCCCTGCTAGGGGAGGGAGGACACCGGGAAGGGAGTGTGTGCCAAGCAGAAGACCCGAGAAAGGCCAAGATTCGGACAGGCATGAAAGAGTTAATCCATTCCACAAAGATTTATCAGCACGTCCTAGGTCAAGAAGGACCCTTCAACAGTGCAGTGTCAAGGTCCTGGAACCAGATCTCAGTTCAAATCCTAACTCCACCCTTTGCTGGCTATAGGACTTTCAGCAACACATGGCTCAATTCTCTCTGAACCTCTGTTTCCTCAGCTGTAACATGGGAGTAACAGCAACCTGGCCAGGTGCGGTGGCTCACGCCTATAATCCCAGCACTTTGGGAGGTCACCTAAGGTCAGGAGTTTGAGACCAGCCTGGCCAACATGGTGAAACACCGTCTCTACTAAAAATACAAAAATTAGCTAGGCATGGTGGCGCATGCCTATAATCCCAACTGCTCGGAAGGTTGAGGCAGGAGAATCGCTTGAACCTAGGAAGTGGAGGTTGCAGTGAGCTGAGATCGCGCCACTGCACTCCAGCCTGGGCTACAGAGCGAGACTCCATCTCAAAAAACACAACAACAACAACAACAACAAAAAACAGCACCACCGGGCACGGTGGCTCACGCCTGTAATCCCAGCACTTTGGGAGGCCAAGGTGGGCAGATCATCTGAGGTCGGGAGTTCGAGACCAACCTGACCAACATGGAGAAACCCTGCCTCTACTAAATATACAAAAGTAGCCAGGTGTGGTGGCGCATGCCTGTAATCCTAGCTACTCAGGAGGCTGAGGCAGGAGAATCGCTTGAACCCTAGAGGTGGAGGTTGCAGTGAGCAGAGATCGCACCATTGCACTCCAGCCTGGGCAACAAGAGCGAAACTCCACCTCAAAAACAAAAAAACAAACAAAAAAAACCCAGCAACTTTACGATCCCCCATCTTGCAAGGTGTCATAAGGATTCAATGAAATGAATAAACCCACAGAGCCTGGGCAAATGTGGGCTGGTGTTATCAATGGCAGTGATGGAACCTCTCGAAGGAGCTCCATCTGTCCCAGTATTGGTGGCCAGGACATAAATGGTCAGGGTGCCCAGTGGCATCTCTCATCAGTGCTCATGGCAGTTCTCTGTCCCATGTTTCACGCCACGCAATGGGAACCAGCAAAGGGTGACTGGAACAGCACCTCCCTGGTCCCTCAGCTGGTGGGTCATGAGATTAAAAGGTGACATGCTTGGGGTCCAATCTTTCTGGACCCTCATCTCTCAGGTTAATTCATCAGGAAGGAGAAGTGGAGCAAGAAACATCAATGAAGACTTCTGAAAGCCAACACCCAAACGTACCGCACCCCTGAGAACCTCGACCGACCACAGCCCCCCTGCTCTGTGACACTGGCATGGAGAACACTCTGGCCTTGCCGCCTCTCCCTTAGCTGCTGCATCCATCACCAGAGATGCTGGTTGGGAAAATCAAGGGCCCTGAGTCCTCGTCCAGCTCTGCCGCCAACTCACGTGTGGCCCTGGGCAAGTTCTGGTCTCTCCAAGACTCTGCTTCCTGTAGGCAGCCTTAGGGGGTGGAGAAGTCCAAAGACCAACAGTGCTTTGTTGTCACCAGTCCCTGAACTCCATGAGGGCTTTCCCGCTGTCTTGCATTTGTACTTCTCTTTTTTTCTCTCTTCTCTTATTGCATTGACTAAGACATCCAGATCGATGCTAATGAAAATACCTCTAGGGTTTCAACATTAAGCTTCAGACTTGCTTGGTATGTGATGAATGAAGCTGTGACGGGCTAAGTACCACATAGGGGCTGCTCAGGGAAAGGAGGGAGGACTTGTTCCTCTCCCCAAACCTTAGAGTTGGACAGTTCCCTGGAAAACAGACGCTGGGGAAGTCCAGCCGTAGCCACGCCCTATTGCCAAGCAGAGCCCATTCTCAAGTCATCCACAGAAGACACACAAGATCCCAGCAAGGGCTTTCTAACGGCCTCAGATGCCCAGGATAAGGGACCCTGGCGGGTAGGGAAGGCCTCATCACTGGAGGTGTGTAAGCAGAGGCTGGAGGGTCAAAGAGCACCCACCTCCAAGAGTTGGTGTGAGGACTAAATAAGATGTGTGAGATGCACCTGTCACCCTGCCTGACTCCCAGGAAGAGCCCAATAAATGCCAGCTTCTGTTCCAATAAGAACTAACAGCTAATAAGTGCCAGTCACCATGGCCCAACCCCAATGGAAAAGGACTAAACTCGGATACACAAACCCCACAGATCTCATCAGCCAAGCACCCTCTACTGCTAATATCCTTTCCCTAAGCCCAAGTCAGGTTCTTCCCAAGTTGCCTCGTGACCCCTGCTCACCCACCATTCACACACACGTGTATGCCCACACGCATGCACACTCACACTCACATGCATGCCACACACATGCACTCACATGTGCATGCACATGCACGCACACACACTCACATGCACGCCCACACGCATGCACTCACATGTGCAGGCACACACACGCACATTCACACATGTGCATGCCCACACACATGTACACTCACACACCGTGCATCCACTCACACACATACGCACACTTACACATGTGCACACACATGCATGCTGCTGCCTGCAGCTTCTGGCTTGCAGGGTCCTCTCAGTGAGTGGGACTGGGGAGGGGCGATTCTGCCTTCTCAAAGCCAGGGAGGGAAAGAAGGGGAAGAAGAGAACAAGAAAGATGAGCCAATATGAAAATCCACTCGTGTGCTTGCTGCTGGGCCAGAGGAAACCCAATCCCAGATTGGAATGCCAGGGACCCTTTACATGGATAGAAGGAAAGTTTATTCAAATAACAAGACTCCCTTGGTCTGTACTCTAAGCTCAGCGAGCAGCAGGTGCAGGGCTTGCCCCACCCTCAGGTCACCAGCTGCAGGTGTCCTCAGGCTCCAGAGGGGGCCAGAAGGGGAGGTGGGAGAACGGCTCCCCTCCCAGCCCCGCCAGCCTCCCACTCTCTGTCCCAGGTGCCTGCGTGACCCCATTTGTGCGCCCTGAGAGACCCTGCGCAGCCAACAGCCTCTGTGGTCTTGGTCTGCTTCCCCGGGGGAGTCCCTTGAGGGTGAGTGGGGACCGCCTCAGTGTCTCCCCATCACTGGCCAGTGAAATGGGGTGGTGATACAGGGCTAAGAGCACTGGGCCCCAAATCCATGTACCTGACTGCTGCTGAGTGACCCTGGACAAGCCCCCCACCCTTCCTGGCTCCCTGTCTCCTCCCCGTACCGTGAAGGGACTGGACACCATGGTGCTGGACCCTCAACGCCCTGATGCCCTCCACCTGGGACATGAGACAACGCTCCTTCCTGACACATTGGGAAGCCCAGAGGAGCCCACCATTAAGCCTTGATAGAACTGACCTGAGTCCTAACTGCCAGCCTAGGGTGCTGAAAAGCACTGTCCCTGACTGTTGCCAGCTCGCTCACACAGGTCAGACCCCTGTTAGTCATTAGCACAACTTTGCTTTAATAATTCATTGTTCCATCTCCATTTGCCCTAGGAGGGCAGGGACCCTGTCTGTCTCACTCATAACATATGCCCAGCATCTAGCACAGCACTTTGCACAGAAATATTTATCCCCTGACTATGTGACATTAGACCAGAGCTCTGCAGTTCAGTCTCCCAGTCATGTTAAGACACCAGAGGAGGATGGCATATTCCCAGAAAGGTTAACTCCAGCTTGGGGACAGACACTTCCCAGCCCCCAAGGTCCATATAAACCAGGGCCTCTCCAATCCCAGTATGGCCCAAGAGGCAGGACCCTTCCTGCAAATATAGGGCTGGGTTTGGGGCTGGGCCAGGCCAAGGTCACATATCAGCAGCAGAAAAGGTCACTACCTCCTCATGGAAACTAAGGCGGTCACCTAAGCTCAGATCCTCCGCGTCCTCTTCCTGCTTGGATCCTGTCAAGTGATCCAGCACCTGCAAAGAGCCGGGAAACCAGAGCTGGCGGATCCTGCACTTCAACCCCCTGTCCCGTGTGCTGGGCCGGTGAAAGGCCTGGGTCCGCCAGCCACTTCCCTGGGGCACGCACGTCACTCTGCTTCTGTGTTCCCATTAAGAAAAGGGAAGCCAGTGATCCCCACCGCACAAAGGGACAGATGGAACGGCACTTTGAAAAAAAACTACCGGCTAGGTGCGGTGGCTCATGTCTGTAATCCCAACACTTTAGGAGGCCAAGGTGGGTGGATCACCTGAGGTCAGGAGTTCGAGACCAGCCTGGCCAACATAGTGAAACCCCGTCTCTACTAAAAATACAAAATTGGCAGGGTGCTGTGGCTCACACCTGTAATCCCAGCACTTTGGGAGGCTGAGATGGGCAGATCACCTGAGATCAGGAGTTCAAGACCGGCCTGGGCAACACGGTGAAACCCCGTCTCTACTAAAAACACAAAAATTAGCTGGGTACAGTGGTGGGCACCTGTAATCCCAGCTACTTGGGAGGCTGAGGCACGAGAATCGCTTGAACCCAAGAGGCAGAGGTTGCAGTGAGTAGAGATTGCGCCACTGCACTCCAGCCTGGGCAACAGAGCGAGACTCTGTCTCAAAAATAAATAAATAAAAATATAAATAAATAAATAAATACAAAATTAGCCAGGCGTGGTGCACATGCCTGTAGTCTCAGCTACTTGGGAGGCTGAGGCAGGAGAATTGCTAGAACCCAGGAGGCGGAGGTTGCAGTGAGCTGAGATCACGTCACTGCACTCCAGCCTGGGCAACAAGAGCAAAACTCCATCTTAAAAAAAAAAGAAAGAAAGAAAGAAAAAGAAAAGAACTACCACAGTGTCATGCACATGGGAGCTGCTGCCAGGCTGGCAAGAACCACAGCACCGATCTCTGGGAAGTTTTGGTTCCCTCAATGCCCATGCTCTGTCTACTCTGGGCCTCTGCAGACCTGCCCTCTGCCTGAAACTCTCTCCTCCTGTATCCTTTGTGGCTCACCTGAGAGGTCCCCTCCCATGAGCTCAGCCAGCAGCAGGTGCAGGGCTTGCCCCACCCTCAGGTCACCAGCTGCAGGTGTCCTCAGCTGGGCCTCCCATGACTCTCCAGGTCTGGGTTATGGCTGCTCCCTGGCTCCCAAAGATGCCCTAAACCCCCACCTCTGCTGGCGTGCCATGCTGGGCCTGTCTTCCCCAGACAGGGGTCCCCAAGAGGTTGAGGACCATGGCCGCCTCCCCACCCAGCACCCCCAGTCCCAGCACACAGCCTGACACTGAGCAGAGATGGCTCTCAAACCATGCGGAATCAATGGCTCAATCCCATTAATTGATTTAAGCTTTCCAACACAGCACTGTTTACAACAACAAAAAATAGAGCCGGACACCATGGCTCATGCCTGTAATCGCAGCACTTTGGGAGGCTGAGGCAGGAGGATCACTTAAGGCCAGGAGTTTCAGACCAGTCTGGATGACAAAGTGAGAATCCATCTCTACGAAAATTTTTTTAAAAAATTAGCCAGGCATGGTGGCACAAGCCTGTAGTCCCAGCTACTTGGGAGGTTGAGGTGGGAGGATTGCTTGAGCCCAGGAGATTGAGGCTGCAATTGGCCATGATGGTGACACTGCCCTCAAGCCTGGGCAACAGAGCAAGATGCCATCTCAAAAACAAACAAACAAAAAAGAAAAATAGAAAAAGCCTAACTGCCTGGCAATAGGGCTTTGACTGAGTAAGTTAAAATATAGACTATTGAGGCGTAATGGAATATTCGTTTTTTTTTTTTTTTTTTTTTTGAGACAGAGTCTTGCTCTGTCACCCAGGCTGGAGTATAGTGGTGTGATCTCAGCTCACTGCAACCTCTGCCTCCTGGGTTCAAGCAATTCTCCTGCATCAGCCTCCCAAGTAGCTGAGATTACAGGTGTCCACCACCACCACGCCTGGCTAATTTTTGTATTTTAAGTAGAGACAGGGTTTCACTATGTTGGCCAGGCTGGTCTCCAACTCCGGACCTCAGGTGATCCGCCTGTCTCAGCCTCCCAAAATGCTGGGATTACAGGCATTAGCCTCCTTGCTCAGCCATAATGGAATATTCTGTATCCATTCACAAGGAGGAGGCCCACTACTCACTATTAAGGTAGAAGAACAAATTATGTATCAGGAAGGTGCCTGAAAGTCTTTTCTGGGTGGTAGGATTATCGGTGATTTTCATTTTCTTCCTATTACTTATCTGTTATTTTCTAATTTTCTTTGACCACTAGCTATTGCTTATGTAACAATAATAATAAAAGGTGAAAAACAATAAAGGGGGAAGACTGGGGAAGCTCAAAGTTGAAAGGCCAAACCTCCAGAGCTGTGAGAACCTGACCTTTGGCAGATGCTGCCAGGTGGGAGCCACAGTGGGTCTGAGGGGGAGGCCAGAGCTCACCGCCAAGCAACCTGATATAATACCATCCTGGCCATCAAGTTCAGGCTGCTGAGGCTCCTCCAGGAGGGAAGGAGTTCCCTGGCTGGGGACTGAACCCCGAGGACGGAAACTCTTCCTGAGTATTTGCTGTGTGCCAGGTACCAGGGGTGGCCCTGGCATGAAGCTCACAACAACCCTCTTGAAGGTAGCTGCAACCATCCCTGTGCTACAGATGGGTAAGGGAAAGCAGAGAGCTGAGGTCATCATGGAGACAGGCGGAAGGGAAGCCCTAAACACAGCAGAATGGGGTCTTCGTGCTCAGCCTCGTGCAGCGCATGCTTCTGGCCACCCAAGTTCTATGCCAGGTACCAGCATCCTGTGCATATTACCCTGGGGACCTGGAGCTCTGTCTGGCCTGGAGCCCTATCTTGCTCAGTTGCCCAGGCTGGAGAGCCGTAGCATGATCCAGCTAATTGCAGCCTCAACCTCCTGGGCTCAAGCAATCCTCCCACCTCAGCCTCCAGAGTAGCTGGGACTATAGGCTTGTGCCACCATGCCTGGCTAATTTTTTTTTACTTAGCAGGGACACCTCCGGACTGGAGGTCTGATGGGTCATAGGCTTTCCCAGTTGGATGGTACCCAACCACTCCTCACCACCCCAATGCCCCCACCCACGCCCGGCCTTCAGCACTCATCACGGAGAGAGACTCTTTATTTGTGGAATCCATCTGCCATCTCTGGGCTAAACTACCACAGTCCTATCTGCTCACAGCCACTGGGGGCTCAGAGGCTGGGCACACAGACAGAGCCTACCTAACACAAATTTGTTGCTCTCCTTGCCCTCATCACAGAAACTGAGTCCTCATTCTAAAGTCCAGCTAACAAGTGTTCATGGGAAGGACTCTCCATTCCCCAACCCCTTTGCCTGGCACTCAAGGCTGTGCTCAGCTCCCTGCCTTGGATAAGCAAGGGTCTATGCCAGGCCATGCCCTCCACTCACCCTTACCCCAAGTCTGCTGGTTAAAAATCCCTCCTGTCCTCCAAGATTGAGCTCAAACACCCCTCTTCCAGAATTTTCTCTTCCCTCTTCCCCGCTCCGGAGCCTGCCCTGTGCTTGCAACCCCCTTGGGGCTCCAGTCGGGCCAGAATGGCTTAGATTCTGAAGTCAGACAGGAATCAAATTGTTCCACTAAATACAGTCAATAGGGTTATTCTTTTCTTTTTCTTTTTCTTTTTTTTTTTTTTTTTTTTTTTGCTTTTTGAGACAGGGTCTTGCTCTGTCACCCAGGCTGGAGTGCTATGGCACGATCTTGGCTCACTGCAATCTCAGCCTCCCAAGTTAAAGCAATCCTCCTGCCTCAGCCTCTCGAGTAGCTGGGACCACAGGTGTGCAACCCCATGCCCGGCTAATTTTTGTATTTTTAGTAGAGACGGGGGGTGGGGGTTTCACCATGTTGGCCAGGCTGGTCTCAAACTCCTGACCTCAGGTGATCTGCCCACCTCAGCCTCCCAAAGTGCTGGGATTACAGGCGTGAGCCACCAAAATGCTGGGATTACAGGCCTGAACCACTGCACCCACCCAGGTTATTCTTTTTGATTTAATCCACTCACTGTAAAAAAACAAAAAACAAAAAACAAAAATCAGGAGAGAATAAAAAAATTAAAATAATCCATTATCCCACCACTCCAAAATAACCTCTATTTATATTTTGGTGAATTTCTTTCCTTATTTTGTTCTATGCCTATACAAACATACACACTTTCAGACATACAAAACTGAATCATCACTTTTAATGGCTTCATATTATGCCATTGAACAATGCCTGTTAATACATTGTTTCCATTCCATCCCCCATGCTGTAATGTAACCATTTTGTTACCTAACGCGGTACATTCTAGATGTGAAATGTTGGGGTGGGTTTCTCCCAGGGCTTTGGGCCACCTTTCTGCTGTCCTGTGTATTGGTGGAGGGAGTGGGAAGGGGGACGACCACCCTTACCAGCCCCCATTTCCTGCCTAGCCTTTAGAAGATCCCAATACTTTAGTCACAGTGGTTTCTGTCTAGGGACACACAAAGGAGGGATTTAAAGACAACAAACCCAGCTCTCGCTGCAGTTCCACAGTCCCCAGGCTAAAACCCCGAAGCCAGCCCGCCCACCCAGAACCATGGGGGGCCAGCGGCGGACCCTGGGCCTCCTGAACAGCATTCCCTAGTGGGGAGCGGCAGCTCACGTCTGTAATCCCAGCACTTTGGGAGGCCAAGGCAGGAGGGTCACGTGAACAGCACACCTCTAAGATGGGTGACGAGATCCTGAGGCCCCAGGTGGGCACAGGACTTGCCCCAGAGCTGAGCCTGCTCCCTTTCCCACTCAGTGGGCTGTGTTTCCTCCTCTGTGACAGGAGAGCAAACCACAGGCACTGCTGGGGAGATCCCAGGACACGTGAGCTCCCAGGGAAGAGTGGCCATTTCTTTATAGCAATTCGCCCTCCGGTAATGATTTTAATTAATGACTGAGTGGTAGTTGTTCTGTGTGTCTCCTGACCAGACAGGAGCTCTACAGGGGCAGGGCCCAGGTGAGCTTGACTGGGCTGTTTCAGCCACACCAGCTCAGATCCAAGCCCTGGGTGGGCCCTCAGTGGGTGCCCACCCCAAGCCTGACACACATGGGGTCAGTGGGGCCACCAGGACCAGGGCCCAGGTGTCCACCCCACCCTACCCGCACCCCTCCATCCCTGCCTGTCATGCTCAGAAGCTGCAGAAGGGCCAGGAATAGACAGGAACCCAGAGAGAGAGCCGCCCTTCCAAGAAAGACTCTACCCGCCTCACCCTCGGGGCTCAAGGACAAGAATGAAGGGCTCAAAGCCAGTGAGTCACGCTTCGAGGAATACAGGCAGGAGGAAGGAAGTTGTGGATGGCCACATGGCTTCGTGCCTGCGGGTCTGAGACACGGAGGGGCCCAAACCACTCCTTCCACAAGGGCAGGGGGTACGTCACCACCCCAAGCCCCTCCCACATCTGCCCTGCCCCTCTGTAACCAACCCCCACCAACCACACACACACACATTCTGCACCTACCAGGACCTTCATCCAGAGAGCTTTGGGATCCCCATGCTCCCAGGATGTAGGACCTTGCAATGGCATTCATTCATTCATTCATTCATTCATTCATTCATTCCTGCTAGGGAACTAAAACAATTTGCACTAATAAATGTTCATTACAGTTATTGACTCCTCAGCATTTCTTGTGCTTTACACACATAATTTAATAACCTTTACAATCCAGTGGAGTAGAAGCATCATCATGCCCATTTTACAGCCAATGAAACTAAGGCATAAAGCCTGACCTAGGGTACTTGTTCAGCTGCTGGTGGAGCAAGTCTGAGCTGTGAGGCCACCTGTCCACCTCAGGGGAGCCCATGGTGAGTTAGCCCGCAGGTACTCATATCACAGATGGGAATTAGAATCACAACCACGGGCTGGGCGTGGTGGCTCAAACACCTGTAATCCCAGCACTTTGGGAGGCCAGGCAGGAGGATGGCTTAGCTCAGGAGTTTGAGACCAGCCTGGGTAACACAGGGAGACTCTGCCTATACAAAATATAAAAATAAATTAGCCCCATGTGGTGGTGCACACCTGGGGTCCCAGCTACTGGGGAGACTGAGGCAGAAGGATTGCCGGAGCCCGGGAGGTTGAGGCTGCAGTAAGCTATAATTGCAATACTGCACTCCAGCCTGGGCAACAGTGCAAGACCCTGTCTCAAAAACAAAAATGAATCACAACCATGTGAGAAGGGCTACAGGTACACACGGGTGGCCAAGGGGCTGTGGGAGCTCAGAGGAAGAGCCTGATCCAGCCTACCAGGAGTGGGGCTACTGGCTGCAGGGCTTGGTCTGTGAGGGCATTTCAGGGTCTGGGCTTGACCTCGAGGGCACAGGACAGCCTGGAAGGGTCAGTCTGAAGGAGGGTGACACATGGTTAGTAGCAAGGTCACTCTACTACCAGAGGCTCTTATCCAACCCCTCCATTGAACCATGGGGGAAACTGAGGCTTGGAGGAGAGGCAGGAGTTCACCCAAGGCCACAGAGGTCTGAAGCAGGACCGGCCTCCCATCTACAGAGCTGGACTCCCAGAAGCCACACAGGGGACTGCAGGAAGAGGGGAGGGAGGGCGGGGGCTCAGCCCCAATTGCACAGGAAGTCTGCCAGGCTCCACCCGGGGGCCTCCAGGCAGGGCAAGCTGCCCAGCCCCCAGCCTGCAGGGCAGGCACCAGAAACAGCTCCTCTCGGATTCTGCCACAATCTCAGCAGGAAGACAGGAAAGCTGAGCTGGGCAGCCTGCTAAAGTCAGGCCAGGATTGGAGGTTTGGCCTCCCAGGACCAGGCCGGCTCTCAGGTCACTGAGAAAGTCACTCCTCTGCTCCAAGAGGGGCCCCTGCCTCTGGCCAGAGAGAAATGAAGAGTTTCTGAGATCCCAGTTGGCCTCGGGTCAGGGTGAGTGAAAGGGCTCAGTGTATTCAACCAGTTGGCTCAAATCTTTCCCCATCCTGCCACCCTCCTTGAGAGATGGGGTGACCTCCACTCTAGAGATGGGGAACTGAGGCCCAGAGGAGAGACGCCCCTTGACCAAGGTCACACAGTGAGCTGTGACTGTCCCAAGCTGGGCCAGGAGGGCTGACCCCAGGAGAGTCCTAGGGGGTCAGCCCCTACCTCCTTGGAAGAAAGGGCTGCCCCTTCCCCCTCCTCTTTTCCTGGCAGCCTGAAATATAGGAGTGGGGGTGGGAGGGGAGTGTGGCTTTGGCTTTTTAAGTCCAACACAGCCCCTCACTGTCTGCGCATAGACGGGCCTGGGCTGTCTCCTCGGACACAGGCCCATCTGTGAGGCCCGCACAGGGCTTGCTTCTCTCCCAGAGAGCTTGTTTGTTTACCCAGTTTTCATAATTATAAGTTCTGCAGCCCCACCCGGCCCAATCATTCCTTCCCTCACCATCCCTTGCCGTCTGGGGCCCTGCACGGGTGCGGGGGGTGGGAGTACGAAGTCGGAGAGGGAAAAGCTTCATGCTGGGGTCAAGGCCCTGGGTTCCAGCCAAGCTCTGGTGCCCCTGAGAGCATAGGCATGTCCCATCATCTTCCTGGGCCTCAGTTTACTGGGGCATGAGAAAAAGGAGGGGATTGGTTAGAGGAGCTCATGGGGTCCTCCAGAACTAGGACGAGGAAGGGTCTGGGCCTGAAAAAGAAAAGCAGACACTTCTCATCAGCACCTCAAAAATCAAGGCAGGGCTAGGGGAGGTGTGGTAGGGTGAGAGGCACACACCTTCCCCAGCCCATCAGGCCTGCCCACCCCAAAGCTCAAACTCAGCTCTCTTTTCTACCCTTCGCCTCCCAGAGAATACTGCTCTCAAAAAAAGCAAAAACAAAAAGCAAAACAGAAGTGCAATTGTCAGCTCCCTCCTCCTCTAGATGCCTGAATCACCCCTTAAATCTCTGACAGGCCGGGCAAAGGACACACAGCTTCCCTAAGAATTCAGCTAAAACGCAATTGCCATTTACTGAGCACCCTGCACAGGCCAGGAACTGCGCAGTGCACCTCCCAGAACCTTCACCCAGCCCAAAGGCAGGGAGCACCAATCCCATCTTAGCGACAACTGGACCTCCAAGGAGGAGAGCTGTGTGCCGAAGGCCACACAGCTTTCAGTGACAGAAGCATACTGCCACCAGGTCAAAGCCAGACACGCTGCCTCTTGAGATGGGCCGACTGAGTGCTGAAACCAACATACACTCTGGGAAACAAAGATCCACGGGCTTTGTAACATGAGCCACAGCACATCCAGCTTGATGGAACCTTCTTGGCTGGCATGAGTTCCATGAGATCAGGGCTCATGTCACTGCTTTGTCCCCAGTTCCCAGCTCAGGCCAGGAACAGGACAGCTTTCAGAGCAAGCTCTTCCTTCAACGGCAAGATGGCCTCCTGCAATGTGGAGGTGCTGCACCTGCTCTGTGCCTTCAGTGCAGCCTAAGGCCCACAGGTTCCTAAGGGGTCACAGCTGGAAGTGCATGCCCGTTGCACAGATAGGCAAAGTGAGGAGGAGGCACAGAGAAAAGGAAGGGCTTGTCAGAGGCCTCCAGGCACCCATCCTGGGGAGCCTGCCTCCTAGCCCGCACCCACCAGTGGTTCCTGGCAGGTGGAATAAATCAGAGGTGACTGGAGCACGAGTGGGTGGGCAGCTTCTTCCCAAGGGACTCCTCTTCTAGAAGGTGCTAAGCTTCACAAATTCGGCTGGACACAAATAGTTCTGCTCAGCATGGGGCATGGGAAAGATGGACAGCAGCTGCAGTTGGCTTGGCCACAGATGGGCAGGTGGGAAAGTGGGGTCTGCACTTTGCAAACCACAGTTCATTCTTCCTCCCCTCCTGGATGCCCAGTTACTCCCTGGGCCCCCACCCCTGCACGTGGACCCTCTACCCAGCACCCTGACCCACACCCGGCACTTCTGATCTGCAAGAGGAGGGCCTCCCTTGGCCAATGTCCTATGTGAACCACATAGAACGGTAACAGTGGATGAACCAGGAGCCGATGCTCCCTAAGCACAAAGAGCTAAGGCCACATCATCTCACCGACCCTGCACAACAGCCTCAGGGGCCTGGGATACTGCTGTGTCCACTTTACAGATGAGGAATTTGAGGTCCAGAGAAGGGAGGGCAGCTGCCAAATGACAGGGCAGTCCTGACAGCATCTCAAACCAGGTCCTCTGACTCCCGGCCTCTTTCTACTCTGCCCTTGGAGGGGAAGAAGGTTCTCATTTTCAGGGTTGCCTGGGAAAGGACTGAGTTTCCTGTCACTAGAGGAGTGGGAGCAGAGGCTGCAAGACCAGTGGTTGAAGGTCTGCCTTGATAAAACAACCTACAGAATCCAGACAGGTTTCCCTGTAGCCAACAGTCACGTACATCAGCTCGCCCCAGCCCTGCACAGCACCATCACTGAGGCCTGGCCACGCCACCCACCCTGTACACACATATCCCTCATTGCACCCGACCCCCACACACGCAGGTCCAGTCCCTCTCACCATGGGGTTCACCTCCTCCCATCCACACTCACTCACAGCTGACCCACCGGTGCCACTTCTGCCTGAAAATGCCTCCAAGGCCTCCCTGGGACCCTAAGGACAAAGGCCCTTCCTCGCCAAGACCAGCCTTTGTGTTTCCCTCTACCTCCCCCATCCTGAGTCCCAGCAGGCTGGCCCACCCCAGGCCAGTCTCCCTTACACCTTCCCAAGGAAGGCCTTTCCCTTTGGGAACATTGCTTGCCCTGAGGAGGGACAGCCAGCCAGGAAGCACACACAGGCAGACACCATGTGATTGTGTAGCTGCGTGTCCCTGGTGCCCAGCACAGCGCCGGGCACACAGAAGGTGTTCAATAACTATTGATTGAATTCATACAAGAAATAAGGACTACGTGTGTTGGGGGCCAGAGCTCATCACACCCCTTGATGGTCTCACAGGCATGCACCTCTATTTCTACATAGAAGCCACCAGCCCTGCCTTTGGAAGGCATCTTGAGACCCCTACAAAAGGGTTTTCAGAGGCAGAGAATTCCCAAGAGTAGATACTGGCCTTGAGGTCACAGACAGGGAGAAAAGGCACAGAGAGGCATGGCCATTGGGTCCAGAGTCACACAGCAAGTGGTCAATGGGACCAGGCTTAAGGCTTACAAGTCTAGTTCTTGACACATGGGTGGGCAAGGAGGGAGCATGTTCCCATCCATCTTCTAACCCTTTTCCTCTGTGCACTGCCAAATGCCAGGCACAGAGTGGATGCTGCTGCGGAGTGACTGACCTTGCTGGAACCACAGCCCCATCCCACCGTCCTCCAGGAACTCGCTGAATACCCCAGGGGTCCAGGGCCATAGGCTGGTGCTCCTCTGACCTTGGAAGGGAAGAAGATTCTCATATTTAGGGCTGCTTAGGAAAGGAGTGGGTCATGTCAACTTCCTGGAGCACATGGCAGGGAGCAGGGGATGCACGAGGCCACAGACAGACCAGACACATCTCCCTGGGTGTCAAGTTAGCTCAATAAAGTCACAATCATAACAGCTACCACTCACATATTGTCACCTCCCACCAACACTGTTCTGCGCTGACCAGGGGACTTGACCTTCATACCTTGAGATGCCAGAACTCTCATCCTCATGTAAGGAGGGCTCTAAGACTCAGACAGGTTGACTAACTTGCCCCCGAACACCAGTCCATCCAGTGGCAGAGCCAGGACTCAAACCCAGTCTGACTGCAAAGCCTTACCCCAAAACCTCTGGGCTCCCTGCTTCTTCAGGCTTACCATCCACCACGTCACCAGGCAGGCCCCTTCACCTTCGTGGGCCAGAAGCAGCCCAGCTCCAAAAAAATGGGACCAGTCCCAGGGGGTGGACACTTCCTGTTCTTCCAGTTTTAAAATTTTTGAGATCAAAAGATTGTACCCTTCCATGACTCAGGCCCTAAGATTCTACCAGGAGAAGAGAATGGCTTTGCTCCACCCTCACGGGTTTTAAACCTAGGCATCTGCCCGGACTCCTTCCTTAAACCTCTGCCCAGCAGCGTCTACAGAATACCCTTCTTCCTCCAGCACAGAAGTGGATGGGGTGGGGCAGGGGAAGGAAAAAGCAGTGCAGGAATTTCTGCAACCGCAGGATGATGCTTGCAGGAGCCCGGGGTGCAGTGAGTCATGAGCTCTGCCCGCGGGGAAGGAGGAGGGGGGCGCAGGGACGGAGAATGGGGCTGGTCAGAGGCTGTGAGTCTCAGACTGAGTAATGACGGGTGGGATAGATTTGTGCAACCTATGGGAGGGAGACTGACACAAGCTGCTCTATTCCCACTCGGCTCCTCCTCCCACTTCCTCTCCCCGCCTCCGAAAGCTTACCTCTCTTGGAGGCCTTTTTCAGTGTCCCCCTGCCCAGTCTGGGCACCACGGATGACATACTAATAGCAGAACGTGGTTTAAATAGCTAAGGCCTTGGACTATCCGATCCAGGCCTGCCACTGAGGTGGGAATTCAATAAGATGATACAGACAAAGGAAGGCTTGGCACATAGCAAGTGCTCAGTTAAACCGTTGCTAATGTTTACAGTTATCACTCCGAGCCTGATTACTGCCCCTCCCTGCTCTATCAACCATGTCTTCAGACAGAAAATATATATCCATTCCTACACACCGCAGGCTAGACTCTATGGCCACACACCCAGAGGCCATGGTCATCAGTCCCCGTCCCCAGTACACAGGCAGCCCCTTCAAGCCCACTAGCCCCGAACGATGCTCAGAGATGGCAGGAAGGAGCCTCCCTCTAAATGCCCAGGTTGGCGGAAGCAGAGCACGGGAAGAGTTGGGCTGGGAGATGAATCGGTCTTCGACAGGGAAGTTGACTGGAGCCAGAAAAGAAACACACACAGTGGCTCTGTTTGCCCCTACAAACCAACATGTGAGAAACAACCTCATGTCCAGCATTAGGGAAAAAGCTGGGAAAGTGACCCTCTGTCCTCAAATGGAATAAAATGCAGCCTTTGGGGATGCTTCCAGGGAGGTTTTAATGACCTGGGAGAGATGTTTACTATAGATCATGTAGTGAAAGAAGCAAGACACAAACTTGAGTCATGGTCCCGGTAAAGTGTAATGATCGACACAGATGGGAAGTACTCCCAGAGGATGAAGTGGTTATCGCAGGACGGCGGGTGAGTGGTTCCTAGTCCTGTTTTTCCGCTTCACTCCTTGGACAGCAGGGAGGGCAGCCATGGCCCCGCGTGGGTTTAGAAAGGTCCCTTTGGCAGCGTGTGTGGGAAGGACTAGAGGCTCCGAGGAGGCTGGAGCAGCTCTGAGTAGGCGAGGCCGGCACTCAGGCCCCAGCAGTGGAAAAGGAACAGAGTCAGGGGGACTAGAGGAGGCTGGATGGAGGGGAAGGCAGGGTCAAAGCCAACAAAAGCATGTTATATAAGACCCAACAGAGAGACAGCATCATCCCCAGACACTTCGCCCCCAGGGGCTGACCCGGACCTTGGCTAAGGGCAGCGGCCCAGGCCCAGGCACTGCTTCCGGCCAGCCTGGTCTCTCTGCAAAGTCCAGGGGAGCAAAGAGGAAGCCACACAGCAGGGTGAGGGGTGGCAGAAGGTGGAACCCCTCCATCCCTTCACTCTTGGCATCTACAGCCACTTCCCAAATGTTGAGAGGTAGATTTTTTTTTTTTTTGAGACAGAGTCTCACTCTGTCACCCAGGCTGGAGTGCAATGGTGCGATCTCGTCTCACTGCAACCTCCACCTCCCGGGTTCAAGCGATTCTTGTGCCGCAGCCTCCCAAGTAGCTGGGACTACAGGCACGCACCACCAGGCCCGGCTAATTTTTTAGTAGAGACGTGGTTTCATCATGTTTGCCAGGCTGGTCTCAAACTCTTGACCTCAGGTGATCTGCCTGCCTGTCTCCCAAAGCGCTGGAATTACAAGCGTGAGTCACCGCGCCCAGCAGAGAGGTAAGTTTTTAAAATCACTTTGGAAAGAAGCATTATTTGTTTTGCTCAATAAATAATTAAGACACCCTTCTTCTCATATCTGGTTGTCAAAAGGATGAAAATGCTCAATGCTAAGGTCCATCTTAGCAGGAGAGTGTCAAACGCCTGCTGCCTTCTTAAAGGCTATGTGTCCATCTATCAAAAGGTGACCCAGGCAGGGCATGGTGGCTCACGCCTATAATCTCAGCAATTTGGCAGGCTGAGGCAGATGTATCACCTGAGGTCAAGAGTTCGAGACCAACTTGACCAATATGGTAAAACCCCATCTCTACTAAAGATACAAAAATTAGCCAGGTGTGGTGGTGGGCACCTGTAGTCCCAGCTACTCAGGAGGCTGAGACAGGAGAATTGCTTGAACCCAGGAGGCGGAGGTTGCAATGAGCCGAGATCATGCCACTGAACTCTAGCCTGGGCAACAAAATGAGACTCTGTATCAAAAAAAAAAAAAAAAGGTGACCCAGGAGTTCCATTTCAGGGCCTCTCTGATACTGGAATATTACAGAGGGTTTGTACCAGCAGGTTCAAGCAGCACTGTGAATACTAGCAAAATAGTGGAAACAACCCAAATGCCCATTCACAGAGGGCTGGGTAGACAAACCATCCATGCACAGAAACGAACTCACCAAGAAAAGAATGAGGTAGTCTTGTGTGTTCTGACACAGAAAGATGTCCACCAATTTACCAAGTGAAAAAAATCAAACCACAGAAGCATAGAGTAATATCTCTTTTTATAGGTTGGGCGTGGTGGCTCATGCCTGTAATCCCAGAACTTTGGGAGGTCGAGGTGGGTGGATCACCTGAGGTCAGGAGTTCAAGACCAGCCTGGCCAACATGGTGAAACCCTGTCTCTACTAAAAATACCAAAATTAGCCGGGCATGGTGGTGCACGCCTGTAATCCCAGCTACTCAGGAGGCTGAGGCAGGAGAATTGCTTGAACCTGGGAGGCGGAGGTTGTAGTGAGCTGAGATCTTGCCACTGCACTCCAGCCTGAGTGAGACGCCATCTCAAAAAAAAAAAAAAAATCTGTTTTTATAAACCAAGCTATTATGAGCATGTACAGAGAGAGGTAGGTTTGGAAATGGTGACACACCACACTTAAGTGACTTCTTCTGGGAAGTGGGATTTAACGGAGAAAGATGGAGGGTGTTTTCATGTTTTATTTTACCCTCCTAAATTGTTTGTACATGTGTTACTTTTGCTCAGGCAATCCTTCCAACTCAGCCTCCCAATTAGCTGGAACCACAGGCGCATACGACAATGCCCGGCTAATTTTTTGTATTTTTACTAGAGACGGGGCTTTGCCATGTTGCCCACGCTGGTCTTGAACTCCCCAGCTCAAGCAATCCGCCCTCCTCAGCCTCCCAAAGTGCTGAGATTACAGGCGTGAGCCACCACGCCTGGCCTGTGCACACATTACTTTTGCAATTAGACAAAATGTTCAGTGGTTGCCTAGATTTAGGAGGGACTAGGAGGAAACAGGAGCGACTACTAAGGAGTAGAGGATTTCTTTCCGGGCTGATGAAAATGCTCCAACATTGATGGTGGCAATGGTTGCGCAATTCTGTGAATATACTAAAAACCGCTGAAGTGTACACTTTAGGTGGCTGAATTGTATGGTAGGTGAATTACGCCTCAATAAAGCTATTATTTTTGGCTGGGCGTGGTGGCTCACGCCTATAATCTTGGCACTTTGGGAGGCTGAGGAGGGTGGATCACCTGAGGTCAGGAGTTCGAGACCAGCCTGACCAATATGGTGAAACCCCCGTCTCTACTAGAAATACCAAAATCAGCCAAGCATGGTGGTGTGTACCTGTAACAGAGGGCTGAAGCAGGAGAATCACTTGAACCCAGGAGGTGGAGGTTGCAGTGGGCTGAGATTGTGCCACTGGACTCCAGCCTGGGACAGAGAGTGAGACTCTGTCTCAAAAAAAAAAAAAAAAAAAAAGATGTTAGTTCATGGGCGGGAAGTTCACACCTGTAATCCTAGCACTTTGGGAGGCCAAGGCTCCCAAAGGAGGATTGGTTGAGCCCAGGAGTTCAAGACCAACCTGGGCAACATAGGGAGACCCTGTCTCTCTCTCTCTCTCTCACACACACACACACACACACACACACACACACAAATTAGCACGGCATGGTGGCGCATGCCTGTAGTCCCAGCTACTTGGGAGGCTGAGGTGGGAGGATCACTTGAGCCCAGGAGGTCGAGGCTGCAATTAGCTATGATGATGCCACTGCACTCCAGCCTGGGTGACAGAGCAAGACCTTGTCTCAAAAAAAAAAAGATATTACTCCAAGGTTGCAGGCATTATACTGGGACCTTGAGCTGGCTTCAGTCTGGGGGAGATTTGTGGGGAAAATTTGGGATTGTTAGGCCCTCAGAGCTGAAAGGGACTTCAGCCATCGAGTGGCCCACCCACTTCGGTTCACAACTAGGGAAACTGAGACCCAGGGAGAGGAAGTGGCCTACCCAAGGATCCTCAGGCCTCCCAGATCCCAGGCCAGGGATTCTTCCTCACGGCACACTGCCTCGTGTAAGGAGGCAGGAGTCATCCTGCCACCAGCCCCGTGGGGCTCCTGGTGTGGAAACAAGCCTCTGCTTGCCAGGGGCTTTGAAATCCCAGGATGAAAGGTGCCGTGGCAGCAAAACAGCACCGTGGCCGGGAGCACGCTTGACCTTTGCCAGGACTTGCAGGCAGGCTGGCATTCACCTGCTCACCTGCTTGGGGCGGGCACAAAGCTGCAGGTCAAACCTTGGAACCCTAACAGGCCTGGGAACTCAGAGCACTGTGGGAAGGGATGTCTCTAACTCTGACATTTCTACTGGGGCAGAGAACAAGGCCTCAGGTAGGGAGGGTTCTGGAATTTTAATTGCCAGCTTTGAGAGTACCTACTGCTCCTTGGGTGGGGTGAGGAGGGTGCCTGGATCACTGGAGGAGGCAAATACACGCCCTCATTCCCTTCCAGCAGAGATTTCAAAGGCAGCTCACTTCCTCTGGGGAGACTGGGAGGCTTCCCCGCTGCCCCCTTCCAACACCCCACCCCCCCACATCAGGAACTCCCCTCAGGTGAGTCTGGACCAGGAATTCGAGGCATTTAAAGAGGATTATAAATAGCACTGAAGTGTGGAGAAGAGAGAGACCAGCAGGCTCTGAGTGGGCACAACTTTCTTCCACCCAGCCTGGTATCCAGAAAATAAATCCAACCCTCTCCAGTAAAGGACACTTCACCTTCTGTGGTCTCAGTCCCCTCCCCTGTAACATGCCAGGGGAGAGAGGGTGGGCTGGCAATTCTCAGCCCAGGAGACGGGAAGACAGGGAGGCCCAGCACTGAGTATGGGGAGAGGAAAAACCCCACCGAATGCAAGGCACACCCCACCCAGGCCCCTCGAGGGGCCTCAACAGGAGGTCCTGAATGGAGGGACTGTTACAGAGCCCCAGGAGCTTGCTGCGACAGGGAGGGGACAGGAAGACTCCGCCCTGGCCCTTCCTCCTCCCACAGTCCAGGCCTGGTCGGATAAGGAGGCTTTCCAGGACTTAACCCCACGCTGGTCAGAGGCTAGAGAGGGTCCGATTCATTTTCACATCACCCCAGTCACCCCTGTGCCCAGCCAGCCCCAGGCCTGGCACAAGGGAGGGACTCTGGCCTTGGGACTTGGCCCGGGACCACAGTCACTTGGCAGATCTCCCCAGCACCTCCCTGGTGCCCAGCATGGGTGCGGCCCTGGAGACATGGAGTTAAAGGACACCTGGCCACTGCTCTCAGGGCTTCCTGCTCTCAAGGGAGCGTGGAGAACACGGTGGTGAAATTCTACAGGACACAAAAATAAGTGCAGGCGGACGCGGTGCTCAGGGCCCACTAGACAGCGAGGGGCGACCCACCTGAACCGTCACCCCACATACAAGTGCCTCTCCTATGCCAGGCTCTGTGCTAAGCAAGCCACATGAGTTACTTCACGTAAGCCTCCCAACAACTCATTAATAAGGAAGAAATCACTGACCCCATTTCAAAAAGGAGAAAACCAAGGTGTACAGGACAGATGTCTGGGAAGCAAATGCTGGGATTCCACCCAGGGCAGCTCCACCAGCCAGGAGAGATCGGCCAGAGAGGAGTTTCTCAGGCAGCCGAGATCCTCATCCTATCTCACTGTTCTCCAGAGTCTGTGGGGAAAAGGAACCCAGGCCCCCTCTGCAGCTCCGGCTTCCCCAGGAGCCTTGGGGACAG
Source organism: Homo sapiens (assembly GCF_000001405.40). NCBI lineage: Eukaryota > Metazoa > Chordata > Mammalia > Primates > Hominidae > Homo > Homo sapiens. The sequence continues at coordinate 127,568,083 of NC_000009.12, forward strand.
CTGTCCCTGGGAGAAGTGGCCACTGTGCAGTAATAGGCTGAGAGTAGGGTTGGCTGAAGAACAGGGTTGAAGGGGCTGGCGACTGGCCCTGAGGGCCCCCCACTCTGGTGACCGGTCCCTGGGCCCCTGCTGCTAGCAGGGGCAGCCTGCTGTCTGCGCCAAAGGACATGCAACCCCACCGCCTCCGGGGCGCCCCATCGATCCCTGGCCCCACTCCCCAGAATCAGTCCCGGGCCTTCATGGGCGCGTCCTTCAGGAAGCCTCCGCCACGTGTACCAGGGCTGGGGCCCGGCGGAGCTGGGGACGGGACGGCTGGGGAGGAAGGTGAGCGCGAGCTGGCTGGGTCTGGGAGATCCCAAAGCTGGTAGCGGATGGGCTTGCAACGCTTCTGGGCGGGGACAGCCAAGGGTGGGCAGCAGGCTGCGACCCCTGCCCCAGCTCGGCCAGGGGTCGTGGGCTGGGGGTCCGCCAAGCCCGGGCTCCGAAGGGGTTCCGGGAGAGAAGGAGTTCCGAGTCCCCTTGAGCCGGGAAAGGTGGCGCTCAGAAGAGCGCGGGAAGGGGCGCCCAGGCTCAGAGGGAACGAGCTCGGACGCGGGGCACGCTCCCTGGCAGCTCCCACCGGCCCGGCCTGACTCCCCCGAGCCCCCGGCCCCGGCGCCAACTGCTGGCCGGGGCGGGGGCGTGGTCCGGGGGTTCCGGCAGGCCCCTGGGCGCGCGTGGCGCGGCGCGACCCTCACCTGCGATGTGCTGGCGCCGGGCGTCGTCCAGGTGCGTGGACAGCACGTCCCCCATGGCCAGGAGGTGTCGCGGCCCGATCCGGCCGACGCCGCCGCTGTTGCCCGCGCTGCTCAGGCGGACGCCGCTGGCGCCATGGAGCCCGGCCCGCCCTGCTTCCCCCGCTCCCGCCGCTCCCGCCGCTCCCGCCGCCCGGCTGCGGCTTCCGCTCCGGCTCCGCTCCCGGTCGGGCCCCGTCCCTCCAGCCGGCCGCCTTGGCCCCCTCCCTGCCCTCGGCCCTGCACCCCGGCGCCCCGCTCCGCCCCACCAGACCACGCCCCCGCAGGCCAACCCCGCCCCCTCCCCGCCCGCTGCCCTGCGCCCGCCGCGTCCCACCCCGCCCCGCCCCGCCCCGCCCTCGGTCCTGCACCCCCCTGCGCCCCACCCAGCCCCTCCAGGGCCCGCCCCGTATGCCCCGCCCCCTCCGCTGCCTCCGGCGGGCGGGGCACAGGGGCGGTGGACGCCGGGACCGCCCTGGAGAAGGAGACAAAGAGAAGGTCCCAGAAAGGGAGACCGCGGAGAGACTGCGAAGAGCGCACCCGCCCTGTACCTAAGCAGAGAAAGAGACGGGGCTGGTGGGGACATCTGAAAAACTGGGGGTGCTCTGGGGGACTCCAGCCTGAGTGTCACCCCCCTCCCCTCCCCAACCTTGCCCGCGCGGGAAAAGAATCGCGCCGAGGAGGATGTGGGGCACTGGCAGGGGACGCCTGGACCTACGGGCCGGAATTCGGCGTTCGCCCCCTCCTCTACCCTGAACAGTGCCCCCTGCCCCCCCAAGTCCCGCCCGCCACTGCCCGCGCTCAGGAAGTTCCCTGGCCTTGATTCGACCTGCCCCAGAAGGTGTGCCCGCTGGTCTTGCACAACAGCTATAGGAAGGGGGTGGGGAAGGCTCGGGCCCGAAGGCACCCCCGCCCCAGTGCCAGGCGGGCTTGCCTCAGGCTCAGCATATGGGCATTTCACTCGGGAGGCGGCTTGGGGGACAGAGCAAATCAGAAAAGGAAAAAGCAGTAGCACTTTACAGTTTGCAAAAGACTACCAGAATCAAAACCCGGAGACCGACAGGCACCAGCCTATGGGGCTGGGCATGGGTGGGTCGCAGTGCCAGGGGAATGTGTTTCAGTTTCAGGACCTCCCAAGCTGGCAGGGGAGACAGTCAGGTTAACCAGTGGGATCCCCAGATCTCAATCCTTTGGCTGCTGGTGCTCAGATCTCCTGATCTGCACTGGGACAAGGCCATCCACTTTCTGCTTGTTGACCCCTGGTAACTAAGCACTCACCACTTCTCTCATGCATTTCACGTTGTTATTGGGCAGCTCTTAGTGTGACTGTGGCATAAGGCAGGAAGTGATGATGATAACAGTTAAATTTGCTGAGCACCTGTACTTCAGGCCTGTGCACACCACAGGAGGTAGGTTTGAAATGGATTAAAGTGATGCAGGCATTCATTCATGCATTCAGTCACTTACCAGTCATTCAGCAATGGGTGGTCAACACCTGTGTGCCAGGCCCTCTGCTAGATGCTGGGGGTGAAAAGAGAAGGAAGCCCAAGCTGCCCTCCCCTCTGTGACCCTGGACAAGTGGCATTACCCCTTTGAACTTCAGCTACCTCATCTGTCAAAAGAGAATGATGCTTTTTGCGGGAGGGTTAAATGATATCACAAAGTGCCCAGCATAGTGCCTGGCACCAGGGTCCATCATCTCTCAATGAACAGAACGTGTCATTCTATTATTCATAGTCCCTGCCCTCAAGAGCTTAGAGAAGCTTGAGGAAGGAGCAGAACATTCTGTTTTAAGGAAAATCACAGAGGGGGTAGGACCAGAACTGGAAGTTGAAAAACAAGACTTTTGACAGCAGATACTGAGAAACAGCATTCCAGGGAGTGGGGACAGCATGGGCAGGGGCCCAGCCTTTGAGGGCCGGGATGCATTCATGCGTCAAAGAGTCATCATCAGGTGGAGTTGAAGTCATGCTGGTTAGGGATCACTAGTTTCCTTTTATAGAGGTGGAAACTGAGGCCCAGAGAGGGAAAGTGACTTGCTAAGGGCACACAGTGAGGCAGAGGGAGAACCTGGCCAAAGGCCAAGTCTCCTGGCACCCAGTGTCTGATTCTCTCTGAGCAACCAGAAGCAAGTGATGCTGATAACCTCTTTTCATTTTTCTCATAGCCCAAACTGCAGGGTCTGTTCTGCCCAGGGAGGAGCTAGCTGGAGCTAGCTGGCATCTGGACACCAGAGGCATCTTCTTGGCTGGGCTGGAGGCCTAGGCCAGGGGGGTTAGAGATGGGGCCACAGTGGCCTTTCCCCAGGCTTCGTGGCACACCCAAGCCTGGAACACCCACAGCCTGCCTACCATGTGAGGCCCCTGGCCCAGGGACGGGTTCCTCCCTGGCCCAGGGACGGGTTCCTCCCTGGCCCAGGGTGGGACCCCAGATGGGGAGGCAACTTGAGCATCCAAAAGGTCTCCTCTTGCTTTGGAGACCTTCTGTCACATGTCACCTAATCCATCTGAGCATCCATGGCCTCATATGTGAGAGGCACATGAGATGAAAGTGGAAAGGCGGCCGGGCGCAATGGCTCACGCCTGTAATCTCAGCATTTTGGGAGGCCGAGGCAGGCAGATCACGAGATCAGGAGTCTGAGACCAGTCTGGCCAACATGGTGAAACCCCATCTCTATTAAAAATGCAAAAATTAGCTGGGCATGGTGGCACGCGCCTGTAGTCCCAGCTGCTCAGAAGGCTGAGGCAGAAGAATCGCTTGAACCCGGGAGGCAGAGGTTGCAGTGAGCCAAGATCGTGCCACTGCACTCCAGCCTGGTGACAGAGTGAGACTCCATTAAAAACAAAACAAAACCAAAGAAAAAAACAGAAAGTGGAAAGGCATTGTGAACAGTAGGGTGCTATGCACACATGTGAATAGCTCTCCGCAAATCTGGGGCCAGTCCCTGACAATTCAAGATTCATTCATTTCACACCAAAAAAAAACTGCCTTGTCTAGGGATGGGATGAAGGAGAATTGATGGCAAAAAAAAATCTGGAGGGAACTTTAGGGGGATAAAAATGGTCCTATGTCTTGACTGAGGTGTTGGTAAGAGAACATATTTATCTAAATTTATCAAACTGTACAGATGCATCAAACGGATGCATTTTATTATATCAAAATTATACTTCAACAAAGTTTATTTTATTTTTATTTTTGAGACAAGGTCTCTCTGTGTCGCCCAGGCTGGAGTGCAGTGGTGCAAACATGGACTCAGTGCAGCCTTGGCCTCCTGGGCTCAAGGCATCCTCCAATCTCACCCTTGGGTTACCACACCCAGCTAATTAAAAAATGTTTTTCATAGAGATGGGATCTCACCATGCTGCCCAGGCTGGTCTCCAACTCCTGAGCTCAAGGGATCCTCCCGCCTAAGCCTCCCAGAGTGCTGGGATTACAGGTGTGAGCCACCATTTATTTTAAAGTGAAAAAATAAACATGCAAGCACCTACTATGTGTTGGATGCTATTCTAGGTATTGGGGATAAATCAGTATGCAAGAAAGTCACGGTCCTCGTCTTCATAGAGGTTATAGTCTTATGAAAAAATACAACAAATAAATAAAATGACTTCAGAGAGTAATAAACATTAAGATGGGATAGGGTGACAAGTGGGGTTGGGGTGGGATGCCATCTAGGAAAGTGGTCTAGGAAGGAGGAGGAGATGATGCCTTGGGACCTGATTGGCAAGAAGGAGCCTGCTTGAAGAAGGTTCAGGAAGAGCTGCCATTTATGGAGATGGACCACAGACCAGGTGTCACACCAAGGACTTTTCTGCCTCCTACTGTCCTCACAGCTTCTGGGGTAGTAATGATAAAGCCCATTTTAGAGTTGAATAAATTGTTGCGAGGATTTTTTTTTTAATGATATTCAGGCTGAGCACGGTGGCTCACACTCATAATGCCAGCACTCTGGGAAGCTGAGGCAAGAGGATTGCTTGAGGCCAGGAGTTTGAGACGAGCATGGGCAACAGAATGAGACCCCGTCGTTAAATAATTTTTTAAAAAAATTAGCTGGGCCTGGTGGTGCATGCTTGTAGTCCCAGCTACTAGGAGGCCAAAGCAGGAAGACCTTGAGCCCAGGAGTTTGAGGCTGCAGTGTGCTGTGATCTCGCCGCTACACTCCAGCTTGGGTGACAGAGTGAGACCTTCCCTCTTTATAGATATATGTATGTACGTATGTATATATATTCCATTGTATGTATACAGCAATCCTTGTTCAAACACTGGAACAGGTAGGCACAGAGAAGGCGTGACAGGTAAAGGCGTGAGTGTGAGCAAAAGGAAGCAAGGTGAGTCCTTGTGGGGCCTAAGCCAGATGGCTGATCTAGGACTTCCTGCAGGGAAGGAGGGGTGGGCCCTGGCATGGACTGGTGGGACCCCAGATGGGGAGGCAGCCTGAGCATCCAGAACAGAATTTGTTGTTTTTTTTTTTCACTCTGGAAAGATTGTAAAGCTCTTTAAACTTTCTCAACTCTCTCTACTATATGTTAAGAAATCAATTATTGTAATAAAAAAAAGTTACAGTCTTTGGGTGGGGAAGGAATGAAGTTATTTGCCCTTTTTTTTTTTTCAAGGAAAGAAAAATAAACATAGTCATCAGCACTATGAAGGATTCCAGGAAGTTTGACATCAGAGAATTTCTCAACTCTAAAATGCTGGAAACCCCTGCCCTCACGCTGGAGGCCATTTTGATGTCCCCTTGTTACTTTTGAGTAAATGGAAACATCTTTTCACACATTTAGTGGCCATTTGTGGGTTTTATTTTTATTTTGTTTATTTCGAGACAGGGTCTCGTTCTGTTGCCCAGGCTAGAGTGCAGTGGCACGATCTCTGCTCACTGCAATCTCTACCTACCTTCTGGGTTCAAGCAATTCTCCTGCCTCAGCTTCCCAAGTAGCTGGGATTACAGGCACCTGCCACCACGCCTGGCTAATTTTTGTATTTTTAGTGGAAATGGGGTTTTGCTATGTTGGCCAGGCTGGTCTGGAACTCCTGACCACAAGTGATCTGCCTCCCTTGGCCTCTCAAAGTGCTGGGATTACAGGTATGAGCCACCGTACCCAGCCTGGCCATTTGTGGTTTTTAAAATTTATATCCTCTGCCTGCTTTTCTGTGGGAATGTCTATCTTTTTCTTATTGATTTGTAAGAGTTCTTTCTATAGCAAGGATTTCTGAAATCTGCAAGGCAGAGGGATATCTGTTCTTTTTCTAAGACTCTGGACGCTGTCTCTATTCACCAGGGGCTCCCACTCCCTTTTCTTGGCTCAGGCCCCAGAACCTGGTTGAAAATGCCAGGGCTGTGGACAAAGGGTGGCAATGGTCTACATCTGGAGCAGAGAGGAAAGGTTCTCCCTGCCCACTTGCTGGGCCTGCCCCTCTTGAACAGAGAATGCCACCTACAGGTCCTGACTCATCAGGCCTTTCTCTGGAAGTGGCTTCTGCCCACTGCCTCCCTGCAAACCTGCCCCGCCCCTCCCCTGCCCACCACATCCTCAAGCATATTTGGAAGCAGGGATCCAAGGGCGAAGAATAATAATATTTGGCTTTAAAAGGGAGGGTTCAGACGGTCAGAGCCAGAGCTTGGACCGAGACTCAGAGAAGGAAAGCAATTTGCCCAAGAGCATTCCGCAGGAGCCCAGCCCAAGACCCCTTGCTAGTCCTGTAGGAAGAAGGAGAGGCCCTTTCTCTCCCCATGAGTCCCTCTCCCTCCCAGTTGGCACGGAGTCCCAGCTCTGCTCTCCCCACAAACCTGTCAAACCTGAAATAGACCAGGAGAAAAAAAACAAACACCTCCAGTAAACAGCAAGGAGTGTGAATGAATCAGGATTTTGTTTTTAAGGAATATCATGTATCTACCTCTGTTTACCCAGTTGGCATGGCCCATTGTGCAGAAGGGACCCTGGCACCCAGCCCGGACCTCCTCTCTTTATTAACTGTTGGGTGGTGGAAAGGTCCGTAGCTTACAGCCTGTTCCGTCTGTCACCTGGCCTCAGGCTGCTAAACTCCCTCTTACTCTTTCAGTGGCCAAGCTGTCACCTCTCCCCAGCTCCACTGCCACCCCAAGTCCAGGGAACTGGCCTCCCTGCCTCCAGCCCCCCATGCATTCCTCACTGGGAGCCAGAGGAATTGTTGTAAACACAGATACGACCTTGCCATTCCCCCACTTCTAACCTTCTGTGGCTTCCACTGTCCTGGAGAGAAAGACTCCAGACATGGCACTGGGGGCCCCTGCCAGTCCCTCCCCCCACTTCCCCTCCCCATTCTCTAGCCACACTGAGATTTCACATCCTCAAACTAGCCCTGCTCCATCCCACCTCACAGCTTATGAAATATGGATTCTTTTTTTTTTTTTTTTGAGATGGAGTCTCGCTCTGTCACCCAGGCTGGAGTGCAGTGGTGCGATCTCGGCTCACTGCAAACTCAGCCTCCTGGGTTCAAGCAATTCTCTGCCTCAGACTCTCAAGTAGCTGGGATTACAGGTTCCTGCCACCACGCCTGGCTAATTTTGGTATTTTTAGTAGAGACGGGGTTTTACCATCTTGGCCAGGATGGTCTTGAACTCCTGACCTCGTGATCCACCCACCCCAGCTTCCCAAAGTGCTGGGACTACAGGCATGAGCCACTGTGCTGGGCCCTTTTTTTTTTTTTTTTCTTTTGAGATGGAGTCTTGCTCTGTCGTCCAGGCTGGAGTGCAGTGGCGGGATCTCTGCTCACTGCAACCTCCACCTCCCAGGCTCAAGCGATTCTCCTGCCTCAGCCTCCTGAGTAGCTGGGATTACAGGCACCCGCCACTATGCCTGGTTAATTCTGGTATTTTTAGTAGAGACAGGGTTTCACCATATTGATCAGGCTGGTCTCAAACTCCTGAGCTCAGGTGATCCGCCCGCCTTGGCTCCCACAGTGCTGGGATTACAGGCGTGAGCCACCGTGCCTGGCTGTGTGAAACATGGATTTTTTTCCCGCATCTTGCCCCACCAAGCAGCATTCAGCCTTCAACCTCAGCTAATTACCCTTCATCAGAGAGGACATTTCTGCACCCTGCCCCCCTACTAGGTCAGGCCTGCCATTATTATCACCCCCTCCCCAGTGTCCTAAACTCCTCCTTCATGGCAAGCATCACATTCAACATGATTTTGTGTGTGTGCAATTATCTGTTTAAATAAATCTTTCTCTCTGAGGACCAGGACTGTCCTCCTTCGACATGACATCACTAGCGTCAGTCGCAATGGGAGCTTGAGGGAGCACGTATGATGTGCAGAACACTATCCTGGGCACTGGAGGGGAACGTGACAGTGAGGGACCCACCTGGTCCTTGGGACCTCACAGGTTTGTTCATAGACCTATACTGAAACACTCATGCCTGCAGTGGCCATGACACATCATGGGGTACAAAGTCCCTTCTATAGTGCATGTGGGCCTCTGCTACTGTGCAGAGCTTCTGCTTGTAAACTTCCAGGAAGGGGGTGCCTTACCGCCTTCCCAGGCACAAATTCCGTGGTTGGATCCAACAGCACTGAAGTCAGGCAGGGGGCCGCTGAAGTGCCAGCAGACAGGCAGGGAGTGAGAAATAACTTCAGGATGATAAAGATAATGGAAGCGCCCGTTCATTGCAGGCTCCTGTGCTCAGTTCAGTGCTTTATAGCTTCTGCCTCATTGAATGGTCACAACTTTTGGGGAACACCCACTTTACAGGAGAGAAAACTGAGGCTTCATGAGGTATAAGTAAGAGATGAGGATGAGATCAGGCACAGTGGCTCACGCCTGTAATCCCAACACTTTGGGAGGCTGAGGCAGGAGGATCGCTTGAGCCCAGGAGTTTGAGACCAGCCTGGGCAACATAGCAAGACCTCGTCTCTATTTTTTTTTTTCCCAAGACAGAGTCTTGCTCTGTCACCAGGCTGGAGTGTAGTGGCGCCATCTCAGCTTACTGCAACCTCAGCCTCCCCAAGTGCCACAACGTCCGGCTAATTTTTGTATTTTTAGTAGAGACGGGGTTTCACCATGTTGACCAGACTAGTCTCAAACTCCTAACCTTGTGATCCACCTGCCTCGGCCTCCCAAAGTGCTGGGATTACAGGTGTAAGGCACCATGCCCAGCCTCTATTTTTAAATAATTTATTGTTATTTTATTTTAAAGTAACAGATGAGGCCAGGTGCAGTGGCTCACGCACTTTCAGAGGCCGAGGTGGGCGGATCACCTGAGGTCGGGAGTTTGAGACCAGCCTGGCCAACATGGTGAAAGCCCGTCTCTACTAAAAATACAAAAATTAGCCAGGCGTGGTGGTGCACGTCTGTAATCCCAGCTACTCGGGAGGCTGAGGCACAAGAATCACTTGAACCAGAGAGGCAGGGGTTGCAGTGAGCCGAGATTGCGCCACTGTACTGCAGCCTGGGTGACAGAGCGAGACTGTGTCCACCCTCCCCCCAAAAAAATTAAGAGATGAGGATGAGACCCATACATAGCTCTGCCTACTTTAGAGCTGCAATACCCCACGCTTCCCACACCATCCTCCAGATCCAATACCCCACACTTCCCACACCATCCTCCAGATCCAATACCCCACACTTCCCACACCATCCTCCAGATCCAATACCCCACACTTCCCACACCATCCTCCAGATCCAATACCCCACGCTTCCCACACCATCCTCCAGATCCAATACCCCACGCTTCCCACACCATCCTCCAGATCCAATACCCCACGCTTCCCACACCATCCTCCAGATCCAATACCCCACGCTTCCCACACCATCCTCCAGATCCAATCCTAGAGTTCAGCTCTTTCTCAAACACAAAATGGGCTTCTCTGCTATATCTTTTTGTTTGTTTGTTTGTTTCAGGGATAAGACCTCTTGCTCTGTAACCCAGGCTGGAGTGCAGTGAGTTGATCATGGCTTGCTGCAGCCTCAAACTCCTGGGCTCAAACAATCCTCCCGACCCAGCCTCCTGAGTAGCTGGGACTACAGGCATGCACCACTACACCTGGCTTTAATTTTTTAATTAAAAAAAAATGTTGGGCCAGTCACAGTGGCTCACACTTGTAATCTCAGCACTTTGGGAGGCTGAGGCAGGTGGCTCACAATGTCAGGAATTTGAGACCAGCCTGGCCAACACAGTGAAACCCTGTCTCTACTAAAAACACAAAAAAATTAGCTGGGTGTGGTGGTGGGTGCCTGAAATCCCATCTACTTGGGAGGCTGAAGCAGGAGAATCACTTGTATCTGGGAGGCGGAGGTTGCAGTGAGCTGAGATCGCGCCACTGCACTCCAGCCTGAGAGACAGAGCAAGACTCCATCTCAAAAAAAAAAAAAAAAATTTAGCTGGGCGTAGTGGCCTGTGCCTGAAATCCCATCCGGGAGGCTGAGGCATGAGGAATCCCTTGAACCCAGGAGGCAGACGATGCAGTGAGCCAAGATCCAGCCACTGCACTCCAGCCTGGGCAACAGAGTGAGACTTGGTCTCAAAAAAAAAAAAAAAAAAAAAAAGTGGCCAGGCGCCATGGCTTACACCTGTAATCCCAGCACTTTAGGAGACCGAGGCAGGTGGATCATCTGAGCTCAGGAGTTCAAGACCAGCCTGGCCAACATCGTGAAACCGTCTCTACTAAAAATACAAAAAAATTAGCTGGGCATGGCGGTGGGGCCCTGTCATCCCAGCTACTCAGGAGGCTGAGGCAGGAGAATCGCTTGAATCTGGGAGGCGGAGGTTGCAGTGAGAGTGAGGCGAGATCTCGCCATTGCAGTCCAGCCGGGGTGACAAGAGTGAAACTCCGCCTAAAAAAAAAAAAGAAAAGAAAAGAAAAAGAAAAAGAACCCCTTGTCAGTGGGTGCTGTAGTGCCTTAAGCCTATGACGCTTTGGGAGGTCAAGAAGTGAGGATCCCTTGAGCCCAGGAGTTTGAGGCTGCATTGAGCTATGATCATTCCGCTGCACTCCAGCCTGAGTGACAGAGCAAAACCTCCTCTCTAAACAAACAAACAAAAAAGAACCCCGTGTGCCTTGTGTCCTGGGGACTTGTGCACAAGTCTTACCTCCCATCCACCCCATCCTCCAGAGTGAGAGCCCCAAAAGGAAGGGACCGGAACTGGCCCAGTTCCTGACTCCTAGCACGTCCTTGAGAGCTGTTTGCTGCTGAGCCAGTGCCGGACAGTCACTCCCAGTTCCTCTAAGGCCAGCCAGGCGGGGTTTCAGGCCCCACCACCTCCCTCCCACCTCTTCCATGCTAGACTTTGTTTCCTGCTGGGCTGCAGCTGCCCCTCACCAGCTGGTGACTCAGAGCCTGGGCAGGATGACAGTGCCGATTGGGCCCTCGCAACCCTCTGAGCCTTCTGTGAATCAGCCTGCGGTGAGGCTGCGCCCGGGCTCCCGGGTGGGGCACCTCCACCCCAGCCTGGCCCTCCTTCCTCTCCCCTTTAGGTCTTGCTGATTTCTGTCCTCCAGGTCTTCTCAGTAGAATGAGGATAATCCTGAATTCAGAACATATTTCCTGAGTACGGTGAGTGCCCAGGAGATGGGGGCTGAGAGCTGGCTCCTGCGCTCCTGAGAGCACAGTTTCCTGGGCAGGAGCAGAGAGAAGGCCCAGAGGAAGATGGGAGGGAGGCAAGGCAAAGGATGCTGTGGGGAGAGCCCAGAGCTGGGCCGCAGGTGAGCAAAGACCACTGTGTGTTAAGGACTGGTCAGGGACCTGGGAGCAGAGAGGTTACGAGGACCGGGCCTTCCCACACCACATGGTGCCTCCGTGAGAATTAGCAAAGTCAGTGAAAACAGGCTGGGACTGTCTTGTGCCAGGGCCCCAGCTGGCTTGGCAAGTGCAGTGTGGGCTGGATTCAGCCCCCATCACCCAACGCATTTGTGCAGGGAGCCCTGAGTGAGGAGGCGGGGATGGTGCCGCCTCCTAGGGGACATTTGGAAATGTGTCTACGGAGGTGTTTTCATCGCCACTATGTCTGGTGTTTGTGGGAGTGGGGGAGTGTGGGGCAAGGGGAGGGGTCTTGGCATTTAGTGTCTGAAATCCAGGGATGCTAGGTGTCCTGTCAAGGTGGCTGGTCCTGCCAAGGGTGATGAAATATTCTCTGTACTCCCAAATCCAGGCCTGAGACCCCTCTGCTGTCCAGTTACATCGTGGAGAGGACCATAACAACTGTGACCTTGTGAAATTCTTCCCAGTGTGCTAAGTCGGTTTTTTTGTTTGTTTTTGTTTTTGTTTGAGATGGAGCCACGGCTGGAGTCCAGTGGTGCGATCTCAGCTCATTGCAACCTCCACTTCCCGGGTTCAAGTGATTCTCATGCCTCAGCCTCCCGAGTAACTGGGATGACAGGTGCATGCCACTACACCCGGGTAATTTTTGTATTTTTAGTACAGATGGGGTTTCACCATGTTGGCCAGGCTGGTCTCGAACTCCTGGCCTCAAGTGATCCGCCCGCCTCGGCCTCCCAAAGTGCTGGGATTACAGGCGTGAGCCACTGCACTCGGCCGAGCCTGGTTTTCTACCTATGCTACCTACTTTCTCCAAGGATGCCCTGCTCTGGAAATCTTCAAGGGAATGCCTTTTACCTTAAAGTAGCTCCCCTTCCTCCCTGTCAGGCATCTTTGCATAACTCTGAAGAGTTTTGAAGATGCAAAGTCCTTCCTCTCTGCCCATTCAGGGAAGCTTCTGGCCGCCCTCGGGGTGAGTGGGCAGTGGCGGGTGGAAGTTCCTCAACTTCATTACAGCTGTGAGGCCTCGGATCGGCTCTCACCACTCTGGGCATCCTTTTTTGTAAAATGGAGCCAGTAATTTCCACTCTCCTGGTTATTGTAGGCTGGCAATGAGGGCATCCGCGGATGGCACCTGGCCCACTCATCAAATGGCAGCTACCCTCTCTCGTGATGATTGTCAGCATCTAGTGTGAAAGATGGGAAGAGCCTACATCAATTCTTTTTTTTTTTTTTCTTTAAGAGATGTAATTGCCCAGGCTGGTCTTGAACTCCTAGACTCAAGCCATCTGCCTGCCTCAGCCTCCTAAAATGCTGGGATTACAGGTGTGTGCCCCCAAGCCCAGCCTGCACTGGATTCTCATTCTGATGTTACAAGGTGGATGGGGCCATGATAGAGGTTTGAGCCAGCAGGGAGGGTGTGGCACGAGGCCTGATGGCTTCTTGGAGGAGGAGGTGTTTGAACTAGGCCATCGGAGACAGAACAGATTCACTGGGAAAGTAGCTGTGTGTGCCAGGTGCACCAGCCGGGCTGCCAAGTGCTGATTTGTAGAAATTCTCTGGGGGGTTCTCTGAGTGAGGAAGAAGGATCCATGGGGCCTGGGCAAGGCTAGAAGTGATAGCCTGGGAAACAGTCTCAGGAGTACAGTTTCTTCCTTTTTCTCTTACTTGTTGAAGCCTAATTTACATATTATCAAATGCACCAGTCGCAATGAGTTTTAAAAATGTTTTGGCAGCTTTATGTAAGTATAACTGACAGATAACCCACACTCATTCAAAATGTACAATTTGACCAGGCACGGCAGCTCATGCCTGTAATCCCAATACTTTAGGAGGCCGAGACAGGTGGATCACCTGAGGTCGGGAGTTTGAGACCAGCCTGGCCAATATGGTGAAACCCCGTCTTTACTAAAAATACAAAAATTAGCCAGGCGTGGTGGCACATGCCTGTAATCCCAGCTACTCAGGAGGCTGAGGCAGGAGAATCACTTGAACCCGGGAGGCAGAGGTTGCAGTGAGCAGAGATTGCACCATTGCACTCCAACCTGGGCGACAAGAGTGAAATTCCGTCTCAAAAAAAAAGTAAAATTTGATGATTTGGGGCAGATGTGTCCATCCATAGAACCATCGCCACAGTCAAGATAATGAATATATGTATCACCCCCAAAGTTTCCTCTCTCCCCATGTAATCCGTCCCTCCCTCTCTCCCTGTGTAATCCCTCCCTCCCTCTCTCCCCATGTAATCCTTCCCTTCCTCTCGTTCCATGTAATCCCTCCCTCCCTCTCATCCCATGTAATCCCTCCCTCCCTCTCTCCCCATGTAATCCCTCCCTCCCTCTCTCCCCATGTAATCCTTCCCTCCTTCTCTCCCTATGTAATCCCTCCCTCCCTCCCCATGCAATCCCTCCCACCCTCTCATCCCATGTAATCCCTCCCTCCCTCTCTCCCCATGTAATCCCTCCCTCCCTCTCTCCCCATGTAATCCCTCCCTCCCTCTCATCCCATGTAATCCCTCTCTCCCTCCCTCAGGCAACCACTATGCTGATTTCCATCACTATAGATTAGCTGCTATTTTCTAGAATTTTATAGAAATTGAATAATATAGTATTACTCTTTTTTATCTAGCTTTTTAAAAAAAACTCATCATTATGGCAGGGCACAGTGGCTCATGCCTGTAATCCCAGCACTTTGGGAGGCCAAGGCTGGCAGATCACTTGAGTTCAGGAGCTCAAGATCAGCCTGGCCAACATGGCGAAACCCCATCTCTACTAAAAATACAAAAATTAGCTGGGTGTGGTGATGTGCACCTGTAGTCCCAGCTACTCCAGAGGCAGGAGAATTGCTTGAATCCAGGAGGCGGAGGTTGCAATGAGCGGAGATAGTGCCACTGCACTCCAGCCTGGGCGACAGAGCAAGATGCTGTTTCAAAAACAAAAACAAAACAAAACAAACCAACAAAAAACAGAAAAAGTCAAATAAAACACTTGTGAGCATTTGTGCATACCTTGATGAGGTTTTAATCTGTATATACAGGCGTATAACCATCACCCGGGTCAAGACATGAAACATTTCCTGGACCCAGAAAGCTCTCCTGTTTCAGGCCATATTGCTTCAACTATTTTGACTCTTATCACAATAAGTCAGTTTCATTCCATTTATATTAAGTTTATAGAATTTCATGCATATGTAATTTTTGTTTTTTTTTAGACAGGGTCTCACTCTGTCAACCAGGCTGGATTGTGGTGGCACAATCATGGTTCACTGCAGTCTCAGCCTCCCCAGTTTGAGTGATCTTCCCACCTCAGTCCTCCCAGACTCAAGCAATCCTCCCATCCTCTCAGCCTCCCGAGTAGCTGGGACTATAGTCATGCACCAGCATGCCCTGCTAAGTTTTTTATTTTTTGTACAGACAGGGTCTCACTATGTTGTCCAGTCTTGAACTCCTGGGCTTAAGCAATCCTCCTGCCTCGGCCTCCCAAAGTGCTGGGATTATAAGCACCAGCCACCATGCCCAGCCAATAACTTCTATAAATGGAATTAAACTCTTTGCATATGATTTCTTATGGAAAAAAAAATGGAATTAAAGAACAACGCAGGCCAGGCATGGTGGCTCATGCCTGTAATCCCAGCACTTTGGGAGGCTGAGGTGGGTGGATCACCTGAGGTCAGGAGTTCGAGACCAGCCTGACCAACATGGTGAAAACCCGCCTCTACTAAAAATACGAGAATTAGCCAGGCATGGTGGCGCATGCCTGTAATCCCAGTTACTCCGGAGGCTGAGGCAGGAGAATCACTTGACCCCGGGAGGCAGAGGTTGAAATGAGCCGAGATTGCCCCATTGCACTCCAGCCTGGGTGACAAGAGCGAAACTCTGTCTCAAAAAAAAAAAGAACAATGCAATCTATTTTTTTGTGTCTAGCTTTTTTTGCATCACACTATGTGTCTGTGATTGACCCGTGTTGTTGCCTGTATTAGTTTGTTTCTTTTATTGCTGTTTAGGGTTCCACTGTACAGATCCACCACAAGGTGTTTACCCATTCTCCTTCTGATGGACACTTGGGTTACTTCCAGTTTTGGCTATTATAAACAAAGATGCTATGAACATTTGTATACAAGTCTTTTTATGGACACATATTTTCATTCTCCTGGGTAAACAGCTAGGAGTGGAATTTCTGGTTCATAGAGGAAGTGTTCTTATTACTAGAAACTGTCAAACACTTTTTCAAAATGTTTCTACCATTTTACACCCTCACAAACAATGTATGAGAGTTCCAGTTGCTCCACATTCTTGCCAACATTTTTGCTCCACATTCTTGCCAACATTTGGTATTGTCAGACCTTTAATTTTAACCTTTCTGGTGATAAGCAGCGGTATTTCATGGTGGTTTTGTTTTACATTTCCCTTATGACTAATGACTAATGTTGTAGACCATTGTTTCATATACTTACTATACTTAAAAAAATTTAAGCTTTCTGGGCCAGGTGCAGTGGCTTACGCCTGTAATCCCAGCACTTTGGGAGGCCAAGGCAGGCAGATCACGAGGTCAGGAGATCAAGACCATCCTGGCTAATGCGGTGAAACTCCGTCTCCACTAAAAAAAAAAAAAAAATACAAAAAATTAGCCGGGCGTGGTGGCGGGTGCCTGTACTCCTAGCTACTCCAGAGACTGAGGCAGGAGAATGGCATGAACCCGGGAGGCAGAGCTTGCAGTGAGCCGAGATTGCGCCACTGCACTCCATCCTGGGTGACAGGGCAAGACTCTGTCTCAAAAAAAAAAAGTTAAGCTTTCTGTTATTTATTTTACAAGTAAAACATGCTGTGCATGCTTTGTAATCCCAATGTTTTGGGAAGAGGCCAGTGTTTAACACAAGCCTGGGCAAGATCCCACCTCTACAAAAAAAAAAAAAAAAATTAGCCTGGTATGGTGGCAACTGTAGTCCCAGCTACTCAGGAGGCTGAGGTGGGAGAATCACTTGAGCCCAGGAGTTCAAGGCTGCTGTGAGCTGTGGTTGCGCCACTGCACTCCAGCCTGGGTGACAGTGAGATCCTATCTTAAAAAAAAAAAAAAAGTAAAACATGCTTAATGTAAGACATTAAGACATTGGCTGAGTGCAGTGGCTCACACCTGTAAGCCCAGCACTTTGGGAGGCCGAGGCAGATGGATCACGAGGTCAAGAGATGGAGACCATCCTGGCCAACATGATGAAACCCCATCTCTACTAAAAATACATAACTTAGCCAGGCGTGGTGGCGGGCGCCTGTAATCCCAGCTACTCGGGAGGCTGAGGCAGGAGAATTGCTTGAACCCAGGAGGCAGAGGTTGCAGTGAGCCGAGATCGCGCCACTGCACTCCAGCCTGGCGACAGAGTGAGATGCCATCTCAAAAAAAAAAAAAAAAAAAAGACGTCTAACTACAGAAATCTATAAAGTACAATAGAAACATTTTTACCTTACTCCTCCAGTTTCACTCATTGACATTAGCTAACAATAATTTGGTTATTGGTTTATTATACAGCCTTCCATATATACATTTTTCTATGTCTACAAAAACAGATATTATTGCGTACACACACACACAGAGCTTACCTTTTTGTAACCACACACACACACAGTGAAAACCTCTTGCTTTTTATTTTTATTTTTAAATAGAGATGAGGTCTCGCTTTGTTGCCCAGGCTGGTCTTGAACTCCTGTGCTCAAACAATCCTCCCACCTCAGCCTCCCAAAATACTGGGACTACAGGCATGAGCCACTGCGCCCTGCCCCCCCTCTTGTTTTTATTGAGCATATACTATATGGAGATTTTGAGCAAAGGGATCGACATGCATCTTATCATTGAAATTGTTCAATAACTGTGGTAACTGGATGAGGAGACTGGAGCTTAGAAAGGTTAAGAAAGTTGCCAAGGTCACACAGCTCACAAGTGGCAATGCCCTCACTTGAACCCAGGTCTCTGACATCAAAACCACAGGTTGATGAAATGAGATGTTCTCTTCTTGCAATCTTAGATTCACTCACTGTTTCTTTTCTTATTTTTATTTTTAGACAGAGTCTTGCTCTGTCCCCTAGGCTGGAGAGCAGTGGTGCAATCATAGCTCACTGTAACCTTCAACTCCTGGGCTCAAGCGATCCTCCTGCTCCCAGCCTCCTGAGTAGCTAGGACTACAAGTGCACACCACTGTACCCAGCTAATTTTACTTTTTATTTCTGTAGAGATGGGGTATCACTATGTTACCCAGCCTGGTTTCAAATTCCTGGCCTCAAGCGATCCCCATGCCACAGGCTTCCAGAGTGCTGGGATTACAGGCATGAACCACAGCACCAGGCCTTCACTCATTCTTTCATTCATTCAACAAATATTCTTTGAGCCTTCAGAGCCACAGATGAGCTGAGGAGCCAGCCAGGTAGACTGACTACTAACATTTAGGAAAAGGGGGGTGTGATGGGAGAAGTAGGGGGAATAGCCCTGACCCAGGGCCTGAGTCAGGAAAGGGTCCTAGAGGAAGGACTCCTGAGGGATGTGTAGGATGCCCAGGGGAGGAGACAGCGTTAGCTGAAGAACGTGTGTATGTGTGTGTGCGTGTGTGTGAGTGCGTGTGCATGTGTGAGAGTGTGTGTGCGGGTGTGTGTGCGTGTGCTTGTGTGTGCGTGTGTGTGTGCGCTTGTGTGTGCGGGTGTGTGCGTGTGTGTGCGAGCGTGTGTGTGTGTGTACAGTGCCTTCTTAGGGAGCCCAGTCCCTCTCCAGGGTGCTGGGGTCGAGTGGAGGCAGGCGAGGGCCAGCAGCAAGACCCTAGGACCCTAGGGCCATCTTAAGGAGTCTGCCTCTGTCCTCAGGGAAACCCTGCAATGGCTAGAGTGACAGTTTTCAGATTCTAGGGTTTTAGGATTTAATTTCTTTCCCTTCCCCTCCCACAAGATTATGCTGCAAGGAGCACAGTGTCCTGGTGGCTCAGAGGCCACCGAGGCACCCCCAGATCCCCATCCGCTCCCTGGACCTGCAGTGGACTGTTGACTCCAGCCCTGCTCCAGGATTCAGGCTGGCTCTTTGGTCATAAAGGAACCCATTGCCCCCTGGTGGTGACTGGACACAGCTGTGGAAGGAATTCCAGACTCTGGCGGGGTGAAATGGGGACAGGTCCTGCTTCTCACCTAGACCTCCCCATGTCTGTCACCAGCATCCCTACCCAGGTGTTCAGTGTGGGCTCACCCTCAAGCCCCCTCTGTCCTCTCATTTCTTTTCTTTTCTTTCCTTTTTTTTTTTTTTTTGAGGCAGAGTCTCACTCTGTTGCCCAGGCTGGAGTGCAATGGCGAGATCTCGGCTCACTGCAACCTCCACCTCCCAGGTTCAAGCGATTCTCCTGCCTCAGCCTCCCAAGTAACTGGGATTACAGGCATGTGCCACCAACCCAAGCTAATTTTTTTTTTTTTTTTGAGACGGAGTTTCGCTCCTGTCGCCCGGGCTGGAGTGCAATGGCGCAATCTCGGCTCACCGCAACCTCTGCTTCCTGGGTTCAAGCAATTCTCCTGCCTCAGCCTCCTGAGTCGCTGGGATTACAGGCACATGCCACCATGCCCAGCTAATTTTTGTATATTTAGTAGAGACGGGTTTCACCATGTTGGCCAAGCTGGTCTGAAACTCCTGACCTCAGGTGATCCACCTGCCTCACCCAAAGTGCTGGGATTACAGGTGTGAGCTACCACACCCTGCCTAGTTTTTGTATTTTTTGTAGAGACAGGGTTTCACCATGTTGGCCAGGCTGGTCTCAAACTCCTGACCTCAGGTGATCTGCCTGCTTCAGCCTCCCAAAGTGCTGGGATTAGAGGTGTGAGCCACTACACCCAGCCTAATGTTTTAATTTTTAATAGAGATGGGGGTCTCACTATGTTGCCCAAGCTGGTCTCAAACTCCTAGGCTCAAGTAATTCTCCAAAAGTGTTGGGATTACAGATGTGAACCACTGTGCCCAGCCCAAAATCTTATTTTAGTAATTGACCCAATAGTGCCCTTTGTAGCATTCCATAGTGCAGGATCTAGTCAGCCTAAGATTAGATATTGCATTTAGTTGTCCTGTCTTGTAGGCTCCATCAATGAGGAACACTTCCACAGCCCTTCTTTGCTTTTATGAGTACAGTAGTGGTTCTCAGCTGGAGGTAAGTTTTCCCTCCAGGGGACATTTGGCATGCCTGGTGACACTTTGGGTGTCCCAACTGTGGTTGTATTACTGGCATCTAGTGGGTGGAGGCCAGGGATGCTGCTAGATACCCTATAGTGTACAGCACAGTCCCCTGGACAACCAAGAATATCTGGACCAAAATGTCAGTAGTACTAAGGTTGAAAAACCATAGACTAGAGTGATCTTTTACAAATGTTAATCACATCCCATCACCTTCCTGCTTAAGTCCCTCCAATGGCTTTCCACTGCTTTCAGGATGAAATCCAACCTCCTCATCACCTACTAAGCCCTGTGTGACCTGGCCCTAGACCTCCTTGCCTCCCTCCCTCCCCTTTGTTCACTGTGTTCCAGTCACATCAACCTTCTGTTGGTTCCACAAACGTGCCCAGCTTGCTCCTGCCCCAGGTCCTTTGCACTCCCTGTTCCCTCTGCCTGGAACACTCCTCTCAATAGCCACTTGGCAGATTTCTTAGTATTCATGTGTCATCTTAAATGCCCCTCTTCAGAGAGCCTTCCTGACCACCCACTTATTCTCTCCCATTACCCCCTGCTTTGGTTACTTATTTATTTATTTATTTTTGAGACAGAGTCCAGCTCTGTCGCCCAGGCTGGAGTACAGTGGCACAATTTTGGCTCACTGCAACCTCCACCTCCTGGGCTCAAGCGATCCTCCTGACTCAGCCTCCTGAGTAGCTGGGATTACAGGTGCATGCCACCATGCCTGGCTAATTTTTTTTTTGTATTTATTTATTTATTTTTTTAAGTAGAGATAGGGTTTCACCATATTGGCCAGGCTGGTCTCAAACTCCTGACCTCAAGTGATCCTCCCACCTCAGCCTCCCCAAAGTGCTGGGATTACAGGCATGAGCCACTGTGCCCGGCCTGCTTTGGTTTTTTCATAACTCTTTTTACTCTATCTGAAATTATGTTGTTTATTGCTAGTCCTCCCTTGCCAGAATGAATGCTGCATGGGAGATAAATCTTTAGCCATTTTCTTCATGGCTATATCCCCAGCACCTAGAACAGGTCCTGGCACATAGTAGGCATGCAGAAATATTTGTTGAATGAATGCATATGGCAAAATGATGACTAGAATGGGCTTTGAGTCAGGCAGACCTCGGATTAAATCATTGCTCTGCCACTTACCAGCTAAGGGACTTTGAGCGAATGACTTAACGTCTCTGAGCTCTGTTTCCTCATTCGTATATGAAGGTAAAAGTGGTGTCTCTATCACAGGGGTGTCTGTTGATCTGATGAGCTAAAGCTTATAGAACACTCTGTCCAGGCACATAGCAAGTGCTAGATAACTTATTATTGTGTTTCAAACATGAATAAAGCAGCAGGTATACATGGGCACTGGGCTGAAGCCCATCCAGGCTCTTTCCCTCCCATAATCCCAGATACAATCCCTCCCTTGGCCATTTAAAGCTCTTGTAACTCTTTATTGCATTTGCAGGTGTCTCCTTATTTAACAGCTGTCTAAGGGCAGATATACTCCCTGAATGTTTAACATAGCTGCCTGCCAGGAAGGAAGGGAGAAAGGGAGGGAGGGAGGAGGGAAGGAGGGAGGGATAGGGAAGGAGAGAGGGGGGAGGGGAGGCGGGGAGGGGGGTGAAGGAGGGCAGCTGGGCTGGTGTTCTTGCCTGTAGTCTTATGGAAGAGGTGAGGTCCTCTGGTGAGATGGCAGTACTGGGATGGGGGATGAAAATTCCAAGTTTTGGCAAGTTGCAGAATAGGAAGTGAGTGAAGTACTCAAAATTTAGGGTGCAAAATTTTAGGGGGTACCAAAGACCTCAGTAATCGAGACAAATAATTGTTTAAAATTCAAAATTAGGCTGGGCACAGTGACTCACACCTGTAATGCCAGCACTTTGGGAGGCTGGGGCAGATCACGAGGTCAAGAGATCGAGACTATCCTGGCCAACATGGTGAAACCTCGTCTCTACTAAAAATACAAAGATTAGCTGGGCGTGGTGGCAGGCGCCTGTAGTCCCAGCTACTCGGGAGGCTGAGGCAGGAGAATTACTTGAACCCGGGAGGTGGAGGTTGCAGTGAGCTGAAATCGCACCACTGCACTCCGACCTGGCGACAGAGTGAAACTGCGTCTCGAAAAGAAAAAAAAATTCAAAATTAATGCAGAAAAATTCCATGATGGACAAAATGTCAAAATTTTAACCCAAACCAAGATTAGTAACAGTGCTGTGCTGAGCCATATCGGAGCCTCATGTGGGGAAAAAAAATAATGATTCCATCACCTGAGTCCTGACCCTCAGGCTCCTGCTGTTGCTCCTGACAATCTGCAGGTGGCGCCTGATTCTGGAAAATAATCTCCCGCTGGGTCCGTTTTCCAGGTCTGTGGAATTTAAGTAGATTCTCTTCTGGCTGGACAGTCATTCTGTGATAGACGATCATTCTGAAATCACATATAAGACTCTTTCCCTCTCTGGGTCTCCGTTTTTTCTGCCCGCAAATTTCATTTCTAGCTGGAACATCCCAGCCCTGAGTCCTCATTCATCCTTATTATTCATGCCACATCATCGGGCATGTGATTGTTCTTGTAGGGGTGAAAGTTAGCTGAAGTGAACTTATGATAGAAAGATGAATAGGAGAGAAAAGCATACAATTGTATTCAATGTGCAAAGCACAGGGGAATTGCAGAAGGACCATCTAATAGCCCCATGAGGTACAGACACTTAAATATCCTTCTTCATAGGGGAAAGGGGAGATGGGGGATCTAGGCAATTCTTTTTTTCTTTCTTTCTTTTCCTTTTTTTTTTTCCTGAGACAGAGTTTCACTCTGTCACCCAGGCTGGAGTGCAGTGGCACTATCTTGGCTTATTGCAACCTCCGCCTCCCAGGTTCAAGCGATTCTCCTGCCTCAGCCTCCCTAGTAGCTTGATTACAGGCACCTGCCACCACACCCAATTAATTTTTGAATTTTTAGTAGAGACAGAGGTTTCATCATGTTGGTCAGGCTGGTCTTGAACTCCTGATCTGGAGTGATCTGCCTACCTTGGCCTCCCAAAGTTCTGGGATTACAGGCGTGAGCCACCATGCCGGGACTTTTTTCTTTTTCTGAGACAGAGTCTCTCTCTGTCACCCAGGCTGGAGTGCAGTGGCACAATCATGGCTAACTGCAACCTCTGCCTCCCAGTTTAACCTCCTGCCTCAGCCTCCGGAGTAACTGGGATTACAGGTGCAGGCATCACCACGCCTGGCTAATTTCGTATTTTTAGTAGAGATGGGGTTTTGCCATGTTGGCCAGGCTGGTCTTGAACTCTGACCTCAAGTGATCCACCCACCTCGGCCTCCCAAAATGCTGGGATTACAGGCATGAGCCACTGCACCTGGCCCATTTATTTATTCTTTTAGTATCTTTTTTCTATTTCATTAATGTCAGGCTTCATTTTATTTTTCACCTCTTATTGTATTGCTGTTTTTCTAATTTCCTAGGCTGAATACTTGGTTTATTTATTATTTATTTAATTTTGAGACAGAGTCTCGCTCTGTTGCCCAGGCTGGAGTGCAGTGGTGCGATCTCGGCTCACTGCAAGCTCTGCCTCCCGGGTTCACGCCATTCGCCTGCCTCAGACTCCTGAGTAGCTGGGACTACAGGTGCCCGCCACCGTACCCAGCTAATTTTTTGTATTTTTAGTAGAGACGGGGTTTCGCCATGGTCTCGATCTCCTGACCTCGTGATCTGCCCACCTCGGCCTCCCAAAGTGCTGGGATTACAGGCGTGAGCCACCCTGCCTGGCCAGTTCATTTATTTTTGGTCTTTTATTAAAAATGAAAGTATTTAAGGCTGTCAATTTTCATCTGAGTACTGCTTTAACTGTGTCCCACAAGTTTTAGTATGAAGAATTCTTTTCATTTCCTTTTTGAGATTTTTTTGTTTTTTGAGACAGTCTTACTTTGTCGCCCAGGCTGGAGTGTAGTGGTGTGATCTCGGCTCACTGCAACCTCCGCCTCCTGGGTTCAAGCAGTTCTCCTGCCTCAGCCTCCCGAGTAGCTGGGATTACAGGCGCGCGTCACCACACCCGGCTAAGTTTTGTATTTTTAGTACAGACAGGGTTTCACCATGTTGGTCAGGCTAGTCCGAACACCTGACCTCATGATCTGCCCACCTCGGCCTCCCAAAGTGCTGGGATTACAGGCGTGAGCTGCCATGCCCAGCCTCCTTTTTGAGATTTTTTAAAACAAAGGTATACTGTTATTACTTGTGCATTAAAATGTAGTGAAAAAACTGCATAGAACTCAACTGCACTGTGGTCCAATTATATCTTTGCAGGATTTCTCCTACAGTCGGAGGGAAAACCCGGGAATGAGGAATGCTGATGGACATAGCACTATCAGAGGACTTGATCCTGTTTCTCAGAGAGGAAGACAGACACTCTTAGCATAATGAGGGTCAAAAGTTGGGCCAGGCCGGGCACGGTGGCTCACGCCTGTAATCCCAGCACTTTGGGAGGCTGAGGCAGGCAGATCACTTGAGGTCAGGAGTTTGAGGCCAGCCTGGCCAACATGGTGAAACCTCATCTCCACTAAAAATACAAAAATTAGCTGGGTGTGGTGGCACATGCCTGTAGTCCCAGCTACTCAGGAGGCTTAGGCAGAAGAATCGCTAGAATCCAGGAGGCAGAGGCTGCAGTGAGCCGAGATCACACCACTGCACTCCAGCCTGGGTGACAGAGCGAGACTCTGTCTCAAAAAAAAAAAAAAAAAAGAAATTGGGGCTAGCAGTATCGATAATAGGGGATCTCATACCAAGAGAGCAAATGGCCCAACATTCATCTTCAGAGTAAAGAGGTCTGGTTAAAAAAAAAAGCGTATATGTATACACACACACACACACAACTGAAGAAAACGCCAAGGGAAAAAAAATGTAAGCTATAACCCCAGAACACAAAACATAATGCCCTTCACCCCTCCTCCATGCGACCTGCCAGCAGAAAGACTGGGGGTGTGGCAGGGCGGTGGGGGCGGGGGGTAGGGTATGTTTGTAGCCTTTCAGTGAAACAGGGCAGAGAACTGCTCCTTTTTCTTTTCTCTCTCTCTTTTTTTTTCTTTTTGAGACCGGGTCTCGCTCTGCCATGCTGGCTGGAGTGCAGTGGCGCCATCACAGCTCACTGCAGCCTTGACCTACCTAGGCTGAAGCGATCCTCCCACCTCAGCCTCCTGAGTAGCTGGGACTATAGCATTGCCATTCCTGGCTAGTTTTCATTTTGTCTTGTTTTCGTAGAGACAGGGTTTCATCATGTTGCCCAGGCTGGTCTCAAACTCCTGGGCTCAAGCAATCCGCCTGCCTTGGCCTCCCAGTGTGTTGGGATTACAGGCATGAGCCACTGCATCTGGCTGGAGAACTGCTTCTAAATATGCCCAAACAACTCTTCGGTTCCTGCACTTGTTGCCTCAGAAGGCAGCAGCATCCTTAGGCTCCAGGGTGGGATGTCACAAACAGATGTCTTCATTTTTATTTTGTTTAGCTTAAGTTGTGTAATTGTGACTTAAAGCTGGTTTGTTTGTTTGTTTTAAGGCAGAGTTTTGCTTTTGTTGCCCAGGCTGGAGTGCAATGGCGTGATCTCGGCTCACTGCAACCTCTGCCTCCCAGGTTCAAGTGATTCTTCTACCACAGCCTCCCAAGTAACTGGGATTACAGGCTTGCGCCACCATGCCCGGCTAAGTTTTGTATTTTTAGTAGAGATGGGGTATCACCATGTTGATCAGGCTGGATGGTCTTGAACTCCTGACCTCAGGTGATCCACCTGCCTCGGCCTCCCAAATTGCTGGGATTACAGGCATGAGCCACTGCGCCCAGCCTTGTTTGTTTTTTTAAGACAGCATCTCACTCTGTACCCAGACTGGAGTGCAGGGGCATCATCATAGCATCATAGCTCACCGCAGCCTTGAACTCTCAAACTCCTGGGCTCAAGCAATCCTCCTGCCTTAGCCTCCCAAGTAGCTGGGACTACAGGCTCACACCCCCATGCCCCACTAATTTTTTATTTTTATTTTGTAGAGACATGGGCTCTATCTTGCTATATTGTGGAGGCTGGTCTCCAACTCCTGGCCTCAAGTAATCCTCCTGCCTTGGCCTCCCAAAGTGCTGGGACTACAGATGTGAACCACCATGCCCTGCCCAGATGTTTTCAGATGGTTGGGGATCCATTCAGCAAAATAGCTGCTATTTTTGTTTGGTTTGGTTTGGTTTTCCTTTTTTTTCCCCTGCCCTTATTTTTGTTTTGTGTATTAAACATCTGCCTAAACATCACCTCCATGTACCCAGGGCTTGGCTAGGATGTATTCATAGGGGATGTATCAACAGGTAGGGGAAGGGTTATAGCCTGGAAGGAAGTGAGGGAAGAATTTGAGGGTTAAGGAGACAGAGCATCGGCTGGGCATGGTGGCTCACGCCTGTAATCCCAGCACTTTGGGAGGTGGAGGCAGGTGGATCACCTGAGGTCAGGAATTCGAGACCAGCCTGACCAACATGGAGAAAAAAACCCCATCTCTACTAAAAATAAAAAATTAGCGGGGCGTGGTGGCGCATGCCTGTAATCCCAGCTACTTGAAAGGCTGAGGCAGGAGAATTGCTTGAACCTGGGAGGCGGAGGTTGCAGTAAGCTGAGATCATGCCATTGCACTCCAGCCTGGGCAACAAGAGTGAAACTCCATCTCAAAAAAAAAAAGGAGACAGAGCATCAGAGGGGGGAGTCCCTTGAAGTGGGGGAGGGAGGCCTACATGAGACCCTGCATGGGAATGCTCCAAAGGTCTGGGCAGTAAGCCCCGAGCTTATGGACAATCAGACCAGAGACCCCAAGCCTGCCTCCCCTGCTTACCCAATGACAGGCACCTGAGATACCGCCAGGGCAGCCGCAGATGGTGAGGAGGGGAGCCAGGGCCCCAGCATGAGCCCCCTTGTCTACCTGCTCCCTGACTTAGGGGAGAGCCAGAGACATCCACTGTGCTTCAGGACAAGGAGCCCAGGGCCCAGGTTATGTGTGCATGGGAAATGGGGAAACTGATGTCCAGAGAGAAGTGACTGCCCCGGGTCACCAACAGGGCAGGGCCAGACTCGGAGCTCAAACTGCCGGCTCCCCAGAAGCTAGGAGTCCTGCTCAGACTGTGGGGAGGGCTCTGGGCCCTGATTCTGTAGGGGGAGGCGGGGAGGTGCTGCTGTCAGGGAGAGGGGTGAGTGGGGAAAAGCGGGGGTGGGGAGACAAAAGGAGAGGGAGGGAGGGAGGAGGTTGGCAGGGCAGACAACCTGTGTTTAATGTTGAGTTAGCAGGAGGCGCCTCTGCTTTTCACAGCAAAATATAGGCAGGTCGTAGAGGCTCAGTGATCCTCTCACCTTGACCTTTCAAAGCTTTGGAATTACAGGTGTGAGCCATCCAAATTGTTGAAGCTTCAGGCCCCAGAAAACCTGGATCCTCCCTGGCTCCGTGGGTGGCTAGGAAGATGGGTGGCCCATCATTAGATCCAGGGAGCATCATGGCAGGGTAAGATCCTGACTTAGGAGTACTTTGCCTTCTCCAGTTATGACAGGGCACCCTGGGTGTCCTCATCATCCGCCCCCAGCACCAGTGTCTTGTAAAGAAGACCTAGAAAAGCTTTCAGTAGCCTGAGGCTGTCTTTAAGAAAAAGAAAAGAAGGCCAGACACGGTGGCTCATGCCTGTAATCCCAGCACTTTGGGGCCGAGACAGGTGGATCACTTGAGGTCAGAGTTGGAGACCAGCCTGGGCAACATGGTGAAAACCCATCTCTACTAAAAATACAAAAATTAGCGGGGC